>NC_000004.12:18072916-18697916 GCF_000001405.40 Homo sapiens | reverse complement strand
TCTCCTGAAGCAGGTTATAAAACCTATGAAAGTCACTCTCTGGCCTTTCTCTCTCTTCTTCCCTGAAGACTCTCACATGACAAGTGTCCTGCCCTGTACCCAGAGGGAAGGAATGCCACACAGAGACACCAAGAAGAATCTGAACAGACATTGCTAAGTTCCTCGCCCACCCCCGCCGTGTATTACCATTAGACTATACCCCTTTTCAAGCCCTCCACTCTGACTTCTGCACGTGTTCATAAAAAGTTTTCCTCTCTTACACAGATCTTTATACTAAAGCCTCCCATGTCACATAAAAGTTATATCAAGTAAATCTGAATGTTTTACTCTTGTCCATCTGCCTTTGGTTATGGGGGATCTCAGCTATGAAACTTGTGATGGGTAAGAAAAGGAATCTTTTCTCCCCTGTGGAACCTAGGCTTATTCTGTCGTATTGTTCTGTCATCTTTAATATGCAGCTCCCCATTTGGTGGTTTAAAATGACTAATGATGGGACTTCGGAAAACAATACCCAAAAAATACCCCAAAACAATATCTTAAAATGAAGCCCTCAGAAGCAGCCTCAAAAACCAAAGTTTTTCTCTGACATTCTCCTGCCCTCCAGTCTCTCAGTCCCATTCTCCCCAAAGGCTACCCATAAAACCTAGAATCCTTCTTCCCCAAGGCAGATCACTGAAACCAGAACCGCGTTTCCCCCCAAACCAGCCATAAAACCGAGTAATACTGGTGTAAGTTCTTCTATAACTTTCTGTGTAAAAACTACAAGGAAATGACCTAACTCACCTTATTTGGCTGTAGGTCATAAGACCCCCATTCTAGAGAGGGTCCTGGCCCACACCCAGAAGAAAGAAATGCATGCTCAGAGGGGCCAAGAAGAATCTGGACACACAGGCCTCGCTGGGCTTCCCAACTCAGTCTATTAGAATTGGATCACACCCTTTTTGTCCAGTGATATGTCTACACAGCTGTCCATAGTTTGTTGAATCTAAGCATAAAATAGACGATTTCCCCTGTATCTTTGGCTTTTCCTTCTAAAGACTCCTGTGTGTACATGTTAAATAAACTTGTATGTCATTCTGTGAGTTGATTTTTCAGTGAACCTTCAGCAGGCAAAGGGGAACTTTTCTCTTGGCTCTGACACTATTTTAGTTCCTTCCACCACATGCAAATTCCACTGAACAGAAAAAGGAGAGAAAAGGAGTATGTATATATATTCTTTTTCTCCATATATATATATATATATATATATATATATATATATAGACACACACACACACACACACACATATACATATTGATATGGAAAGGATTCAGGGAAGTGTTGGGTAGAGGAGGTTGTGGTTCCTGGTTAGGGCTCTGGCCAGGGCCTGTGCCCGTGGACTTAGGTGCCAACAGGCATTTCTGTTTTCCTGCCCAAATGTTGCATTTCCCAAGACCACCCTGGCCTGCCACACCCCCATCCTGTGCCAATAAAAAACCCGGAGACCCTAGCAGGCACACACACAAGCAGCTGGACGTCAAGAGGAACACACCAGCGGAAGAAGACAAGCGGCTGGACATGGAGAGAGAGGCACTGGAAGGCCATCGACCGGCGGAACGATGTGGCGTTTGGCTGGGGCGGTTGGAGGAGAGCCCAGCCGCTAAGCAGCCTGACTCCAGGGGAAAACCACCTTCCCACTCCATCTCCCTTCTGGCTCCTCCATCTGCTAAGAGCTACTTCCACTCGATAAAACCTTGCACTCATTCTCTAAGCCCACGTGCCCTCTGATCCCTTCCAATACACCAAAGGAAGAAACCCCAGGATTCAGAAAGCACTCTGTCCTTGCAATAAGTCAGGGAGTCTAATTGAGCTGATTAACACAAGCTGCCTACGGATGGCTAAACTGAAAGAGCGCACGGTAACACACGCCCACTGGGGCTTCAGAAGCTCTAAACACTCAACCCTAGATGCTGCCATGGGGTTGGAGTCCCACAGCCTGTCCATCTGCATGCTCCCCCTAGAGGTTTGAGCAGGAGGGCACCAAAGAAGCCAGCAACACCCCATCACACACCCTGTGAGGGGGACAAGGGAACTTTTCCTGTTTCATATATATATATATATGAATACATATGCAATTCATCCACGTACCCACTATACAAGTCATTCACAAAACCAAAAACCACTTGTACCCCAAAAGTTATTAAAAAAAAAAATATATATATATATATCCAAAAATATAAAGACAGGATTACACACAAAAGCAAAAGCACAATTTAAATTTTCATTTCATAAGTTACAAATTTACTTAATAATAATTAATAATATGGGTAGTCTGTTACATAGTGAGAGCCAATTGTAACAAATGGCTTTTTATAAGATTTTACAGTTTATCAAATAAAATCGAATATAGTTACCCAATTAGTTCTTACAAAAACCCATGAACTGTAGAGGTGTGTGTTACTGTGATCAGCCTCAGTTTCTAAATAAGTTCTGGGGGTTCACAGAAGTTAAGTCACCTAATCTTATAGGACTATATATATATATATATATATATATATATATATATATATCTTTTCTCGTGCATGTGTGTGTGTGTATATATATACACACACACACACACAGAGAAAGAATGTTCTTTTCTCTACGTGTGTGTGCATGCACACACACACACACACACATCCCTTTTCAAGGCACGATATTGCATATACCACATTTTTTCTCCTACCACTTGCCTAAATCCAATTACATGATGAAAATTTACTGGAAGGGAAGCTGGTGAATAAGGTCTTTAGCTGGTTATCTATGTGGCATTTGAAGCTTCTAATTGTATAGAAGAAATACAGAAAGTTACTGAGGGAAGAACTAATGGTCTATGCCATAGTAGAGTTTGCATAAACTCACTTAAACGGAAAAGTGGGTAGAAACTCCTTTTATATGATGAGATAGCATTGTGTTCTGGGAAAAATGTGAAAGAACTTAACAGAACCTCTCCTACCAAGTCAGAAAGTCAAGTAGAGAAGTTGAGCGGGACTGTGTCACTGTCAAGGATCCCTGTGGATGTGGTGGCACTTCTGATCCCAGAGGCCACAAAGATAAAAACTCTACAACAATAGTCAGGAATAGAGAATTATGTAGGAGGACCCCTGAGAGGCTCAACAAAATGGCAAAGAAATGACTTGGCCTAGAGGAAATTATAGGATTAGTTCACTTTTTAGTCCCCACCATATACTTGCTGAATCTCAGAAATAGTTAAGAGGATCTAGAGTAAATTAAAACTTTTTCTTTATCCCTTCATTTGGATCTGTAAAAATCAGACAGGAAGCCTCACTGACAGGATTCATTTTAACCGACACAATCGACACAAAACCAGCCGAAATCTCTCCTTGTAAACATGAGCAAAATGAGAGAAATTTTCAGACACATAAAAGATGCTGTTCTCCACTGGGCACAGTGGCTCAGGCCTGTAATCCCAGCACTTTGGGAGGCCAAGGCAGGCGGATCATGAGGTCAGGAGATCGAGCCCATCCTGGCTAACATGGTGAAACCCTGTCTCTACTAAAAATAAAAAAAAAAGCCGGGTGTGGTGGTGCACGCCTGTAGTCCCGGCTACTCGGGAGGCTGAGGCAGAAGAATCCCTTGAACCCGGGAGGCAGAGGTTGTAGTGAGCCGAGATCATGCCACTGCACTACAGCCTGGGCGATAGAGCAAGACTCTGCCTCAAAAAAAAAAAAAAAAAAAAAAAAAAAAAGGTGTTCTCTAAAAGAGAGAAAGTAGTCAGAGGAATGTGCATGTGTTTCTCACTGCTGCAGCAAGAAATCATATTTTTTAAAAATATCTAAATTTTATTTCTAACAAATTAGAGAAGGCACACAGCACAGAATGACTGGAATAGGCAATCATGAAGAGATAACTATCTAAGATCAGGAAACAATACCTAGCAATTAAGCATATCATTGATGAACTAAAAACTGCAATGTAGATAGTAATTGAATAGAATGGAAGAAAAAATAGTAAAGGAGAGAGTAGCCTAATAAATTATTCTATATGTCAGAATGAAAGGATAAAGGATGATATATGAGAGAAAAGATTAAAATAAAACATGAAGAGGTGTGTGTAACATGTATTTAATATAACACCTCCCATCTTGAAAGGTCCTCCTCAAAACAAGAACAATTAGGAAAAAATGAAGTATCCTCACATATATACTCAATAGTATTTTTCACATTCAAAACTAAATGACGAGTTAATGGGGTGCAGCACACCAACATGGCACATGTATACATATGTAACTAACCTGCACGTTGTACACATGTACCCTAAAACTTAAAGTATAATTAAAAAAAAAAAACTAAAGGAGAAAAATATCTCTATATGCACCCACTCAAAATAAAAAGGAAGAGAAAGAAGGGAGGGGGAAGAAAGTAAAAGTTGTCTTTTAAATTACAATAATGCAAGTTCAACTACATAAGGAATCTGCAGTCTTGTTCGCTAGTCTGCAAAACCTAGGAGGGTGCCCAGCAGACAATGGGTATTCAGCAAATATGTCAAATAAATGAGATTTTAGTGTTGTGCGTAAACAAACATTTGACCCAAAATTTCTACAACAAGCTATGTTGCTGCCTGGTATCAGGACAAAGGAAACATAACTTTATAGGAGATTTACAAAGTACACTTTCCTTCCATACCCTTTGTAAAAAAAAAAAAAAAAAAGAATAGTCAATTTGCATCACAGTCAGCTGAGAAATGAATAAAAGTATAGCCTTCAAGTACTTTTACAATGGTACCTAACCACGTACATGAACACACACACACACACACACACACACACACAGGAAATTTAAAAGATAATTTTGTAAGCATCAATCTTTTAAGGGTACTAAAATATCACTGGAATAAATTGAAAATACTATACTAATTACCTCAAGTTTCTACATATAACTCCTTATATAATTGATGAAATGGAAATTGGGATCACTCCAGCCAAAATCATGTCCTTAAGTGAAATTTTTTAGAAAATAAAATAAATTTTTCAAAGAGCCCACTTCTAATTGGTACCAAAATATAGACATCAACTATGGAGACATTATGGTATTAAAAACATATAGTAATGAGAAATAAAACTAAATATACTATAAGTTTGAAGAATTATTAAAGTTTATACACTTTAAAGCACATGAGACAATACTTTTTGCAAAGAATTATAACTAAAACATAATATATAAATATTCATATATTTATAATGGTAACATTATAATCACAATATAAAGTACACATTTACTATTAATATGGGTTTTAAATTTCAGATTTTATCAACAAAAATTGGGATTTGGTTTGAAAGTAGCAAAATAAAACCATGTTAGTTTCCATTGTATTCGGGAAGAGTATAGGTATAGAAACATATACATATGTTTTTTTCTTGATGATAATTTCAAAAAATGTCACATAAACTATACCTAAATACCCAAGGTAAATTCACAAAGAGAGGTGTGCATTGAATTGATGGGGCTGTAGTTTGCCTAAGCTGGTATTCAGATACCCGGAATACACACTGACCACTTATTCACCCCTATACTTTCTGGGTCCACATGCCTGGCCTTTTGTGGCTGGCTTGCCAAAATGGATTTAAGAAAATCTTTTTCCTGGGGCATCTGGAACTGAAAAGGTTGTGCTACCTGCTCTGAAATTTGCATCCTTCAGCAGTTTCGTGCAAATAAAGGATTTCCTCATCTGCTCTGTCCATCATCTGTGGTCTCTCTATGTCTGCTTCAAAATCACTTGGCAGTGGACACATTGACACTGCCCCTGCACCAACACCTTGCGCTCACCCCCACTGCATGCCACAAGCCCTGAACCTTCAACAGCTGCATTGTATTGTGCTTACAAAGTTCAAATTGCTGCTAAAATACCCTTTGGCGCTATTCCTCTGTTACAACATTTTGACTTATCTGGACCTGAGATGGCTCACGTGGCGATTTCTGGCCAGGCCCCCATGGTTTCCAGCCAACATTTGCAAATATAGTTAGGAAGACATCCTCTTCCCAGAGGTGTGCATCAGGAATAATTACAGAACTAAGAAATCTTCCATCTCACTAGTTCTGGTTAGTGGCCTTGAATCTGAGAGCCCCCTCTTGTGTTTAAATCAACTTACATTTGCATGCAAGTGTGTGTGGGGTTCCAGGAATTCATAACATGTCACATCTCACAACAAAGCCACCCTGTGAAGGACCAACCCAGCAGGACCTAGAAATGTATCCATGGTCCCCATCCTGCCCCCTGCTCAGAATTCTCACTCCCTGAATCACCTCTCAGACCGAGCCAGGTCTGCAGCGCTGTTAAAAAGCCACTGTATTTGCTTTCTTGCTTTCCCTTGCTTACTTTTCACACCTTTCCTGCTTTGGGGGGAGGTGATCCGGCTTTCAGATGTAAAAGAGCCGGCTTCTGAGCCCTGGGTTCCACCGAGGAGTGAAAGTAAACAGGAAGGGAGAAGGCTCACAGAAGTCTTTATAACCTGTATGTTAAATTATGTCAACAGGATGCTGAGAACAGGATCTGTTGAGGAAATTCCACAACTAAATAATGAAAGCTCCATGGTACCTGAATGGAGAGGTCTGGATGGTATTCCCTTTGATCTAACTACATAGTTATAAGAGAGCTTGAAGGAGAGAGTTTCGAAACAAAGAAAAAAAGTAACATTCGATAATCCAAAGAGTAAGGCTATTGGTTAGGGACGGCTAGACTTGGTTCCCACTTTAGAGGCTGAAACCAAGCCATGGCTTCAGAGAAACAGAGTTTCTTTTGATTCTGATTAAGAGTTTAGCTTTTGGGAGAAGTGATGTGTGGTGCTGGTTTTCCCACAGTGTTTTTGTTTTGTTTTGTTGTGTTTTTGTTTTTTTTTTTAAGTTTCTGTAAAGGAACTCACTTCAGCCTCAGAAGAACACATCCAAGTTAATAAAGAGATATGAGGGGCAAAAAAAATATTACCTCCCTCCTCACCTACTCTAGGGAACACATCCCCATGTGGGAATGCTTAAACTTCCCCCACAATCTTTCTCAGAGACATCAAAGGATGTTGACTTAGGTTTAATAGTTTACAATTGGAATTTGTCTTTATGAAAATGCAGGGCTGTGTAATTTATGGAAATTAAGCATGCATGCATCTCCATTGTGCTAGATGCATTATGATAGAGTAGGATTAGGCAGAAAGACAGGGACTTCATGACATATTAAAATACTTTGTGTCTAAACACTGCCCAGAGACTGAAGAGGGATTTAAAAAACGCTACTGTCCATGACAAGGGCGGGGGGATTTCAAGTGTGACCTAGTTTTGTTGTTGTTGTTGTTGTTGTAATGGAAGGAAGATAGATTTTGGTATATTTGTTTCACATTTTACCCTGAAGACCACATGACATATCACTTTGTTTTATGTTAAGAGGGATTCTTCTTAGAGTGTTGTGTTGCTTTGCAAATGGAAAGGCAGGGCTATGCTTCCAATGACTCTGCCTTGAAATAATTTAAATTTAGGCCAGAAAGTTTAGCAATTTATGATAAATATTGAGAATAAGCAAATTTGCAATTTTCAGGGAAGTCTGGAAGATTCCTTTTTCATATTAATAAAAGGTTGCTCAGTATGAACCATGCAAGTGGAAAAATTTCTTTTGGTTGAAACACCAAATCTGCTATGTTAGATTTAGAAGAAATACATTTCTTTTCCTTGATCTTAAATTTCTTGGAAAGTACTCCTCTGAAAGTTTTAGAAATAAAATAGTCAGCAACAATAATAATCATGATAACTGGTAATAATAATAGCTTTGCCTGTATGCATGCCATTTGTTTTTCAAAGATTAACCACATACATTTACTTAGTTGATCAAAGCACCTTCCCTTGCCTGAAAATTCGGTTCAATTTACCTTGAGAATATTTGGTCTCAGGCAGTCACAACTGGCCACAGTAGGAATGGCTTTTAAACAGCAGTGAGCACCCTGTCAGGAATATAACAAAGTTTAGCAGGTGTTGCTTTGGTTTTCTGGAACTGTAAATAAATTCCAGAGATATTCATACTTACACATGCTGAGGGCTTGGCGAAACTGTGTTCAAAAATCACACACCACTTAATAAATGGGTTCATAATTTCTTTCAGCTAAAGACACTGTGGATGGATATGCAATGTCTGATTAAAAATAAGGAATAGGGATTAATTTTGATTATTTGGAAAGAATGTGGCTGCATATCAAATAACGTCTTTAATCTGACTTTTTAAAAAACTGGCTGAAAAATCACTGAAAAGCATGGAACCCAGTGGAAAATTGGATCAGATGTGCTATATTTATAGCCACACAAATAAACACATTTCGAATTCTGTTTGTTGGAAGCCTTTACTGTTTTGTAACAAGGTAGCGCTCCCTTTGAAATGGGAACCCTGCCATCTAGTGAGCATTTTGGGTATCGCATCTCAGATCATTCCTCAACACAAATAGGTTAAATTAAATCTTGAGTTATTTTAGAGTTGCAGTATATTGTAAGTATTTATAGACGGAGAAATTGAAGGAAGAGGGTTGAAAGATTTTTTCAAAAAGGCTCACATTAGTCTAATGGCAGTGTTTTAAATAATATCAAAATAACTGGGTTCTCAAACACAAAAATGTATTATTCAATAGGCACAAGATTAACTCTTTCCTTTTATCTAACAACATTTTTGCTATATAAACCACTGGTTATTCAGTGAAGACCTTCTTAACTATTCACAGTTAGTCTATGAAACAAATTCTATATTATTTTTTAGTTAATTATTCCAGGGGTTAAATTTCAATGGTTCATTAAAAAATGATTTGCTTTTGGCTTCATTTTTGCTTTTGGCTTTCTTTCATGAAAGAAATAATGCATAGTCAGATAATAATCTGAAATATTTGTATAATTCATCGAGTCTTTAACTTTTCTATTGAGTTTCTTAAAAAAAATTGACTGGTCTTGAAAATCATATCACTGTGTGTGTTAAAATTCATTGACATAAATACATGTTTTAAAAAGAAAGCTTTAACCAATTTGTGAAGGAGTATTACTTCACTAGGAAGAATCACACAAATGGAAAAAATAATTTTCTGTCATTTTAAAACATTATCTTCAAGTCATAAGGATTCTCAAGTCATTTATTTAACAAATGCATGTTGAGTCTCTACTAGATATCAGTCACTGGGAGATAGGGCATTTCTTCTCTTCAAGAAGTCTGAGGTACTAGGATAGGCAAACATACTAAGGGAGGAGACCACCCGTCATATTGTCTTATGCCCAATTTCTGCCTCCAAAGAAAGAAGAAGTAAAAACTAAAAGACAGAAATGAATTCCACAGGCAGACAGCCCAGCGCCATGCCCTGGGCCTGGTTAAAGATCGACGCCTGACCTAACCGGTTATGTTATCTACAGATTCCAGACATTGTATGGAAAAGCATTGTGAAAATCCCTGTCCTGTTCTATTCCGTTCTGATTACTGGTGCATGCAGCCCCTAGTCGTGTATCCCCTGCTTGCTCAATAGATCACGACCCTCTCACGCAGAGCCCCTTAGAGTTGTGAGCCCTTAAAAGGGACAGGAATTGCTCACTCAGGGAGCTCAGTTGTTGGAGACGTGAGTCTTGCCGAAGCTCCCGGCTGAATAAAACCTTTCCTTCTTTAACTCGGTGTCTGAAGGGTTTTGTCTGTGGTTTGTCCTGCTACAATACAAATAAATAATTATGTATGTGTCATGGACTCCCTCATAGAAGCACGCATAACATACACAGTGGAAATCGGTCAGCAGTCATGATGCTGGCTAGAGAAAGTTTCATAGACAAAGAGAAATACTTGATTTGGAGCAACAGAAGTTTCCCAAGTTAGTGATTAAGCATATTTATGTGTTTGTAAAGTTATTTTTTAAAAAAATTTTAAGGTTACAGTTTTAACAAATGCAGAAATGGTCCAAACCATTGACATTTTAAAACAATAGGGACAAAATGAAGTTTAAGAGCCCACAAAATTCCAGTCCATGTTTCATGATTTATTTCAGTCAGTGAATTTTCTATGTATACTAAACATACGGATATTTTGAGTATGTTTCTAATTTTTGTGATTATTTATGATGTGCCTGGTCTTGAATTTACAAGATTGGCTTATAACAATTATTTTCAGGATTAACATGGGGTAATTATTTGATAACCTTATCTTTTCAATAGTTTTATTGCTGATCAAAGTACAGCTTCCCAAAGTTATTTTTAATAAACTATGTATAAAATTCTTCTGTATTACTGAAGTAAATTAAGCAGTTTTTTATAAAGCTGATGGTATTTTGAGGAGCAGGAATGGAATGTATGAAGGTCAGAATTGTGAGGCATCTTGATATGATCAGGAAAAGGAATAGTTTAATGTGACCAGAGTATGTGTTTACATGTGGACAGAACCAGATATGAGGAGGGAGTGGGTAGGGGCAGATTGTTAGGAGCTGGTCGTTACTGGGACATCAGATAGACAAAGCTTCAGTTAAATGCCCTGTTGGTCACCACCATCCCACAGGTGTTTACCTCTCCAGGTCCAGAAGAGATGAAATATCATGGTGAAGTGGAAAAAACACTGGGCTGCAAGTCAATGTAAAGAATGGTTTGGTTTGATTAAGCCAAACTAGCGCATCTCATCCTGTTCCCTTTTTTTGTTGAACACAAACTTCCCCTCAGATATTATTTTATTGGTAGACTTCAAGAAAAACAAAAGGTTTTTCTTGAAGTTTCAAAAGTTTTCTCAGTTAGATGTCATTTAAAATATGTTTTAATATAGTGTAATTCACATTTCAAAAAGTGTTCCTAAGGGAACACAAATTTTGATGAATTTTCATAAGCAGGGATACCCATGTAACCAGCACTCATCAACAAAACAGTAACTATACTCCACACACCTACCAGAGTTTTGCTTATTTTTAAAGTTTCTATTAATAGAATCTTTAAAGTATGTTCGTTGTTATGTTGATGCCCTTTTTAGATGCTGTACTTAATATAGTTACACACGTTTCTTTCCTGCAAGAATTCTCTTTGGAGGAGAAGCTGGGTGTGCAGTGCTCCCCAGGTGACGACACCTAGGTTCAAAGTCAAAGTAATCATCCCTGAGTTGTACAGATGGTGCGCAGCACCAGTGTTGTTAAAGAGTTTGATTTTAGTGCATATATTCTTTCTTCTAGTCCTGGAGTTGGCAAATTTGTTTGTAAAGAGCCAAATAATAAGTATGTTAAGTTTTGCAGGCCATATCTGATCTCTGTTTCTCCTCTTCCTCCTCCTCCTCCTTCTCTCCTTCTCCCCCTCCTCTTTCTTCTTCCTTATACCTCTAACAATGTAAACACCACTCTTGGCTCTTTAGTCACACAAAATCAGGCCTCCAGCAATATCTAGTCCACAGTTTGCTGACCACATCTGAACCTGGCATGATTTCTAAATCAACAAAGCATCGAAAATAGAATCACTCTCTTCTCCCTAGCACAGGAAGGGAGCTAATGTTTCCGATCTCCGGAAAAGTCATTTATTGATGATTTTTTGGGTTCATTTTTGAAGCACATAAGCCATCTTCTTGGGTTTCTGCATGTCCAGGTTAAGCCTGTGGCTCAGTCCCATGGTGATCTCATGAGAAAGTCTCGTGTGACTGATGAGGTCTGGTTGGGCCCCTGCCAGGGTCAGCCCTCTGCACCTAGCTTTTCAACTTATCCTTCCAAGACCCCTCATCTGTTCTGAGCAGGAGAATGTGCTGCCAATCCTGAATAGAGCTGTGATCCTCCAGGGAGGGAGTAGGTTTAGAAAGTTTATTCCATAAACCCACTTTCAGGTTTGTTGTCAAGAGTGCAGAGAACTGGCTGTCTGCAGCTTATTGCTCAGATTCACTATGCACAGCCCTGAGGAGGAAGAAACTTTCCTCTTCATTTTCTGAGCCCCACATGAGGAAAGTTCCAACAGTATGGTAAGAGCTGGTGTGCAGTAGGAGAAGAAGTGGCCACCGTGTAGTAGGGACGATTTCATTCTCACCTTGGACAGGAACCTGAAATGACCCAGAAGCTCAAGGCCATGATGGTTGATCTCATGTGTGTTCACTTCTCTGAGCTATGATGTCCAGACATTTGGTCAAACACCAATCTAAATCTTAATTTGAATATATTCTTTAGATGGGATGAGGATTTAAATCAGTGCAATTTGAGAGAAGCAGATGACCTTTCTTTATATGGTAGACCTCATCCTTTATATGGTAGACCTCATCCAGTCAGTGGAAGGCCTTAAGAGGAAAGACTGAGGTCCCCAGGAAAGAAGAAATTCTGTGTCCAGACTTCCTTTAGACCTGGACTGCAACCTTAACTGTTCCCTGGGTCTCCAGACTCCCAGCCTGGCCTGCAGATTTCAGACTTGCCAGCCCCCGCAATCGTATGAGCCAATTCCTTAAAATAAATCTCCCTATATACATACACATCCTGTTGATTCAGTTTCTCTGGAGAACCCTGACTGATACAGAGGTATGCCCTCTGTATTAGTAGCATTAGTAATGCTACTTGCATTACTTGCAAGAAAAAAACGTGTCACTATATTAAGCTCAGCATTAGGAGCTGTTCCTCCTGTTGCCATCTGCCATAGTGCCTTTGGGCAGCTTCTGGTCTTCAGGCCTCTTCTCCCATAGGAAAATCTCCCTCACACTTTAAGACCCTGTTTGAAACTATTCCATTCCTTTAAGTTGAGTGAATCTACTCATATTCCAGGGATCAAAAGGCAAGTAACCAACATCACTGCAGTGTTTGCAGAGGCCCCTCCCCAGGACTTCCTTTGAGTCACCCACTCCTATTTCACTCCAGTTTCCTTTCTGCTCTTCAAACTTTATTTCCTTCTACGTGTGGCCTCGTTATTGCCCTTTTGCAGCACTTTCGAGTTAGTGATGGTAGCAGAATTTCTCTGATTTGACTTTTGAAAATCCTCCGATCTCTCTCTCTCTCTTGTGTGGCCTCTGCTTTTTTTGTGACAAGTAGCATTTTCTTACCCTATTTGTGCCCTCTCAGGATATGTCCATAGGCCCAAGGCACTGAATCTCTAGAATGAGAGTAAAAATAACTTCCATGCAAGCTTGGAGTAAGGGGTAAATGGTACATTGCCTGTAAAATACATGGAAGGTGCAGAAGTCTTGAGGGCTGGCACTATTGGCACTATTTTACTGTCATTAGGAGGCTTTGATAGTCAGGACAGAAAGCAAGGCAAAAAATGGCTCTAGATTGAGGCACCTGAAATATGCCAGTCCTCATCCTTCTCTGCATGATAAGGATTCCGGTGACTGTCTTCAGAGCTCCTTCTCACTTTGCGACCCCCTCCTCTAGTTGGTAAAAGAAACTCTTCATAGACTCTGACTTCTGATGTGATGATTGCTTATCTGAAAATGATATCGCGCTTGAGATTTTGTTGACCACAGGCAAAGATGTACATATTATTTGGATATAAGCAACTGTAGTATTGCAACAAAGGCCACCAAGCAACTGCAGTATTGCAACAAAGGCCACCAAATTACTTATTATAATGCACCTTTCAACAATCCTTCTCCAAACACAAACCTGGCATGGCTTTCAAAAGCCTATCAGAAAAACGTCAGTTTTCAGCTGTACTTTCCAGGCCATCCACAATCTGCTCTCAAATCTATCCTTTCATACTGTTTTTCTTGACTCATCTACACAAATTTTACTCTTTATCGAACATGATCTACTCAATCATTTTTAACATACTTTAGTTGCTCGATCCCTTTAACTAAAGGACAATGTCTTTTGTTAACAATGCAACCATGTCCCTCATAGCCTGCTGCCTGATCATATCATATCCACTCTTCAAAGGACAAAACAAGCCTCTTCTATTGAATCCTCAAACACCATGATCTCTGATGATCTACAGTAGTTACTTACTCTTCTGCCTTGGAACATCTCAGTCATTCAGAAATCAAATTTATTCTATTTATGACATGGTCAAACGATGCTAAGTTCTGGGGACACACATTGTTAAGCTGTAAAACCCTTCTGCTCTCAAGTGAGGGAGTGGACATATTTTCCTGTGATACTGCTTTTGGTAATTAAAATTGGGACAACTTTTCTGCAACATAAGTGCTCACAGAGCCAAAAACTGGAAGCAACCAGATGTTCTTCAGTGGATAAATGGTTAAGCGATTATGGTATATCAATACCATGTATACTACTCAGCAATAACAAGCAACCAACCATTGTTTCACACAACATAGATGGATCTCAATGGAATTACGCTAAGTGAAAAAAGGTAATCTCCAAAGGTGATATACTCTCTGATTACATTTATATAGCATACTTAAAATCACATAATTATGGATTAGTGGTTTCAGAGACTGAGGTTGCAATGAAACAATCTGTTCTATTTAAAATAGGTGGGCAGAAGAATCCAGGAAGGATATTGATGTAAAAAAGCTACAGATTATCTTATATGTTTAATTATATGCTTGCTTTATAGATTTGCTGGAGAATACGAAGATGAATTAGTCACATTTAGATAGGATACACATCAGTTAAAAGTAAAGGCAATTACAAATTCTGAGAAAAGTGAAAAGTTTTATAAGAAATAAGCTCTAACATATACACTTAGGCCCACCTGTAAATAATATTTACATAATAAATTTTATGGTGTTTATATATAGTTCATAGTTTACTTGCATAATATAATAAACACTGAATATTGATGCAACCTATACTTTTAAGTTATATTAAGTAATAAGAGAAGAGAAATACTTTGGGAAATGATGAGGAGAAAGAGAAAAGTTGTATAAGATCTGAATATTTGTCATCCATGGCAGAAATATAATAATATTATCTAATTTTAAAAAGTTAGGATCTAGCAATTAAACATGTTAAGTGATAGGGTGATAAATACCATAAAAAGAAAAAACAGAAACTTCTGAAGATTATTGCCTCTGTGCAGGAGAAAAACAGGGTACTTTTGATTTACTTCTAGTACTAGTTACTCATAAACTCATTAGGATTACTGAGCTTTTAAAATTATAAACAAGTATCACTACGTAAATATAAAAATAATTATTTAATATCAAACCTTTGAATCCAGGAATGGCAATTCTACAACCTAGACTAAAGAAACAATCCAAGACAGAGAAAAATATAAACGCATAAAGATGCTCCTAACAGAGTTAGTAATAATGTGGAAAGATTATAATTAATCTAAATATTCATAAACAAGGGAAGGATTAAGAAAATGATGGCATATCCATAACTTTGAAAAACACGAAGCCAGTAAAATATTTCTATAGCACATTAAATGGTTAGGAAAGTACATATTTTGTTAATGTTATATGGTAGGAAAAAAACAAGGTATAAATTATATAGATCTAACATAAACCCAAGTATGATATAATTATACATATATGTATAAAAAAAGAGAAAAAGATTTTAAGAAAATAACTAATCTTTTAACATTTGCCAAGTCTGTATGGTGATTTTTTCTCAATTCTTTTATGAATTTTACAAAATTTTCTAATTTATAACTGCCTTCCTTTTATAATCATAAAAACAGAAAATAAAAATTTATTATTTGAAAATTTGAAAATCAATCATTAAATCATAATAATTTTAGGATGTAGGATTTAGACTCAGTTTGGTTTATCTTGGTGGTGGTTTCACCAGCACACAGGCAAGAATTATGTCTGACTGTTGTACCTGCACAGGGACAGCACAGCAGGTACTCAGTGAATATTTGTAAACCCCAATCCAGAAGTCCTTCTAAACAATGTGGCATAGGGTCACAGCTCCCAGAATGATAATCCTTTGTGTAAACACACCTATGCCATGTCCAGCAAGTCTTCACTATAAGGGAGCATTCTCTTCCACCCTGTAGAGTTAAATGTCTTGCTTCATCTATTTCTTTTAATATTTTTCGAATTAGACTTGCTCATTTGTGGTGAAGCTTAGGGCAGTTCTGATCAGACTGCCTAATAACCACAGGAAATTGTTTGGGCTGTGTGTTAATCTGCTGATCATGTAGAACATCAATTGTGTGTGATAGAGCAAGACAAGTTTGGATACTAAAAAGCTCCAGGAAAAATATAATCAGAGAGAAGTGACAGTACACTTGACCTACCCTAAAACAAAGCAATTAATATCAAGTTTGCTGAGAGGTACGTACCCTGGGGGGCCATGCGGCGAATGGGATCTATTTTCAATACTTGCATCAGGAACCACATCACTTCTCTGAATTTTTAGAGTTAGAATTGTGCTTTGATTGGCTTAAGGAAAGGAAATATACTCAGTAATCATGGTAGTTGGCAGGCAGAGACAGGTATGATTCCTTTTCAAGCACAAAGCCAAGGCCAAATCTACTGACTTAAGTCAAACTGTGATTAGGAGCTGAGTGAAAATGGTTGCCCTTTCTGCTCCTTCATCTGTGCCACACACATGTCTGTAAACAATTTTTGTGATCCATATCTAGCTTTTTGAAAAGTTTCTTCTTTTTTGTTAGTGAAGGTGAATCTAAATTGGTATCAAAGATGTGTTATTACGGTCATTTGATTTTCTATCAATTGGAGCAAGTTTTCCCCCAAATCAAATGATCATGCCCGAGATATATCCCACAGGATAAAAAGTTTATTCCTCAAATCATTATAAAAACAAAATACTAAACAAATATTTAACACAACTGTATGTACCAGACAGTGTGAGAGGCATAGTCATATAGATATTAATGTAACTTGGGGGTTCAAAGCTCAAGTATGCCGTGGCTCACGCCTGTAATCCCAGCACTTTGGGAGGGTGAGGTAGGTGGATCACTTGAGGTCAAGAGTTTGAGACCAGCCTGGCCAACATGGTGAAACCCCGTCTCTACTAAAAATACAAAAATTAGCCGGACATGGTGGTGCATGCCTGTAATCCCAGCTACTAGGGCAGTTGAGGCAGGAGAATCGCTTGAGCCCAGGAGGTGGAGTTTGCAGTAAGCCAAGATCACACCACTGCAGTATAGCCTGGGTAACAGAGTGAGATTCCATCCACCTCTGCCAAGGAAAAAAAAATTTAGCTCTAAGGAGGGCATGCTTTTCTGCCCAGACAATAGGTGTAAGTCAAGACTATCCTGACAAACTTGAACATACAGTCTCTCCACCTCTGTTTCCTTTTCCACAAGTTAGCACAATATCTCCCAAAGCGATTGAAGGACTGTAAAGAATACTGGTTGTAGAAAACACTCAACAGAGTGCTCAGCGTGCAGTAGTCCCTCCATGACTGGTAGCTTGCTCTCTTCTCCTCCAATTCTTTTTCCCATCCCAAATTGGAGAGTTTCCAAGGACATACAATTCTTCTTTATTTAGTTTGAAAAAATGCATGAATGTGAATTGGAAACATTATAAAGCACCTGCTGAATTAATAAACTAATGGCAATATATAAAGCATATATTTATATATATTTGTTGGTGAAATGATTAAACATTGATTAAGTTGTTGCAGCTAGGACCGAAAGAGATAGATATTTAATTGCATACACAAATAAGAATCATGACATCCATATTTCTGCCCATTGTGGAAATTCATTTTCAGCTCAAACTCTAATCAAAAAGCACAAATCACTACCACAATAATAATGATAACAATATCACTTGGTTGATCCATGTGAAATTGCTAATATTCAACCATCTGACCTACAAAAACATCGCCATTTTTATGCTTCAACCTAATAACGATTAAGCAATGCCCTTCTTTTCCCACTATCAGTGAGCCTGAGAAAACAAGGCAGTATTTTATTTTGGGCAGCAGGAATGAATGACTGAGTGAAATAAGGAGCAGGTCCCTTGCAGAACTTTATTGTAGGGTGTAAACCCTTTCAGTCCTAAATTGATGAAGATATTATAGACAGAAAATATTTAAAATTCATACAGTGTATTTGACTATCCCTGACAGGGCAGTAACAACAGAGAATGTAAAGAAGTTGGTAGGCAGGTGATTATAATGACAAAGTGGGAACTCTTGGTGTGCAACACCTCTTATATCATCGTGGCTCAACATAGTATTAGTCTGTTGAGAACCACATGTTATGCTATAGCTGTGAACAAAACTTGCTAAGAGAAGGATAGGAGGCAGGGATTAATTCTGTGAAGGGAAGCTCCTGATCAAGACGTCTAAAATTTGAGTTATAAATGCAGGTACTGACTCCATAGTATATCAACTCTGTTATTGTGGGGAAATCTTCCCAGAGGAAAAGATATCTTCTCACTGTCATTAAAGATGAGTAGGATTTTAAAAGTTAAACCAGGAAGAGGAAGCAACATAGACAATGGTTTTAGTCCACTGTGGCTTGAGTAGGGATTGCACAGTAACAGTGATTAGCTGTGTTCCTTCAATCTTCTGAATGATAATAACTAACTGTATTCACTGCTTATTATGCACTTTGTGTGTATTATCTTGTTCAATTCTCCTCAAAACTCTGTGAGTTAGAAGCTATTATCACTATGTAATAGATCTAGAGCAAACTGATGTTTAGAAACTTGCTCAAAGTCACATAATGATAAATTGACAAAAAAGCAAGATTCAACCCAGGATATGGGCTTTTAGTCATTACCTTATCAACTTTTTTTTTTTTTTTTTTTTTTTTTTGCCTACACTGGCCAATCACTTTCTAGTATTAGAATTTTTTTTTGTTTTGGTTTTAAGTGTTTGTTTTATTTCTCTACACTAGATATTGATGCATCTTTGCATCTTGAACATTCAAAGGCAGTATTTTCAACATCGTAGATGTTTAGTGAAATTGTTGGATAAATTCCAAAGCAAGGGTCGATAATCTATGCCCCTACAAGCCAAATCCAGCTTGATGCCTGCTTTTGTGAGTGGTTTTATCAGAGCCCAGCCACTCTCACTTACTTACCTATTGTCTATTGCTGTCATCACAAAACAGCAGAATTTCATAGTTGCAACAGAAACCATATGGCTAGTAAAACCTAAAATATTTACTATTTGGCCCTTTCTAGACAAAGTCTATAGAGACCTATTGTAATGGAAAGAAAGGAAAGAAATTGAAACTCTGATAAGTACTTCTCATCCCTTGTAATATTAGGAAACTTTTTTAAATTTGAAATTCTAGCATCTAATTTGGATATTTTTATTGCCCGTGATTATTTTGTTAATCCATTCTTTGAGCATCATAACTGTTTTCATTGGTAGAAATGATGTGTGGGTGCTTTATGTGCTTCATTTCATTTAATCCTCATATGATCCAATGGGTAGTGAGTATTCTCATTTCATCAGCAATGGAAGCAGAAGTCAAAGGGTTAACCTCCACTTGTCTAAGTGGAGGAATGAGAACTTGAATACAGCTGTCTTGGGCTCTAAACTCTAAATTCTATTTTCCCTCTATAGCTTAAATTCATTCTCATGTGGCAAAAACACACTGATTAATTGCTTAGGAACATATAGTACCCTTTATTTTAAAATATCAGCAATCATTTCCCATCATATAAATGGGAACATCTCATTAATACTTAGAAAATGTCAAGCCCTAAGAGGTCGGATGATGTGTGCACCCAGCCATGCAGTAATTTACAAGAGAAGGCAGGGACAGGTAGCAATACCTGCAATTTAAGGCATCACTTCTCAGTATACCTGCCTGGTTTGTAACCTCAGTGTCATAGCATCTTAGGCTTGGACAGTTTCTCAAAGATCATTTTATCTAAACCCCTAACCAAGGCTTGGATTCGTCCTTAGTATTTTTGGGCAGTAGCAATTGGGTTCACATTAATGGCACACTTAGTCTGGTCCAGATACTGTGATAGACGTTTAATATGCTTCACCCCATTTAATCTTCACAGCACCTCTGGGAAATAGGAATTAATTACAGACAATAAGGAAACTCAGGATCAGTAAGATAAAGTCGTTTGCCCAAGGTCACATAACTGATAAGTGGTGAAATTAAGATTGAGAGCCACACAGCCCAACACTAAAACCCACCTGTCCTCTTTGTCACAATCCCCATCAGCAACCTATTACCCTGAGGTATTTATGGACAGCCCAGTAATGCCCTTTGTAAACTCTGAGAAATAGTGGAATCATAGGAGTGACTATAGTTCACAGTTTTCCTAGTGGGTGGCAGTAAATATATTTTTTATAAAGTTAAATATGCACTTAGGAAGGACTAGTAACATGAAAGTTATAAAAGAGCTTAAAATCTCTCAGCCACCAGTTGATGAGAAATAAGTGGTCAACCATGTCTCTCTGGCCAGATGTTTAATGGAAAAACCACTCTATCCATGACTTTGAACAAAACCAACCAGCCACAGGGCAAGGACACTAATACTTTCCAGGTCTCTGCTGAGTACCACCTTAGCACTATATGCCCACCTTATATTTATATACCTTTATATGAGTTGGAAAATGTCATTGAATAGATACCACATTTTAACTAAGCATATCCTCAAGATGACTTCCCCCAGCCCACTAGCACACACATACAAACACACATACACTCCTAGCTTTGCCACTCCAACACAATCCTTTCTACCTGAGGGGACTTATGCAGCGCTAAACAACACATCATCTGAAAACAGCATGGTGAGTTTAAGGAAGTGAATAAGTGAGCAAGTATATAAGAAAGAAAGAGGAGAGGTAAATAAATTAGAAAATGAGTAATTATTGACAATCATTGTATACTTATTTTAAACATTCATTATGCTAAGTGCTACACATCAATTTATGCCACAAAACTTTGTGAAATAGCATTTTTATTGTCCCCGATTTCAGATGAAAAAAGCAAGCTTTAGAATTAACTCATCTAAGTTTACAATGAGCCAAGATTTGGATTCTATAAGCACTTTTAATAAAGAGATTACAAAAATAAAGGAGGTTAAATTTAAATACACACACATAGGCACACACATGCTTGTGTGCACACACACATTTAAAAAACACATACACATGGCAAGGGAAGGCTGTGAGAGTACCAGACAGAGCCACTACCTCTTGCTGGGGCCTTTCAAGAAAATTACACTTTTAGAGAAAGTCCTGGGCCATGTAGTTCATTTCTGACATCTCCCCCAGGTTTCTGACGTGATTTTTGGACTGGGCTTGAAACTTCCTATTTCTCTCCACTTGCAGCATTTTCTGCTACACATTCATCTTTTGATTTGCTTTTGTCTGTACTTCAAGCATTCATTTCTGGCCATTCTCCAGCTCCACTCCTGCCCCCTCCCACACACCTTACAATAATCAACTCAAAACACTGACTCAGGGCTTTTTTGAGCTCCCTTAGGGGAAAAAAAATTGTCTTCACAGAGGGCTCTTGTGTGGACTAGAGATAGCGAATATAAGTTGTAGGCAACGAATAACAGGTAGCTATTTTGAATATAGAAGCAGGACGCTTCTATCTCACATAAGTTTATATTTCACTTTAATTGTTGAGAAAGCCCTGGGTTGGTGTTTTCAATTGGATGCAGTCATTCAAGGAGCTGATTTTATAGCCTTAAGTATTCATTGAGTCAAGAATTATTATGGCTGCATTTTTTGTAAAGGCTGAATAATTTTATTGCCATCAATGAGATTGGTAGCTGAGGAAGCTGAGGCAATGATGAAAATAATTAAATCATGTGCTTCAGGGCACAAAGCAATCAAATACAGATGAATGGAAAACAATTTTGCATTCCTCTCTGATCCTTTTGAGCTTCTTTTATCACCCCCTCCACCCTTCCAAAACCCAATACCACCACTGGCTGAGAATATGGCGCAACTGTGTCTTTCACCAGAGGCTTAGTGAGCTGTGGTTGCTGTAGCCAAACAGGATAGGGTCCAGGCAGACCAGATGATGAGATTCTGCCAGAGACAAGCTTTATTTCTTTGGCTCCCCTCCTCCTTTAACTGACTGTGTGAGGATTTCTAGTAGCATTATTTATTATAATTAATTGTTTCACTTCACTGATCAAAAGCTGCTTCCAAATCTGATCCAAGGACAAGAACAGTCCCTGAAATTCATGGATCTTGACATTACAAGCCCCATAAACCTTCAATGAGGAAAGACTGAACTTGTGTGTAGCAATGCCCTTGGTGCACTTTTGCAGACCATAATCAACTTTCTGTACAGAGAAGTCGAAGTGTCCGGCTACATTTGGGAGCCTTTGATGTCGTCCCCTTCCTTACAGCTCTCAAATCAAACAATGCTCTTCTGTCTTAAGCTGTGGCTATCTCTGTAAATAGTCTCAGAGAAAGGCATCCTTGTAATTGCAACATATGCCAAATTGCTCTCTTCCAGATGATTAAAAAGAGCAAATTTAATTCCCCTGTGATATCAAATAGGCTATACCATTATCATGTCATGTTACATGAAGGCCACAAGAAACTCTATTTCAATATTCAGTGTCTTCAGTATAATTTAGAGATGATATTATGTTTAGACTAGTCCATCCCCAGCACTTACAAAAATAAAAAAAAGAAATAAAAATAATCATCTTCATTGGGATAGGCAACTAAGCTCTATGGAAGAGAAGATTACCACACCATAGTTTTGTAAGAACCATTCCAAAGATATGTTTACTAGCTATCTTTTCATTGGTTAGGGCTCAGCATGTAAAATGTAAGTGACTTGAAGGTAACCCCTCTATATCATACCTGTTTCCTTTGTCTTTGCAAATGTATAGCTCCACTCAAATTTAATAGTCCATAAATATTAGTTGATTGATTTACTGATTTGCAAAACACATGTTGTGCTCCCCTTTATCCTCAGGCTCTTCCTGATGTGAGTGTGAACCTCCTCCACTGGCCTAAACAGAGAAAAGAGACAGGACAGATATGAAGAGATTCAACTAAAGTGGAGGTGTGTGTTGAGGAGGTGGGGAGAATCAGCATAAGCAATCCATTAAGGACACTGGGAATCAGTGAAACATTCATCGCTCACATTGACTTTCCACTGGGAAGCTGCTGCAATATTCTCTTGCCCCTTCCCTGTGCAACCCTTCCAGTAGCATCCCCTGTGAATTATGTGGATATTGCATGGCCCTGACACTAGAACACCTTTGCTTCTTCCATTAAGACTTAGTTTTCTGAGAGGGAAGGCTGTGAGGCTGTAAGAAATTATCTCTTTAGTCCACAGATCTCCAAAATATAGGGATAGATTATGCTTTGTGATTTAGAATAGTGTTACATTTTTATTTAAGTTATCAGGAACCTTTTGTATTTGAGACTTGTATTTCAGAAAAGAATAAATCAGTATTTCTTTAGAGATATCAAAGATTTTTTAGATTTTTCTATGATATGTAATTCAGAGATAGAGAACTTTATCTGCTTCTAGCTAATATGCTAGATTGTCTTTTCTCAGTAACAATGGGAAAGCTTCCAATTGGGAAAAATTGTCACCCCGTTTCACACATAATGTATAAGGAAATGCTGAAATTCCTCTTCAGTAATCTCTATAGGAGAAGACAAATCTAATCCTCAAATGATTCAATGGTTACTTATTGAGTTTCTAATATAGATGGGGATGACTGCTTAGAGAAGTGTAAAGTTATAAGGAAGGTTTAAAAAGTGCTTCCTGTTTGCAGGGAGTTCATAATTTCATGAGAACAGAATACATAAATGTATAAGCTTATGGATTTATTCAAACACCTGTGCATCTGGCATTCCCAGTCCTAAGAAGTTGCAACACATTCACATAGCAACCCATGTTAGAATACCAGGAGTCACCATTGACTCCTTTGTCTCTCATTCCCCTGGCTAGCTGCTAGTCCCAAAGATCTATAGATTCTACCTCCTTAATAGCTCTAAATAAATTTCATCTACAACATCCTCCTGCCTTGGTTCAGAATTCCATCTTGCCTTAATTCCCAGAATAGCCTCCTAAGTAGTCTTTTTATGTCAACTCTCAAATACCTCCACCTCTCTAATCCATTCTCCACACTGCAACCAAGTTGATCTTTCTTAAATGAAGCTTAATTGACATTGTAATTCCCTTACTTGTACAGGACAAAATGTAAATAATTTAGCTTCATACATAAGGCCTTTTGTAATTTTATTTCTGCCTAATTTTCTAGTTATTTTGTCATTTCATAATAATATATGCACTCCAAAAACACTAGGTCAACATCTTTCTTATGCACCACTGTATCCTTCAAGGCCTACCAGAGGATGTTGCAACAATTGGTGCTGATGACTTTGAATAAATAAACCCCTTGCTCCAACAAACTAACCTATTTATTGTTTCTTGAATGGCCCATGCTGGTGCTGTCTCAAAGAGTCTTTGGCTATGCTTTTGCCTCTTCCAGTAATGTTTTTCTTAAGGACAGACTCAATCCAAGGACACTTTCCTCCTAAAGACCTTTGCTGTTCCTCTTGGCTGGTTAAGATTCCTCTCCCTTTGCTCCCATACCCTCCAGTTAGCTCTGTTACAGAAATTGCTTCATTTTCTGTGATAACATTATCTCCAGGTTCCTTTGGTCTGAATGCTCCTTGACAGCAGGGCCTCTGTCTTATTTGATTTTCTATATCCAGTGCCACCATTGTTCTTCACCAAAAGTATGCACTTGATGAATGTTTAATGAACATATGAATGAGTTGTATGAATAGACAAATGCATAAAAGGCAGTTGATAAATTAATGTATAGATATACTGAATGCAACAGCTATACAAAGCAGTATAGTATATATTACTAAATTCAGGCATGCAAAGGAGAATACAAACTCCCAGAAGGAAGATGTCTCTCTGGCTTAACTCTTTAGGGATGACTCATTGTAGTTTACCAGGGACATTGGAGTGTTAAGAGAACTACCTAGATCCTATTCTCTTCTAAGTTCAGTTTAGAAAATTAGATAGTAAATATTCTCTAAATATTCACACATTACTCACTTAACTCATAACCCAAAAATGTGAGGATTTAACAAATTAAATATCCCCAAATTTTCAAATTGATTACACATTTCTCAAATCCACACTGAAATTCTCATAAACACTTTAAAAACCTTAAAAAGCAAACAGAAAAATATACAGTAAATATAAACTAATCAACGTATTTATGCTATAACAATGGGTTTTAATTTTTTTTTTTTTTAGTATTCCAATTTTAACTCAGATTTGTGTTTATTCCCAGGAAGTTTTCTTCCTAATCTAGTGAGACAAATGACTGCCTCAAATCATCCGAGGTTACCAATAGGGACTGAGACTGGGAAAAAGAGTTTTGGATGTGTTTTCTAAGGTGGTTCATTCCTTTGTGTGGCTGGACAGGCCCTCTTTTGTATTTTTATTTTGGCCATGACATTGGTAAGTGTCTAACTCCCCTAGAAAGTACTTTTGCCAAGTCTATTCTGAATGCCCTTGTATTACAACTCACACAAGCTATTTTGTTGTTATTGTTGTTATGGCTTGCTTTGACTCAAGTCTGGCCTGGTTTGGTTAAATCTGAAAACCATTCAATTTGATTAATTGAAACCACAACTTTTTTTACTTCATCAACCATTAAGCCCTACAGTATTGAAAATGATGTTTCAGGCCGGGCGCGGTAGCTCCCGCCTGTAATCCCAGCACTTCGGAAGGCCGAGGAGGGCGGATCACAAGGACACGAGTTTGAAACCATCTTGGCCAACATGGTGAAACCCCATCTCTACTAAAAACACAAAAATTAGCCCGGGTATGGTGGTGGGTGCCTGTAATCCCAGCTACTCGGGAGGCTGAGGCAGGAGAATCGCTTGAACTCAGGAGGCAGAGGTTGCAGTGAGCCAAGAACGTACCACTGCACTCCAGCCTGGGGGATATCTCAAAAAAAAAAAAAAATAGAAGATGAAGTTTCTTTCTACATTTCCAACATCAATGTCAACACCATAACAAATCTCTTCAACTTCCCTATTATGTCTTTCAAGATTTTGTTGTATCTTCTGTATGGTCTCAGAAACTAAAAAGAGTCTACTTCTTCCTCTAGATCACCAGTTCCCCTTCTTCCGCTGCCATTTCCATCTTCTTTGTATTTTCATCAGTTTTCTCTTCTCTACCTTTCATGATTTATCTCTTCCTGTCCACTGAATCCTTACCTTCAGTCTATAAAATGTCATAATTTTTCACATAATATACTAAAAAGCACTTACTTTTAAATTTTCTACCTCAGTGTACCATCCCATTCCTATCTTTCAACACCAAACCTACTGAAGGATCTGTTTCCTATTGCCATTATAACAAATTACCACACCTCTTCCTTATACCATATACAAAAATTAACTCAAGATGGATTAAAGACTTAAAGGTAAAACCCAAAACTATAAAAACACTGGAAGACAACCTAGGACATACCATTCAGGACAAAGGCATGGGCAAAGATTTCATGACGAAGACACCAAAAGCAATTGCAACAAATACAAAAATTGATAAATGAAATCTAATTATACTAAAGAGTTTCTGCACAGCAAAAGAAACTATCAACAAAGTAAACTGACAACCTACAGAGTGGGAGAAAAGTTTTGCAAATTATGCATCTGACAAAAGTCTTATGTCCAGCATCTATAAAGAACTTAAACAAATTTACAAGAAAAAAACAACACCCCCATCCCCCCCAAAAAATATGAACAGACACATTTCAAGAGAAGACACACATGTGGCCAACAATCATATGAAAAAAGTTTAACATTACTGATCGTTAGAGAAATGCAAATCAAAACCACAATGAGATACCATCTCACACCAGTCAGAATGGCTATTATTAAAAAATAACAGATGCTTATGAGATTGTGGGGAAAAGGAACGCTTATACACTCGTGTTTGGAGTGCAAATTAGTTCAACCGTTGTGGAAAATAGTGTAGTGATACCTCAAAGACCTAAAGAGAGAAACACCATTTGACCCAGTAATCCCATTACTGGGTATATACACAAAGGAATATAAATCATTCTGTTCTAAAGACACATGCATGTGTATGTTTACTGTGTCATTATTCACCATAGCAAAGACATGGAATCAACCTAAATGCACATCAATGATAGATTGGATAAAGAAAATGTGGTACACATACACCATGGAATATTATGACTATGCAGCCATAGAAAGAATGAGATCATGTCCTTTGCAGGGACATGCATGGAGCTGGAGGCCATTATCCTTAGCAAACTAAGGCAGAAACAGAAAAACCAAATACCACATGTTCTCACTTATAAGTGGGAGCTAAATGATGAGAACACATGGACACATAGAGGGTAACAACATACACTGGGGCCTATCAGAGGGTGGAAAGTGGGACAAGGGAGAAAATCAGGAAAAATCACTAGTGGGTACTAGGCTTAATACTTAGGTGACAAAATAATCTGAACAACAAACCCCCATGACAAGTTTACCAATGTAACAAAGCTACACATACACTCCTGAACTTTTTAATAAAAGCTAAACAAACAAACAAAAAACAATAAAAAAAGGAACACACACACACACACACACACACACACACACACACACAAATTACCGCAAACTTAGTGTCTTAAAATAGCACAAATTGATTATCTTACAGTTCTGTAGCTAGGAAGTGCAAAGTGAGTCTTACAAGGATAAATATCAAGGTGTGATCAGGGCTGTGCTCCTTCCAGAGGCTCCAGGGGAGATCTCATTTTCTTGTCTTCTCCAGTTGTGAGTGGGGACCTGCATTCCTTGGCTCATGGTCCCTTCCTCTCTCCTCACGCCATGTCCCTCTAAACTCTGCTTCCACCATCACACTCCTTTTTGCTGACTTTGGCTTTCTGGCCTCTCATTTATAAAAACCCTTGTGAATATACTGAGCCAAACTGGCTAATCCAGGATAATCCTCTCAATTTAAGATCCTTAATGAAATCACACATGCAAAGTCCCTTTTGTCATGTAAAGTAACTATTCACAGGTTTTTGAGATTAAGATATGGATATCTTTTGGTGTCCCCTATTCTATATACTATGGGGGAATATCTGTATGTGCTAAAATAATGTATGTAAACCACCTGACACTTAGTACTCAATATATATAAATTCCATGAATGACAAAATATGGAAAAAACATGTTGGTGACTGTAAGGTTACAGTTTTCACAGTCAACTAAAATGATACAAATTATATAAATCTAAAGTTTTAAAATTATTGACATAAGTATAGTCTGAGAAAATTCTTGAATGTTTTATGTACATGAAATTCCAAGTATCCTGTGTTCTCTAGCAGGAAGCCCTTTACACTAGATATTTTATGGAATGTCTTAGAAGAATACAGTGTCACTTCTGCTAAGAAATACTCATCTCACAATTCTGCATCCAAACCCATAGCAAACCTTCCACATCTCTTCAGCTCCACTGCCACTTTCTGACTCAAGCAGCCCCAGTTCCTCTAGAATTGCCTCCTTATACAGTGGTGTTCTCAGTATTCCCCATCAGTCAGCTCCCCACCCACATCCGGAGTGATTATGTAACATGTAACAGAGTTTATACACTCCCCTATTTAAAACATTTCAGTGGCTTTCCATTTTTCATAAAATACAAAATATTGAGTCTGGCCTTACAGGTATTTCATGGGCTGGCCCTGCTCTTCCTCAATAGCCCTACTGAGAGACACATCTGTTTACACGCGTCACCTTCCTCATCTTTAAATATCCACTTTCTACAAGGCCCTAGGTAAGCCTTTACATGAATGTTATTACCTCTGCAAGAATAATATTCCCATTTAATCTCAACCTGGCTAATCCTTATTATTATTCAACTGTCAGCTGAGCATGATTTCTCAGACTGGCTTCTTCAATTCACCATCATTCTCTCTCATGGTCCCCTGACATTCCCTTTAAGCATTAACTGAACTTGTAATTGTATTTTTATTTGCTTTGCTATTTATCTCTCTCCACCACTGGTCCATATAAGTTCGATTAGGTGCAGAGATAATATCTTCTCAGTTTAGCTCTATATACAAAGTCCTTAATGCAATGTTTGTGCGTAGTGTGCAGTCAACAAATATCTTGAATATTAAGTGTGCTTGTTTAGTGCCTGCACACTCCATGCAGACAGACACCATGTTGACTTCCTTCACCACTGCCTCCGCCACACATGCTCCTACACCTGGTATATAGAAAATGCTAATAGTTGCAAAACAAGTGAATAAATAGAACAAGGAACTCTAAACAGCATTCTACTTGAGATCAGAAGACATCAATGCATTCCCAAGGGGAAAACTGAAAATTCCATTTTTTGAAAATCTGGGCCAATTGCGGAATGTTTCCCTGTAGAATCTGGGAAGATAATCATGTCTCATTATGTATATGCAATGTTTCGTGAGAGGCATATACCCATCTGTAAGTTTCATTCAGGCAGGGTTGTCCTTTCATTCCACCTCAGGGAAGAGGAGCTCCACCACAGGGGACAAAGCTGTATTAGGAGACCCTGGGTTATACAGGAGGAACCTGGTTATTTCACCCTGATAAGAAAGGAATAAAAGCTCTTGCTGCCAGTAGCAGCTTCCTTTGGATTTCCCCCCTTGAATAGATTGTCTCTCTGTTCTTTATTAGACTCTAATAAAAATGCATGCCTGGGGGAAAGGGTGTGGGGGGCTACCTAACACTCAAGACAGGGTTTAAGGTTGAGAGTTTGGAACTACTCACTTCAACCTGGCTCTGCCTTGAAAGGTGAAAAAGAGGGAATTCTTGTGGTTTCCATGGCGTCCATCTATTTCACGATCACAGAATAGACCGGAGTGTGAAAAAGGAACCCTGTAGGGAGTATAAGTAACTACCTGATTTTGTCTTCTGTACCTACACCTTCCTTAGGGACCTTGAAAAGATGACTCTGGCTATTGTGGATGGAAAACTATTCAACAGTTCTGAAAACATCTCTCCACCGATGACCACAACAGCTTCCACACCATTCTCTACACTACTATCAATGTGATCTTGCCAAAAGGTGAATCTCATGACACCAATATCCCACTTAGAGCTTCTCCTTGTTCTTAGAATAAAATCCAAAATCTGTATCAAAGCCTGCAAGTCCTCCCCTTTCTCATCACACAGCACTTTCCCTCTCATTTTCCATGTCCTAATCATGCAGGGTGTCTTATCACTCCTTGAAATGCACCCTGCTGTTTCTTCCCTAGAACGTTATTCCCACATCTTTATTCACACTTGCTCTTCGCTCTACCTGGTCCATTCTGTTAAATCAAATTTAGCCTAAAGCTGCCTCCTTACATATTTTAAGTTTGACTTAAAGGTTTCTCTGTACATCGTGAACTGTAACCTAAATGGAGTTGTATACAGATTGCAGTCTACTCTTGTGTCAATCACTGAGTTTTGGCCAATCAAAGGTGGCCAACTGTTCAAACTGTATTCAAATAAGGCAAACACCAAGGTGTAACCAACCCAGCTGTTTCTGTACCTCACTTCCATTTTCTGTATGTCACTTTACTTTTCCCGTCCATAAATCTTCCATCACACGGCTGAGCTGAAGTGTTTGAGCCTATTCTGGCTCAGGAGGCTGCCCGATTCACAAACCATTCTTTACTCAGTTAAACTATTTTAAATTTAATTCAGCTAAAGCTTTTCTTTTAAAGTTCTCTTTGGTGCTCTCTTGATATCTACATCTCAGAATAATATCACTTCTCTGTGAAGTCGTTCATGACCAACCCAGCCCACCGTCAGGAAAGATCAGATTCCCTCTGGCGTATCCTCTCAGCACTTTATACATTAGTACTTAGCAAATATAATTAAAGACCAAATTTATAGTTCCTTGATTAAAGCCTATCTTTCTAATAACTAAAACCCATGGGTTCAGATAGTATAGCATTCTCATTCCACCACACATTGCCTAGAAGCCATTTCTTACAGTGTATGAGCTCAATCATTATTCATTGAAAGATTATCTGAATGAATAGATCTGATTGTGGGCATTAACTGCTATTTGATCTTGAGCTAAACATCACTGTTCACATTTGAACACCCTGGTCATCACCATCACTTATGCCTTACTGCTATGACCTGAATGTACTCCAAAATTTGTGTGTTGAAACTTTAACCCCATTGTGGTGGCACTAAGAGGGGGTCCTTTAGGGAAGTGATTAAGTCATGAGGGCTTCGCCTTCATGAATGGTTTAGTAACTTATATTAAGTTGGTGCAAAAGTAATTGCAGTTTTTGCTAGTACTTTTAATGCCAAAGGCCACAATTACTTTTACACCAACCTTAATAAAAGGACTGGAGGGAACTGGCTTAGGACCTTCTTTCCTTCTGCCCCTTCACCATGTGAGGACACAGCATTAATCCCCTCCAGAGGACATGGCAACAAGGCACCATACTGGAAGCAAAGACCAGGACTTCCACAGACATCGCAACTGCTGGTACCTTGATGTTGGACTTCCGGTGACTAGAACTGTGAGAAATGAATTTATGTTCCTTAAAAATTACCCAGTCTCAGCAACTATGACAGAAAAGATCATCATCCAAATTGCTGACTCAACTATCTCCCAGGCCCACACCATTGTTTTTAAAATTTGGCGTAAAATCAAAGATAACTGGTATCAATGTAACTTTTCCAATTCACCTACCCTCTCATCCTTCTTTGTTCTGAGCGAAATACTTCTCCACTTCCTAAAACTTTCATTAATATATTGCGTTTCAATTCTCTCCAATATGTTAGTCTCCAAAACCGAACATAACACTAAACAAGATGTGATTCTCCTACACAGAACAGAGCTAACTTCGCCTTCATTTGATATTCTATAACTCTATGAATTCTACCTGAGGACTCATTATGACCAAAGGTGACAAAATACTCAGTGCATTGAGTAAACTCCCACATATTTTAGTTATAACAGTTTTAACATCATATTCTTTGGCCTTAATTTAGGGACAGATTAAGTTTAAGAAAACAACACCAAAATGGGAAATTTGCAAAAACAAAAGTTTCCAGTTCATATTACCTTTAGGCAAAGATATTTCTACTTCCTACTTTCCTTTTTAGAACTGCAACACCTGTCAGGGAAAAATTTAGCTATTTGACTTTATACTGAAAAGAAATCTGAGTAGGCATTACACTTCTCTCTCTCTCTCTCTTTTTTTTTTTTTTTCCCGAGACAGCTTCTCATTCTGTCAACCAGGCTGGCATGCAGTGGCATGATCTCGGCTCATTGCAACCTCCACCTCCCGGGTTCAAATGATTCTCCTACCTCAGACTCCCAAGTAGCTACGATTACAGATGTGCCACCTCATCTGGCTGATTTTTGTATTTTTGGTAGACGTGGGGTTTCACCATGTTGGCCAGGCTGGTCTTGAACTCCTGACCTCAGGGGATACACCTGCCTCAGCCTTTCAAAGTGCTGGGATTACAGGCGTGGGCCAACGCGCCCAGCCTACACTTCTCTTTAAAGTCCTGCTGCATCATGCTGCATTCTCTTTCTGTACATTATGCAAAGTAAGAGATGCCGGTGGCATATGGAATCAAAGTCTTAGGTACACCTTCATCTCTGTAAGTTGTCAGATGGAATAGTTTTTATAAATAAAGTATTGAAATGGAGATTAAAGAAAGGGAGAAAGAGGGAAAGAGAGAGAGAGAAAGGTGGAACTGAGTATATAAAAATGTTAGAACTGCCATCATTTCAACTTATGGTAACATTTTCTAAAGATTATTTAACCTTGTTAGTACCTGTCTAAAGATGTTAGATGTCTTGGTCTCATTAGTCAGAGACAAAACTTTGAGACTTTCCCTAGTAGGTAAAGCAAATTGTATATTCCTTTGATAGTATGCATACATAATATGCATATATAATGCATATTTTACGCACAAAATGCCTTATTTCACTGATAGTATTTACTGCATTTTTCCTAAATCTTAATGCCTATAAAAATTATATTTTTTTCCTGATGCAAAAATTATAATTTTTACAATGTAATAAACAAAGTCATTTTTGGATAGAGACATTTCAGAGCTGTATGAGACTCCCTAACAAGGCCCTATTAAAGTTATCACAGGGTATCTTTTAAATATACTTTAATTTTCATAATTTTTATTTTTATATTCTCTCCTCTAATTTGTTACCCAGCTATACTTTACTTTTCTCTATGTACATGGTAAAGTGCATGAACAACCAAAGTGAACTAAAACGTATGAAGACTGTTCTCAGCTCAGCCAGGCCACTTGGTAGGAGCATTAATGAATGTTTGAAAGCACAAATCATGAATCTGTGAGAAACAAAAAGTAAGACAATGTTTATGGAAGGGGAAAGAGGGGCCTTTCCCACTGCTTGTTCCCACTAAGTATGCCCTTTAACTCCCAAGTATATCACTACAGAGATAGCATTTGTCATCTACAGACACCAGAAACAGCTCCAGGACTGTATATATTTCTCATCTCTCTCCAAGCCTCCATATTGTTTATCAAAAAGCATGGGGACAAGGAACTTCAAAGGGAATTCCTTCCTCAGATCAGCTCAGTGGGAGGCTGAGAGGGACAAGAAACAAGCTCTTGATTAGTATTTATTGAGTGCCAAGTGTTTCCTCAACACTGTATAATACACAGAGAAAGACATGGTCCATGCCCCATGGGGTTACCATCTAAATAGGATCGATGAGGTGAGGCGTAATTGGCTGAATTCTTCCCCTGTGTTGATGACTTCTCTATGGGAACCCAAGTCGTCCTCTGTGGAGACTGGTGCTATTCAACCAAACGTTAACAAGCGCGTTATGTCCTCTGAGAGCCTGGCACAGTCAGCCCCATCAGGAGGGAGAGCTCTGTGTTTGTCATAACTGCCTCGTATTCAGACTCCCTCCCCAGACACTGTCTTCAGTGGCCTCGGCTGCAGTCGGAAGTCAATAGATGGCTTTGTGGATGATCCAGGAGAATCAGGAAGACCCTTATTCTGGAGACAAAAGCTCAGTCTAATACTTGCAGAATTGCTCTCCTGGCTGCCATTTTTAACATATCACTTCAATGGCTACAGCTCCCCGGTGGTTCCACTGTCTCTTCCTACAGGAAATGGAGACTTCTAATGCTATCCTCTTAATGGCCAGATCATGCCCCTACAAGCCTCGAAGATTCTCATGACCTAATAAGGTGCCTCACAAGCCTAGGAAAACCTATTTCTTCTTTCCCCCACTAGGTTTTTCTCCTTCTTCTTCTTTGTTTTTTTTTTTTTTTTTTTTTTTTCATTTCTTTTTGAGACAGTCTCACTCTCTGGAGTGCAATGGCACAATCTTGGCTCACTGCAGCCTCCACCTCCCAGGCTCAAGCAATTCTCCTGCCTCAGCCTCCTGAGTAGCTGGGATGACAGGTGTGCACCACCATGCCTAGCGAATTTTTGTATTTTTAGTAGAGACAGGGTTTCACCATTTTGGTCAGGCTGGTCTCGAACTCCTGACTTTGTGATCCACCCACCTTGGCCTCCCAAAGTGCTGGGATTACAGGCATGAGCCACCTTGCCTGGCCCATTTTTCTCCTTCTATATAACTGAACTGAGAAACTATAAAAATTAACCCACTCCTTGTAATCTCTTCCATTTCACAACCTACTTCTGTAGTTTTATTCATCACGTCTAAATTTTGATCTATTTTAGTTTATTTTGACTTTCCATTTTGTCACGAAAGTATTCTATCTGTATCTGCAGCTGATGAATGTGTTAATATGATAAAACCTGATATAAGGCCCTTGTGGTAGAATCCAGGAACTATTTTCTGAGTTTTCCAAGAAGTTCTTAAATAGTCCAAAACAGGTTAATGATTTGTTGTTGTTGTTGTTGTTGTTGTTTTATTCTATTTCGACTATTTTATTCTAAAATTTCTTCTATTATCTTCTGTGGCTTTTTTAGTCTCTGAGTTTAACCAAGGTAGAGGTAAGAACCATGGATTAATGCAGGCTAGGGAGGGCACAAAGCTCTTCACTATTCCAACATCATAAATCCTGGAGCCACCGAAGTTGCCTAAATTTTGGTTATTCAGATGCTGCAGCTGCCAGAAATGGGGCCAGTGAGGCTGTCTTCTGTCATTACAATAGGCTATCTGTTTGCTAGTCAATATGCTAAGTATTTAACTAGATAGAGCCAGATGGAAAAGGCTGATATGACCAGTAAATGATACAAAATTGGAATGACTCATTAAATCATTCAAAAATACATATTGAGGATCAAATATTTTCCAAGTGCAATACAGGCACTAGAGATTCAATGGTAAGCAAAAATCAGACATTATTTCTCTTCTCTTAGACTACACACTCTAGGACAGAAGACAAGGTTAATGATAGAAACATACCTAAAATTGCAATTCTGTTAGGTTCTGTGAATGAGGGGTGCATAGCCCTAGGAGTGTATTACAAAGACTCTGATCTTCCCAGGGTGTCATGGGAAACTTCCCTGGAAAGTGATGTCTGAGCCTAGATCTGAGAACAGGATGGCATTAAGTAGGCAAAGAATGAAGGGAAGAACCAGCCATGCAAGGAACAGCATGCCATGGGCAGAGGTGCTACTCTGATAAGGAAGAGAGAAGTAGTGACAGCTTTTCTAAGTCTGCATGTCCTGATCATCAGATGACATGTCCTGGACCATTCATCCCCTGGCTCCCATCAATAGTTTATAAAAGTTCCCTTTTCTCCACACCCTCACCAGTGTTTGTTGTTATTACTCTCTTTTACTTTTTCTTATAATAACCAGTCTAACTGGGGTGAGATGCTATCTCACTATGGTTTTGATTTTCATTTCCCTATGATTAGTGTTGTTGAGCATTTTTTTCATATACTTGTTGGTTATTTGTATGTCTTGTTTTGAAAAATGTCCATTTAGATCACTTGCCCATTTTCAATCAGATTATTTGTTCTTGTCCTGTTGTTTGAGTTCCTTGTATATTCTCGATATTATTACCTTGTCAGATGAAAAATTTGCAAATATTTTGCAAATTTTTTTTCTCATTTTGGAGGTCGTCTCTTTACTCTGTTGATGTTTAAAATGTTAAAAAATGAAGCCCACATAACATTATAGAAAACAAGAAGGAGAATTCATATTACCCTTATAAAATATACTCCTGGATCTAGATCTGGATGTGATGTGTGTGTATGCACATATGTTTGTGTGTGGGCATGTAGGTATGTATGTGTCTTGCATGTGTAAGTATTCAGCACTGATATTATTATTGTCACTAATTTATTTCATACTCACTTTTCATTTTTCACTAGAGAGTATTTTTCTCAGGTAACAATGGACATGTCTATATTTAACCAAAGAACATATACATTTGTTCTTTCTGGCATCCATTTGCCATCCAATTAGCATTAATTCTCAGAAATTAGATGCTATTTTAGGAAAATAAAATAAATTTCCAGTGTTATCTTAAAAAGTGAAGGGAAATTAATCCTTTGAATAATGAAGGATTCTGGTTAATGTAGAGTTACATGTTACCAAAGAGGATTGGCAGCTCTCTGAAGGAATAATTTTAAAGAGTTCTATAAATAAGGGATTCTCCAGTCCAGTGTTCCTAAAATGCTGTTTATTTCCCCAGAGATGCTGCATTTACTATGAACTCTCTTTACATACCACCAGTCCATGACTTTGAGTAACAAAGCTGTATTGACTCAGTAATTTTTTTTTTTTTTTTTTTTTTTTTTTTTTTTTTTTTTTTGAGACGGAATCTTTCTCTGTCGCCCAGGCTGGAGTGCAGTGGTGCCATCTCTGGTCACTACAAGTTCCGCCTCCTGGGTTCACGCCATTCTCCCTTCTCAGCCTCCCGAGTAGCTGGGACTACAGGCACCCGCCACCACGCCTGGCTAATTTTTTGTATTTTTAGTAGAGACGGGGTTTCTCTGTGTTAGCCAGGATGGTGTCGATCTCCTGACCTCGTGATCCGCCCGCCTTGGCCTCCCAAAGTGCTGGGATTACAGGCGTGAGCCACCGCGCCCGGCAGACTCATAGTAATTTCTATAGGATACAATATTCTCAATAGTGATCCATTGGAAAATAAATTTGCCAACAGCCAAAAGGTCTCTGTAAAGCCCCTGCTTGATGTTAGATAAACGTAGAGCTTTTGAATCAGAAGGGATTTTTGCTGTAGAATTAAGTAGCCCACCTTCCTCCAGTTCTCAAGTATAATAATTCCCACAATCTCATGATAAAACTATTCATTTTCATGTTTATTTCAGTTTTTATCATTTTAATTTTACAAAGCTCTGAGATCACTCTATTTTCAAGTAATTGCTAGTTTCTGTATGCCAACTGAGTAAAATTTTAAAAATAAGCTTCAAGATACACATGGCCTATCAAATTTAAAATAATTTGAAAACAAGTTCACGCCTGTAATCTTAGCACTTTGGGAGGCCGAGGTGGGCAGATCACGAAGTTAGGAGATCAAGACCATCCTAGCTAAATAGAAAAGATAAAAAATAAAAAAAAAGAAAACAAGTTTAACTCTAAGACTTTAACTCATACACACTGATAGTTCTCTTATGATCCATTTAAGAATTTACAATGTCTTAGGACCATGAAGTAATTCCATCAAAGATGACCCAGTAAGACTTATACGCATTTTTTTCTTTAAACAATGAAAAAGAAGGGAGTGCTATACCAAACTTTGTGCAAAGCACAGTTTCTACAATAGAGCCTATCAGTTGCCTTTTGATGTATTTCTCTCTTTCTCTCTCTACATACATATAAATGTATGTATTTACACACACATAAACATTATACATTTTATATATGTATGTTTTACACATATATGTGTGTGTGTGTGTATTTCATAAGAAAGAATTCAGATCCTCTTTTCTAAATATAATTATTTGCATTTTTATCTTTTGTATTCTGAACACATGTGAATGGAATGAGTTACCTTAAACCATCCCAGCTACTTCTGGTGGATGACACAGGGCAGATGAGTGTGTTACAGCACTTTGTTGATCTTAGTAGCCACTCTGCTTTCACCCCAGAGCTGCCCCCAAAAGTCACCCTGCAGGGATTGCAAAGCCATCTGTTTCCCATTTTAGTCTGCTCATAGTGCAGTGTTCTGTTCCAGCTTTCTGTGGGCTGGATCTGACTGATGACATTTGAGGTAGCTGAGACCCATAGTGATGAGGATCACAGAAGACGATGGGCTCGTTAAGCACATCTCATTTTAGACAAACTGCGAGTGGCATTTTGTTTATATGGTTCATTTCGCCAACAAATTAGATTTCAAATTGATTGCTTTCTAAAATGGCTTTGTTCATCAATTCCGAGACTAGGCAGTTATAATCAGAATCCTAGTAATTAATGGTCTCCTATATTAAAAATGTTTTTTAAACAGCAGGGTAATCATGAACTTCAAGAGAATGTAAAATCTATTCTTCACTTTTAGGTCTCTCTCAAGCACTACAGGGTGTAGAAATGAAATAAAGGTCTTTGCACAAGTTTACTGTGAAAGAGCTGACAGCTCAGAACAAAGCTGCCTAAGCCACTTAGACCTCTTTATCATGTAGTTACTGAATACCCAAGAGAACACAAATAAAAAGTTTAACATAGTGGACCAATGGGTATCTGGTATGGCATTGTGAATGAATATCATTTGAGTTATTTTACTCAAAAAGCAGTTTCTGGCAAATGGCATTTTATTTTTTTTAATAGTAAGCAGTGACTAATTTAGTGGAATTACTACTCATTATTTAATTGTATCTTTAAAAGTAAGATTATTTTTTATATTGCCTCCCTGAAATCAAATTAGAAATTGAAGAATGATGACAGAGAACATCTGTGGGGTTTTTTAAAGTTTTGGTGACCAAAGTTTTTAATACTTTAAGCTGCACCTTTTTACTGCCTGGAGTGGCAGAATGCTTCTGAGTCTTTGTAGACTCATCATTGGTTTCAAATTCTACCTATACCACGAACACCAAAATTCCTGATGAGTTTTGGATAACTGTCACACTCTTTCTACTGTAAACTAAAACATAAATGCGGATAACCACAAAAGGCAAATGTATAGCTTAATTAATTACTATTAATAGAAACTAACAAAGGCAAGAAATAGCCTTTTGCTGATTATTAGAAAAGCCACTTTCAAGAGCTACATTCCTGTCATATCCTTTTCATCTCTCATCCTCCCCTAAGTAACCATTATCCTAAATTTCATAGTGATCACTTTTCTGTACTTTAAAAAATAGTTAAATCATCCAAATGAGTATTCCCTAGACTTTGATTAAGCCATTTCTCCAGTAATTCAATAAGTCACTTCATTTTTCCAAATTCTAATTCAGAAATCTATAAAACTCAGTTCCTTTCACTTTCAGATGTGGTTATCTCTGTGTGGACCTAGCTCAGCACAGACAAGGTGCTCATCCATACGTTTCTTTATTCTTAAACCTTTACCTAGAAAGACAAGATGGTTTGCAGAGGAGACAGCAGGGACAAAGGTCGGACCCCAAAAGAAGGGGAAGATCCCATGAAAGTTTGCATAAAAGAGTAACACGATCAATTCAACCTTGATTGGCATACTATGAAGGAAAATCTACAAAGGGGGATCTAATCACTCTAGCTAGTCATGAAAATGTCAATTTAGAAATGAAACACTTTCACTCTTAAGCACTATAGAGTCTGCAGCCTCCAGAACTCAAGTCTTTTTAAAATCTCAGCTCTGACTCTAATGGATGGTGTGACATCTGATGAACTACTTTAGGATTTGGGATTTCTGATTCAAAAAGAAAAATAAATTGTCTTTTAACTCAAGCCTTTCTCCACATTGTGTGAAGATGGAGAAATAAATCTCAAAGACAAGGTGATTTTCTAAAGGTCAAATCACAGAAACTTAGATGTTCTGATTCCAGTTCTGATTTTTTTTTTTTTTTTTTTACCAACACAAGTAGGTTCTCTTCAGAAAGATTGTGTTTATTCTTTATTTCCCTTATCCAAAAGGTTTGTAATGGTTTCTTGCACCTACTGAAAAAAGTCCAACAGTTTTTATCAGGCATTCTTATCCAACGTTAGTCCTCTGACATTGCTTGGTAGTGAGATCACACTTTCCTCCATTGGCTTCTTTTTGATTTTTCAGAGGGGAAATACTTTCTAGCCGCCTCTTCTCCATCTAATGAGTAGAATTTCTGAAGTAGATTCTTTTGTTGCTGAGCAGAATTGTGAATGTGAGGCTGTGAACTAGAAGCATCTTGAGACTCTGAGTTGAGGTAATATGTTCGGGTCTACCAGGAGAAGGATGGTAGAACCAATGCTGCCAGAGAAGCCATGGATAAGGTGATTAACATCAGAAAGAGATTTGAAGAAAAGAGTGGATCAAAGAGCGATCCATGATGTTCGGTTATGTAAAGTGTCCTGAACCTTCTTTTGAATCTCCTCACACTGTTTTAGGAAAATATCAGTTTCTCGTGTATGTCTTGTGGGGGATCAAGTGGCTCTGAACTGTATCAAAGACTAGAGTTGTGCTTCAAGATTGGCATAAGCACACAGGCTACCCACGTGGATCTGAACAATTACTAACCACACTTGGACCTCCTTTATCCATGCTCTTCACTGCATAAAAATATTCTTTCCTTTCTGCATTAATATAGGTATGAAAGTATAATTAATTAATGCCTACTATACAACCAGCACTGATCAAAAACTTCATACATATTATGTCATTTAATTCTCATAATACTGTCTAGTACTGTTATTATCCCTGGTTTATAGATGAGGCTCAGGAAGATTAAGTAGCTTGCCCAAGACCTAAGCTATAAGTTATAAAGTGGGCACATGAACCAGTCAGCCTGGCTCCAGGGCCCATGTTCTTAACCACCACACTCCCCAGCTCTTTAATATCATTCCTCTGGTACACATCAATCAGCTATCCTTCCATGTGAATATATTTTATTTTCTAAACTTAATGACAATATCCCTAAGGATAATCAGAGTTTTCCTTTTCTTCTGTTTATCTTTTACAGATTCTGTAGAGCTGGTCATTTTGGTGAAGTAAGGAGTTTGCTTAGTACACTCTGAATTTTTTAAAAAAGAATAACTCACTTAGCAAATGAAATCTGATTCCATATGCCAATGCATGGAATATATAAAAGCAGGGCTTCTCTAATGGAAGTTAAATAAATTGTCTCAGGTCAAAGAACCAGTAAAAATGCTAAGAAATATTCATCTAAGTCTCTCTACACCATAGTCCAAATTCTTACCTACTACACAACCTCATACTACAAAACCTTCTCAAGCTATTAGCCTTGAGACTTCAGAGTAGAATATTGCATCACCTGATTAGGTAAGATGATAGGTAAGAGGATGACTTTTTATAATTTTCATACTACTCATTCAAAAGTAAGTATTGAGTGTTGCTCTGAACTACCAGGAATGAAGCATGTCTGACAGCACGAGATACTTCCCTACACATCTATATTTTAGGGAAGTAGAATCTGGAATTGTATAAAGATGACCACGGCTGACAACTGGAAATGTCTGAAAATTTCAAGAGATTGTAAAATGCGAATGTTCTACATGAGATTCTGAATTACTTAAGGCTAGAAGTTTGAGGCAGAGGTACCTGATAATAAAACTCTGGGGATGGTGTCAGTGCACTATACACTTCTGGGCAGAGGACTGGACTATAGGCTCTTTTCCTTCCAATCTTAAAAGTTTATAATTCAAAAAAATGTGTGTTATTCTATCATTTTAACACAAACTAATATTGTGTGCACATAAAGGACATTTAACAAATGCCATTGGATCATGAAAATTACACACACACACCCCAATAGCACTATTTATAGGATAAGACTAAGAACATTATGCATGTCTTACTAATGACACTTATTTAAATTCCTGTATTCATAGGATATAGCAATCCTTTCTATAATTTAAATTCAAATTGACAATATTTGGATTTCTGGTTAGAAACAATAATTTTCTGACAAATGATTCTCCATTAGCCCAAAGAGCATAAACTCCAATATTTCCTTCATCACCAAGCAAAATTTACACTTTCTTTCCAAATTAATACCTCCATTTCTATTCAAAACACAGCCATGTTACATGAGGAAACTAAGGGCTTACATCTTTGAATTGGTTTAATGTCTATTACAGTTCCTTTTCTTGGGTTTTTAAGATTTCTAGAAAGAGAATGCAAATTAAATTGTGTGAGGAATAGACAAATGCCTCTTTCATCCATAATAAATTCATCTAAAAAGCTTACTGATCATCCTAATGCTACATCTGGACTTGGTGTTATCACATGGAAATTCATTATAGAAAATATACTATGCAGATTAGGATGGCTAATGCAGCATGCAGTTATAATTTGGGCTATGATTTAGAATTATGCTCTCTCATCTAAGTGAAGATTGCTTTGACAGGCATTCATCAGCTACCTCCTGTTCTGGCATTTGACTCACAGTATTTGGAACAAATATTTATAAGAAATACCTACCCCGTAAAAGGCATGTTCATGAGGTCATATTGTTTGCCTAATTCCAGCAAACTAAACAGTACTTTGTTCTACATCACGTTATTTTATCCAGCTACCAAGAGAAACATTTGCTCGTTAACGAGCAAATTAAGTTTCCATATCAAATGGTAACTAACTCACGATCCTCTAAAGTAGTCTTGTCCAACAGAAATAAATGTGAGCCCAGATGCAGGTCATGCATGTAATTGTAAATTTTGTAGTGACATTACAAACAGTAAAAGGAAACAGGTGAAAGTAATTTTAATAACATATTCTGTTTAACCCAATGTGTGCAAAAATACTTTTATCTCAACATAAGATATTTGACTTTTTTCCTTTTCTTTTTTTCTTTTGTAATAAGTCTTTGAAATCCAGCATGTATTTATTAACAGCACATCTCAATTTGGACCAGCTACATCCAAGGGCTTAATAGTTCCATATGACTCACAAGTACTTTAAATCCTGGCTTCATCACAAGCATTAACAAAGATGGCCAGTGGTTCCTGTACGAGACAACACAACTCTAAGGACTAAATTTTCATTTAATTTATCACAAATTACCAGTCCCTACTTATTTCAGCCCTTTTCCTATTATAAGCAATGAGAGTAGCCACCTAAGTAAGATTCAGCCTCATTCAACCCTAGGAAAGTGAGAAACAATTCTGGCAGAATATTAAAATTTCCAGCCATAATAATAAATGAATTAAAAAGTAGTCTAGACTTTAACCATGCAAATTCTTATACTTTAAGGAAAGAGAACAAGAAATTTTCTCAGTCTCCCTTAATCTTATGGACTGTAGATGGCTAATCAGTTAGGCTAGTCCCTCCCTGCCTGTCTTCTCTTTGATACCAAGAGTATTTGGTTTTTGGTTTGGTTTCTTTAACCTGCTAACTATGCCAATGTATTCTAGTGGAGCTCAGCTCTGTAGAACAGAATGCCACCTGCAGATGACAAAGGTTAAGATTCTTAACCTAACTCTGCCTTCTATATTCATTCCCTGAGTCCTGCTGCCCTCAGACCCAACTGGAAAGAGAAATATATTTAATAGGAGAACTCTCTGTGCTCCACCAAGCTGTATATAGCCTGCGGATGTTCTCTGTACAACCTGCACAGTGTTATTTCATTGAATTATTTGTGAATATTTAACAATCAATTTTTTTGTGTGTGTAAAAAATTAGATCCGTTGACTCCAAGACTCCATTCTTGCATGGGATCCCAGAATTATAAGCATCTATCCCAACTCCTTCTTTTGATTTGACCCAGTGAGTGCTTTGGAATTGTGATGCCCCTTGCTGGGTGTGCTTGTGTTATTGGATTTGGACCACTGAGTGCAGCTAGGGAGAGAGTCAAGGCTTTCCATCTTACTTACACTGCTCATGGCTCAATGTCAGCTTGCCCCTGCTTCTGGGCTGGCACCCTGGCAGTAATGACTCTGATGACTTGGCCTGCTGTAATTATTTTTCCTTGGTCACCAGGTGCACATGAAACAAAGCCACGATTAATCTCTGCTATAGAACTTATTCAAGAATCAATAGCCACGTTGTTATTGAATTATATGTGATGCGAAGCACTAGCTCAACAAAGAGACATATATTTTTTATCAGTATTATGTACAAAATTTTATTGGATTGGACAGTGAATATTCAGTTTGCACCTAGCCATTCAGTAATACAGGTATGAGTAATTTTTTTGGAAGTTGTGCTTCCTAAACCTCACATTTTCTCCCTAAATACTCAAACTTCCCCTCACTCAGTTTGTAAGAAAATCTTGATTATTGAATTAATGTCCCTATTTTTGTCACGCTGCTTATAGTGGTTTCCTAGGGCTGCCATAACAAACGATCACACACTGGGTGGCTTGAAACAATGGTAATTTATGTTTTCACAGATCTGGTGCTAGAAGTCCGAAATCAAGGTATTGGCAGGATCACATTTCCTACAGAAGCTTGGAGGGAATCCATTCAGGCATCTTCCATCTTATTTTATATTGTTTAAGATTTTTGCAGTTAGACATTGGATTGAAAGAGACTTAGGTTCCGATCCTGACTTCATCATGTACTAGCTGCATAGAGTTATGCAGGAGCTGCACCTCTGTGAGCTTCAGTTTCTTGACTGTAAATTAAGTTTAATAATAGAAATCACCACATAGAGTCATTTGTGGATTTAAATGAGGTGATGCTTATATGTCACTTGAAACACAGGCTAGCCCATGGTAAGTTTAGAATACATTCACAATATTTATTATGAGGGATATAGTTTTTAGAGTTATCTCATATAAAGAAGAATGGTGAGTTCTTGGGAACTGTGTCTATAATTTGATATCTATTAGTATGCCATGATACACAAACAAATGCTTAATGCAGCAAAACTTACATTAACTGAAATCCATGTAATTAGAATTAAATCATATCTATTAATTTAGGAATCAATATATGAAACTTTTATGCAACTTTCTACCAAACTATTACTTCCTATTCACTATAGTGTAACTATACTGATTACTAAAAAAAAGCATCAAATTCAAGAGGACCAATATACTATTCAGCTTGTATATGAGTACACCTGTTATAAACTGTATCTTCCTTGATAAAACAACGTTAATTCCCTCTCATTGGTGAAAATATATCAGATTACCACAGTCTGTGTAATTCCACCTGCCTCTAAATTCTTCTCATACTTAATGTCTTGCCAGATATTCACAGTGTATCACATGGATTTTCATGTGATACACAAAACCATGATTTTCAAACCGTGGTTTGTGATCTATGAGTGGATTACAGAACCAATTCAGTGGATGGCATAGAAAAGATTTTGAAAAAGGAAACCTAATATAATGCAATGTAGTACAATACAATACAATACAACACAACACAACACAATACAATACAATGTAATACAATACAATACAATACAGTAGACAAGTTAGAATAGGAATAAGTATTGTTTTTTGCAACTTGTTTCCATTTCATATGTACATATGCATGAATATGTCTAGGTATTCTGGTAGATAATGTAAAATATATATTTCACCAGAAATTGTAAGCATTCACTCAATAACATATTTCCATTACAGACACTGTATATGTATATTCCACATTATAATAAATCACACTTTTTGCCTCAATTCTTTTTTCATTTTTATTTTTTCAACTTTTTTATTTTGAAGAATTTCACACCAAGCGAAAATTGGAAAAATAGTAGGATAAACACACTATATGTACTTCATGTGGATTCACCACTTTTTAATATTTTTATGCATTTGGTTTCTCTCTCTCCACACACATATATTATCATTATTTTAGTTCCTCTTCTTCTGAACCATTGAGAGTAAGTTATAGGTATAATGACTCTTAGCCCTCTAAATACTCAGTATATATCTTCTAAGAACAAGGATATTCTCTTGACCTAACTATAGTACAATTACCAAATTTTAAAAATCTAATATTAAAAACACTCTAACATACAACACATATTTAGGTTGTGCCAACCTCCCTATTCATGTCCTTTACAATAACACTATTTTGGCCAAAGATTCAATCTAGGATTATGCATTATATTAAATTTAGCTTTGTAGGTTGTACAGCTGAGATCTGGTCCTAGAGCAATTTCCACTATGTCATTCTGTCTCTGATAGGCATTGACTTAAAGTTCATTTTGTCTAATATTAGTATAGATACTCCTGCTCTCTTTTAATTACTACTTACATAGAATATTCTTTCTCATCTTTTCACTTTCAAACTATTTGTGTCGTTAGATCTAAAATGAGTTACTTATAGACAACACATAGTTGGATAATGGTTTCCAGGGTGAAGGGGGCATTGCTTCTTTGCTTATTTTTAACCTATTCTTCCAATCTCTGACTTTTGATTAGAGAATTTAATTCATTTACATGTGAAGTAATTACTAATCAGAAAGGACTTCTGACATTTTGCTATTATTTTCTACATGCTTTATAGCTTTGTTATTCCTAATTTCCTCCATCACTATCTTGTCCTGAGTGAGTTTTTTCAGGTGAGACATTGAAATTCTTTATCATTTCCTTTGTGTTTATTCTTTAGCTATTTTATTTATGGTTATATTCAGCATCGTAAGTTATAACAGTAATCAGAATTTATGCCAGGTTAACTTCAATAACACATAAAATCTCTGCTTCTTTAACAGCTTTGCCCTCACCCCTTTCAGTTGTGGATGTCACAAAATTGCATCACTATGAATTGTGCATCCAAAAACATAAACTAATGCCTTTAATGCATTAATCTCTTAAATTATGCAGAAACAAAATACAGAGCTGTAAACCAAAGTTATAATAATACTAGCTTTGAAATTAATATATTTTAATATATCAGTCTCTTAAATCATGTGGAACACAAAAAGTAGATGTATATATGATTGTTACAAAGATACTAAATTTTGTAATTGCCCATATATTTACCTTTACTGAGATCATTATTGCTTCATACAGCTTTGAAATGCTATCTGGTGTCCTTTCATTTCAACCTGCAAGATTCTTTTTAGAAATTCTATTAGGGACATTGATTGGTAAAGAACTTGCTCAGCTTTTGTTTTTCTGTGAGTGTCTTAATTTCTCCATTACTTTTGAAGGACAGTTTTGCTGAACATAGAATTCGTGTTTGGCAGGCTTTTTTTTTTTTCTCTTAGCATTTTGAATATATTGGGCCACTGACTTCTGACTTTCAAAATTTTGGATGAGACATCTATTCATTTTCTTAGGATCTTTTGCATGAAATGAGTCACTTCTCTCTTGCTGCTTTCCAAATTACCTCTTTGTCTTTCAATAGTTTGAGTGAAAAATATTTCATTGTGGATCTCTTTTAGTTCATCTTACTTGGAATTTATTGAGCTTCTTGGATGTTTATGTTCATGTATTTTATTGAATGTGGAAAGTTTCACCATTATTTTTAAAAATATTATTTCTATCTCCTTTTCTCCTCTGAGAAAAATGCATATATTTGGGACTCCTTTTGGATTCCTAAAATGCATATGTTGACTTGTGTGATGATGTTCCACAGATCCCTTAAGCTCTGCTCACTCATCTTAAATATTTTTTTATTTCTGTTCCTCCCATTGAATACTTTGTATTGTTCTATCTTCAAGTTTGTTAATCCTTTCTTCAGCCTCCTCAAATCTGCCCTTGAATCCCTTTAATGAAATTTTTATTTCAATTATTGCACTTTTCAGCTCCAGAATTACTTTTTGTCTTCTTTTTCATTTTTTAAAAAATCTTCTTATTGATATTTTCATTTTGTTCATATGTCATTTTATTGACTTATACCATGTCTTTATTTTGATATTTGAGGATCTTTAAGATTGGTGTTTTATTTTTAAAATTTATTTTCATATTTTTAAAATATTTGTTGTGGGTACATAGGTATATATATTTATGGGGTACATGAGATATTTTGACACAGGTATACAAGGTATGTAATCACACCAGGGTAAATAAGGTATCCATCACCTTAAGCAACTGTCCTTTGTTTGTGTTGCAAACAATCCAGTTATAATCTTTTAATTATTTTTAAATGTACAATAAATTATTGTTGGCTATAGTCATCCTGTTGTGCCAGCAAATACTCGATCTTATTAATTCTATCTAACTATACTTTTGTACCTGTCAACTATCCCCTCATTTCCCATCACCAACTACCCTTTCCAGCCTCTCATAAACATTCTACTCCCTATCTCCATGAGTTCAATTGTTTTAGTTTCAGTTCATTAAAATAAGTGAAAAATGCAAAGTTTCCCTTTCTGTTCCTGGCTTATTTCATTTAACCTAATAACTTCCAGTTCCATTCATGTTCTTGCAAATAACAAGATCTCATTCTTTTTTATGGCTGAATAGTATTCCACTGTGTATATGTGCCACTTTTTCTTTATCTATTAGTCTATTTATGGATAATTAAGTTGCTTCAAATTTTGGCTATTGCTAATAGTGCTACAATAAATATGAGAGTGCAGATATTGCTTTGATATATTGATTTGTTTTTCTTTGGGGCATATACTTAGCAGTGGGATTGCTGATCATATTCTGAGAAACCTCCAAACTGGTCTCCATAGTGGTTGTGCTAATTTACATTTCCATCAACAATGTACAAGGGTTCCCCTTTCTCCACATCCTTACCAGCATTTGTCATTGCTGGTCTTCTGCATAAAAGCCATCTTTATTGGAGGGAGATGACAGTTCATTGTAGTTTTGATTTGCATTTCTCTAATGATAAATGATGTTGAATACCTTTTTATATACCTGTTTCCCATTTGTATGTCTTCTTTAGAAACTTGTCTTCAGATCACTTGTCCTTTTTTTAAGTCAGATTATTAGATTTTTTTTCCTATAGAGTTGTTCAAGTGCCTTGTTAATCCCTTGTCAGATGAATAGCTTGCAGATATCTTCTTGCATTCTGTGGGTTGTCTCTTCACTTTGTTGATTGTTTTCTTTCTGCACAGATGCTTTTTAACTTGATGTGATTCCATTTATCTATTTTTCCTTTGGTTCACTGTGCTTGTGGAGTATTACTCAGGAAATCTTTGCCCAATCCAGATGTCCTGGAGAGTTTCTCCAATGTTTCTTAATAGTAGTTTCATAGTTTGAGGTCCTAGATTTAGGCATTTAATTCACTTTGATTTGATTTTTCTATATGGCAAGAAATAGGGATCTAGTTTCATTCTTCTGCATATGGATATGCAGTTTTTCTAGTACCATTTTCTAAGGGACTATCTTTTCCTTAGTGAATATTCTTAGCACCTTTGTGAAAAATGAGTTCACTGCAGGTGTATGAATTTGTTTCTGGGTTCTCTATTCTGTCCATCATCTATACGTCTGATTTTATGCCAGCACCATACTGTTTTCGTTACTGTAGCTCTATGATATAATTTGAAGTCAGATAATGTGATTCCTCCAGCTTTGTTCTTTTTCCTCAGGATAGCTTTGGCCATTCTTGCTCTTCTGTGGTTTCATATAAATTTTAGAATTGTTTTTACTCTCTGTGAGGAATGTTATTGGTATTTTGATAGAAGTTGCATTGAATCTATTGATTGTTTTAGGCCAGAGCTGTTTAATCTTTTGGCTTCCCTGGGCTACACTGGAAGAAGAAGAATTGTCTTGGGCCACACATAAAATACACTAGCACTAACAATAGATGATGAGCTTTTAAAAAGTCACAAAAAAATCTCATAATATTTTAAGAAAGTTTACAAAATTGTGTTGGGCCACATTCAAAGCCATCCTGGACTGTATGCAGCCCATGGGCCACAGGTTGAACAAGCTTGCTTTAGGTAGTATGGACATTTTAACAATATTGATAGTTTCAATAGTTTCAATCCATAAACATAAAATATCTTTGAATTTTGTGTATGCCCTCTTCAATTTCTTGCATAGATATTTTATAATTTGCATTGTAGAGATTGTTTTCACTTCTTTGGTTAGTTAATTCCTAGATATTTTGTTTTATTTGTAGCTGTATGCTTTTGTTACCATTGACCTTTTGGAGGTTGATTATTAAATGCCTTGAGGTAGTCTTCTTTGGGTTAATTCTGCTTGGTATTCTATATCCTTCTTGTACTTGGATATACATATTTTTCCTTGGTTTGGGGTATTCTGTTATCCCTTTGAGTAAACTTCTTACCCCTATTTCTTAACCTCATCTTTAAGGCCAATAACTGATTTGCCCTTCTGAGGCTATTTTGGTTTTCTTATCTCTAAATTATGCATGTTTTAGTCCATTTATGCTGCTATAGTAGAATACTTGAGACTGGGTAATTTTTTATAAAGAAATGAACTTTATTTCTCACAGTTCTAGAGGCTGGGAAGTCCAAGTAACTGACAGATGTGGTGTCTGATGAAGGCTGCTCTTTCCTTGCTAGATGGCATTTACTTGCTGCATCTTCTGGAAGGAACAAACGCTGAGTCTTTACGTGGAGAAAGGGAATGAAAAGCAAAAAAAAAATCACCTCCTAAGGGCCCAACCTCTTAATATTGTTGCATTACAGATTAAGTTTCAACATGAATTTTGGCGGGACATATTCAAGCCAAGTAGTATAATAATACCTATGTCATAGGGTTACTGTGAGATTTAAGTAAGGTAAAGAATTTAAAGTACCCTGTGGTAGATGGAATAATTGGCGCCAGTCTCTCATCCCCTTCTCCTATCTACAATTTGCCATGTCCTCATTATGGGTAGAGTGTATTTCCATGCAGGTGGACTTTGCGCTTGTCTGCAATTGGTTTTGGTCAAGAGACATTTGGGTAAACATGATAGATATGCCGGTTCTGAACCTAGAGACTCAGAGATCTTGTGAATTTATCTTTGTTTCCTTGCACTCCTGCCATTGTCATGAGAAGAGCTTACCTCAACTAGCTTACTAGTTAAGGTAAAGAGAAGGAAGGTAAGGAGGTAAAGGAAAAGGAGAGACATAAAAGGAGGTAAGTTGCACTTGCCACCTCACTGATCTGCAGCTTAAAGTACAGCTGCCCAGTATAGCCCAGCCTAGATCACCAGAATCACCAAAACTGACCAGCAGATCCATGAGAATAAATGACTATTTCAAGCCACTTCATGTTGGGATAATTTGTTATACAGCTATATTTCATCATGAGCTAAATAATACAGTGTCCAAAACTGTAGCTGACACATAATTATTATTTGATAAATATTGGTTCTTTAATAATATAATAAATATATCATTTGGCATTTTGATTTGCACACAAAAAACACAGGAAAGACTCCTTTTATTTTACATGATTTGTTTTGAAAGCCAATTAATAACGTAAGTTTATGAAATAAAATACTAAATAAAAATTGAAAGATGACAACTTAAGATTCTTAATCTTGTCCGGTCAGAGTCAATGTCTTTCCAAGGACTCCTAATTATTATGCTGCTCACTAACCCATTGGGCTAAAAAAATAGTATGAACACATTATGGGATAATATAAATTCAAACTGATATTTTAGACAACAATACCCATTAGTAGGGCGGTATGTAGTTTCAGGGATTTGGGTGCAGACCCCCAATATGTTTTACATACACCCTTTAAAATACAACAGCTAGTGAAACATATTGTATATATTTCCCACCAAGTGGAATCTGAACCACAAGTGGCAGGTGACAGATTCATATTTCATTAATATAATCCTCTGCACAACTCAATATTCTCAAAAATAATCCTTATAACTTAAGTGCCTGATACCTGAACACTTGGAGTGCTCTTTTGCTTGGATCTCAGCTTTCTCCATTCTACCAAGAAATACAATAAAAAAAAATCATTCCAGATCTCAGGTTCCCTCTGAGACTCAGAGGAAGATGAATTTCTCATGAACCTTCACTGAAAACATTCTTCCATTTGGTGTCTAAAACTGCTTCAGACAAATATCCCCACTTCAGACCCAGACTGAAAGCCACTACTTTTGCCTTCGAGGATTTCCTTTAGTAACAGAAGTATGCATATTTTGACAATAAAAATCAAAGAAAGTACTTGTGGGGAAAAAAACTCTAGAAAGCTGCATTTATTTGGCTGATTTCCTATCAGAAAATCTAAACCAAGGGACAGAGCTATGATTTTTAAGTGTCCTGTAACAGCTTTTGCAATAAGAAAAGTCTTTACTTAATTCTATCTAACTTTTCCTCTGAAAATTAACTTCTTATTTGCATGTCTATATATTGCATTCATTAAGTTGTAACATTCAACTTCTGAATTGATATGTACTATTTAAAGAGTATGCCCTTTCCTCCCAATGTTAGATACCTAAAATAAAGGTGTGGGAGTCATCCATTCAAAACTTTTTTTCCCCTTTTCATTTATAGACTATAGTAGAACAATAAATGCATTCATTCATTTGACAAATATTGTACACACAGCTATCATGTGCCAGAGCATTGTGTTAGATGCAAAGAAGCTACATCACTGGGGAGTATCACAGGGGTTGTTTGCATTAATGAAAAATCAGGGAAATACATATAAATTTAAATCTCTAACAAGTACTGCCAAAGGCATTTGAACCAGAGCGGCTCCATCTTGAGTGAGGGCTAGAAAAATGACCTTAGGACTTGCTGGGCTGCATTCCCAGAAAGTTAGGCATTCCTAGCCTCTAGATGTTTACAGTTAAAGGAACAGATTGATAACATTTACTAAACATACTCAGACTTGGGAGAATCCTGATATCCCTATATCTTGAGAACAGAAGCATTCCAAATTTTGCTTTAAAGATAATAATATCGATTCTTGCAAAATAGAGTAATTAAGAAAATTAATCCTTTCTCACAAACCCTGTAACAGAGCACATGTCCCCATGATCTTTTTCAATTCTATATATAAACAAGCATTGTAGCTCGGGTGGACACATTCCTTCTCCTACTTTCGGGAATGCCCTATTCTATCTATGGAGTAGCTGGACTTTCATTACCTTACTTTTTTAATAAACTTGCTTTTGCTCTGCACTGTGGACTCGCCTTGAATTCTTTCTTGCACAAGATCCAGGAACCCTCTCTTGGGGTCTGGATGGGACCCCTTTCCTGTAACACTACTAATAAGAAAGTTGAATGGTAATGACGGAGTATATAATAGGGGCCTGGGAGTGTGGGAAATGCTTCCATTTTGGAATGATAGTTAAACTGATGTGTAAGAAAGTGATAAAACTTTCCAAGAAAAATGTTGGACATGGGGGCATTTCTAGGTGGAGACAGCAGCATATGTAAAAATCTGAGTAACTGAAAGAAGAAGACCTATGTGGATGGAACGGAGTATTAGGGAAAGGTATGGCATAACATGACTGACTAGTAGATCATGGGGCTGAAAATCTCTATGCTGGATGTGGTCCTCCAGATCAGCCCTACTTTCTTCTCCAACAAGGGCAACCTTTAAGAACTCTATCAATAGCTTCCCTGCCCTCCAGCTTCCAGGTGTGGTGTCTTAGCCAATGGGAGGCACTGTCAGGAAACTGGATATTGAAATGAGAGTGAGGAAATAATGTATTCCTCTACCTCTTTCTTTGCTGTGCCCTGTGTTAGCAGTGGCTGTGCCTCTCTACTTAAAGCAGATCATGCATGATGGCCCTCTTCTCTCTCTCTCTTTCTTTCTTTCTCTCTCTCTCTCTCTCCTCCCCTCTTTCCTTTTCAGTAATGTTCCCTTCCTTCCTTCCTTTGCCTCTTTACTTCTGAGAGGTGATAGCTCCCTACTGTTTCTAACCACAGGGTGCCTTACATCCTTTGCTGTTTTCCCTTAACCTAGCCCACATTTTTTAAAATAGTCTTTTTATTAAATCCTTCTTAATTATTCACTTGAGTGTGTCATTTGTTTTCTGCCAAGCCTTTGCCTGTTACAGCATTATAGACCTTATATTCAAAATTGGTATTTCATCCTAACAACAGTGGAATAAGAGTTCTTAAATGCATGCGTACAAGCTCACGTGTTTGTGTACACATAGACACCCACATCTACAGGAAGTAAAAAGGTAAGTTACTATTCCGATTCACACATTAAAATGACCAGTTTGGCTGCAAAATATAAACTGGTTTGGAAGGGACAAGAATGGATGGAGACTTGTAGTTCAAGCAAGACATGACACTAGCTTGGATAGGAAAATAATGGTGGAAATATAGAGAAGTTGGTGAATTCAAGATGGGGAAAAAGGCTTCGAGGGTGGACTCCAATGTTTTGTTTATGCAGTTTGATGAAAAGCAGTATCACTGATTAAACTAGAACACCTGGAAAAAATCCAGGTTTGCAGATGGCAACCAGGCATGTGTTTTTGGACGTGTTGAATTTGAGGTGACTCTGTTATATCCAAGTGGAAATGTGAAGCACACAACTTGGTTTCAAAAATCTGAAACTCTAAGGAAAGGTTAGGCTTGGAGATTTTTATTTGGGAGTTTTTGACATCTGGTGATGATTAAAACTGTGGTTGTGTGTGAGGTTTCCTACAGGGTGAGAATAAGGATCAGGTCCAGTCCTCAGGAACTTTAACACATACTGGCCAGTTAAAGGAAAGTAAACTTGGGAAAACAATGAAAAGCAGCAGAAACTCACAGGGCATGACTGACCTCATGAAAATGCAGTAGTGTACAAGACAGGGAAACACTATGTATAGAAAACAGTGAGAATCATACATAGCCTCTGATCTACTGAAAATATGTGAAAAAATATTCTACTTTCTATATCATCATAGCCCCTTGCTTTTTTAGAGAATAAATGTTATGTCTTAAAGGAAGTTGTTTTCTATGCCCAACAATATTTTACTGTTATTAGGCCCCTATATGGACCCTTTCTGGAGTCTGCCCTTCTCTGCAATGGAAGATAGGTTTCATGCTTCTTACCTGTAATGAAGTTCAGTGCTTTATACTCCTGTTTCTGTTTATCACTGCTTGCTCCAAGCACAACTGATAAATTACATCCAGCACTAAGAACTTGGACTCCAGCTCTATTCTAGCAAACTTCTTGCACATAAAGAAACCCACCCCCCAACCACACACACACACATAGTGGTTAGGTGTCTCTCTCAAGGTCACATGGTTAGTAAATACCATAGTCGGATTTAAATTGACACATTTTGTTTTGTTTGAGATGGAGTCTCGTTCTGTCACCCAGGTTGGAGTGCAGTGGTGCGATCTCAGCTCACTGCAACTTCCGTCTCCCTAGTTCAAGCGATTCTCTTGCCTCAGCCTCCCCAGTAGCTGGGATTACAGGTGCCCACCAGCATGCCTGGCTAATTTTTGTATTTTTAGTAGAGACAGGGTTTCACCATGTTGGCCAGGCTAGTCTCAAACTCCTGACTTCAGGTAATCCACCTGCCTCAGCCTTCCAAAGTGCTGGGATTACAGGCATCAGCCACCATGCCTGACCTGATGGTTTTTGATTTCCAAATTTCCTCTCGTATGACACATGAAGGCAGCACCACAACTACTCAGTGATACTCTTTCCTTAACCGCCGTATTCCAAGCTAGATGTAACAAACACAAAGATTAGTCAACAAGGAGAGAGAATACATCATCTATAAAGTTCAAAAATCAAAAACTCTAAAATTATAAATTCATTAATGCAAGCAGCTTTACATTCCAACTAAATTGAAAAATAGCCTCAGACTCTGTTGAAAAATATATCCTTTGATTATAGTTCTCAAATTTTTCCAAAGTTATGAAAACTACATCTCATTGTCAATACTTCAGACTACCCCATGGCCATCTTGCCTGGGTTCATGGTACCAAAAGGAACTCATTCTGCTTTGATTTCTCTTGTTTTGTGGATAAACTGTCTACCTGCCAAAGTCTTAATTACCCAACAGGTCTGAATAATCCTGTTTTAGTGTCTGTTTTAGTTCCCTATTTACAGCTCATTTAGGGCTCTTCTGGCAGCTGGTTTTGCTCTAAAGGAGTGTGGGTGCCACGTTAAAACACCCCTTTGACAGCATGGAAAGGCTGGACCAATCCAACCTCAGGTCAATAAATTTGGTGTCACAAACTAATTGAACCAATGAATGTTATGTAGAGTGCCACGTGAGGGCTATGTTCTCCATGGTTTTGGAGAAGCCAGGTACTCAAACCACCTCAATGGTTGAAAGACAAGGTTATGCCTAGGGAGAACTGTATGATATTTGTTGTTTCAAAATAAACAAGCATTACCAAGCTGTGGCGAATGAAGGTTTACCTCAATTTTAGATTTTCATAATCTAAATTAAACTGAAATGGAAAAATTTTACCTGGTGTCATGTAACAAGGTAATCCAAGGAGCAGATACATATCTGGAAATTAAGTTAACCCAACAACCAAGGGAAACTTGACACATATTAGAATCCAAATTAATACATGAAACTGGTGGGCTCTGAGCTTCTGGGATAATAGTACCAAAGACGGGTATCCTTGGACCTTAAAAGGATCTACTGGCTGTCACTGTTTTATTAGTCTGGTGCTATTGCCAAATCAAACTAACACTGACTACCTTCTCTCATTTTGCCTTGGAAAATGGTCAAATACAAGGATTTTTTTCCAAGCCTCCTAGAGTTTAGTGCCCATCTGTTCTCAATCATTGGGAAGACTCAGGAATAGATTGTGCCATGAACCCTTGGACAACCCCACCCCAGGAGGCTGCAGTCCTGGCTGCTTATCCTGGGGTTATTTTTTTCCTCATCTGTGAACATACAATGTTGCTAAATTGTCATGAGGATAGCATGGTAGCTAAACTTTCATGAGGATAGCATGGTAGAGAAGACCTAGAGTGTCAGTGTCCCAATAGCTAATGCATAAACATTATAATCAAGAAGGACAATAAAAGATGTGCTACAGCCACTTATACTAAGAATCATGAGAATATTCAAGTATTTTTTATTTTGTAACATTTCTGTAAAAGAACAGAAATGCTACAATGGGAAAGGATAATTCTTAATTAGATGTCCTTCCTGTCAAGCAAGGAGGCAATTCATTTTAAAACAAAGAGGAACCAGGTTATAAGCATGGAGCTCATGATCACATTCTCTCTTACATCCTAAGCTGGAAAGTGGGGAAGGGAGGAGTTTCCATTTCTGCTTACATCACTTGTTTTAGTTTCCTAGGGCTGCCATTAAAAAGTAGCACAAGCCTTACACAACATAGTCCAACAATTCTGGAGGCTGTAAGTCCAAAGACAAGGTACCAGCACGATTGGTTCCCTCTATGGGCTCTGAGTGAATCTGTTTCCTGCTTCTCTCCTGGCTTCTGGAGACAGTCAGCAACCATTGGCATTCTTTGACTTGTAGATGCGCCACTTTGATCTCTACCTCTGTCTTTACATGACCTTCCTGTGTATCTCCCTCCCCTCTTCTTGAAAAAGACGCCAGTAATATTGTATTAGGGGCTCATTCTACTCCAGCATGACTTAATCTTAACTAATTACATCTGTAACAACCTTGTTTCCAAATAAGGTCACATTCTGAGGATCCAGAGGTTAAGATTTCAACATATCTTTTTGGAGGTCACGGTTAAACCCATAACACCATTTAAGCAATTCTAAAAGAGAACCTCACCAGAAAATGACTGAGAAAACAATGCAGGCAAAATTTTTATTTTTACTTATCATTTTCTAAAATTGAGGACAAATGAAATGTATTTAAGATATACTTTTATCTGACACCTGACATAAAGAATTACAATGTTTACTCACTACAGTTTGTAAGGAAACAATTAACTATTTATGGCCTGACAAGAAGGAAGTCTCCCCTGATCTTTGGTAAAAATGTTTCCTGAAATAAATAATTTATGCCATCAAATTATCTTGTGTCATTCATCTTCCATGGTGAATCAGGGAACTACCCTACAGAATTGTATCAACAAATATGTCTCAAATATTCTAACACAGTTATGGTTTCACTTTAGTAGGAACTCTGTAATCACCAAAGGTAATTTCTGCAGCTATATGTGGAATTCTTGGGAACCCAGAGATAGCCAATTTAAAGTAATATATACTGCTTGAGTTTGTATTTTATGAGCCAGATTACTTGTTCTGTTTGATTGAGTCTAGCTGAGATGAACAAACATGAGTTTTAAGTCAAATCACAGAAATATTAGAAAGTGTATCGCTCTCATAAAACAAGCTTGTCTCAGTAAAACAAGCCTACAAGTAGACTAGCATGTCTGCACCAAATATTGAATTACGAGGTACTCTGATGGTCTGTTTAACCTTCCAGTATCTGGTACTTAAAGAATCTTGGCAAGCTACCGATGGTCTAACACCTTCTGAAGAGCTATTCCCCTATCAGCAGAGGGATTTTTCCTTTGCCAAACTCAATACCAAGTGCCCAGGCCTCACTAATTGCAAACTTGATTCTCTATAAGTGAAAGTCAGTGACTCCCTGGACAGTCTTCAAGATCCTAACTCTCTTCATCAAAGACCAAAGGTCAAAGCAAGGCCCATTACCAGGTCTGACTGCCTTTGGATACCAAGAACAGCAGGGTTTTTCTGATTAGAAACAGGGCACAGTCTGACTTGTGCGCTCAGGGATGTAGCCAAATGTGCTGCAGAGAGAGGAGATCCAGCTAACAAGGCCCCCTGCTAATATCTCCAGCCTAGTCTCCTGCCACTACACACTAGTAAGATTGAATTTCATCCAGGTCGCCAAGGTTGACATGTTCAGTTTTTTTGTTTCTCGTTTGCCTTCTCTCCTACCTCTGGGTCCTAGAAAATTCACTCCCTACTGTTCCAAACGCCTTTAAGAATCTTGCTTTATTTATAAAATACCAATATGTCCTTCAGAACTTGGACAAAAGTGATTCCTTCCAAAAATGGTCACTAATGCCCAGATCTGTGCCCACTTTCAGTGTCTTCTTATACTTGGATTTCTCTCAGCACTCACCACACTGTATATTGTAATTGATTGCATATTTCACTGTCTCCTTGACCTGAATTTGAGATCCTTGAAAACAAGAATCATGTCTTATTTGCCGTTGTAGCCTCAGCAACAGGGATACTGACTGTCATGTGACAAGAATTCAATGAAGATTTATTGAATGAGTCACAGAATAGACACTGGTTTTGGAATCACAATACCAGTGATATTGTTCTAGCTCTGCCGCTAACAAGCTTTGATTTTTCAGTAAATTGTGATGACTGTTGCATACTCTTGACCTCAGGATCCTCAGCTACCATGGATAAATCTTTGTTTTCAACTTCCATTTTCATGAATTCTTAGTTCCTTTTTCTTTTCATTTGTAAGGTGGGGATGACTGCACTTGCATGATGGCTAGTAGGAAAGGTCATTATGAAGTATATGCAGGAGCTCTGTAATGGGCAAAACACTATAGAAATACAAGTTATTGTTGATCCTCAGTATAGATTAAAGGCAATAACAGCTGGGTGTCTGAAAATGTAACTTTACTGTGGGAAATGTATTATATGAGTGTAAGATAGTGCATTCACAAAACATCTTCCTCTTCCTTTCTTTCCTATGAAAGAGGTGAGGCCTGATGTAGGTAGATGTCCACACCCAAGGATTGTCCATTTTGGTCTAGGCACCAATAAATCTCTTGGTCACTTGAGGTATTTTTGATGCAGCCTATATAGCCTGGTAGTTTCTATAACTCAGACTTTTCCTGACTGGGCTTTGAATGAAAATTATTTGTGTAAAGCCATTAAAAAAAACTATTATATGATTTTCCTAAGCAGTTCAATTAAATATTACAACATACACATATAGGTTTCACTTCAACCACTAACGGACCAATGGATCCTCACAAGAATATGGTGAGTTTCTGCAGAGATGAAGCTGTTTTTGTCTCCCTCTGTGTTTCAAGGTCTCACAAATTCCGTCTGCAAGTGCCCAGTGTACAAACACTTTTCTCCTTCGTTTTGATGCTTTCTCCAGAAACACTTGAAGATTAGAGACTGGCTTCTGGGACAAGTAACTGCTAGAAAAGCTTTTCCAGCCAAGAAAAAAAAAAAAGTATATGTGTCTTTAGTACTTCCTGCTTCTCTACAATTAGAGTAGCTTTCGCTACAATTAGGGTGAAAGACATCAAATTACATCAATTGTAACCCTTTCCTATTTGGCAAAAACAGCACAATATAAGCAGTCCAAAAATCACTGGTGTCTACTAAAGAAAGGTGTGGAAATTTAAAAGTAGGCATCAGTAAGAAGTCAAGGGGGAAAATGGCAGATGCTTTGATTAATTTCTAGAGTCTGCCTCTTCTGCAAATATCCCTTGGCCAATCCATGGTGTTGAAGAAAGCCTGTAAGAGTGTGCATTTAATTCTTGATTTAGGCAGGTCATGATAAATAAGGAAAACATGCCATAATGAATTAGAGAACAAACCATTTCAAAGCTCATGGACATTGAAAATATGGTAGCAAATAAATGCGTGCCCACACAATTGAGCAGGGTAACACAGGGAAAAATCCAGGTCATGTGCCAAGCTGCCAACCCATACCCAGAGACACACACATACATACATGCATGCACATGCAGATACACATGCACACCAAGATACATGTACACACACATTTATATTCATCCACATAACATACTCTCACATACAGACACACACACATGCACATACACACATAGGCACATACACACACATGCACACACACACCACACACACACACACACAATGAGATGAAAAATCAAGAAAATTCCTCCAAATACTTTTTATTATTGCCTGACTGGTGCTGCCAATGAAAACTCTTCATTGGAATTTGTCCTCACCAGCATAGATGATGGATTCAAATAAAGGAGTAGCCGTATAAATTAGAAGACAGGAAAAGCCACACAGTGGAGTGGAAAAACCCTGGCACTGAGATTCATGAGAGCAGGGTCCTAATTCTCATTTCCAAATAGAGGGGTTTAGGTATCAGACACTGAATTTAAATCCAGGTCAAAACTGGGAAGACTTTTGTGGATATTGCCTTCCAATGCTGTACTTGGACTACTCAATTTTTGAACTGGAATGTGAAATAGTCTGTTTCATGAAATGTAAGTAGCTTAGTCCTATTGTCATGCCAGGATTCCTGCCTTTATCCTGTAAATAATTGAGTTTGTGATAACTCATTTAAATAATCTGTCTAAATTTCTTAAATGTAAAATGCTGTGAGTGGGTGCTCAGAGAATTCTAAAGTGACCTTTTGTTTCCAGAATTATTTAGAGGTACATGCAAAACATGGCCATTTTGACATATTCTGGTAGAGAAAAATGTTACAATTTCAGTGCAATGTTCCAGTCTCTGGCTCAATCAGGAAAATACAAACGCTATAAAAGTAAACTTCTGCATCCTCCAGTTCTCCAATTTTGTGATGAATCCATTTTGTAAAGTGGCAAGAAAATAAATTTGAAATGAAAATGACAAGCTAATAAACATCCCCATTGTGACTGCAAAGACAAAACATCAAATAAAAGCGGTGCCATCATTGTAAATCAATAAATATTGGATATTAAATGAAACATTGACATCAACTGTAAAGTGGAAGAATATATAAAAATCCAAACACAGATCTCCCTGGGAATGGGCATGGACACTGTGTTGGGAGCCTTTGCCAACAATAGGAAAAACATTTTCTTCTCTCTGTCGCAACACCTTTCTTTATAAAGTGAGAAATTTGGTTAGATGATTGTTAATTCTGGCTCTAACCATTTATAAAAGACTACAGCCGGCGGCAATTTTCTCCAGCCTGTGTATTGTTAATCCTGCTTCATGGAATTCGTCTAAATGCAATCCATGCTTGATTTTCATTCATAAGGAGCTCCATGGGCTACGCACACTCTAATTGGAAAATTAGTATTGTTTCAAAAGCACTGGCTTAGTCTCAAAATGAGATGCCCTCAGCATGACATGCATATCTAATTTCTTCCACGGTTGCAAAAAATAAGAAAGAAAAGCATTCTCAACCACTCCTGACAGCTTTTATCACGAGTTATTCAACAAATGTTTTCTGTCCACTTGTCCGAGAAAGCTGATTAGACAAAACAGCCGGTGGAGGCACAAAGAAGAACATTCATTATTTTTCAAGGAAATATAAAAGAAATTTCAATACGCATTTTTGATGTTGTTATAAAAATGTCAGGAGTGTGGCATCCTACACAGTTAGAGGCTGTATTTCCATAACATTACAGGGATACATGTGATTATTTAGCTTTAAATTAAATTGGTCTAATACAGGTTTCTATCAAATATAAAATCCTTCTCTGTGCACTTATTAGATAACTACTCTAGAGATGATTTCTTATCAAATCAAGGGATCTGGAATGGCCAGAGTTCTGACTAGCCTCCATTTAGAAAAGATATCTTGAGCCTTTGGTTCTCTGTTACGTATGATCAACATGTTCCCTTTAAATGGAACGAAGAAATATGGGTGGATAACACATAGAAAGGAAATTTAGCTGTCTGCTCCCTCCCCTCCAACACACAAAAGAAAGAGGATCTGTGCTTATCACAGCATCTTACATCCCCATCTGTGCTTTTATCTCCTGCAAGATTCCCTCATTCCAGTCAAGCATGATTCTTACTTTAGCTAAACATTTCCAATGCTTTTTTATTTTTCTTTTCCCTACCACACTCCAAGCAGTTTCTCGTGCCTTTTTTCTGTCTGACAGTGTGTCTGAGAGACCCAATCTCTGGGCAGATAAGGCTTGAGTGGGGAGAAAGCAAAATAGTCAAGGAAAAAAAAATGAGGAGGTGGGCTTTACTCTTTGCATCACTCTTCAGCCATGCCTGCTCCAGCCTGAAGGTCTCCTATGAACTTAATAAGAGAGGCAGGGCAACTCCCCTTGCCCATCTCTTTCTGGTACAAACATTCATGTGCAGTCCCCTGTAGGATCTCAACATTGTAAGGGTCACCAGGGAAAGCTCCAGGTGAGACTATGGAATTTATCTCCAGAATTATCAACACCCTGGCTGAGTTTCATGGGTTGATGGTGTTTTCTTTAGATCAGATTTGTTTTCCTTAGATTAGAACTGAAGCAGGAGTCTAGAGTCAGACTACTTGGAATTAAACCTGAGCTTTATTACTAAACAGCTATGTAAACTTAAACCAGTATGTGACTCTCTCTGTCCCTCAGTCTTTTCATCTGTAGAATGGGAATGATTAGCCTTTAATTCATAGGTATTAAATGTGTGACTCATTGCAATTGCTCAATGAATATTAATTCTTACCCTTATTGTTCCATACACCAAGAGTGTTTTTAACTAGGGGTAGTTGAATCTACCTGCAATGTTGAAGGTACCAGAGTCAGTTGGAACATCAGACATTAGAATACTATAGTGTGTGTGTGTGTGTGTGTGTGTGTGTGTGTGTGTCTTTGTGTGGAGGAGATACACCCAGACATACATACACACCAAATGTTTCAATCAGAAAATAATAAAAACAAGAACTAACTGCTTGGTTTCTAAGGGTAGATTCCAATTATTTTCTTAAAATACATTACCATATAAATTTCATCTAAAAGAGAAAAGTAAAGGAGAAAGTGCAGTGGGTGGGCTAAGGGGAAGCAGTTCTAATATTCCTCTCTGACCAGAAAACCATGTTTCCCTGAGACCATCTTCTCTCAGGACTTAGTTTCTTCATGTGTATGTGATGTGGCTTATTTTGGAATGGGTTAAGGTATAATGAATACACTAACTAAAAAGTTGAGTTTGATCCAGATAATCTCTATCCACCATTTTTACTCACTTTTCTTCACTTGATACTATAATTCTACCCAGAAAAAAATTAACCAGACCGTATGCCTATATAAATATCCCTGCATATACATGCATAAAACCATTCCATATATATCACCTCATTTGCTTCTTATGAAGAATACAAAGGCTAAATTCTTCTGTTAAAACAGCAGAACAATAAGTACATAGTGGGTCTGCCATAGATATTAATTGAATTCCCTCGTAAACATTTTCTTTTCTAAATAAACTGTAAGAAATGGAAAAGTCCATTGATCGTTCTCAATGAAACAAACAGACTCAGTAATTAAATGACTTGCTACAGTTCACCCAGACTATTTGGGTCTCTGGCTGTGTAGTGTTTGCCAGGGCTGGGTATCTCTTCAGAAGGAAAAAGTGACCTGAAGAAGACATCTGGTCAAAAAGCATCACATGCTCACCCTGGTTGTTATGAATACATATTGTTCTTCTCCTCCCCATCCTGTCGTCTAGTGTCAAGTAAATTTCTTAAAGCATCTTCAAAACAAAGCCTTCAGGACTAGCATCCTTGTAGTATAAAATCAAAATGTCTTAGCCCACAGCCCCTTCTGTTCCAGCCCCATAGATCTTTCCAGCCTCATAGGCTCTCTCTCCCTCTAAGTCCTGCTGAACCCATATCACCAACATCCTACAAGCCGCTTCATGCCTCCATATCTTTTTTCTTATTATTCTCTCTCCTTTTGCCAGTATGGTGGACACAGACTCTTCCTTTTTGTCTCTGTCTACATGTCGGTTCAGTGGTGTCTTCTTCCCTAGCGGGTTTAGCTCATCTTTGCCCCCACATCACCTTTTAAGCCTCTGATTGAGCAAGTATCAACCATATTGCATTGCAATGAGTAGTATTTACAGGATCCTAATCCCTTTGCCCACATCCTACTACACTGTGAAATGATTTTTTTGGGGGGGTTTGTTTTTTTCTGAGACAGGATCTCTATCTATCATCCAGGCTAGAGTGCTTTGGTGCAACTATGGTGTACCTGAAACTCCTGAACTTAAGTGATCCTTAGCCCCCTGAATAGCTGGGACTACAGGCATGAGCCACCATGCCCAACTAATTATTTATTTATTATTTATTTTGTTCTTATTTTTACTTTAAAAAATATTATCCTTTTTATTTCATTTGTTTTAACTTTTTTGTTTTGTTTTTGAGACGGAGTCTTGCTCTGTCACCAGGCTGGAGTGCAATGACACTATCTTGGCTCACTGCAACCTCTGCCTCCCCGTTTAAAGTGATTCTCCCGCCTCAGCCTCCCAAGTAGCTGGGACTACAGTTGCACGCCACCACACTCGGCTAATTTTTGTATTTTTAGTAAAGACGGGATTTCACCATATTGGCCAGGGATGATCTCAATCTCTTGACCTCGTGATCCACCCACCTTAGCCTCCGAAAGTGCTGGGATTACAGGCATGAGCCACCATGCCAGGCCTGTTTTAACTTTTATTTTAGGTTCAGGGGTACATGTGCAGGTTTGTTATATAGGTTAACTCGCATCACGGGGGTTTGTTGTACAGATACTAAGCCTAGTACCAAATAGATATTTTTTCTGCCGCCTCTGTTCTCCCAACCTCCTCCCTCAAGTAGGTCCCAGTGTCCGTTGTTTCCCTCTTTGTGTTCATGTATTCCCATCCTTTAGCTCCCACTTATAAGTAAAAACATGCAACAAACATGCATTAGTTTGCTAAGGATAATGGCCTCCAGCTCCATCCATGTCCCTGCAAAGGACATGATTTTGTTCTTTTTTATGCAGCATTCCATGGTGTATATGTACCACATTTTCTTTATCCAATCTGCCATTGATGGGCTTTTAGGTTGATTCCATGTCTTTGTTATTGTGAATATTGCTGCAATGAACATATGCATGTCTGTGTCTTTATGGCAGAATAATTTACATTCCTTTGTGTACATACCCAGTAACGGGAATGCTGAGTTGAATGGTACTTTTGTTTTTAGCTCTTTGAGGAATTGCCACACTGTTTTCCACAATGGTTGAAACAATTTACACTACCACCAACAGTGTCTAAATGTTCCCTTTTCTCTGCAGTCTTGCCAGAATCTATATTTTTTTTTATTTTTTATACATACAAGATCTTGCTATGTTGCCAGGGTTAGTCTCAAACTCCTGTGCTCAGGTGATCCTCCCACCTTGGCCTCCCAACGTGCTGGTATTACAGGCATGAGCCATCATGCCCAGCCTATTGTGAGTTTCTTAAAATAGCTTGTTTTCACATTAGTTTTGACAAGCTTGGAGCCTCACACAGAGCCTATCACAAAGTAGGTGCCTAATAAATATTTTCAGGGTTTATGAATAACTGGCTGAATAAGTGAATAGATGAATACATATAAATTTGTGTATTTGATCTGAATTGACATCTAACTTGGGCTAATCTTTCCCCTTTAGTTTTCTTGGTTGAAAGGAAATTCTCTGAGACCAGCTTGAAAAGGATATTAATATCAAATATTTTAGAAACAGTCAAAGGCCTCATGAACTTGGGGGCATTTTCCAACCATATGCTTTTCATCTCCTTGTTCAGCTGATATAGTATGGAAGTAATTGAATGGCCACTCTTTTCTAGGATGTCAACATACATTTATCAAGATTTCTGGGCAGCTAGTTGCTCCTTTGAAATCTAAAAAGATGTGACTCTTGGCAACACTGTATAAACATTAAATTATTTTCCTGATTTTTTGCTTAACAACTATCATTTGATTCATTTGCCAAGATAACTTCATTATGTCCTTGGAGCAATTCAATATGCCAGCAATTTGAGTCTCCATTTTTCAAATTCACCAAGCAAGAACTCCAAATCTTAAAAGAGGCCAGCACAAACCTTTAAGGGGCAGAGTTAGAAGGCAGGAGAGAGGAAAAACATTGACTATTGTGGGTTCTGAGACGCTTGTTAAAAATAAGACATGATATTCCCATCCATTATATAAACTTCTCTCTCTTGTTCTGTCTTTTCGTCTTTCTGTAGATAAAGTTTGGATTAATCTCCCTTTTACACCAACTGCACTTTTTAGATGTCGATTATAATTCTTATCACGCCTTGTATGACAGTGGTATATACATGGCCCATCTTTGACCATAACCAGCATACTATCACAGCCAAGTCCCACTTCAATTGCAAAGCATAGATTCTGAAAGGCAGGGTTGGCAAGAGAGAAATACCCTGGAATCTAACACATTTAGTACTAAGAGAAATGAGAGTAGCAGCCCAAATCAGTATTGTGAGACAAAACGAACTCTTAATCAAGTCAGGATTGCTACAGAATTTCTTAGGAGACTGAGCTGCTGAGTCCACATGGATAGACGGGTGGTCTTGAGAGGTGACAACGTGCTAGCAGCCCTCACTGGCTCTTGGCGCCTCCTCAGCCTGGGAATCCACTCTGGCTGTGCTTGAGGAGCCCTTCAACCCACCGCTGTACTGTGGGAGCCCCACTCTGGGCTGGCCGAGGCCACAGCCAGCTCCCTCTGCTTGCGGGCAGGTGTGGAGGGACAGGTGCAGGCAGGAACTGGGACTGCGCCCTGCGCTCGCAGGCCAGCGTGAGTTCTGGGTGGGCACAGGCTCTGAGGGCCCTACACTCGGAGCGGCCAGCCAGCGCCACCGGCCCTGGGCCGTGAGGGGCTTGGCACCTGGGCCAGCAGCTGCGGAGGGTGCGCCGGGTCCCCCAACGCTGTCTGCCTGCCCATGCTGTGCTCAAATTCTGGCTGGGCCTTGGCCACCTCCCTGCAGGGCAGGGCTGGGGGCCTGCTGCCCTCCATGCCTGAGCCCCCACCCCCCGCAGTGGGCTCCCACGCAGCCAGAGCCTCCCCAGCGGGCACCGCCCCCTGCTCTGCGGTGCTGGGTCCCATCCACCACCCAAGGGCTGAGAAGTGCGGGTGCGCAGCGCAGTGCAGGACTGGCGGCCAGCTCCGCCCATGGCCCTGGTGCGGGATCCACTAGGGGAAGCCAGCTGGGCTCCTGAGTTGGGTGGGGACTTGGAGAACTTTTATGTCTAGCTAAAGGTTTGTAAATGCACCAGTCAGCACTTTATGTCTAACTCAAGGTTTGGAAATGCACCAATCACCACCCTGTGTCTAGCTCAAGGTTTGTAAATGCACCAATCAGTGCTGTGTGTCTAGCTAATCTAGTGGGGACTTGGAGAACTTTTCTGTCTAGCTAAAGGATTGTAAACCCACCAATCAGCACTCTGTGTCTAGCTAAAGGTTTGTAAATGCACCAATCAGCGCTCTGGGTCTAGCTAATCTGGTGGGGACTTGGAGAACTTTTGTGTCTAGCTAAAGGATTGTAAATGCACCAATCAGCACTCTGTGTCTAGCTCAAGGTTCGTAGATGCACCAACCAGCACCCTGTCAAAACGGAGCAATCAGCTCTCTGTAAAATGGGCCAATCAGCTCTCTGTAAAATGGACAAATCAGCAGGATGTGGGTGGGGTCAGATAAGCGAATAAAAGCAGGCTGCCCGAGCCAACAGCGGCAACCCTCCGGGTCCCCTTCTGGTGCCCAAGCTTTGTTCTTTCCCTCTTTGCAATAAATCTTGCTGCTGCTCACTCTTTGGGTGCGTGCCACCTTTATGAGCTGTAACACTCACCGCAAAGGTCTACAGCTTCACTTCTGAAGCCAGCGAGACTACAAACCCACCAGGAGGGATGAACAACTCCAGACGCACCGCCTTACGAGCTGTAACACTCACTGCGAAGGTCTGCAGCTTCACTGCTGAAGCTAGCAAGACCATGAACCCTCCAGAGGGAAGAAACTCTGGACACATCTGAACATCTGAAGGAACGAATTCTGGACACACCATCTTTAAGATCTGTAACACTCACCGCGAGGGTCCGCGGCTTCATTCTTGAAGTCAGCGAGACCAAGAACCCACCAATTCCAGACACACTCTAAAGAGAGATGGCTTCACAATTGGGTGAATTATGATTCCTGAGAGACTCGTCTGAGTTGGAGCAGCCTTGCAGCCACTAGCCAAGAGTTTAAGAAAGTGTCTCCAGTCATTGTGGGAGAGAGGTGGAACTTGACTATGAAAATATTGGGTCAGGGCCCTGATAAAAGAACCACAACATTGGGAAGAAATTGTAAGAGTGACAGAAACAGAAGCCTATTTAGGAAGACCAAACTAGCACATCAAAAGTACAGACTCACTCTGAGAAGATTTATGTAGAATTTCTCCAGGCTGCCACAAGCAGGTCATGCAGAAATGTGTTTAGAGCATCGACCTCTGGTCACAGGGACTTGAGTTTGAAGCTGGCTCTTGACATGCAATATGTGTGACTTTGGAAGTTATTTAGTCCTCTTGCATGCTTCAAGTTTGTGTCACTCAGGATGCTTTCAGCAGTAACTAATAAAACAAAAAAATTCATTCAGATTGACTAACAAAAACAAAAAAAATCTAATTCAGATAGACATTGGCTCATTTAACTGGAAATCCTTCCTAGTTGTGTCATGAAGGCAAAATGTCTGTAGCAATTTCTGCATTCATATCTGAGCAGTATTTAATTGAGAAGAAATGAAAGATTTGATTCCAAGTAAAGGAAAATGTTTCCTGGGAGCCCTCAAGCAAGCCTTCAGCCTGAATTGGATCACATGCCTATTTCTCAACAAATTCTTAGAACCAGGCAGTACCATGAGCTGAACATTTTAGGCCTAAGTTCCTGAACAAATCATTGGCAAGGTATGGAGTTACTATTAAACCAATTAGGACCTCTCCTACAGGTAAAATCGTCAGTTTCCTGTTCTGTAGGTGTTTGGTCTATGTTGGGAGGAGGTGACTATCTGAACCAAATCAGGGTTCTGAGAGAAAGAAAAAATTAGGAAACAGAACCCAGACAGGCAGCTGATATTAGCACCTATAAGATTCCTCATTTATGAAAGGGAAATAATGCCCACCTTGGAAACTGTTGGGAGGAATAAGTGAGTTAATTTATAAGAAGCACATAGCACAGTCCTTAGCTCAGTATATGTGGTGGTTGTAGTTTCTATTATGATGACTATATTGTTTTCTCCATTTCCTCCTAGCTCTGCATCTAAACCCACTTGCTTCATCATTCTGTCCCCTCACTTGCTTTATCCCTGGTATTTGAGTCTCTGAGTCTTGGCCCACTATCTATTCATCAATTCATGTATTTAGTTCTTGACATTAGGTTTGCTGCTTGCATTTATTCAAGAAACAGGTAGAACAGTATCATTCTTTAAAGATGAAGGCTCAGATTTCATCAAAGTCAACAAACACACAATTCTAGGAAGAAAGAGGAATACACAATTCAGTAAGACTAAGCCATGGACTCTGCAAAGTTCATTTACTTACTGATGTCCAGCAGTGGGACTAGCACATGATTGGTGTGTAGTTAACTTGTTGAATTAAACTGATACCTATTGAGTGTAATGGGTGCACAAATAGTCAATGTAAAGCAAGTTGTGATAAGTACAACACCAAAGATATGAATAAAGTGTTTTAGAAGTTGATAAGAGTTGATGTAGAAATACTAATTTAAAGCGGTGTGTGATTTGGAAAGGTTTCTTGTAGGAGTTGGAATCTGAGCAAGAGGGTGAAGAATTCTAGCACAACTTTAGGCCAATGCATGTACATGCTCAATTTCCAACCACCAGATGTACTCTTGTATCCCATATGTCCATTCTACACATGAAATAATTTTAGACAGTTAAACTTTATCAATTGCTTATCTTGGAAAGCTTTTTGATTTTAGTTGGATGAAAATTGATGTTCAGGGAAGTTTTCACTAAATATCACATACTCTGCCTATTAAGTAATAAGTTCTGAAACAGATACCAGATGAAAGGCATTCAGGAATCAGTATTCAAAATTGCTTTCTACCACATGTATGTGTAATTTCTTGATGAGGCAAGGCAATGTTTTACAGAGTTTCCTGCGGTCTTCAGAATTTGCTTTTTCAGGTCACACAACCCTATTTATTATTTCACATTTGGTTTGCCCTCAGAAATGAAAAAAGGCTTAAAGATAACAAGATGAATACTTGGAAGTTATAGAAAACCTGGCCTCATTTTTAAGCCAGAAATAACTTGTAGCACAAGTTAAAAAGTCAAAATAACAGAGTTTATAAGGGAAAAATCAGCAAAGTCCTGCAGTTTTAACTAAGTGACCATTGCTATGAAAACAACATTGCCACCAACTGGTATAATTTTTTTGTCATTCATTATCACGCCTAGCAGAAAAACATATTGTGTGAATGTAGACAGCATAGGAAGAGATCCAACTGGCAATTGTTGTATCTCAACATATTATGCATGGCAGTGAAAACCCAAAATGGATTTCAGTTCTCCAGACACTCGATCTTTGTAGTATATTTTAACAACAAAAGATAGAGCTTCTAGTTCCAAGCATACCAAGTATGTTTTCATAATTTTTGTCTCAGTGTGTAGTTCTCAATTTTTTTAAAGAAAGTAGGTGGTAGAAAAAAACTCCAGCATAGACTGAATCTCCATAGTGTTTTGACAACATTTGTCAGAAGTATAATTCCTATCACATGAGATATTTAAAATATTATTCTCATTCCATCATAGATGTGAAAGAATTTTTTAAGCATAAAATAAGAAATATGGTTAAATTCAGAAAATTTATTCAGGAGATAATCATTTTAATGAGATATCAAATTTGGTATATTTCCTTTGCAATTCAACCACAACACTGTGTGAGTGATAAGGCCAAGTTGACATGGACTGTACACAACTATTCATTGACAAAACAAATGCCTATTTTTTATTGTATAAAAGGTCAATGTGGTGTGTAATTGGAAAGAAAAGATTTGGAAGTTAAGTATCTGGGACACCCCCTTTTTAGAAGCTCTAAGTGGAGAATATAAAGCTACAATGTTTTTGACTTTTTAAAATAGTTACCATGGTAACAACTCTGTAAAATATGTAAAGAGACATTGAGATTTACTAGAAAAGAAGGCCTAGAAACCTTCCATGAATATCATCCTGAGTTTTCTATTCTCCAGCCTGTGTGCAGAAGTATACACACACTTTCCTCCTCTTCCCTTTTCACCTGTGATACACACATCCACATACATTATGTGTGTGTATCCACCTCTGGATTTCAATTCACAATAACCTAAAGATCACAGGTGAAGAATCTTGTTATCTTGTTATTTATTAACAAAGAAGCTAGCTTAAGAGACCTTGAGTTCTAGAAGCTGTATTATTCCATCCAGATAACCTTCAACATAAAAACAAAATGAAAATTAAATGAACTAAGAATAAGACCTCTTAAGGAGTTAGATTTTGTTTCCAGAGTCCAGACTGTCCTGTCCAACTCCATGAACAATCAGGGACCAGATCTTCAGCCAGGTTAGAGCATCTCAGAATCTTGCGTGGGACATGGGATATAATGCCAACAGTTTACAGCTTGTAGAGCTAAAGGTGTTTATTCCATAAACAGTGACTGAACATACATGCTACATATTTTTCTAGGTTCGGGATATCAGTTAATAAAATAGAAATTAAATTCCTTATCCTTGAAGCTTATACTCTAAAGAGAGGAGTCAGGTAATAAACAATAAACATAATGGGTAAATGGTATGGTAAGTTAGAAGGTGATAAAATGTTGTGGAGGCTGGGTGCGGTGGCTCACGCCTGTAATCCTAGCACTTTGGGACACTAAGGCAGGCGGAACACCTGAGCTCAGGAGTTCTAGACCAGCTTGGGCAATGTGGCAAAACCCCATCTCTACTGAAAATACAAAACTTAGCTGGGTGTGGTGGCATGTGCCTGTAGTTCCAGCTACTAGGGAGGCTGAGACAGGATAATTGCTTGAGCCTGGGACACAGAAGTTGCAGTGAGATGAGATCATCCATTGCAATCCAGCCTGGGCAGCAGAGCAAGAACTTGTCTCAAAAAAAAAAAAATACTATGGAAAAAAGAAAAGAGAATTAGAAATACGAATGTATTAACCATGTTACTAACTTCTGTAAAGTTGGTGCTTTACCATCTGCCCTACATGCATATGCTGGACACACCTTGTTCTGGACAACCCAGTGATATGCCTGAATTGCCTAGCCTGAGACTCCTGCCTCCCTGATGGTCCCCCAACTCTACTCCTGAGGGTGTGCTTTTCAAATATAAACCACCCAACCAAGAGTCCACACCCCTAACCACATTCCTTGTTGGGCTCTCATTCTCCGGGGTACTACATATCTGCCTTAATCACCCCAGGGCCAGGTGCCAGATCACTAGAAACAACTCCTATGTCCCAGAACCTGCTGAAGTTCTTCAAATTGCCAATCTGAAGTCTGTTTGCCCTGCTTTGTCCATTCCTTCCTGCAGAACCCAGAATAAAGGCTCTTGTCCTTAGTTCCCCTCACTCCTTCTACCTTGTGACTGGCCGTAATGCTTCCCTATGGTGGATGCTCTGGGAACTGTGAGTAACAAATTATATTTTCAGTGGAAAATGGCAATCAATTTCTACTCTGTTGGCCTTTCTGTCAAATTTTCCCTATATTTTAGTATAACAGGCAGGAAGCATATTAATATGCTCTATGCTATATTTAATACACTATATTTTATTTATTTATTTATTTATTTATTTATTTTGAGATGGAGTCTCACTCTGTCGCCCAGGCTGGAGTGTAGTGGCGCGATCTCGGCTCACTGCAAGCTCCACCTCCCAGGTTCACGCCATTCTCCTGCCTCAGCCTCCCATGTAGCTGGGGCTACAGGCACCCGCCACCACGCCTGGCTAATTTTTTGTATTTTTAGTAGAGACGGGGTTTCACTGTGTTAGCCAGGATGGTGTCGATCTCCTGACCTCGTGATCCACCCGCCTCGGCCTCCCAAAGTGCTGAGATTACAGGCATAAGCCACCACACCCGGCCTCTTAATATACTATATTTTAAAACAATAGGCATGGAGTAGTGAGTTGGATAATCAGGTAGGACGCCTTGTGAAAGGGACAAATACTCGAAGACTCTAGAGAGAAGTAAGGATTCCTGTGGACAACTGGGGGAAGAACATCTAGGGAGAGGGACCAGCTCACTCAAACACCCCTGGTGGTTTATGCCTGCTGAGTCTGAAGAATAGTGAGGAGGACAATATGACAGGCTGAGTAAGCAGAAGAACAGAATGTTAAGAGGGCTTAAGGAGCTAAATGGGGCTAGACCAGGTGAAACCTTGTAGTTCACTGGAAAGACTTTGACCTTTACTTCCCAAGAGTGAAAGAAAGAGTTATTAACATGAAATTTCAAGAAGTTCCAGATGAAAGAAAATCACCATACCAAAGAACTGGCAAACAAGAAAATCCAATGGAGAATGGATGTATCCCATAGTTTATGCGAGAAGCCTTCTTCCTGTCAGCGCTTGGATTGGAAGCTGCTTTATTCAGTCAAACACAATGGAGGCAGAACACACAACTCCCCGTAACAACATGAAGAGAAGAGAGATGAGAATAAGGCAAGGCTTAAAGTCACACAAAATGGCAGCCTGGGGAAGGGAAAGTGAACAGCTGAGAGAGGATCCTGAAGCAATCTTCAGAATAAAAATAAACTATTGGGAACTTGGGGGATTTTTCCCCCTCAGGACCATAAACATACTGAAAATACTCAAAGGGGTGGTTTAAAAGTATGAGTCAATGAAGCTGGAACAAAGGTAAAAGCAATGGTAATAGAGAAGAGGAGACAAATATGGGAATTACTTTTAAGCTAAAAGGACATGTTGAGTAATAAAGAAAGATCTGTTGTAGGACACTGGAAGTTTGTAGCAGAAGATTCAGAGAATGTCACAGCCTCATCAAAGGTGTGTAAATACATCAGAGAAACAGGACAGTTAAAAGGAGAGTACTAGGACATGTTAAGTCTGAGTAAATGGTGATGTTTTGAACTTCAAGAAAATAAATAGGGATTCCTGAAGAAGGAAGTGGAGGAAGAGGGGGAAGTCAAAAGTGGCAAATGCTACACAAAAATCAGAATATCGAAAACAGAAAATAGGACATTAAATGGACAATTAGAAAGACAATGGTGACCTTGATCAAAGCATTGGCAGGAAGGGGTGGTAATGGGCAAAATCTAGACCAAGAAGATTAGAAACACAGAGGTTTAGTAAAAATGTATACTCTGGAAACACACACACAAACACACACACACTTTTTCTCCCCTTCTTTTGCCAGCTTCCTAAGCATTCTCCTATGGAATTACCCCTACTTTCAGTACCAGTCTTAAAGGTCTCATTCTCAAATCGTGTTTCTTGACTCTGCCTAAGGCGTGTGATAACAAACAGTGCTTATTTCCCTTAGCTATTTGATAGATTTTTTGCACTTTAATAAGAAAATCAAAAAAATTAAAAAGAACACATAATACAAAATAATTAGGTATATTTGTATTATTTAAATCTTGAATCTATTTCTAATCAAGCCCCTTTATTTATCTTCGATATATCTCTTTGTTCCTTTTTTTTTCTAGATTGCTTACTGCGAAGGTTTTATTTTTATTTGTTACTTTAAAGAAAGAACTTTTGACTTTATTTCTTACTATTGTATATTATTCCTGTTTCATTACCTTCTCCTATTTATATTAATTTCTTCTTTCTATTTTCTTTGGTTTTATTCTGTATGTCTTTTCCTAACTTCTTTAGTTGAATGTTTAGCTCATTAATTTTCAGGTTTTTTTCTTTTCATGCTATATATTTCTCTATATGTAATTCTCAAAATACCTACAAGTATGAATGTGTAGTATTTTCTTTATTTTTTAGTTTCAAAGAATATCAAGGCCCGGCCTGGTGGCTCACACCTGTGATCGCAGCACTTTGGGAGGCCGAGGTTGGTGGATCACCTGAGGTCAGGAGTTCGAGACCAGCCTGGCCAACTTGGTGAAACCCCATCTCTGCCAACCAAAAATACAATAATCAGCCGGGTGTGGTGGCATCTGCCTGTAATCCTAGCTACTCAGGAGGCTGAGGCAGGAGAATCATTTGAACCCGGGAGGCAGAGGTTGCAGTGAGCTGAGATTGTGCCACTGCACTCCAGCCTGGGTGACAGAGCAAGACTCTGTCTCAATAAAATTAATAAAATAAAATTAAATAAAGAATATCAAATATCTAAAAGATTTTTTGTACCAATTATATAGAAGCTGTTCAAAAAATTTTCTAAATGAATGAGATAACTGATTTCAAAGTCAATTGCTTTGTAGTCAATGCAACCTGGTCTGAATATTTTCAAGCTTCTGAAATGTATTAAGATTTCCTTTGCAATATATAGTACACGGTTCGTTGTTGTAAATACTCTGTGTGAAGAATATGTATTCTCTGATTCCTTAACTCAGGACCCTATGTATACCTTTAAATAAGACTCATTAACTGTGTTGTCAGAGTCATCTATATTCATCAATTACCGAGAGAGAGATATGTTAAAAATCACTCACTCTAATGAGAAATTGTACAATTTCTCCCTGTAGTACAGTCATTCTTTGCTTTATGCATCTCAGAATCAGCGTATCATCTGCCCACTCAATATTTGAATTGAGCACATAAAATATTTTTTGTTAATTAAACTTATTATAACTTTGCGCTTGGAGTCATTTCCAAGGATACAGGATAAGAGGGAGGATATTCCATTAAGCAGAAAACCCTCACTGCCCTGCCTCTAGGTGGTTGATATTGGTGGAGTTCCTTTCCTTTTCATTATGGACCAGGCAGAGACAACAGCTGAAGCTGAGAGTTGGAATTTTTGCTCCACTCTCAGGTGGAGATTCTTCCTTCAGTGCTGTGGCTAGAGTAGGTCCTTTCAGTGGATGAAAGTTTCTCCTTACTTCTTTAGGGAAAATGATTGTGAGACTGTCTTTGCAACTGACAGCAGTCAGACATGACACAAACATGAGATGCCCCTGGATTGAAGTCTCAGCCCCATCTTTACTCACCACGTGATACTGAGATATTCAATCAACCTCTCTCTGTAAGCTTCACTTTAACCAGCTCTAAATTGGTAGGAGGGAAAGGTGTTTAGGTTGAGAAAGAGAGTATTATAATTATTTAAGATAATCTGCAGAAATCCTACATCAGGATACCTGGAAAACACAGTCACTGAATAGACCTCAGTCAGCATTTATTTGCTTCTTTCTCTCTCATTTGTTTTAGTTTACAGGCTGAATTTGGTGGTGGTAGGAGAGAGACAAACTCCTAGATCTGTCCATGAGCTGTGAGAAACAAGCATCATCTTTCAGTGGAGTCCTGCTGCATCCTGGGACACAGTTTCTCAGGATTGGCTCAAGGCCACTCTTCAGTAAAACCATCTTACTCCTACCATGGGGAAATCATGCACTTTTCCCATCCATTTCTGCCATGACACACAGAGCCACTATTTGTTCAGATGAAAATGACATTATTTGCCATGAATCTTCCTAGAAAGTAACTCAACCACAGAGTTCCATGCTTGTTTCCCATACATGAAACTTAACATATATACATGAAGAAAAGTTGGGACTATATTTGCTTGGGCCACCGTAACAAAATACTTCACACTGAAGAGCTTAAACAACAGAAATTTATTTTCTCACTGTTCTGGAGACTAGGAGTCTAAGATCAGGGTGCCAGCATAGTTGGGGTCTGGAAGCGGCACGCTTTCTCTCTTGCAAATGGGCATCTTCTCTCTGTGTCCTCACATAGCAGAGAAAGGGAGTCCCAACTCTTTGCTGCCTCTTCTAATAAGGGCACTAATCCTGCCATGAGGGTCATACCCTTATAACCCCATCTAAACCTAATTATCTCCCAAAGGCCCCATCTCCAAATACCACTGCATTGGGGTTAAGCCTTCAACATATGAATATTGTAGAAACATAATTCAGTCCATAACAGACATCAAGTAATTACTCCATTTGGTCTTTGACTCACAAAATCCTAAAGCCATGCATTTACTGCGCATGTTACAGGCCTGCCAAAAACTACCTCAATTTAACCTATTTAAAAAAAAATCCTTTGAGCATCCAATACAGAGCAGCTGAAAAAGCAGGTTCCTTTAAAAATTTGATTCACTGAAAATGAGAGATGCTGTGGCATGTGTGCGGCTATCCAATTCAGAAAATGTTTGCCTTAAAGAAATACTTCTCCTTACCAGAAAACAATGGAGAGGGGCATTTGCAGTTCCAACTTCTTTAACTACATTTGTTTTTAAATCAAACACTTGTAAAATGTGTCAAATTATAAAGGCAACCTGACTTAAGCTCTGCAGTGTAATTTACTGATTTTTCACTCACCTTGCTGAAACTTACAGTCCAGCTCTTGAGAAAGTGGATGTTGCTGAACCCTAAGCAGCTAGGGTTTGGGGAATAGTATAGAGAGAAAAGAGAAGTTCCAGCTGGAGATACTGTCTTCATCTCTGAATTCCTGTGGGGATATGTCTATCACCTCTTCTCAGGCATGTATCACTTTAGCTTTGATATAGAAGGTATTTACGTGTGGCTGACAATTTCATGTCCCAGTGGATAGAGGAAATGAATGTGGAAAAGCACTTACATTTGACCAATGAGAAAGAATTGGTTGGTGAAGTGGATGTGACAGGAACTGGGAAGAAAATGTTCTTCTTACATACACTGTTCTCATTTCTATGACAATCAAGACAATCAATTTCAAACAGTCTATCTTGACACCCCCAAAAGCACATAGGTATTTGTCAGGTTACATTTCCTGGTTTGAGTTCCAGGTAATTTGGTCTGAAACTGGGTTCATTTCCATTTTCGGTGTTTTGGGCTGACTTCTTTAAGACTAGAAAATCTAATGCAGTGACTCAGAATAGAGAATCAGTACATTTGTTTTGTTAAATAGATAATAAAAACTTGAAACTAGGAAGAGGCTCATGAATACAAAAATCTGAACCCTTCCTGTTTTCTCCTCTTAGGGAAGTAAAGTTAGAATTTCTGCCTAACTTTATCATCTCCTTCTGCTTTATACTAACACCTAAGGCAAAACAAACAACAAATATTGATTGATGTTTCTATGGGCTAGGGAGGAGAGCTCAAATTTCTAGCACCTAAATGCTAGGCAATGTATTTGACATTTTTTGCATGCCATTTAATCTTCAAAATAACTCTACAAAATGAAAATTAATATTTGTCATATAACTGAAGAGAAAGCTAAGATTGATGGAGATTGGCCAGGCTCATGCCTGTAATCCAAGCACTTCGGGAGGTTGAGCGGGATGGATCACTTGAGGACAGAAGTTCAAGACCAGACTGTCTAACTTAGTGAAACCTCCTCTCTACTAAAAATACAAAAAAATTAGCTGGGCATGGTGGCAGGTGCCTGTAATCCCAGCTACTCCTGAAGCTGAGGCACGAGAATCACTTGAATCCAGGAGGCGGAGGGTGCAGTGAGCCGAGATCGCACCACTGCACTCCAGCCTGGGCAACAGAGCAAGACTCCGTCTCAAAAAATAAGAAATAAGTAAATATTGATGGATATTGAGCAGAGCTAGGATTCCAATATTAAAAACCTCTAAGCTAAGTGCCTTGACAGGATATAAAGCAATACTCATTCTGAACCTCACTGAAGCTGTATGGCCTAATTAGGGGGACTCACAGGCTTTTTCAAACTTAGAACTCAAAGATCTCAGCATCTAATCTACTAAGTTTGTCATAGACATGAAACAAAAGCACAGATTCCTACAGAAGCGGGACAGGGACCAAACAGCTAGTAATAGCCAGTCAGTCTAGAAATAGGGCCTCCTGACTCACAGGTTGGCAGGGTGATGTGCCTTATTTAGTCTTCTCACTGCGTCTTCCATGTATTCGGGAAACAAGGATGGTGACACATGGTCCCCTCTGTTCATACTTTAGTTGGGAAGAAAGAATATGGCAAGTAATCACAACACAATGTTAGACTAGAGAAAGGGAATAAGAAGCTCTATTAATGAGAGCATTTCTTAGTATTCTTGCCTGCTAGTGAGATTAAGTCAACTCTATCTAGTTAGGCCAAAAATACTGGTGAAATTCAGGGAAGATTTAAATAACCAATGTAATAGAACAGGGTGGCCTACGGACTTCATGTATGGCTAGAATGGGGAACATAAACACTGCCGTGACTCTCTAATTATTTTTTCTTTTACACCTTTGTGTATTTTAGCTTCACTGTCTCTCACTTCAGAGCTATAGGCAGGAAGTGTGGAGGCACACAGGTCCCAAAAGCAGTCATGTCCTTCCAACTCAGTGCTTGTTATCCCCACTTCAAACCCTTTCTTCCAGTCACATTGAAATAACCCTGGTTCTCAAGGTAATACACTTTCTTGCTGACTTGAAGATCTTTTTTGTATGATATTTCCTCTACCTCAAATGTTCTTCTACTTCCTGGTCTTTAATAAATGCTCTTCATCCTCAGATATCAGCTTAGAAATCACTTCTTTCACAGACCCCACTAATCCAGGTTAAGTTCTCCTCTTTTCATATCACTAGAGTGGTGTCTACCTAATCTTTCTAGCTCTTTATCACAATATGGGGAATTTTTTTCAAAAAATAAATCTCTTCTACTAGATTGTTAACTCTTTTGGGGTAGGGACTATGTCTCTCTCATTCAGAGTTATAATCTAAATTTGTAACATAGTACCTGACATATAGTATCCACACATATGTGTTGAATTAATGAATACAATGAATATGTAGTAAATGAAGCAAAGCTTCTGTAAATGTCTGAATGACCCATGTTCTCTCAGGTGTTTTCATGTTTAATACATCATCTTGGAATGCACTCCCCTTTGATGTTTCTGGCCAACCATTCCCAGAGCAGCAGTCGTCCCCTCTAGAAAAGCTTCTCCATATCCCTCTCCACCTCCCAAAGCTATTTCTGTTGCCATACTTCATTCTTCCGACTTCTATAATGGATAGATTTTCTGTTCTCCTCCACCAGTTTATGAGCCCTTCCAGAACAATGTCCTGTTTGTCTTTGCAAACCAGCTCCTAACATTTAGTAGACAAAATACATTCTCATTTAATGCACTGTATGTAAATGATAGATGGATGATTATAACAAGCTATTTGAATATTTATCTGTAAATGTTACATTGACTCTGTTAGAAAATTGCCTTTTAACACAGTTTTTTAAATCACTTCTTAGACACTGGCCACATTACCAGTATATGATGCTATTCTTGTCTCAAAATCAAGGCACTGAAGTCTGCCATTTGGGACCTGTTGAGGGACCTGTGAAAATCAATTTCCTACAATAAATTGTCTTAAGCTAAAGGTCAACACACTTAAACTGAAACTCAAAGGTTTCTTTAAATTCACTGAAACAAGCCCTTTCATTTGGCATATGCTTCCCAAGACAAATTTTCTCTTCCAAAATTGGAAGAGGCCACATCTATGTTTTAACACTGATTTGTGAATATTCCCTGGAATAATTTATATCTTTTTAGTTTTGTTTGTTTGTTTTGTTTTGTTTTTTTTTTTTTGAAACAGAGTTTTGTTCTTGTTGCCCAGGCTGGAGTGCAATGGCATGATTTCGGCTCACTGCAAGCTCTGCTTCCTGGCTTCAGGTGATTCTCCTGCCTCAGCAAGTAGCTGGGATTACAAGAGCGTGCCGCCACGCCCAGCTAATTTTTGTTGTTAGTAGAGACAGGGCTTTGCCATGTTGGCCATGCTCGTCTTGAACTCCTGACCTCAGGTGATCTGCCAGCCTCTGCCTTACAAAGTGCTGAGATTACAGGCATGAGCCATCGTGCCTGGCCCCTTTTAATGTTATGGTTTATGAACTTATTAAAGTGCAAAGATTTTATGATCTTTCTAACTGTAGAATAGCATAGCTTGTTTATTAAACTGCAGAGTCACTGTAGAGGTCCTGATTCTTTGATTTAGCTTACTATAAAGTAGGAATAAATAAACCAATCAATAAGTAAATTTAAGTATCTTTAACTTTGCTGATTGTGACCACTCATCTATGGGATTTGGCCCACGTGAAGCAGATCACAGAATGTGGTTGCTTCTACTGTTTTCCATAGGAAATCCAGTCATGTTCATAACCCTATACTACTTATTAGATCTGTTCTGTGAAGATTACATGGTGGTTCTAAGACCCTGGAAAGATCAGCTTTTGGATAATAGAAAGTAATTATTGCAGCTTCTAGTTATGCTTTCCACTTTGGAAAGTCACTGCTCACAACAACAGAAAAAAGAGAAGAGGTTTAACACCAACATTTAAATGCTCTGGCCCAGAGGCAACATGTCACGTTTGCCCAATATCATAAGCTGGAAATACTCATATAACAACACCTAACCCCAAAGTAACACAGAAATCCTCAAACATACCTAGAAGTAGAGGGGAACCAGATATCAGAAAAGAACAATGATGTCTGCAACTCTAATCTTCACCAAGTGAACAAATAAATTGAAAAAAATTTCCTTCAAAGACATCATTGATTGAAGAAAATACTGCAAATGCAAGCGCAAAATGTGAACACGAATAAGAAAAAAGTCAAAGTTGATTTTCTTCCTCCTATTCCTACTATTAGTAAAATAAACAATAAGCTCATAAAATCAAATGTAAAGTCAGATATCCAATTAATGACATTATTAAGAATACTTTGATATCTGTGGTCATTAAAAATGATCCTTGCCCTGCATGTATATTTGCCAATGATAGTAGTACATGTACTTGATTTACAAATTAATATCTACACCTAGGTAGATAACTAAATTATAAGCCTACATTAAAAGCTTTCTCTCTCTCTCTCCATCCCTCCCTTCCTTTCTCTCCCTCTGTGTACATATCTATGTATATATAGATAATGCAAATAATGTAAAATAAATATGTGTGTGAATAAGTGTTATAGCGATCTGAAACTTGGACCTGTTAAGAACACTATTTCTGAGAAACTATTTTACATGGAAACCTCAGAAATGTGCTGAGTTACTGTAGACCAGTCATTTACGTCCAATGATAAGATAGCAATGTATTCAGAATATGTGGAACATTTAGAGAAGGGTGAATAGATATGGTGCGGAATAGGAGGTCATGGGAATGACAAAAGCAAATGTCTCATACCCAGTTGAATTTACCTTTTGATTTGGTATTTTCATCAGCCACTATATGTCTGTGTAGGGAAATTTGAGAGATTTGGGGAGTGTGTACCTCCCTCTGGGAGCATGAAAATCAGTATCTTTTGCCATTTAAGAAACACTTCAGTCTTGGATTTTGTCTGTTGACATCTTTTCATCAGTTATATTATTCTTAAGTTGTGAAAATGACACAGTTGAAATGCCAAAGTCAATACAAGCACTGGATATTTCTATTTTTTTTAATTTTGCAAACTTTTTTATTTTTTTGCTGGAAAAGGATCTAGCCAGGTTGTCTAGATAATTCTATATGAGAATATTGAAAAAAAAAGAAAGAAAGTGAGTATCTCAGGAAGTAAGTGAAAGCCCATCGATCACAAGAAAGAAGAAAATAACACTGGGTGATTTAAAAGGAGGAGAAATTTAATGTGTATCAAAATGCCCCTAACAATGAACATTTAAATTCACTAAGATATTCTCATCAAGCAGGCTTGAATTTTTATAATTTAAGGAGGGAGGGAGGGAGGAAAGGAAGGAAGGAAATAACAGGAATTCTAGGAGATATATTTTGGCAGAGATTTAATCTAAGTATGATTTCCCCCAAAACTGTTTTCAGTATTGATAGTTTGAGGTTCAAATACATGGTAATAAGAAAATAACAATATTTTAAAAATTATTATCTAACTTTTTTCTACTCATTTTTATAGTCTTCAAAATGAAGTTTAAAAAATTCATTCATGCAACTGAAAACATGCTAACACTTTAATGAATTTTTAAAAATATATTATTTTCCACCTTCTTGGTATCCTTCAACTAGATCCATGAGGGCAAAACACTACTTGGTTGACCAATCCTTGGATTATTAGTGACTGGAGTCACTGTGAGTTTCTAAAGGTCAAGCTAAAATTATGAACAAACTATTGTCTTCATGGACACAGCAGTTTGCCAAATAAGGCAGGTAACAACATTTTTGTTACTCCAAGGTTAATGAACATGGATGTTATTAACAATAAATACAAAACATTCTTTTGGAAACTTATTCAATTCTATTTAGTGTTAGTTGCAGATTCTTTTCTTCCACACAAATCTAGATAAGAAGTTGCTTAATAAATAAAGGAGAAATTACAGAATCAAAGTTGTTAGGACACAAAATAAGCAGAAATAGAGTTTGTTTTTCCTGTAGTGTTTGTTTCATTAGTTTTACTTCAAATTTTGGAAGTTTATGTCTTATGAAGCATGTGATATTTTATGAAGCTCCCAAAAATAGAATAACCCTTTTTGTTGCTTACTTTTGTCAGACTGCAATAAAAAAAAAAGGGAAGTACGTTAACTCAGCAAATAGAAACATTGTTCTGTGTACTTGTATCTTTGGGGATTCTGGGAATAAGCATTTCTAAGAGTAGAAACGAGCATTTGATGGGATAATTTATTTTACTTCTTATTGGAAAATCAATCTTTCAGAGAGAAACAGGTTTTATTTGTTTGCTTGCTTTGTTTTTTAAACAAACCAGCATAATGCATTTTTATATTTGTATTTGTATTTCGATTGCCTTTTTTAACTTGGGATTTGTATTTGTGTGCATAATAAGTTGCTACAAATAATACCTAAGAGACAGAAACAAAGTAAAATAACTTGGATTGAATTTATTTTATTGATTATAAGAATGATTTCTATTCACATTACAAGAAAGTATTGTCTATCTAGCATTTCCAAGTTATTGCCTGAGAAAGGCATCAATCTGTGAAGGTCAGAAGCTCTTGCTGGTAGAAGGGACCCTAGAGATTAGCAAATACTACCTCTGCCACTAACGTTTCTCCATGCACCATTTGGTTCAGAATCAACTGAGGTGAGTACTAAGAGGGCCCTCTCCATATCAGACCTACAGATCACAATTTGCAAGAATAGCATGCTCCCTAACATTCGAGAAAAAATCTAATTATTTTTCACATGTCCGCTCTTCAGATATTGAAGATGAATATTGTGTTGCTACTAAACATTTTCTTTCTAAATACCCTGCATCCAAGTATAGTTAAATATCTGATGAAAAATGTGCAGTTGACTAATATGTATCAAACAAGATATAAAAGGCAAGAAAGAGATTAGCATTGGGGCAGTTATTAGTAAGAATTTATGACTCCTTGTTTCTAGGATACTAAAACTAAAAGGCAATTACCTTGGACCAGGGGTCCCCAGCCCCTGGGCCATCGACCAGTACTGGTCCCTGGTCTGTTAGGAACTGGGCCGCACGGCAGGAAGAGAGTGGTGGACAAGCCAGCATTACCACCTGAGCTCTTCCTCCTGTCAGATCAGCAGCGGCATTAGATTCTCATAGGAGCACAAATTCTATTATGAACTGCCCTTGTGAGGAATCTAGGTTGCATGCTCCTTATGAGAATCTAACTGATGCCTGATTTTCTGAGGCAGAACAGTTTCAACCTGAAACCATCCCTTCCCCCAACCCTCATCTGTGGAAAAATTGTCTTCCACAAAACTGGTCCCCGGTGCCAGAAAGTTTGGGGACTGCTGCATTAGATGATACATGCAAAACATTTAGCATGGTGTTAGGTACACAGAGAGCATGTCATAAATCCCGGGCAGTAGCAGAGCAGAAGTAGAAACAGCAGCAGGGGTGGTAAGAGTGGTCATGGAGGTGATGATAGCAATGGTAGTGTTCCACAGACGTCCTTCCTCCCTTTCTTCCTTCCTCCCTCCCTCCCTCCCTTTCTTCCTTCCTCCCTCCCTCCCTTCCTTCTTTCCTTCCTTCCTCCCTCTCTGCCTTTCTCCTTCCTCCTTTCCTTCCTCCCTCCCTGCCTTTCTCCTTCCTTCCTTCCTCCCCCCTCCTTCCTTCCTCCCCCCTCCTTCCTTCCTCCCTCCCTTCCTTCCTTCCTCCCCCCTCCTTCCTCCCTCCCTCCCTTCCTTCCTTCTTTCCTTCCTTCCTCCCTCCCTGCCTTTCTCCTTCCTTCCTTCCTCCCCCCTCCTTCCTTCCTCCCTCCCTTCCTTCCTTCCTCCCCCCTCCTTCCTTCCTCCCTCCCTTCCTTCCTTTCTCCCCCCTTCCTTCCTCCCTCCTTCCCTTCCTTCCTGCCTTCCTTTCCTTCCTTCCTCCCTCCCTTTCACCTTCCTTCCTTCCTTCCTCCCTTTCTCCTTCCTTCCTCCCTCCCTCCCTTCCTTCCTCCCCCCTCCTTCCTTCCTCCCCCCTCCTTCCTTCCTCCCCCCTCCTTCCTTCCTCCCTCCCTTCCTTCCTTCCTCCCCCCTCCTTCCTTCCTCCCTCCCTTCCTTCCTTTCTCCCCCCTTCCTTCCTCCCTCCTTCCCTTCCTTCCTGCCTTCCTTTCCTTCCTTCCTCCCTCCCTTTCACCTTCCTTCCTTCCTTCCTCCCTTTCTCCTTCCTTCCTCCCTCCCTCCCTTCCTTCCTCCCCCCTCCTTCCTTCCTCCCCCCTCCTTCCTTCCTCCCCCCTCCTTCCTTCCTCCCTCCCTTCCTTCCTTCCTCCCCCCTCCTTCCTTCCTCCCTCCCTTCCTTCCTTTCTCCCCCCTTCCTTCCTCCCTCCTTCCCTTCCTTCCTGCCTTCCTTTCCTTCCTTCCTCACTCCCTTTCACCTTCCTTCCTCCCTCCCTGCCTTTCTCCTTCCTTCCTTCCTCCCCCCTCCTTCCTTCCTCCCCCCTCCTTCCTTCCTCCCCCCTCCTTCCTTCCTCCCTCCCTTCCTTCCTTCCTCCCCCCTCCTTCCTTCCTCCCTCCCTTCCTTCCTTTCTCCCCCCTTCCTTCCTCCCTCCTTCCCTTCCTTCCTGCCTTCCTTTCCTTCCTTCCTCCCTCCCTTTCACCTTCCTTCCTTCCTTCCTCCCTTTCTCCTTCCTTCCTCCCTCCCTCCCTTCCTTCCTTCCCTCCTTGCTTCTTTCCTTCCTCCCTCCTCCATCCATCCCTTCCTCCCTCATTTTCTTCCTCCCTGCCTTCCTTCTAAAATCCTCACATATTTTTGTAATTTATTTTTAAGACTGTTTTTAAGCCATATATGCACTTAACAAATCAACAGTAACAAAACAACATAAACCAATTTTAATAAGGAAGCAAAACTCTTTTGCACACCCCAGTAAACACTACCAAGTCTGGTTACACAGTGGCATTCATTCTTAGCATTGTTTTTGGCTCTTCTGATAATTTTCCTCCTGACATTAAGTGACATGTTCATAACTCTATTTCTTGATTTATCATTTTTAGACCACAAATAATGACTCCACAATATGATGACTTAGCTCTTTTAAACTTCTGCTTTCTCCCTTCTCTTCCTTCTCAAGGTTAACATTCATATACTTTTCCCGTTCTTCAAATGGCCCCCTTTGTAATACTAAGTAATAGACCTATGCCTCCATTTCTGTTCCACTCACTTTCGACTGTATCTCTTGGTTTTCCACAATATGAAATGAAGATTTTTAGCAGCACTTCCTTTATTTAAAAGAAAAGACTCATCAGCTCCTCTGCTTCCATTCTTCCGTTATTTTTTTAGATGCACATTCACTTAACACGGCTACATTTTGTTCTGCCACTGCATTCGTGAATTCTAAGTGTTGTTTGTAAAATAACCCTAAAAGGGGTTGAGTGTGGTGGCTCACGCTGTAATCCCAGCACTTTGGGAGGCCGAGGCGGGTGGATCGCCTGAGATCAGGAGTTCGAGACCAGCCTGACCAACATGGTGAAACCCCGTCTCTACTAAAAATACAAAAATTAGCCAGGCGCGGTCATGGGAACCTCTAATTTCAGCTACTCGGTAGGCTGAGGCAGGAGAATTCTTTGAACCCAAGAGGCGGAGGTTGCAGTGAGCCAAGATCGGGCCATGGCACTCCAACCTGGGCAACAAGAGTGAAGTTCTGTCTCAAAAAAAAAAAAAAAAAAAAGATAATAATATAAAATAAATAAGTAAATAACTGTAAAAGGTGCAAAGCGATAAACAGTGTTTGATAATTATGGCTTGTTAAGGTCATGTTTGCTTTTCTATAGGTTCTATATTGGATTCCTGGAGCTATTACTGAGGGAGATTCTTCCATATTATTTGATGTGTCACTTCATGTATACATGACTTGGACAAACATTTGAGACAAATTAGGAAAAGTCAATATGCAGAGAAGGAGGGAAGTGGGAAGGAAGAGAAGCAAGAATACTCTGTGGATATGAAAATCCCTTCACCGCTGCTACTGCTTCTCACTCTGCGACTACTGCTAGCATTGCAGTCAATGCAGCCTGCTTTCCTATATTCGGTCGACTGCTGAAAATCAGCACGTGTGTTATTTTACTTTCTCTTTTAAATTTATTTTTTAAAATTCTAGTTACCTTTCTTTTATTCTTGTATTATTTGCCTTGATACTATTAATTAAATGTTATTTGCCTCACTTTTTTTCATCAATCTTTTAATCTCACTATCTAGGCTTATTCTACTATTTTTTATTTTTTCCCCTAGAAAATTCCCTCTCTATTGTTATTCTTCAATGCACACCATTTGCTCTCCAGGCCCACTGTAGAGAATCCACCACTTCTCTGCTAGTGTAGGTCCACTGCTTCTTGCATGCCTTCATCTTTCTCTGTTTATTTTCTGTATGTAATACACATGCTTCTTCACCTATGCTAGCTTTATGTCTCAATAAACCCATCATAAGTTGAAAATATCATAAGTTGAAAATGCATTTAATATACTTAACCTATTGAACAGTATAGTTTTGCCCAGTCTATCTTAACCATGCTTGGAACACATACATTTGGGCAAAATCATCTAACACAAAACCTATTTTATAATAAAGTGTTGAATATCTCAACACTGTGTTAAACTGTGTTAAACGGTGTTTACACTGTGTTAAACAGTAGTTGTAATCAGATTTTTAAATGGAGAAAAAGATTATTTTTATGTCAATAAATCTTTTCTAATATGTACAAATGAGTTTTTTGAAAACTAATTTAAAAAACCTAAATTCTTTTTGAGGCTCAAAATGAGCTACAAATTAAAGTATACAAGTGATATTTCCCTTGTAGCCACCCTGCTACCATTTTTTTACAAAGATATCCACCCGCATAAAAGATAATTTAATGTAGTTGCTGCTATAGCAACTGAATGTTCCTTCCCGTACAAGACGCCTAAGGGCAAAAACTTGCAAGACTGACAATTCTCCTGGTAGTTCCTGACTATATCAAAGCTGAAAGACAGAACTAGTTTTTCTTAAAGATGTTTTTTCTCAGGGTCTCAGATCTCAGATCTTTGGACTCAGATTTGAATCCTGCCTCATACTCTGAATGAAGCAAACATTGTCTCCAATGCAGTTATACTTTTCAGCTTTGATGTGGATTTTGAAATTGCATAATCAAATTCTCATGCCACTTCATATCCTTTCAAAGTTGACTTTTCAAATCACCCTCACTGAAGTCAACATTTTTTCCTATGAGTGGTTGAACTAAGTGAATCCAGGAGGAAGGCCAGAAACTGGATCATTGTTAAGACAAGAATAATGATAGCAGCCATTATTTACCGGGTGCCCAATAAATGTAAGGCACAATGCTAATCTCTTTGCATAAATTATTTCATTATATCTTTATGAAAACCTTATCAGTTGGACGAGAAAGAAAAAAGGAAAGAGGGTGGGAGGAAAGAAGCAGGGAAGGAAAGGAAAAAGACAGGGAGCCCATTTAGCCTAATTTCCCATAATATTGGGTGAAAACCACCACTGCAGTGTGAAATATTTTACTCCAGGATATTTCAGCTAAGGGAACAGTATCTACAAAGCTCAGAGGTCAGCAAGAGCTTGGAGAAGATGTTCTCAATGGCAAAGGGTAGAAGCTGATAAACTGATTTTACCAACTTTAGACATCCGTCTAATGAAGAACCTACCAAATTCAGATATGTACATTTTATTTGTATGTGCATGTATCCTTGAATGAGATTCATAATTCATAACGCAAAATGTTATAAAGCTGACCAAAAGATGTCTTAGCAATGCCTAAAGCCAAGTCATGGACAAAAAATATATACAGAAGGAGTTTGCATTATGTAATATATACAAGCAATTATGAAGGACAACCAAGGGTTGTCAGTTTCCAGTTCCTTCACACATGGAAACTGGAGATAATCCTTAACTTGAGGGGGTTGGTGGCGAAAGGAAGAGTCTTTCCATTTTTCATAAAGACCAAGTGTCCTTATCAGAATCTCATGTTGACTTTGACTTGGTCAGGTGATGCGTTTCTGCATAAATGTATAAAGTCTTAATTCATCTTAGGCATTTGTTCAAAATATTTCCTAATTGATTTCTAATTGATTTCTACCAAAGTTGTAGCTCCCCACCAAATTTTGACGGTATTGGTTTATTCATTTAGTTAGTATTTATGGTACCTGCTCATCTATATAATTAATATTTATTGGACATCTATCATGCATTAAATACTGTACTAGGAAATTAGAGTGAGTAACAGAGATGCATCCTATAATTTATGAATGAGACACACAAATTGAAAATTACAATAGCTGGGTAATTATGAAAAATTACAGAAGCATATTGAAGGTGTCCTTGACCCAGGCTGGAGAAGAGGGAGGACGGAGATGTCAGAAGAGGTAATATTTAAGCTGAAATAAATAAAATTCTTTCAGTATACGAGAAAGAATGTTTCAGCTGAGGAAACAGCATAGAAAATCTCCAAGGGCCAGAGAGAACATGGTATTATCAAGCTGCAAGCATCTAGGAATGGCTAAACGTGTCAGTGGAGGGAGTGGCTAGAATCAAAACCCATGAGTTAGACAGGGGCATGAGCTTAGGGGGACTTGTAAACCATCATACAAAATTTGGAACTTCATCCTGGACAGCACTAATATTTGATAAGTTGTTTTAAGAAGATAAGTAACATGATTAGATGTGCTTTAGAAAGGTCACAACGGTTGCAGCGTTCCACTGGAATCAGAGGGGAAGTGGATTGAACGCACAAGGGCCATTCACAAGGCTCTTGCAGGACTCTAGTCCCTTGCTGCTGACAGTATGGTCCTTGAATCAGCAGCAGCGGCATCAGCTGGGTGCTTTATCAAGATGCAGAATCTCAGACTCCAGACTTACTGAATCAGAATCCATATATCCACATATTCCCCATGGGATGTGTACATACATAGAAGTTTGATATGTGCTATGCTACACAAGTGGTTTCAAACGTGGCAGGACATCAGTATGTGTCATTTAAGAAGCTTTAGCAAAATGGCAGTGTCCACATTTCCTCCTTCACCACATTTTAGCCAGGCTTCTCTAACCTTTTTCTTGACTAAGCCTCGACCTTGGCTTAGTCAAGACTTGAAAAAAACACTAACACAATTTCTAACAGCTCAAAGCTGTTGGAATGACCCTATTGCCCCTTAAAGTGCCTGCCTGAGAAAAGACAAGACTGCCAAAAAAACCTGCTATTTGTTCCAGCCAACACCTGAAGACAGGGCCCCTGCCTCCCAGTTTCTGTGGGAGCATAGGAGTCTAACTGATCAGTGCCAATTAACAAACCCAGAAGAGTTTAGATAGACCAACCCTCCCTTTCCACTTTTAGTAATTTTTCACTCCCCTGACTCTACTGACCTCCCAATGCTCCCCTCCCTATTCCCTCATTTTCCTTTAAAATTCCAAGTCACCTCTTTAAAAATTGAAGTCGGGTTCAGTTCATACGGGACTCTTTGTCCTACTGCAATAGTTATTATTGATTAAAATCTGTTTTCACCACTTGAACTAGCATCCAGCTTCATTTATCTTTCAGAGTCTCACTCCGAATTCTGATTTATTTGCAAACCAGTGGTTCTCAAATGTTGCCATGTATTATAATCACTTGAGGGCATTTTAAAGCTACTGATGTCAAAGCTACACCACAGACCAATTAAAAGCGGGCGAAAAAGATATATCTACACCAGAAAGATACATAGAAGAGAGAAGACTGACAAAACTTGGTGATTGACTGAATGTGGAGAATAACAGAGAAGTCAAGGATGGCACCCAAGTTTTCAGCTTGAGAAACTGGGAGAAGCATGACATCCATTAGCAATACCTAAGCACACCGGGTCTCCACCACGCACCTGGGGCAGCTGCAGTCGCTCATGAAATCCATGTTTTCTGTGCCTTGTGGCAATGGGAGAGGACCTTTGAATATATGTTGATAGGGAGAACACTTGCAAGGAATTGAAATTCTGAATGAGAAAAATAGATTTCCCCTATATACAGAAATATCCATTTTTACTTCCTGTGCAAACATTTAACTACTTCCTGCAGAGTTAGCTAAGCTGTAAGAAACTAATCAAACTGATTCTAATCATTTGTTTCCATGTATGATTCCACCATCAAACTATGAGTTCCTTAAATGTGCAATATCTTTGTATCCCCAAAGCACCTGTTATGCATAGTGGGTGTTTTTAAATGCTATTTGAATAAAGACATGTATGTTCAGTGAATAGAATATAGTTACCACAAAGGAATGATAAATCCTCTTTGATGTGGCTGTTTCAGAAATACCTTTTTTTCCCCCTTGAAACTGCTTGCGCCTTGTTTTCTGTCCGTTGTTGCCCACAGAAAGCTTGCAGGCAGCCACTGCCCATTAATGCTAAACACATTCATTGGTCCATGGGGATATTATTTCTGATGAACAATTAACACGCTTTGGCATGAAGCTGTCAAAGTCAATTGGTTTAAATCAAACTGAAATGTCAAAACATGTAGTATGGCTTATCTATCTCTAATGCTAAAATCAAGGGTGAAATAGCCAAGGTTCTCCTCAAGAGTAAACAATCCTAGTGTACAGTAAGCTGCAGAGTCTTTAAAGGACCAAACCCCACTGAAAACACACAACATCTTCTACTTAGGTTTTTCCACATCCGCTCTTCTGTGTGTTCTCTGTTTACACACTTACCAAAGAGCAGGACTCTCATTGACTGTGTATACCACGTCGTTCTCATGAGACTGTAACAGTGCTGGTCTATGGGGAGCACTCAGTAAATACTGGCTAAATGAAAATATATAAAGAGTTATTTGCCAGAGCAAAATCAACCTGTTCACCACCACACATGCCATCAGCAGTCATGTATTTGTAGAGATGTTTGTTTTACAAATGCAGTGAAAGTACTTAAAGGACAAGTCCGGAAATTTTGATAGCAAAGCAAGAGAGAAAATTATGAATATTACCTGGGTAAATGCAGTCACTGGAACCAAAACCATAAATCTGCACAGTTCTCTTGTGAATCCAAACTTAACACCAATGCATTCACATTAGCCCTTGTAGAGTGCCATTTTGTTGGTGTTGTTTAACAATTTTTTATTGACGTATAATAGATGCACATACTTTTGGGGTACATGTGAAAATTTAATACATTCATATAATTTGTAAATATCACATAACTATACTTGGGATATCCATCACCTTAAATAATTATCTTTATGCTGAAAACATTTGAATTATTCTCTAACTATCTTGAAATGTACAATAGACTACTATAAATGATAGTCATCCTATTGATCTATAAAATACTAGGTTTTATTTTGTCTGTCAAACAATATATTTGTACCAATTAATCATAGGGTGTCACTTTTTACTTATGAACAACTGACTGATGAAGAGTCTTTCAGAAAGTGGTCGTTTAAAAAGTAAAAAAGCCTCTCTGACAGGGTTTTAGATATAGAAATAAATGTTATATAATTAGTAAAATAATAACTAACATCTATTGAATGTTTACTATATGCCAGACAATGTTTTAAGTTATCTCTATTAATTCATTTATCATTCACAAGAAACCTATGAGGTTGGTACTCTCATTATCCCCATTTTACATAGGAGGAAACTGAGGCTGTGAAAAGTTAAGCAACTTGCCTAAAGTCGTAAGCTAAAAACTGGTAGAAGGGCAGTGATAAAAATCAATATGATATTATAATGGTAGATACATGTCACTATGTATCTGTCCAAACCCATCAAATGTACACCAAAGGTAAATTCTAATGTAAACTACAGACTTTGGGTGATAATAATCTGTCAGCATAGGTTCCTCAGTTGTAGCAAATGCACCATTCTGATGGGGGATGTGTGGGGACAGGAGGCATATGGGAAATCTCTGCATCTTCTTCTCAATTTTGCTGTGATCGTAAACTGTTCCTTAAAAAAAGGATGTGTAAAAAGAGAGAGAGAAATACTTAAAAAAAGAAATGGTGGTAGTGATAAGAATCATACTCAGGGAAAATTAGGAAATGGTTTGAATACAACAAAGTAAATACTTAAAACTAGTCTAATAAATGGTTATGTTTTAAAATAACAGAATTAAGTCTAATGGGTCTGTAAGCAGAATGCTTTCTCTGCAAAATTATCAGATCAGATTGCAAAACTGATCATTCATTAAAAAAAATCAATCAATGGAATGTCTTTCTTGTGTCTGGTATTGCTTTAGGGGCTAGAAATTCAGTAGAAATAAATGGGAGCATGCCACTGCTATCATGGCTCTTATGTTCTAGTGGTGGGGTAACAGATAACACCATGTAAATATATAAACAATGTATTTTCAGATTTTGGCAACTGTGAAGAAGAAGAGAAAGCAGGGCAATGCAACAGAAAATTTCTTATAAGTTACTCTAAGTTGGGTGGTTCAGTAATTTCTTACAGGGTGACACTGGGCTAAGACATGCATGACAGGAAGAAGCAGCCACATGCAGATCCAGAAGAGAATTCCAGCATAAGAAAAATAAAATAAAAGAACAGATGCAAAATTCCTGATCCTGGGGAGAGCTTGGAGCTCAAGAAGCAGAAAGAATACCAGTGTGACTAACGCAAGGGGAGGAAAAAAGAATGAAAAAAGGAAAGACAGAAAAGAAAATAAAGCAATTTTATGGGGAGTTTGACTTAACTGCATCAAGTCCATAAAGTAATTTGTGGATAATTAACATCATTTTAATTTTGTGTGCTCCCACCTACTAAAATGGAGTATCTCTTTCTTTATTCTAGCCCTTCTCCATGTCCTTCAGTAAATCATTGTGGTTTTCTTCAATAGATCCTACACAATTCTTGTGTTTAGTTTCGTACATTAAAAAAATTATTGGCATGAATGATGTCTCAAATTGTTTTACTTACTTATATGTTCTAATTGTTTTTTCTTATATGTGTGAAAGAATTTGTAAAAACAATTAGACAAAGCCTGTTGAAAAATACTTGTCCCCAGGGGTGGAGCCAAGATGGCCGAATAGGAACAGCTCCAGTTTACAGCTCCCAGCATTAGCGATGCAGAAGACAGGTGATTTCTGCATTTCCAACTGAGGTACCGGGTTCATCTCACTGGGGAGTGCCGGACAGTGGGTGCAGGACAGTGGGTGCAGCACACCAAGCGTGAGCCGAAGCAGGGCGAGGCATCGCCTCACCCAGGAAGTGCAAGGGGTCAGAGAATTCCCTTTCCTAGTCAAAGAAAGCGGTGACAGACGGCACCTGGAAAATCAGGTCACTCCCACCCTAATACTACACTTTTCCAAAGGTCTTACCAAATGGCACAACAGGAGATTATATCCCGCGCATGGCTCAGAGGGTCCTATGCCCACGCAGCCTCGCTCATTGCTAGCACAGCAGTCTGAGATCAAACTGCAAGGCGGCAGCAAGGCTGAGGGAGGAGTGCCCGCCATTGCGGAGGCTTGAGTAGGTAAACAAAGCAGCCGGAAAGCTCAAACTGGGTGGAGCCCACCACAGCTCAAGGAGGCCTGCCTGCCTGCCTCTGTAGACTCCACCCCTGGGGGCAGGGCACAGCCAAACAAAAGGCAGCAGAATCCTCTGCAGACTTAAATGTCCCTGTCTGACAGCTTTGAAGAGAGTAGTGGTTCTCCCAGCATGCAGCTGGAGATCTGAGAACAGACAGACTGCCTCCTCAAGTGGGTCCCTGGCTCCTGAGTAGCCTAACTGGGAGGCACCCCGCAGTAGAGGCAGACTGACACCTCACACGGCCGGGTACTCCTCTGAGACAAAACTTCCAGAGGAATGATCAGGCAGCAACATTTGCTGCTCACCAATATCCGCTGTTCTGCAGCCTCCGCTACTGATACCCAGGCAAAAAGGGTCTGGAGTGGACCTCCAGCAAACTCCAACAGACCTGCAGCTGAAGGTCCTGACTGTTAGAAGGAAAACTAACAAACAGAAAGGACATCCACACCAAAACCCCATCTGTACGTCACCATCATCAAAGACCAAAGATCTTCCACAAAGACAGGGAAAAAACAGAGCAGAAAAACTGGAAACTCTAAAAATCAGAGCACCTCTCCTCCTCCAAAGGAACGCAGCTCCTCACCAGCAACGGAACAAAGCTGGACGGAGAATGACTTTGATGAGCTGAGAGAAGAAGGCTTCAGATGATCAAACTACTCCAAGCTAAAGGAGGAAGTTCGAACCCATGGCAAAGAAATTAAAAACCTTGAAAAAAAATTAGACAAATGGCTAACTAGAATAACCAATGCAGAGAAGTCCTTAAAGGACCTGATGGAGCTGAAAACCAAGGCACAAGAACTACGTGACGAATGCAAAAGCCTCAGTAGCCAATTCAATGAACTGGAAGACAGGGTATCAGTGATGGAAGATGAAATGAATGAAATGAAGCGAAAAGAGAAGTTTAGATAAAAAAAGAATAAAAAGAAACGAACAAAGCCTCCAAGAAATATGGGAATATGTGAAAAGACCAAATCTACATCTGATTGGTGTACCTGAAAGTGACAGGGAGAATGGAACCAAGTTAGAAAACACTCTGCAGGATATTATACAGGAGAACTTCCCCAATATAGCAAAGCAGGCCAACACTCAAATTCAGGAAATACAGAGAATGCCACAAAGATGCTCCTCAAGAAGAGCAACTCCAAGACACATAATTGTCAGATTCACCAAAGTTGAAATGAAGGAAAAAATGTTAAGGGCAGCCAGAGAGAAAGGTCAGGTTACCCACAAAGGGAAGCCCATCAGACTAACAGCTGATCTCTCAGCAGAAACTCTACAAGCCAGAAGAGAGTGGGGGCCAATATTCAACATTCTTAAAGAAAAGAATTTTCAACCCAGAATTTCATATCCAGCCAAACTAAGCTTCATAAGTAAAGGAGAAATAAAATTCTTTACAGACAACCAAATGCTGAGAGATTTTGTCACCACCAGGCCTGCCCTACAACAGCTCCTGAAGAAAGCACTAAACATGGACAGGAACAACTGGTACCAGCCACTGCAAAAACATGCCAAATTGTAAAGACCATCGAGGCTAGGAAGAAACTGCATCAACTAACGAGCAAAATAACCAGCTAACATCATAATGAAAGGATCAAATTCACAAATAACAATATTAACCATAAATGTAAATGGGCTAAATGCTCCAATTAAAAGACACAGACTGGCAAACTGGATAAAGAGTCAAGACCCATCAGTGTGCTGTATTCAGGAAACCCATCTCACATGCAGAGACACACATAGGCTCAAAATAAAATGATGGAGGAAGATCTACCAAGCAAATGGAAAACAAAAAAAGGCAGGGGTTGCAATCCTAGTCTCTGATAAAACAGACTTTAAACCAACAAAGATCAAAAGAGACAAAGAAGGCCATTACATAATGGTAAAGGGATCAATTCAACAAGAAGAGCTAACTTTCCTAAATATATATGCACCAATACAGCAGCACCCAAATTCATAAAGCAAGTCCTTAGAGACCTACAAAGAGACTTAGACTCCCACACAATAATAATGGGAGACTTTAACACCCCACTGTCAACATTAGACAGATAAACGAGACAGAAAGTTAACAAGGATATATAGGAATTGAACTCAGCTCTGCACAAAGAGGACCTAATAGACATCTACAGAACTCTCCACCCCAAATTAACAGAAGATACATTCTTCTCAGCACCACACCGCACTTATTCCAAAATTGACCACACAGTTGGAAGTAAAGCACTCCTCAGCAAATGTAAAAGAACAGAAATTATAACAAACTGTCTCTCAGACCACAGTGCAATCAAACTAGAACTCAGGATTAAGAAACTCACTCAAAACTGCTCAACTACATGGAAACTGAACAACCTGCTCCTGAATGACTACTGGGTACATAACGAAATGAAGGCAGAAATAAAGATGTTCTTTGAAACCAACGAGAACAAAGACACAACATAACAGAATCTCTGGGACACATTCAAAGAAGTGTGTAGAGGGAAATTTATAGCACTAAATGCCCACAAGAGAAAGCAGGAAAGATCCAAAATTGATACCCCAACATCACAATTAAAAGAACTAGAGAAGCAAGAGCAAACACATTCAAAAGCTAGCAGAAGGCAAGAAATAACTAAGATCAGAGCAGAACTGAAGGAAATAAAGACACAAAAAAAACCTTCAAAAAATCAGTGAATCTAGGAGCTGGTTTTTTGAAAAGATCAACAAAATTGATAGACCGCTAGCAAGACTAATAAAGAAGAAAAGAGAGAATAATCAAATAGATGCAATAAAAAATGATAAAGGGGATCTCACCTCCGATCCCACAGAAATACAAACTACCATCAGAGAATACTATAAACACTTCTTCGCAAATAAACTATAAAATCTAGAAGAAATGGATAAATTCCTGGACACATACACCCTCCCAAGACTAAACCAGGAAGAAGTTGAATCTCTGAATAGACCAATAACAGGATCTGAAATTGAGGAAATAATTAATAGCTTACCAACCAAAAAAAGTCCAGGACCAGATGGATTCACAGCCGAATTCTACCAGAGGTACAAGGAGGAGATGGTACCATTCCTTCTGAAACTATTCCAATCAATAGAAAAAGAGGGAATCCTCCCTAACTAATTTTACGAGGCCAGCATCATCCTGATACCAAAACCTGGCAGAGACACAACAAAAAAAGAGAATTTTAGACCAATATCCTTGATGAACATCAATGCAAAAATCCTCAATAAAATACTGGCAAACCGAATCCAGCAGCGCATCAAAAAGCTTATCCACTGTGATCAAGTGGGCTTCATCCCTGGGATGCAAGGCTGGTTCAACATACGAAAATCAATAAACGTAATCCAGCATATAAACAGAACCAATGACAAAAACCATATGATTATCTCAACAGATGCAGAGAACGCCTTTGACAAAATTCAACAACGTTTCATGCTAAAAACTCTCAATAAATTATGTATTGATGGGACATATCTCAAAATAATAAGAGGTATCTATGACAAACCCACAGCCAATATCATACTAAATGGACAAAAACTGGAAGCATTCCCTTTGAAAACTGGCATAAGACAGGGATGCCCTCTCTCACCACTCCTATTCAACATAGTGTTGGAAGTTCTGGCCAGGGCAATCAGGCAGGAGAAGGAAATAAAGGGCATTCAATTAGGAAAGAGGAAGTCAAATTGTCCCTGTTTGCAGATGACACGATTGTATATCTAGAAAACCCCATTGTTTCAGCCCAAAATCTCCTTAAGCTGATAGGCAACTTCAGCAAAGTCTCAGGATACAAAATCAATGTGCAAAAATCACAAGCATTCTTATACACCAATAACAGACAGAGAGCCAAATCATGAGTGAACTCCCATTCACAATTGCTTCAAAGAGAATGAAATACCTAGGAATCCAACTTACAAGGGAAGTGAAGGACCTCTTCAAGGAGAACTACAAACCACTGCTCAATGAAATAAAAGAGGATACAAACAAATGGAAGAACATTCCATGCTCATGGGTAGGAAGAATCAATATCATGAAAATGGCCATACTGCCCAAGGTAATTTATAGATTCAATGCCATCCCCATCAAGCTACCAATGACTTTCTTCACAGAATTGGAAAAAACTACTTTAAAGTTCATATGGAACCAAAAAAGAGCCTGCATCGCCAAGTCAATCCTAAGCCAAAAGAACAAAGTTGGACGCATCACGCTACCTGACTTCAAACTATACTACAAGGCTACAGTAACCAAAACAGCATGGTACTGGTACAAAAACAGAGATACAGACCAATGGAACAGAACACAGCCCTCAGAAATAATGCCGCATATCTACAACCATCTGATCTTTGACAAACCTGACAAAAATAAGAAATGGGGAAACAATTCCCTATTTAATAAATGGTGCTGGGAAAACTGGCTAGCCATATGGAGAAAGCTGAAACTGGATCCCTTCCTTACACCTTATACAAAAATTAATTTAAGATGGATTAAAGACTTACATGTTAGACCTAAAGCCATAAAAACCCTAGAAGAATACTTAGGCAATACCATTCAGGACATAGGCATGGGCAAGGACTTCATGTCTAAAATACCAAAAGCAATGGCAACAAAAGCCAAAATTGACAAATGGGATCTAATTAAACTAAAGAGCTTCTGCACAGCAAAAGAAACTACCACCAGAGTGAAAAGGCAACCTACAGAACGGGAAAAAATTTTTGCAACCTACTCATCTGACAAAGGGCTAATATCCAGAATCTACAATGAACTCAAACAAATTTACAAGAAAAAAACAAACAACCCCATCAAAAAGTGGGTGAAGGATATGAACAGACACTTCTCAAAAGAAGACATTTATGTAGCCAAAAGACACATGAAAAAATGCTCACCATCACTGGCCATCAGAGAAATGCAAATCAAAACCACAATGAGATACCATCTCACACCAGTTAGAATGGTGATCATTAAAATGTCAGGAAACAACAGGTGCTGGAGAGGATGTGGAGAAATAGGAACACTTTTACACTGTTAGTGGGACTGTAAACTAGTTCGACCATTGTGGAAGTCAGTGTGGCGATTCCTCAGGGATCTAGAACTAGAAATACCATTTGACCCAGCAATCCCATTACTGGGTATATACCCAAAGGATTATAAATCATGCTGCTATAAAGACACAAGCACACGTATGTTTATTGCAGCACTATTCAATAGCAAAGACTTGGAAGCAACCCAAATGTCCATCAATGATAGACTGGATTAAGCAAATGTGGCACATATACACCATGGAATACTATGCAGCCATAAAAAAAGATGAGTTCATGTCCTTTGTAGGGACATGGATGAAGCTGGAAACCATCATTCTCAGCAAACTATCACAGGGACAAAAAACCAAACACCGCATGTTCTCACTCATAGGTGGGAATTGAACAATGAGAACACATGGACACAGGAAGGGGAACATCACACATCAGGGCCTGTTGTGGGGTGGGGGGAAGGGGGAAGGATAGCATTAGGAGATATACCTAATGTTAAATAACTAGTTAATGGGTGCAGCACACCACCATGGCACATGTATATATATGTAACTAACCTGTACATTGTGCACATGTACCCTAAAACTTAAAGTATAATAATAATAAAAAAGAAATATACTCACACACACACACAAAAACAGAAGAAAAATACTTGTCCCCAATGATGTATATCTCTATAATGACTGGAATTCTCATTTCTCCATCATTTTTTCTTCAGACACAGCTGAATAAAAACTCAGATATTTTTGTTCTTGATGAAGATCCAATTCGACCACTTCTTTTATGTATATTTCTCCCTTCTTTCCTCCATCCTCTCCTCCTTTCCTTCCTTCCTTTCCTGCTTGTTTCTTCCCTGTTTCCATTTATCCATCCATTTTATAAACATTGATTTTAGAGCCTATTATACATCAGAAACTATGTAGAAATGTGACCATAAGTTGCGTTCTATCTGGGTCGGATAATTAAGAAGCAGGTAAAATGCAGTGTAGTTAATTCTCAGGTAGAAGTGGGAGTGGAATATTACGGGACTAGAGTGAAGGACCATCATCCAGTCCGGGCTGGGTAGAAAACACCTTACAGACAGGCTCAGCATAGAGACTAGAAATCCTGGGCAGAGACTGCAGGAAACAGCCCAGGGCAAGTGGGTATATTTCATCCGCCACAAAACAGCCACCTAATCTGACTGATCCCTAAAAATATATACTTTTTGAACAACATAAGTAATACACAAATGCGTTTTTAGTATACAAATTCAATCAAAAACTCAGAATATGCAAGAACAGTTTTAAAGTTCATGTTTTCTTCACTGGAGCCCTTTCAATCTTTTCACTTATAATAATTTTTAACTATATGGCTATGTAGACGTTCATAAGTTTTCTAAGTATATACATACATACACACATATTGTCTATATATATATGTGTGTGTATATATATATGTATATATATATATATATATACACACACACACACACACACACACACCACATTGTCTGTATAAATAATAAAAAAGTTGGCCAGGTGCGGTGGGTCACACCTGTAACCCCAGCACTTTAGGAGGCTGAGGCAGGCGGATCATGATGTCAGAAGATCCAGACCATCCTGGGCAACATGGTGAAACCCCGTATCTACTAAAAATACAAAAATTAGCTGGGTGTGGTGGCGCGCACCTGTAGTCCCAGCTATTTGGTAGGCTGAGACAGGAGAATCGCTTGAACCCGGGAAGCAGAGGTTGCAGCAAGCCGAGATCACGCCACTGCATTCCAGCCTGGTGACAGAGTGAGACTCCATCTCAACAACAACAACAAAAAGCTTTCTAAATATATACATACATTATATATAAATAATAGAAAGGAAGTTAGATATATAGTGATATATGTATACATAGGCATACATTATATATGTGTATATGTACACATATATATGACTATACATATTCTGTAACTTCCTTTTTTATTGAAAATATCTTGGAATGCTTACATGGCCTATGCAGATATCATTCTTTTAAATACCTAAAGAGTATCATTTTTTGCATAGAAGTGATATGTATTCACGCATTTATAGTAAGAAAAACACCATTAACACTGAAAAATGTAAATCAAGGTTTCCCCAATCCTCCCCAAACTATTCATTCCTATCTTCATTCTTCATAGCTAATCTCTCTTAAGTCTTTGTATATTCTCCCAGAAATATTGTGTGTGTGTGTGTGTGTGTGTGTGTGTGTGTGTATGTGTGTGTGTGTGTGAGAGAGAGTATTCTCCATTTTTCCATAAGCTTAAAGCCAAGCTGTTCTCTGGTACCCAGGAGGACACAGGTTTTCCCTTTCCTGTGCTGCTTCTCCACCTGGCAAGATCTGTGTGTGAGGTGTATGGAGGTGGATCAGCTGTTCATCAAGCCATACTCAAGAATGTTCTGTTCAATGTAATGAGACCTCTGTAAATGCCAGTGTGAGAGGAATTATATTTCTGATGTGGAACATTCTTTTAATGGAGAAATGGGCTATGGGAAAAAGCAGAACATGCTCTTATTTCAAACATTGGGGAGAGAGATGGAAAATTTTTCTTGTAAATTATTCGCTATGTTAAACTAAGTCATTCAGAAAATGCATTTTAATAGGGCACATAAAATCAACAGGATCAGCAGGTAGAGCATCTATTTAAATTGCCACCTGCCACAAAGAAGCTAACACTGTATTCTCCAGCTGAAGATATTCAATTGTGTATGCTTTAGGGGTATGGGTGATTCTAGCTCCTGGTTGCATTATAATTTATAATAAATGAGGCATGAATTTATAGGGATTATTTATTTACTTTGAAGCAAATCTGTGATCCATGAATGACCCTATTACCAGTTAATAGGAGGAAAGAATTACTTGTTATTGGAATGAAATAAGAATAAGATCTAAACATGTAACATGCTTGACACGCATAGAGTCTTCAAAATATCTCCCCAAAAGGTTCATGTCAATAACATTCACCATAGGATACACAAAATATGAGCTCATTATCCATATATGAGAGAGGGAATAATGGATGTCTTCATATCTGACTTGTCCAATTTTACCTAAAATACTAGTGAGCAAGTGGGAACCAGGACACAGATCTTCTAATTCAGCCAAGCATAATTTTCGCCATAAAGATTCTTAAGTCTGTATTCAAATAATAATCATGCAAACTAATATTGGTGTAGCATTTTACATTTTAAAAAAGCAATTTTTCAGCAAACAATCAACATAATATCTTAGTTAAAAATGGTTGGGAGGCCGAGGTGGGCGGATCACAAGGTCAAGAGATCGAGACCATCCTGGCCAACATGGTGAAACCCCGTCTCTACTAAAAATACAAAAATTAGCTGGGCGTGGTGGCGTGTGCCTGTAGTCCCAGCTGTTCGGGAGGCTGAGGCAGGAGAATGGCTTGAACCCAGGAGGTGGAGGTTGCAGGGAGCCGAGATCGCACCACTGCACTCCTGCTTGGCGACAGAGCGAGACTCCATCTCAAAAGAAAAAAAAAAAGGTAATATTCACAGCATTTCTTCAGAACAATAAACTATGGACCAAGGAAATGAAAAAACTTGTTTCAGATCATACCCCTAAAAAGTGGCAGCATTCAAATAGCAGCACTTTGGTTAGCAAATCCCACTTTTCTCCCCGAAATTTTATGACACCATTACATCTAGAGTTGCGATGCATATATTACTGTATCTCCCTTACCTTATGAAATAGGGAAGCATGGAGATTCTCATCCTTATTTCCTAGAACAGAAACTTCAAAGTACCAATGATTTAAAGTTACAGTCACGCTAATGGGAGGATTAGCAGTTAGCACCCAATCAAGTACACTCAGCCCCTTTATGTGAGACAACCGTTTACCTAAACAATCACGATAGTTTGTGACTATCGTGAAACAATCCCAGTCGAAGAAGCGCAATGCTTCTGTCCCATTAATGTTAAGGAAAATCCTCTTCGACTGAAGGATTTGGGCGAGGTTTTCTCAGTTTGACCACATGGTGGCAGTATTACCATGCATTGAAAGACTTCCAGCCCCAGCAGTTCAGAATAAGAGTGCGCTGCCAATTGGCTCAGAAAAACATCCTTTTGTGTCCTCTTTGACTTCGAGATGTGCAAAAAAAGATAGCAAGCTGTGTGGTCTCTGAATAGAGAGCTCTGTTTCTTCTTTCCAGCTTACTAGAAGGATATGGGTGCCGAGTGAGAGGCAATACTACAGCAGCCTAATGAGCCAATTATTTTGTTTGGCACAAATATCACTAGGGACTTAGAGAAAGGTGCTTTCATACAAGAAGGAAAGCAAAACACAACTAACAACTACAATTTCAGGCAAATCATGGACTTAAAACGTGTCCCTGAGTTTAAGTTTTATTATCTTGTCTCTTTATGTGACTTTCCAACAAGGAGCAAAGAAATATTTGGTTTGGCATTTTTCATTTTTATTGGTGACTTCTTCAAATTGACACAAGTTGTATTTGTCTAGCAATAAATCCACAGTGCAGCCTGCTTGCCAATCTATGCATTCAAAATATTTCATCTTGATTATATATATCAGGTGCACCAAAGGGACTATCTCATTTAATCTTAAAGTAATTGTGTATAATAGGTGTCATTATTTTCATTTTACACAGGAAGAAAGTAAAGTAAAAAAAAAAATAAACTAACTTCAGCTCCCAAAGACAGTAAATACACAGAATCTGAACAATCTAATGCATAAACCCACAATTTTCCTCCCCATCACACTCATTTTACATTCAAAATAATTTCTCTCCCATTAAAAATTATTTTTTTATTATTCAAATGTATTTTTAAATTTTTAAGTAGAGAAGTTTCAAGAAAGAAACAAAAAATCATGCAGGCTTTTTTTTTTTTTTTTTTTTTTGACTGAGTCTCATTCTATCGCCCAGGCTGCAGTGCGGCGGCATGATCTCGGCTCACTGCAACCTCTGCCTTCCAGGCTCAAGGAGCTCAAGCAAATTCTCATGCCTCAGACTCTCAGACAGCTGGGATTTCAAGTGTGTGCCACCATACCCCGCTAATTTTTTGTATTTTTAGTAGAGACAGGGCTTCACAATGTTGCCCAGGCTAGTCTCAAACTCCTGAGCTGTGGCAATCCACCCACCTTGGCTTCCGAAAGTGCTGGGATTACAGGCATGAACCACTGCACCTAGCCCGTTTTTTCTTCTCTCTCTCTCTCTTTTTAACATAGATTCCATAGCAAGGATGTATTGTAATTAATTTGACAGATCCTAACGGTTTATTTCCTCTCTGTATGATCTTAACTAAGAAAATGTATGGTTAGTTTTCTTTTAATTTAAAAATGACATCATAGCACCACACCAACAGACTAAATATGGTTAAAGAGTGGTTGGACCAGAAAGAAACTAATACAATAAAAAGAAATACTGTTTTTATGGTTTTGAAAACTATCACATAACCGCACTGCCGATCACCTTAAGGCTGCAGCAAGGAGCACTTAGGGGGCCAGGGACAGAGCCCAGCTGAGATTAGAAGGGAAATCATCTTTCCCCTGGGTGTTCAAATCCTCCTTCACAGGAGGTGCTCTCTGGCAGGCATTTACCTAAGATAAATGATCCACATGCTCTAGGCTCATGGTCATAGGTTCATCTACACACTTGTTTCCACTAGCAACTTGTCCCTGATTTTCCATTCGTGATCCTTTCATTATTCCACCCAAACCATTTGCCACTGCCCAGAAGTGTGTGCACGGGTGTGTGTATGTGTGCATATGCCTGCATCTTAGCAGGCAACATCTCCCACCACACCAAGCTCATGACCAGGTGTTTAAAACTCTGCCCAGCCAAAGTATTCTATTTCATCATTGTCCTTTAATGGTGCTATAATAGAACAATAGTGCATTTTCAGCTAGCACCAACATCATGCCAGTCCATTGTGAACCAGGCCTGGGTCCTTTCCTCAGTTGTCAACTAATCACAGGAAATATCCCAGCAAGCCGCAGGTGTGTGTCAAGAGAGAGGTGTCAGAATAACATGGGAGTGAGTCTAGGCTACCTGTTTGCTGGTATCATTTCTGGATCTTCTTGAGCTCAATTCCTAATACACCATTTCCAGCATACATTCAGCTTACAATAGACAATTTGTCAGTGAGATGTCATCAATAGAGTAGACAGCATGAAGGTCTGATAACAGCAAGATGGTTGTGATCTCTACAAGCAATATTACAACAGAGTGCGGGAGAATTAACACAGCCCTAAGACATGGGAGTGTATGGTTACTGCTTTTCTGCTTTACAAAGGTGAAATGATTTGGATCCTCCTCCACTTATGTGGTGAAAAATAATGCATTTTCCAACTTAAAATATGCATTCCAAGCACCAGAAACTGTTTAGTCCTGCTGCAGTAACACACCACACCAAGCCCAGCAGCTGCTACTAGAGCAGTACCTTGTTAGCTTATGGTATCCACTGTCACCCTCTACAAACCCTCTGGTGTTGCAGGGTGCATACTGTTCAAAGCAGCAATGATGGAGCCCCTCACCTCTGAATCCTTTAAATCTTTGAGAGTGGCAGTGTTGTGTCTGATTGGCTACCTCAACCAGCATGGCACAGGGCAGTTTCATGAGTTTCGACTCAGTCTTTTGTACCACAGTGGTCTTTATACCACAGTTCAGAGAACCAATGTGAACTTTCTACTGGAAGCTAAGGATTTCTAACTCACTTGCATCCTGAATAATAACTGTAAGAAAGACTTAGGATCAAATTCCATTTATTGCCCTGTCTCCACTGGCTCCAACTCCAAATGGAAGACTCCTAGCATATCAGTACCACAGCTGGTAGGCTTGCAAAGTCTTACAGAGCAAAGTCATTTGAACTTCTTCACCTACCCAGGCGTTCTGACCCATTCCACAATGCGCTTCCAAGGAGGTTTTGGCATCTCCACCGCATTCATTCTGGTCCATCTTTATATTGAAGCTTCAGGTGCCAGTTCAGAAAACTCCAGGTATATTTTCCAGAACTTGAATCTAGCATCATGGATGAGTGCCTCAACATCAAGTATCTCCCCCATTGGCCAGGTGCGGTGGCTCATGCCTGTAATCCAAGCACTTTGGGAGGCCAAGGCGGGTGGATCACCTGAGCTTGGGAGTGCAAGACCAGCCTGACCAAGATGGAGAAACCCCGTCTCTACTAAAAATACAAAATTAGCTGGGCGTGGTGGCGCATGCCTGTAATCCCAGCTACTCGGGAGGCTGAGGCAGGAGAATTGCTTGAACCCAGGAGGTGGAGGTTGCAGTGAGCTATGATCATACCATTGCACTCCAGCCTGGGCAACGAGAGTGAAACCTCGTCTCAAAAACAAAAACAAAAACAAAAAAACAAAACATAAAAACCTTCCCCATTTAACAGTGTAGTGTACTTTGCCTGGTCCCCCACAGCCTCACATTTCACTCCCACAGTGATCCCCCAGTCCTCACCAGTGCCTATTAGTCAAGTTCTGCAATCCTTTGAGATGTAAGCCCTTTTATCCTGGAGCTGAGATAGTACTTCTCCATTCAGATATTGCTAAGTCCTGACCCTAGATATTGGCCTGGAGGGACTGAGGGGTGGCGGAGGCAGATCTTGAGAACAGAATAGCATTATGAGGCCCTGTCTCAGTGTAGATCCTCACATGGTCACCACGTAAGAGGCTGCTATCCTCCAGCAAGAGGAAGGTGACTGGGTCTTCTGGTAGTGGAAATTCAAGGGAATTTGCAGATTTAAGATTCTCAGGCTCCTGACTTTTTAATGATCACCATTCTAACTGGTGTGAGATGGTATCTCATTGTGGTTTTGATTTGCATTTCTCTGATGGCCAGTGATGATGAGCATTTTTTCATGTGTTTTTTGGCTGCATAAATGTTTTCTTTTGAGAATTGTCTGTTCAGAGGATGTGGAGAAATAGGAACACTTTTACACTGTTGGTGGGACTGTAAACTAGTTCAACCATTGTGGAAGTCAGTGTGGCGATTCCTCAGGGATCTAGAACTAGAAATACCATTTGACCCAGTCATCCCATTACTGGGTATATACCCAAAGGATTATAAATCATGCTGCTATAAAGACACATGCACACTTATGTTTATAGCAGCACTATTCACAATAGCAAAGACTTGGAACCAACCTAAATGTCCAACAATGATAGACTGGATTAAGAAAATGTGGCACATATACACCATGGAATACCATGCAGCCTTAAAAAATGATAAGTTCATGTCCTTTCTAGGGACATGGATGAAGCTGGAAATCATCATTCCCAGCAAACTATCGCAAGGACAAAAAACCAAACACCACATGTTCTCACTCGTAGGTGGGAATTGAACAATGAGAACACATGGACACAGGAAGGGGAACATCACACACCAGCGACTGTTGTGGGGTGGGGGGATGGGGGAGGGATAGCATTAGGAGATATACCTAATGCTAAATGACAAGATAATGGGTGCAGCCAACCAACATGGCACATGTATACATATGTAACAAACCTGAACGTTGTGCACATGTACCCTAAAACTTAAAGTATAATAATAATAAAATAAAATTTAAAAAAAAAAGATTCTCAGGCTCATCCACCCAAATATACCCTAGCCATTTCTCAGGCTCCCACTCTTTTTCTGTAAGGTCCTAAGTAGTGTGGCTGTGCATTCAGTCTCCTCTGTGGTTCTGCCACTCAGATTTTCTACATAATCTGCACCTTAACCATAAAAGGAATCATTGCTCTCCAAAGCAGCCATAAAGCCCCTCTGACCTTCATGGCATGCTTTGAGTTCACAGTTTACTGCTCTGATGCTATCATTTTCTTTTCCTAAGTATTACAATGCAGTTAACCCACTCCAATATCCTCCCAATTATCATTTTCCCCACACTATTTATTCAGCAGAGCCTTTGCACAAAATAACGCCCCACCTACTTCTTTCACATTATCGCAATTAATCAGAGGTAAAAACACCATTCATTATAATGCCTCTACATGCCAGGGGTTATTATCCCATTGTTTACAACCACCACGGGTCCCATATTGCATACAGACCATAAGCAGTTCATCCCCAAAACAGATCCTTGGGATCTGCTTTCTAGGGATTTTCCTGGACTCAACTTCCATAGCCTAGATTTCCACAGTATTGGAGGCAGAAGACTTCTGTGCGATTATTTACAGGAAATATATATGGGGACAGAGGATAAGATGGTAAAAGAAGAGATATTTAAGCAGATAATTAAAGATAACAATAAATTCTAGTGTGTGTGTGTGTGTGTGTGTGTGTGTTTATGTATATATGAACAGTACCTACTCTACAACCCATCTGAGAAGGTGGTTAATAATACTTGAAGAATGATGGATGTTTTCATGGAGAACTGAAAATAATACATGCAGTTACATAAAATAATAACATTCATTCTGCTTTCACTGTGTCTCAGGATCTATGCAAAGCCCTTATCTTTCATGATTTTAATAATCCCGTGATATAGGTAGTGCTGGCTCCATTTTAGAGATGAAAACACTAACAAAAGCTTAGAGAATTCCCACAGATGTTAAGTGGCAGAGCCAGGGTCACTGCTTCTAAGTATTATGCTATGCTTTTTCCTGAAGGACTTGACATTGGCCCATTTTTAAGAGATGAGGGGCTTTCTTGTCAATGACAGAAGGAGAACATATACCCTAGACAAAGAAGATAGGAAATGCAAAGGCAAGGAGAAGTGAAAGGACTATCATGCTTTAGATCGCAAGAAATTCAGCGTGAACTCAGATTCATCCAGAAGATAAACAGGATAGGAAAGGATGAGTTGGGAAAGAAAGGGTGAGAGTGTTTAGACTGTGAAATAAGTTGGTGGATTTTACAACAGTCCCATCAGGAGGTCATGAAACTCTAAAAGTGGATTATGACCCTGGAGATGAGCAAAGGGACATGAGAGCTTGTGTTCCTTCATTGCTGTTAAATTTAATTCCCTCTTCCCTGGCCCTGAGTGCCAGATACCCCACTTAGCTCCATATGGCTCTGGAAAAATCACTCAACCTCCCCACCCTCAGTTTCTCTAGATATAACATAAGAAAAAATAATAGCTGTTACCTATGGGCCTTGTTGGATTGTTATAAAGGTTACATGAGATCATGCAAGTACAGTACCCAACACCCACATCGAATTTATGTGAATTCAACTGTAAGCTCTTGTCCAGAGATAGAGATAAAAAGAAAGAAAGGGAAGAAATAACAGTTCAACAGTGTGTGAAATTCCACTTTCAATAATTGGTTGCTTGCCTCGGTGAGAAGGGAGGTGTGAAGCTGCTATTCCCATATTTAGTTCCAGTTTCCCCTGCCTCTCAGAGTAATCATCTCCCAAGCTAGAAGGCATTTGTGCTTGAAGCTACAGTTTAATGCAGTGAATGGCACATGGTATGTATTCAATGAACGTTCAACAAATCTTTGTTTTTATCCTTATTATTATCCTTCCTTTCCACCCTCTCCTTGCTAGCAGGCTGTGACTTCTACCACCAATTGACTGGTCAAATATTCTCTCTTCCAGAGACAGCTGTCTTATATCGAAGATGTGGCCCATCCTGGCCTCCAGAGGAGCCACTCATCTGCCCTAAATTATTCTATTCATGGCTACTTAGAAGAAGCAGTTACTCATTTAGTATAAGTGGCTGCTCAAACTGGAATCTTTCCTTGACTTTCTGCCTATTTCCACACTTACACATCCCAGCTAGAATCAACGTCCATTTCCATAAATTCAACTCTAGGCCCAACTGATTGGGAAACCCTCTTGCCCTAGCCACTCCAGAGACAAAGAGTAGAAAGGAGAATGTGTTAATCTCTACCTCTCTAACATTCATTTAAGTCCCACCTCATATCCTGGCCCAGGATCTTCTCCCACAACTACTGGCAGGCACAACATTGTTTCTCATCACTGGAAATCCCATCCCCAGTATAAGATGTATTTTAATCTTACAGTCCTGGCAGTCCCCTCATCTGACAGCCCATTTCTAAAATTCTTGCTTTTTAGTCAGTCAACTCTATATGTGAGATGTCAGTAGTCCTGCTTGGATTGTACTGTGCTGTACCAAGCTGATCCCAACTCTTTTTCCTAACCTTTCCTCCAATGCCAGGTGAGGAAGAGATCCAACAAACACATCCCTCGTATGTTGTCTGCCCTCCACTCTCCATCTCCTGGGAGTAAATGCTTAACAAGAAAACATGCAAATAAATCCCTAAGACAAAAAATAATGTTTAGACATACAGAAATTTAAATGCAAATTTAGAAAAAAAATACCTTGCACTATTTTCAGGGACACAACATATATGTCCAATGTAAATTTCTAAACCAATGACTTCATACTGCCATTGACAGCATCTGCAGTTGGAAAACTCCACTGTTGATTGGTCTTTGCCAAGAGCAATGGATATGGATTTGTCCTACATCAATAAAACTGAAAGACTCACCAAAGACTCTCAGAAACAAAGAGAACTCTAACTTAAACACAAAGCAAGTGAAGTCTCCACGCTAAAGGCAGATTTCCACATACACTGTTTGAGACAGTGCTTGGGACACAGTAAGTCTTCAAGTGATGTTAATTTTTTAATCATTGTAGTGGTCATTTGTTATCACCCAACTGCATGCCACCATACCAGCACATGCATGCACCAAGTGTAAAAACATCCTTACTTTCTTGCTACCTTCAGATTCAAATGAAACAAAAGTAGTTCTTCATATCCATCCCTAATTTGTGAATCCTAGGTTTGATTCTAGGTGATGCATTCAATATGTCATATGCTGCATCAAAGTTCAAGTTACAAGTTCGAAAGTGCTTTACAAGCCAGTTCACCTTGCCAAGTGCTCCTTGTATTAGTCTGTTTTCACACTGTTATAAAGATACTACCTGAGACTGGGTAATTTATAAACAAAGGAGGTTTATTAGACTCATAGTTCCACAGGGCTGGAGAGGCATCAGGAAACTTACAATCATGGCAGAAGGGGAAGCAGGCATGTCTTACATGGCAGCAGGTGAAAGAGCCTGTGAAGGAAGCAAAGGGTGAAGAGCCCCTTATAAAACCATCAGCTCTCATGAGAACTCACTCACAATCACGAGAACAGCATGGGGGAAACCATCTCCATGATCCAATCACCTCCCTTCCTCAACACATGGGGATTACAATTTAAGATTTGGGTAGGGACACAGAGCCAAACCATGGCTCCTCATAGAAGGGTTCCCATTCAATGCCTCATGGAATGAATGTAAAGGATCTCAGGAGCAAAGAATTTGTGGATATTTGTATGAGCAAGAAAAGACAATACAGGAATTTGAGGACTCAGGGTGAAAGGCTGGGAAGGGGGTGAGGGATAAAAGACTACAAATTGGGTTCAGTGTATACTGCTCGCGTGATGGGTGCAACAAAGTCTCACAAATCACCACTAAAGAACTTAGTCATGTAACTAAATACCACCTGTTCCCCCAAAACCTATGGAAATAAAAAAAATTAAAAAAAATTTAAAAGACAATACAGAGAAAGCTAACCTAGACCCTTTTCATGTGATTCAATCAGCAGCACTTCAACTAAAATCATGAGCCTATTCTAATGACTTTTTATTTTAGCCTGCATGGCTCGCATTTTATATTTGAAAGATTTGAGACAAGTGCTATGTGCTTATAATTTTTTTGTCAGAACATTGGAATCTGACTGTTAGAGTTAGCAAAAAATAAAATTAAAAAAAAATCCAACAGATTATCTTCCCCACTATGCTCACTTTATATTCCCTCGCAGCTGCGGGAAAACCGTAAGTGTGTGGGGGAAGTACATGGATTTTAGACACAGAATTGTCAAACACAAGTCAAGCACCTCTACTTAGTAGCTCTGTAATTCTGGTTGCATTACTTCTTTCCTCTGAATTTCATCAGCCATAAATGGAAATGATAATAGCACCTACCTCATGGGAATACAGTGAAGCCTAAGGAAGACAGTGTGTATATGGAAGTCCTTTATCTTCTTTCAGGTGTTGCACAAACATTACCTGGAGTCCTCTGGTGTGATACTATGAATGTGTGATTTGAATGCATTAGTTGAAGTCCTCCTTCTACCTACTACCTGACAATGATAAGTGTCACAGTCTTCATCTATGAATAATGTAATACACACAACATTTTCCTCATACGTTTTCTGTGACGACCCATGAGATACCTGGAAAGCACTTTTCATCATGTCTGATGCACAGAAGCACCCAACAGGTGTCAAGTATCATTAGGCATTTGGTGATAACATGGATGTTTCTTCAAAAGTATTTAATGAGACCTGGCTAGATACTAAGCATTCTATCTTGTGCTGGGAGTCAAAGTGGGAAAAAAGGATACCTTTTGGCTCTCCCAAGACTCACCACGTAGTGGGGAATATTTTACTTCATGTGTTCATTTGCAGTTGGGATCAGAGGCTTCTGATTGCCCAGAAAATAAAGCGAACTTATTTGTTTGGCATTCAGAACACTCCAGTATACGACTCCACTTTATCACCCACATGCAGCTGATGTTTCCAATCAGCTAAATTTATTTCCTGTATCTACATCATTGCTTTTGCTGAATTCTCCACCTGAAATACACCTCATCTCCCTCTTTCTCTGCCCAAACCCTGCACTTCCTTCATGGCCCGACCAAAACGACCTCCTTTGTGGACAACAAGTCTTCTGCTCCCCTTCATGCCCTTTGAGGAACTGTCCTGGTGTAGCTGCAGATGCCACTCCTTGCAGATGCCACAAAACGGGTACAGGTTTACCTAGTTCTGGTCAAAAAGAGTGTGGCATTCGCCTCACTTTAGGGATTAGTTCAGGGGCAGGCATGCGACCCAATCCAGGCCAATGAGAAAGACATCTGAAATTGGTGCAGAGTTGGTAAAACAAACAAAAAAAATACAGTCAAGTTGTATTCTTTTATGCGTGAGTTGTTCAGCTAGCTGTTAAACTAGAAGGATGTGAGCTGAGAACTGCACATCACCATTTCACCTGTAAAAACACACAACTCTAGGAAAACAGAGCTGACAGATGGAGAGACCAAGTCCTGCTGGCTTCATGGACTGTGTGGATGACATTCCTTAACTTTCAATTAGGGAAGCCAATCCATTTCTATTGCTTATTATTGTCATTGTTGTTTAGTTCTTATCACCTGCAATCAAGAGTCTCCTGCTGACCAAGACACAGCTTATTTATATTTTTGGCTTCTATGAAACATCAAAGTGAGTTTTGGCCCATGGCAGGTGCTCAGTAAATGTCAGATCCAATTAAGCCATAACTCACAGAATGAAATGCAATGAATTCCAAATCTGATTTATCTAGAGCCTCAAATGAATCAAGACTTTACATAATAACCTACATAAGTAGGAGAACTATATTTTTCGGAGTATTTTTATTTATCTTCATTTTAGAAGTGAGAAGCAGAAGGCCTGGAGAGATAAACTGATTCCTTCAGTCCCGGAGGAAGTGAGTGGAACAATTGTAGAATCCGGCCCCAATGTTCCTTTGTCTTCCTCTGTCCCCTGAGGCAGGTAGTGTAGGAGTAGGAATTTTTGGAGTCACCCAGTTGGAGTTGAAACCTCATCTCCACCAGCTGTGATGCACCACCTCAGCCTCTAGCACCAAGTAAGTGCCAATTAGATGACAGTTTCTATTATTACCACTAATATATGTTTTGGTGATTTCTCAGTTCACCAGAAATTTTAAAATGACTCAGAAATCTCAAGGGAACATTATGTGATGAACTCCCACTGTTAAATACGAGATTTCTCTCTTAAGGGAGGAAAACAATCCCCAGCAGGTGCCTCAATGGGGGAAATGTAAGGCTTGAGTTGCTAGTGCTTGTGTTATGATTCATTTTCCACCCATTATTCATAGGCTTTCTTCATTCATAGTAAAATGGAACTTTTCTGTGTTCATTGAGCTGAGATTATTATTCAGGTACTGTCAGAGAATTGCTAAGTTTCATTAGTTTTAGAACCTAATTTAGGCTGATATCCTTATAAGTTACAGTAGGAACTTCTCTGTAGGTTAAGGAGATGTGATTACTATGGCTGAATAATAAAATGTACAAATGAACAAAAAATGTAGACCTGTAAACCTAAAGGGACTCCAGAAGTTCTTGCCTCAGGTTGAAGAAAAAATTGAAGAAGAATTGCCTCCTTTATGTGACTTTGTGTCTCATCATTGTCCTAACTAAATGTTAAAGGACAGATCTGTGTGGAAAGCTCCAACCAAATAAACAAGGCTAAAATCAAGGTTTTCTGACCCACTTAAAAGGCTATTTGGGGCTTCTGTAGACAAGGTTTCATTATGATAACTTTTTTTTTGTTTAATCTAGCTAGACCAAATGTGAGTATTTCTTAATTTTGTTAAAAAATGAACACACCTGGTGATTTTTTTACATTCTTAAAATGTGCACAATTTAAAATATAATACTGAAATTGAAAGCTTGCCAATTCAGGAAAGGAGAAGGCATCCTTCTCACTGGGGGGTAGAAGCATTATTTTATTACTTTAATTGCTGAGCTGACAAGTTTACTTCTGTGACAAAGGTGTGTCCCCAGATTTTTAAAGAGAAAGCTTCAGAAGAAAGGGATGCTAGGGAAAGGGCATTAACCTTTGGTACCCAAGGTTATTGCCAAGTATTGTGCATGACGCTAAACACATGTGAGCTCCTCTAGTTCCCTGTAAAACCCTTGAAATAGATTCTCCTACTCTACAGAAAGGGCCTTTGAGGAACTGAATAAAGTGCCTATGATCTCCTCAGAAATAAAAGGCAGTGTTGAGATATTTTTTCATCAGTGTTGTGATTAAAATAACAAACAAAAGCAAAAACCTTCATGCTTTATGCTTTTCCTAATCCATCCATGTTCTTATAAGTCAGCCATTCATGTTTAACTTTAGTAACTTTGTTATATGGATGCAAGCAGGAGAATATCTGAGCAGGTAGCCAGACCATAGTTCCTAGCCTCTCTTGAAGTTTTGTGGCCATTTGACTAAAATCTGGCCAAAGGAATGTGGTGTGTGTGATCACTGCCACCCCAAACCTGGCTCATGAAACATCCTGTGCAATCCTCCAAGCTCTATTATTGCATCTCCTAGTCATATTCAAATGATCTAACGGAGGCCCCTGAGGCTCAGTGGATACTGGAGCACCTAGTTGGAAAGAGCCTGAGGCTTTAATGACTATATGACTCTATACCAACTCAGAATGAATTGTGACATGCCTTGAAAATCTTTTCTAAATTAAGCATCTGAAAATCGGGGGTTATTCATTATGTAGTCAGTCTTCCCTGACAAATACACCTTCAACCATTTTTACTAAATAATTTTATTTAAATAAATTTGCATTTTCCTTAAATTTATTTATTATGGCATTATTTACTTTAACATGTAGATTTCATGTGCTGACTACTTTTTATTTTCTATTACAAGAAATAAAACCAAAACCACTTTTAAAAGTTCATTTGACCCAGCAATCCCATTACTGGGAAAGGAATATAAATCATTCTACTATAAAGACACATGCACATATATGTTTATTGCAGCACTATTTACAGTAGCAAAGACATGGAACCAACCCAAATGCCCATCAATGATAGACTGGATAAAGAAAATGTAGTACATATACACCACGGAATACTATGCAGTCATAAAAAGGAATGAAATCATGTCCTTTGCAGGGAAATGGATAAAGCTGGAAGCCATCGTCCTCAGCAAACTAACACAGGAACAGAAAACCAAACACAGCATAGTCTCACTCATAAATGGGAGTCAAATAATGAGAACACATGGACACAGGGAGGGGAACAATGCACTCCGGGGCCTGTCAAGGGGTGGGGGCAAGGAGAAGGAGAGCATTAGGACAAATAGCTAATGCATATGACGGTTGATAGGTGAAGCAAACCACCGTAGCACACATATACCTATGTAACAAACCTGCACATTTTGCACATGTATCCTGGAACTTAAAGTAAATTTTTAAAAAAGTTTACTGTAGAATAATTTTGTGCACCATACTTTGAGATACAGTGCTGCTCTAATCAGTTCCCTGTGCTTGGACAGAAATGTGATCCCTTCTTCAGCCTGAATAGCCAAAGCAAGTGTTTGTGTCAGGACAGCCATGTAGAGGCAATGCATCATCCCCATCCAAAATTTGTCCTTTAAATCCAGAGGGTCCAATGAGAAAGGGTGGAACTGAGCAGAAACCTCAGAGCCACTCTGGTTTAAATGGCAGTGGATGCTTCCTGGCAAAAGACAGAATAACTGTGGCCACAGCCTCTTGCTCCTGATCGTGCCAACCTCAGCCCAGTGGTTGCTGTGGCCGCTGGAGATTGCCCAGGACTGAATAAGCAAGAAAAGTGGCTCTTTCTACCATCCCTTCTGCCTTGGACCACTAGGCCAGTATGCTCACGCCCTTCCACGTTTCTCGTACCTGTGGACTCAGCCAACATAGCTTGCAAGCAGAACATTTAGGTGTCTGCCCCCAAAACACTTTCTCTCCAGTCTGCAAAGAAAACCTTCTAAACCCAAGACCAATGTTCTGAAAACAAGTCAAAAGAATATGAACTCCTGGAGGACAAAGATCATATCTGAATGGTCTCTGATTCCTCAGAACATTCTAGACAGAACACAGAGTAGGCATTAAAGGAGGATTTGCTAAACTGAAACAAAAGCTTGCTCTGTTCACAGGAAACAAATGTTTCGAGTCACCTATAAGTAATTTACTCCAGGATATAGTTTCTTAAGAATTCCAGGAAAATATATTAGAAATTGTCAGTAAGTGTACAAGAGATAACCGAGTTTTCCTTTCTAAAAAGGAAACATAACCCTATGTTTAAAATGCCACTGTAAAGATCAAATGACTACTAAGTATGTTATAATAAAGACAGAGTTGGCATTTACAAGGAAGTGAGCTGCTACTGAAATTCAGCTGCATCTCAATGCACACACACGCATACACACACACACACGCACACACGCATACTCACACACTACACTGCTGCTTCATTAAATCAATTAAATCTGCCAGTGTTTGGTGGTGATGCTTGGAACTGTCTAATGTTGAAAATCAGGCCACCTACCCATAACAGAAGGAGTGTGTGTGTGTGTGTGTGTGTGTGTGAGAGAGAGAGAGAGAGAGAGCATGTGAGTGCACACTTCTAATATCCAATATATTTAACATAAAACATAGTGACTCTTCTGCATGGCAGAGCACTAAGTAATTACTCTGGCCCTAGATATCTTTTCTATACAGGCTTTCTGCACTCTTCCACTCTGTTATTTGTGGAAAGATGGGGGCGCGGTGGGGGAGCAGACGAACTCTTACCATGGCAACCCTTGCAGAACATGTTGCACCTGATACTATCTGTCACTGTTTGGATAGAGAGCACTTCTCACCAGGAAAAGAAGAAAAGATGCATTTGGCTTGATTATATGAGTACTTAACAGCCATCAGAGGAAACATAAAAACAATTAAAAGAGCACGCACTTTGTCCCCTCAAGATTTAAAACAAAGTTCGGAGGCTCCTTTCTTTTTAACAAAATCCTCATCTCTTGTGTGGACAAATTCCGAAGTTTGCATAAATGACCTTTAATGTCCTCATGTGATGACCAGGTTCTACCATTGGGCTAAAATGTACGATGCTGTGTATGTTTGTTATGATTTACTTCCAGTGTTTTTCATCCAAAATGAAAAATGTCCTTCCCCAGCAGTTGTTTCCTCTCAGGCATTTACTCCCAGGTTACCTGAATTTAAGGGTCCCTGAAACCTCTTACCAGTTTGCTTTCAATCTCACTCTCTCTCCCTGCAGATCACCACACCCAGACAGTCGCCTGTGAGTCTTCCTGAGTCAAGCAAATACCTTTGCTCTTTTTCCTCATTTTGCTTTGAATTACATTTTCTGGGCTCTGGCATCCTCTGTTTTTGAGAAGCCTGGTGGAATTGTCTGTGAATTGTAAATACTGTCAGGCTACAGGAACATAAAAATCAAGGAAAAGCTGATGAGCTTGCATTGCTTCAAAATATCATGTAAAGCAGGCAAGACAACAATTTTTTTTTTCTGATGATCAGTCCACGGTTGGAATACACAGAGTTGTTTTCCAAAAAGTTCTAGCTCCCAAGGCCAGATCAAACAGAATGTTACATTGTCAAAAGGCCAGATTAGTCAGACAGGAACCATTTGCAGATGTGCTCAGCAACACACCTCACTTCTGATAGTTGATAGTTTCGTTAATTCATTCAGAAAGTATTTTGGTGACCATGTGCGCGAGGCACTGTGCTAGGACACAACAATGCCTGTTAGTTTCTGCAATCTCACTTTAGACATTAATTCCTCTAGGAAGTGTTCTCTAACTTCTAAAACTGGGTCAGGTGTCCTCTTCTGTGTTTTCCTGGCACCCTGTGTTTAATCTTAAGGCAGTGTCTAATTGTTTTGTAATAATCCCTTACCCTTTGTAGCAGAAGGATAGGCTAAGCTAAACTTCCAAAGTAAACCCCCAAATTTCAGTACTTTAACAAAGCTGTATTGCTCACTTAAATCACCAACCACTGTGAACTGGATGGCCCTATTTAAATGCTCTTATTTAAGAAATAATTAAAGAATCCAGGCTGCTTCTAGATTCAACTCTTTTTTCTATTCAGAATCCTCTGTTTGCACCTAAGTGTACAGAAGTGGAGAGAGAAGAGAAAAAACGAGAGGGTAATGAAGGCGGGGGTGGGGGGAGGGGAGGGGAGGAAAGGAGAGGAGAGGAGAGGAGAGGAGAGAGGAGAGAGACAGGAGAGGAGAGGGGAGGGGAGGGGGAGGGAAGGGGAGAGGAGAGGAGGAGAGGAGCTACATCTGCTCTTAACTTTCTCAAAAAAGCTAAAAACTGGCAAGAATCCATAATATTGACATCACTTAGATTGAGAATGGGAAATGTGGAGGAACTTGTGGGTATTTGGTGAGAAATAGCACACTCCGCCATAATTACCTATTTACAAAATTAAATTATAAACTCTTTGAGAACAGGAACTGGTTATATGAAATTTATAGCATGACAACATGTTTTTACCTGATAGGAACTGACCAACAGATACACAAATTGATGGTAGAGGAAAGAGAGAGAGAGCAATACCATGAGGAATGTCTTTGAATATAGGCAAGAGGGAATGGGTTCAAGGAAACAAGTGAAGAGATTGGCCCCAGACAGAGCTAAAATAGTTCTTCCATGGTACAAGGAGAAAAGGTAAAGTGTATAGGTACAGAGTATGTGAGTACAAGGAAGTTAGATGGTGGGAGGATGTACAAATTATCTTCTCATTGCTTCTTTTTTCTCAGGTAAATAAGAATGGTTATTGGCTAAAGGTGTGGGAGGGAAGGGAAGAAGTGTTGGCAGTTTAAGAAGAGTTAAGGAAAGCAAACAATCCTCAGATTCAGGAAACACAAATCCTAAGCAGAATAAATAAATCGACATCCAAATACATTGTCAAGAAAAAATATTAAATATAAAAAATAAAACTGATGATAATTAAACAAACATGAGAGAAAAGACAAGATTACCTACACAAAATTATGATTAGAGTAACAGCCAAATTCACACACACATACACACCCCCTTTACACACACACACACACACACCAAAAACTTAGATGAAAAGGACAAAAATCTAGAAAGATCTGTTTAGAAAACAAACTTGTTCAAACTGAATATAAAATTTAACTTTTAAATGAATTATCAATGGTTAAAATTCAAACACATGCACACACACACACGCACACACACACGCACACCTCAGTTTCACAGATGAGTTCTCCCAAATATTCAGAAAACAGATAAATTTTGTGATACATAAAATGTACTAGAGAAAAGAAAAAGAAGGTAAATTTCCCGAAGTAGATTATGAGGCTGTTATAATCAAACCCAAAAACCAAACCTGAAAAGACCATTAAGTTATAGGCCAATCTTACATATGAATATAGATGCAAAATCTGAAATATTAGGAAGAAGAATTAAACTATGTCTTTAAAATAATTTGTCAGGAATAATAATTTATGAAAGGAATTCAAAGATGTTTTAACATGAAAAAAATCTATTAATTTACATTACCATATTAAGAAAAAAATTGTATTAGATCCCCAATATGTACAGAAAATACTTCTCATAAACTTCAACAATCTTTCATGATAAGAATCCTTAGCAAAACAGGAATAAAAGAATTAACTGTAATCTTAGAAGTGTATCTATCATATACCAACAGAAATAATATATTTAATGAGGAAATATTGGGAATAATGTTCCTTGAAGTCAGAAAGAAGAGAAAGATACCTGCTGATACATTTATTCAATATAACATTGAGTTTCTAACCAGTATATTAAGACAAAAACAGCAAATAAAAATGAGAAGAATTGAAAAGGAGAAAGAAAATGTTTATTATTTTTAAATTATATTATCTCCATATAAAATCCAATAAGTTTGGTGTACAAACTTTTATTATTAACAAAATACTTCAGCAAATTTGCTGGATACAAGAATATTTTTAAATAAACCTTATTGCTAGTATGCCAGCAGTAAACAAATGAAACATGCAAATCTTTGAACAGCAATGTTTACAAAGGAAGAAAACTGTAAAGAGAATGGGAGTGTATAGTGGCTCCTTCATTTTGGAGAGCTGTTTGGCATTTTCTGATAAAGTTACACACATCTATCGTATGATTTATCAATTCCACTCCAGGTATTTATCTCAGAGAAAGAAAAGTCTATACCCACAAAGAGAACTGCACAATTCTTTTAGGGGATTTATTAATAATAAGCAAATCTGGAAACAACTCAAATGTGTACTAATAGGAAAATGTATAAATTCATTGTTATAATCGTATAGTAGAATTTTACATAACAATAAAGTCACATAAAATGCTGCTCATGCAACAACATGAAATAACCCCAAAAACGTTATAGAGAATCCGGACACAAAAAAGCACATTGTGTATAAGTCAATTTATAAGAAATATATCTAAAAAACCTCTGTGTGGTAGTGGAAATGATCTATATCTTGTTTTGGGTACATAAAAGTCTATGCAATTATCACAACGATCAAACTGTCCCAATTATCAAACAAAATCCTTAAGATCCATGACATTTTATTTTATTTAAATAATATTTCAATATGAAAACAGGAAAAGAAACATGTAAGTACCTAGAATATATTTTCGGAGATGTTTAAATTTGTCCAAAAATTATCAGACTTTATTGAAAAACATTAATGAAAATATGTACCATATTCATGAAAATATACACCATATCCAATCTCATACATGTTATAAATCTACATATTCTATGCAATTGCATTCAAAGTCTCAAAACCTGTATGTGTGTGAGAGTGTGTGTGTGTGTTTCTGTGTGATCGCCTTGATAGTGGATTATAGAATTTATATAAAAGAATATAGATCCTAGACTAGCCATGGTAACATTGGAGAATGGGCACAGTAAAAAGATGAGTAGAAAAGGGGTACAGGTTAGTAAGATTTGACTTAGCAGATTGCAACACTTACTATATAGATACAGTAGTGGGATCGTGCCTGTGAATAGCCACTGCACTCCAGCCTGGGCAACATAGCAAGACCTCATCTCTATAAATAAAGAAGGATAATAGAGCATATGTAACAAATAGATCAATGGGATAGGGAAAAAATTCTTTAAAGTCCTAATGAAAGCAATTATCTCCCCCACTGCATAATCAAAATTATCTTCTTTAGTGAATAATTCACACTTTCACACAAATGTGTCATTTCTCTTATCCTAAAAAAAATTTTTTTAACCTGCTCATCCTTCTTACTACCACTACATTTCTTCACCCTCACTTGCAGCAAAACTCCCTGAAAAAGAGTTGCCTAAAATCACCAACTCTGATTTCTATTTCTCCATTCTTTCTTAAGGCCATGCTGATCAATTCTTTGCTGCACTGAAAAGGTCCGCAGAGGTCAACAATGACCTCGGATTGATTATTTCCATGGAGAGTTTTGTTTTACATTTCAGCTGCATTTTTAATACAACTGATCACTTCCTTTTTCTTGAAAAACTTTCTTGGCTCCCAAGTCAGCACACTCCCTTTGTTTTCCTCCCTCCCTCACTGATTATTTCTTCTCGGCCTCCTGAGTTTCTGCTCTTCTACCTGACTTCTTAATTTTTAAGTAGTCCAGAACACAATTCTTATTCTAATTTTCTGTTTATATTTAAACTTTTAGTGATCATATCCAATCCTATAACTTTAAACACCGTCCATATACCTATGACTCTCGAGTTTAAGTCTCCAGTCCAGATCTTTCTCTCACACTTAACACATATATCCAACTGCCTTTTCAACAACTTTGCTCCGATGTCTAATATATTTCTTACATTCAACACATCAAATATAAGCAAATAAATCCCTGACCTTACCCGCAAACTGCTGCACATGGAATTCTCCCATTTCAGCTGGCAACTCCATTCATGCAATTTTTCAAGTAGCAATACATGAAGTCATCCTTCATGTTTTTCTTTCTTGGATATCCCAAACCCAAACCAGAAAGCTCTACCTTCTCACCACCTGCATTGCTAAGACACTGATATGAGACATCATTATTTCTTTCTGAATTATTGACAATAGCCTTCAACAGGTTGTACTGATCAAGTAGGTTAACTGATATAAGAAATAATCCCCAAATATGAGTGACTTTACACAGCAAAAGTTTAACTCATATAGAGTTCTAAGCAGATGTTCCTGGTCTGGTGGTTCCTTTGGGATACTCTCCTCCCAGCTGTATTGTAGGAAGCCAGACCTCATCCATCTGATGGCTCTACAATTCCTAGGGCCTCAGGGTCTCTACAGGAGGTGACATTGTAGAGATAAAAGTGACTCCATCTTGGATGCTCAGCCACTATATTGATATGACTTCTATGTTGATTAGCCCCAGTGCTGTGAATGCCTCCTGATTCCTACTTTATTTATTATTCTTAGTGTGAGAAAATGTCAACCTTGATGTTACGGCACAAATTACAGGTTATGATGCATTTAGCATTTGTGCCTGTTCTGCAGGGTTGCCCTTAATTGTCTTGCCAGAGCACATGTACCCTTTCTCTATGGTATATAAGCCCCTAGTTCTGGGAGTAACAGGTGCAGAGATCTACCTGTCTCATGGCCACCCAAAACCATGCTTTTGTTTTTATTTTATTTTCCCCAAATAAATCAGCCAATATTGACAAACTGGATTTGTCTACCTTGTTCTTTGGTTTCTCAGCTCCTTCAGCATTTAAGAGCTGCTTTGCATATACGGCCCTTTCACAGAGCAGACATCATCATCTGTGCCCACACTGCATTGGCCAGAATTCAGTTCTATGGTCAAGTCAGCTGAAAGGGATCCTTAGAAATGCAGAGGAACACATAGTACAGCATATCTGACAAAGAGCTCCATGCCTCTATGCTTGCCACTCTACATCTGTTCTCAATACAGACACCAAAGTTATTTTCTTAACATGTAAGTTAGATCACGTCACTCCTCTGCTTAAAATTCTGCAGGTTACGGTGGCTCACGCCTGAAATCCCAGCACTTTGGGAGACTGAGGCTGGTGGATCATGAGGTCAGGAGATCAAGACCATCCTGGCTAACATGGTGAAACCCCGTCTCTACTAAAAATACTAAAAAATTAGCCGGGTGTGTTGGTGGGCACCTGTAGTCCCAGCTACTTGGGAGGCTGAGGCAGGAGAATGGCGTAAACCCGGGAGGCAGAACTTGCAGTGAGCCAAGATCGGGCCACTGCACTCCAGCCTGGGCGACAGAGCGAGACTCTGTCTCAAAAAAAAAAAAAAAAATTCTGCAAGTTAGCCCACCTTACTCAGATTAGATGCCAGTTTCCAGCAGTTGTTTACAAAGCCCTGCAGTATCAGAAACCCTTATTATCCCTCTTATTCCACCTTGTACTTCTCTTCCCAGCTTCTACTCTGCTCCAGCCATGCTGAATTATTGCTTTTCCTCAGATATTCTAGGCATGCTTTCAGCTCAGGCTTTAGACTATGGACCTTCTGCCTGGGAGGCTTCTCCCTGATATCTGCATGAATGGCCCCCTCATTTTTTTTCAGCTCTTTGCTCACAGATTGCCATGTTAATGAGGCCAACTCTAAACACCCTATCTTCTGCTGCTGCAACGTACCTATCCCTCTTTCTGGAACTCCCAATCCCCCTCCCTTGTTTGGCATTACCAACCCCAACCACCCCTATTCTCCTCCCTGGTTTGAACTCCTCAATGGCATGTTCTTCCCTTCTGTTTTCTCTATTTCTTTATTTCTGTTTTACTCTACCAGAAAATAAGGACCAAGGCAGAAATTTTTAAAATTTTTGGTTTACTGATAACACCTACAGTGGTGGCTGGATTATAACAGAAGCTCATTCGATCAGTATTTTTTTTAAATGAGTCAATTCTCATAACCTCCTTTCCTTATTTATTATTATTATTATTATTCCATTAGTATCACCCTGTTTTACAGGTGAGAAACTGAGGCACAGACAGATTTAACAATGTTCCAAGGTTGACTTGCTAGCAAACATCTAGGAAGTAGTAGCATTGCACTTGAGACCCTGGCAGTCTACCTCCAGAGTCCATGTGCACAACCACTTAACTAATCTGCTTCTCCATACATATCCTTGGTGCTGTTACTGCAAACTGATGAGTGTAGGTATTGTTAATAGATATCTTTATTTGACAAATGAGGAAACTGAGTCACATACTTTAGATTAACTTGTCAAATGCCACACCATTAAGAAGAAATTGAGCCAAATTTGACTAAGATATTTTGTTCCTAGGATTTCTGTTTCTAAATACTATGTATATTTATTTTCTAAGAATGCTATTGCACAAAATCATCTCTAGAAATCATTAATCTCCTCTTTATTGTTGTAAAAAAAAATCACACTGTTTTTCTTCAGGACTGATTTTTTTAAGTGCTGCAAGTATCATTTTACTGAGTGACTGGCCAACCACATCAGATTGTACTGCCCACCTGCAACCATTTAATTACACAGTGCTCGTAAAGCCAGAACTGCTGACCTGAATCCTGTGGTCTTTTCTCTCCATGTGGTAAGCTCTTAATCAATTGAGTGTTCAATTCAGTTTAATTCAATGTTTTTACTGGCTTGAACCATTTCCTAGCTGAGCTCACACAAATACCACCAAGGACTGCCATCTGACCAGGTCTATACGGATTGGAGTCTAGATTTTAATCAGTCTAGTTTCTATGTGTGTGGTCCTTACAGTAAAGTCATTTGGTATCTGATAGTGTAAAAATGTTGACTTTGATACAGAGATTGTTGCAATGAGTCATTGTATGGAGGCCAAGGTCTGTCTGACAATAGTGGCACTAAAGGACTTGTCAGGAAGCATAGAAGAACTGACTGTGCTTCTCAATGCTAGTTTGCAAAGGGAGGCTCTGATTAGTATCTCAATCTCCAAGCTGCTGTTTAAGGTATTTAATCATCAAAACATATACATATCCATGTATGCTTCCTGCAGATTCTCAGTTGGACCCAGAATCTACATTTGCCCTTGGATTGATGATGGATTTTGTATTATCATTTGCTTGCTTTGAACAGAGAGGCATCTGAATTCTCTCAGCCCTAAGAGGAGACCCTGTATCAATGGGTCTTCTAAATAGTTGCTTGGGGATTCTGTGGGCAGTGCGCAACTCAAGCGTGACAATCTTTGTATGAAACTCCAGGAGTATGCCACTTGCCCATCTCACCTTTTGTACTGGTCATCCGTTAACTATCTGTCTGCCTGCCTGTCGCTTTGGGAAATATTTTTCTCCAATTCTATGTAATTATCTTAGTTCTCTAAGTCATGTTGTCCTCCCTTGTTATTGACAAAGGGGTGTATGTAACACCCACTGCTGGTTGGAGTACCCTAAAATCTGGACGTTTGGCTGAAAAAAATAGTGGTGAGCATGCAACCTAAGTAAAATTTGAAGAAGAAGGGATAGGTGAGGAGTCAAAGGCATTTTACAATGTGAATCACTTGTCCTTTGCTGCAAAACACATTACTCACAAAACATTTACAGCCTAAAACACAAATTTCGTAGTTCCTATATGTCAGAGATTCCAAGAATGGCTCAGCAGGGTCATCTGGCTTAGAGTCTTTCAAAAGTTTGCAATGTTGTGTCAATAAAGGACCCAGTCAACTCAAAGTTCAACTGAAGGAATATATGCTTCCAAGGTCCCTCAGTAGTTATTGTTAGAATTTTGTTCTCAGGAGCTATTGAACTAAGGGACTCAACTTCCCGCTGACTGTTGTCCAAAGGCAATTTTCAGTTCCTTGTCATTTTCGACTGTCCATAGGGAAGCTGGCTTCCCCAGAGTGAGCAAGTAAGGGGTCAAGAGAGGTAGTTACAATGAAAGGGAGCATGACAGCAAGATGGAAGCCACAGTCTTTCACAATGAATCAAGGAAGTTATAGCCCATCACTTTTGGCATACTCTATACATTTAAAGCAATACATTCTTTACGTTTCTAGGTCCAGCCCATGCTCAAGGGGAAGGGATTATACAAAAGCATGTTGGGAAGGAAGTGGGCATCATCTGCAGCCATGTTAGAAGTCTGGCTACCACAACAATGCTTCTATATATGTGAACCCAAAGCTGACACTAACCCATTTGGGGCAAACAAATTAGAAAAAGTATTCTCCTCTTAACAATCAGATGCAGCCCAGATATGCCTATGTCAAGATAAAAAGCACCTGTCCTTGGAGAATGCATCCCCAAGTCAGAGCACATGGGTTGACTCACAGAGACTACCATCAGCAAGCAGTGCACACACTATAAAACTGAGAAGAGAAGCTCTGTGTTCACTATTGCCTCATTTCCTGCCAATGCACAATTCTATGTTAAATAATGATACTTTGAAAGTGAAGTCCAACCTGTCCTGTTTCAGAAGAGTAAAGGCTTTGATAGATCATAGTCAGTGTAATATCTCTCATTAAATAAGAGAATGTAAATGACATCTCTGAAATCAAGCCACTAGCTTTAAAGCACTATGCAAATATAAGGAATTATTATCATTAGCTAGTCTGGTGATTTCAACTAACTAATCCCACCTAATACCAGCATTTTATTTGGAGTACTCTGTAATTAACTTCAGATTCTCATCCCGCTTTTATTCAGCAAAGCTTTACTGAGTACCATTTTTTATCACATACTTTCAGGCAGATAGGAGTCATGATGCCGAATAAAACAAACAGTGCCAGATATGGGTGGCTTTTCATACAGATGGCATAACTAGACACCTACATGCACTCAAAGGGACTCAAATGCTACGTTTCTTTTACTCCAAACCATCTCACTATCATTACTCTCTGTGCCTGAAACTCCCAAAGGAGGAGAGCTAACTCTTAGTGCCTACAATATGCCATACACTAAACCATGTGGTTTAACTGTATTTGTTATAATCAGGTAACTTTCAGAGGCAACTATCCTCCATGCAGTATTTAGTGCTCAGGATACTTTCATCTTGTGACTTCGCCGTCTCCAAACAAGCCCTCCTTCAGGCTGCCAATAGGGAAGAGAGATTGAAGAATTTGGCAATGACTTTTTACTGCCTTAGGCTGGAAACGATCTGTGTCACTTCTGCTCATAGCCCTTTGTCTGAAATCATTAAAATGGCCTGGACAAACTCTAAAGGGGCTGAGAATTCTGGTCTTCTGTGCTCAAAAGAACATGGCAAACTAATAACGTCTACAACCACATCCACAATTTTCTTCCTACAAAAGATGATGCAGTCTTAGAAAGTACAGGTAACCTTTCCAAGGTGATTCAGCAGAGCGTGGTTTAGAACTGCAGTCTGCTTGGTTTCAAAACACAGGCTTTATTTCATTTTCCACCACAACAACCTACCACTTGGTGGAACCATTCCTCTAGGAATTGCTTACTAAGATATTCATTTTCAAGTGGCATGTACTAAAAAGTACGTTCTGAATGCCTTACCCCAATCTGATCCTAAGGCAATGAGCTCTCTCCCATATGTGAACAACTCTCACAGAGACTTTACCTGTCTTGAGTCTTTTTGCATCCTCTACCATCTGAAAATTCTGTATGTGGCTCTAAAACTCTATTTACAGAAAGCTGTTACTTAAGAAGCCACTTTTTCATCCTCCCTTTATCCAGTCTCTGCTTTCAGGAAAGACTACAACATCCATGCTGTGTCATTACAGTCAAGGAAAGTCAACATATTCTATTTTCCATCCATCCCCTATTCCTTCATCAGACACCACTAAGTGGTTACCTGAAGGAGGAAAGCAGTGTCTGAGAAGAAGGGAGAATGTTTGGGGCCAGTGTTTAATGTCTTCCCTGAAAACCCCATGACACCATAGATCTGACTTGATATTTTTCTTTCTACTGATTTTGTATGGCTGACTTAAGAAAGCAAACAACGATAACAACAAAAATACTAGTACAAAAGCATAGGAATACAATTAAGCAAAACTTGAAAACTGAGTTGGCAGAGTAGCAGCCTGCTAACTTTTCATCATTGCCAAAAGATGAATGGCAATGCCTGTTCTCACAAAATTTTTAGGAGAAGATAAACAATGTGAAAAAAGTACAGCTCAAGAAAGAAGCTGTCAAATACCTTTGCATGTCCAGAGGAAAAAGAGACCATGTCCTGCTAAGGTAATCAGTGAAGGCTTCATGGGGGAATTGGCATTTGATAATAATAACAACACTAATGATAAAATGGAAATAAAGCCAAAATAACATGAATAGACCTAATTATACCAGGAATTTTCCCAAACACTTTATATATTCATAACTCTTTTATATATTTGTTAACTCATTTAGTCGTTAGGATAATTCTAGCAGATATTTATTTACTCATTCAATACATATTTACTGAGTTCCTGCTCTGTGCAGGTAGTCTATGAGCTGAGGTTATGGCAAAGAGCAAGATAGAAAATGTCGTTACTCCCTTGCCACTGTCTACTGAGAGCTACCAGTATAATTTTTATTTTACACAAAACTGAGGTATGAAGGAGTTAAGTATACTACTAAAGGTCACACACACTTTCAGTGTCCAAGTCAGGATTGGATTGCAGCCAGTAAGGCACAGAGCATGTTTATCTACTACATTTTTCCAACAGTGACTAAGTGGGGTAATAGTGATAACAACGGCAGACAGACAGATTCCTAGGCAGATAGGGATGGATCCCTAGTGAAAGTTGACCTTCAGGCCAAGGATAGTCTAAAGCTTGAAAACAGAGCTACCAGTTACAGATAGAATCCACGAACTACAGTGAGAACTTTCATCCCTGTTTTGTCCGCTCTCGTTTGATTGGTTCTTTCTGAATGATGCCTTTTAACCAATCAAATGATGCCTTTTCCAAGCCTACCCATAAATTCTCCATTCTAAGCCCATAAAAATCCCAGACTCAGCCTCATAGATGGCTATCCACTTTTGGGTCCCTTCTCACTGTCAAGGGCTTTTCTTTGGCTCCATAAATTCTACTCTGTCTTACCCCCTCTCCAGTGTCCACATACCTTAGTACTCTTGGTCATAGGACAAGAACCCGGAACTCGCCAAACTGCTGGAGTGAAAGAGCTGTAACACTTCTGCTTGCTGAGCTGCGGGCAGCAGGAGTAAAGGAGCTGTAACGCTCCCTCCTGCTTACCAAAGTATGAGAGTGGAGAAGCCACAACAATAGGACAATAATAATGAAAATAACAATCATGTCAGATAACATTTAGTGAACATTTTTATGGCAAGTGCTATGTGACTTTACATGGGTATTTTATTTATTCTGCAATATAGTTCTGTGAATATAATAACTAGAATAGGTTTGTGACATGGTAAGGTCCTGCATTCTTAAATCAGGTCACCATATTTTAAATCTTAGTACTTCCTGGTACTTGGCTAGCTGTGTTGCCTGTTCCTCAATTGTGTCATCTGTAAACTAAGTAACACAACTAGCCAGTATCAAAGAAAACTGAGGTTTTTGCACTAGTGTTATGGACATGCATCTGCCTCCTATATTTTAAGTGTTCTGAAATTAGTGGCATATCTGAGCACTTGCTGTGCCCCAGTGCCTGACTTACTGGAAATGCTCAATAAAAAAATTCATAAATGAGTGCAGGATTGGTTGAATAAGAAATCTTGATCTCGTTAAATAATTTTCATGAATCAAAGCTCAGGGTATGAGCTCTACGAATTCAGGAACCTCACAGTATTCCAGAAACCATTCCAGAGACAACCATACATTGGAAGGATTATCCTTAATCAATATGGGAAACTTACCATAAGCCAAGGCAAGCACCCATGGCTGCATAGAAGCCTCTGTATACCCAAGGGTGACAGCTCTGTAGCAGAGGCCAAAAAGACGCAACTTTTTCTGTCTCCCTATTGACTTTGGGTTTGGGTCCAATTATAAAGAAATTGGATCAGAAAGTAATTTCAGGTTGGACAATCTTTCCTAGCACAAGAACGGTTGCCCTGAAGCAGACAGACACTGAATTGGTGCATAATAATCCAAGCCACATCCTGGTGTTCCAAACACATTATTGAATCCTCTGCAATTATAGGAATGCATGGATATGAGCTGAAGCTAGGCCATTTTCAAAGTTGGCATGAAAGAGGGAACTGATGTACTCAAGCTCCATCCGTTTTCTTTTCCACTAATGAATACTCCTTTTGTTCCAAAGTCTCCCAAGTGACTCCCCTGACAATATAGGTAATTAATGGGCCATTCTTCTTGATTCCAATACTGTTGAAAATGTGAGAGATCTGATAATTGAATCTGCATCTAAACATTCCCATCATCTAAGTGACTAAGAGTACATTAAATTAATAACCATTTTTCTTCTAGGAACTTCTTTATAGCTTATTGATAATGATCCTTTGACAAAACAGAAAATGCATTTAGTGAAACTTTGCCAAATCAGACTGGAGGAGGAATTTTCCTTGATTCCTCTTGAGCTGAGATATAAGATTGGACTTCAATAAAGTCAGGAAAGTATAGGGTCAATGATAAGGCTCTCATAAAGTCAGAAGTAATTAAGAAGCACAAGTTGACTTAGAAGATTGTTGTCTATTTTTTTTAATGATTTAATGCTAAGAATTATTTTTAACTTTTTTTTAAAGTTCTTTATTCTAGATATGAGTCCTTTGCAGAATATGTAAGTGGTTTTAAAATATTCTTGTCCACATATAACTTGTCATTTTGTCTTTTTTTTAAATTATACATTAAGTTCTGGGATACATGTGCAGAATGTGCAGGTTTGTTACATAGGTATACATGTGCCATGGTGGTTTGCTGCACCCATCACCCCATCATCTACATTAAGTATTTCTCCTAATGCTATCCTTCCCCTAGCCCCCAACCTACCAACAGGCCCTGGTGTGCAATGTTCCCCTCCCTGTGTCCATGTGTTCTCATTGTTCAACTCCCACTTATGAGTGAAAACACGAGGTGTTTGATTTTCTGTTCCTGTGTTAGTTTGCTGAGAATGATGGTTTCCAGCTTCATACATGTCCCTGCAAAGGACACGAACTCATCCTTTTTAATGGCTGCATAGTATTTCATGGTGTATATGTGCCACATTTTCTTTATCTAGTCTATCACTGATAGACATTTGGGTTGTGCATATGTCTTTATAGTAGAATGATTTATAATCCTTTGGACATATGCCCAGTTATGGGATTGCAGGGTCAAATGCTATTTCTTGTTCTAGATCCTTCAGGAATCACCACACTGTCTTCCACAACGGTTGAACTAATTTACACTCCTACCAACAGCGTAAAAGCATTCGTATTTCTCCACATTTTCTCTAGCATCTATTCTTTCCTGACTTTTTAATGATCACCATTCTAACGTGCTTGAGATGGTATCTCATTGTGGTTTTGATTTGCATTTCTCTAATCACCAGTGATGACAACCTTTTTTTCATATGTTTGTTGGCTACATAAATGTCTTCTTTTCAGAAGTATCTGTTCATATCTTTTGCCCACTTTTTGATGGGGTTGTTTGTTTTTATTCTTGTAAATTTGTTTAAGTTCCTTGTAGATTCTGGATATTAGCCCTTTGTCAGATGGATAGATTTCAAAATTTTTCTCCCATTCTGTAGTCTGCCTGTTCACTCTGATGATAGTTTCTTTTGCTGTGCAGAAGCTCTTTAGTTTAATTAGATCCCATTTGTCAATTTTGGCTTTTGTTGCCATTGTTTTTGGTGTTTTAGTCATGAAGTCTTTGCCCATGCCTGTGTCCTGAATGGTATTGCCTAGGTTTTCTTCTAGGGTTTTTATAGTTTTAGGTCTTAGTTCAAGTCTTTAATCAATCTTGAGTTAATTTTTTGTATAAGGTGTAAGGAAGGGGTCCAGTTTCAGTTTTCTGCCTATGGCTAGCCAGTTTTCCTAACACCATTTATTAAATAGGGCATCCTTTCCCCATTGCTTGTTTTTGTCAGGTTTGTCAAAGATCAGATGGTTGTAGATGTGTGGAGTTATTTCTGAGGTCTCTGTTCTGTTCCATCGCTCTATACATCTGTGTTTTGTTTTTTTGTTTTCGTTTTTTTTTGTTTTTTTACCAGTGCCATGCTATTTTGGTTTCTGTAGCCTTGTAGTATAGTTTGAAATCAGGTAGCATGATTCCTCCAGCTTTGTGCTTTTTGCTTAGGATTGTCTTGGCTATACGGGCTCTTTTTTGGTTCCATATGAAATTTAAAGTAGTTTTTTCTAATTCTGTGAAGAAAGTCAATGGTAGCTTGATGGGTATAGCATTGAATCTATAAATTACTTTAGACAGTATGGGCATTTTCAAGATATTGATCCTTGCTATCCATGAACATGGAATGTTTTTCCATTTGTTTGTGTCCTCTCCTGCTTACATGAGCAGTGCTTTGTAGTTCTACTTGAAGAGGTCCTTCACAACCATTCTAAGTTGCATTCCTAGGTATTCTCTTTTGAAATTGTGAATGGGAGTTCACTCATGATTTGTCTGTTATTGGTGTATAGGAATATTTGTGATTTTTGCACATTGATTTTGTATCCTGAGGCTTTGCTGAAGTTGCTTATCAGCATAAGGAGATTTTGGGCTGACATGATGGGGTTTTCTAAACGTACAATCATGTCATCTGCAAACAGAAATAATTTGACTTCCTATTTGAATACACTTTATTTCTTTCTCTTGCTTGTTTGCCCTGGCCTGAATTTCCAATACTATGTTGAACAGGAGTAGTGAGAGACAGCATCCTTGTCTTCTGCCAGTTTTCAAAGGGAATGGTTCCAACTTTTGCCCATTCAATATGATATTGGCTGTGGGTTTGTCATAAATAGCTCTTATTATTTTGAGATATGTTCCATCAATACCTAGCTTATTGAGAGTTTGTAGCATGAAGGGTGTTGAATTTTATAGAAGGCCTTTTCTGCATCTATTGAGATAATCATGTGGTTTTTGTCATTGGTTTTGTTTATGTGATGGATTGCGTTTATTGATTTGCATATGTTGAGCCAGACTTGCATCCCAGGGATGAAGCTGACTTGGTCACGGTGGATAAGTTTTTTGATGTGCTGCTGGATTTGGTTTGGCAGTATCTTATTGAGGATTTTCGCATCTATGTTCATCAGGGCTATTGGCCTGAAATTTTCTTTTTTTGTTGTGTCTCTCCCAGGTTTTGGTATCAGGAAGATGCTGGCCTCATAAAATGACTTAGGGAGGAGTCCCTCCTTTTCTATTGTTTGGAATAGTTTCAGAAGGAATAGTTTCAGAAGTTTCAGAAGGAATTATACCTCTGGTATAATTCGGCTGTGAATCTGTGTGGTCCTGGGCTTTTTTTGGTTGGTAGGCTATTAATTACTGCCTCAATTTCAGAAGTTGTTATTGGTCTATTCGGGGATTCGGCTTCTTCCTAGCTTACTCCTGGGAGGGTGTATTTGTCCGAGAATTTATCCATTTATTCTAGATTTTCTAGTTTATTTGCATAGAGGTGTTTTTAGTATTCTCTGATGGTAGTCTGTATTTCTGTGGGATCAGTGGTGATATCCCCTTTATCATTTTTTATTGTGTGTATTTGATTCTTCTCTTTTCTTCTTTATTAGTCTCACTTGCAGTGTATCTATTTTGTTATTCTTTAAAAAAACAAAAGCTAGCTCCTGTATTCACTGATTTTTTCGAAGGGCTTTCCGTGTCTCTATCTCCTTCAGTTCTGCTCTGATCTTAGTTTTTTCTTGTCTTCTGCCAGCTTTTGAATTTATTTGCCCTTGCTTCTCTAGTTCTTTTCATTGTGATGTTAGGGTGTTGAATTTAGATCTTTCTCACTTTCTCCTGTGGGCACTTAGTGCTACAAATTTCCCTCTTAAACACTGCTTTAGCTGTGTCCCAGAGATTCTGGTACATTGTCTCTTTGTTCTCATTGGTTTCAAAGAACTTCTTTATTTCTGTCTTAATTTCATTATTTACCCAGTAGTCATTCAGGAGCAGGTTGTTCAGTTTCCATGTTGTTGTGCAGTTTTGAGTGAGTTTCTTAATCCTGAGTTCTAATGCAATAGCACTGTGGCCTGGGAGACTGTTTATTATGATTTCCATTCTTTTGCATTTGCTGAGGAGTGTTTTACTTCCAATAAGGTGGTCAATTTTAGAATAATTGTGATGTGTTGCTGAGAAGAATGTATATTCTGTTGATTTAGGGTGGAGAGTTCTGTAGATGTCTATTAGGTCTACTTGGTCCAGAGCTCAGTTCAAGTCCTGAATATCTGTTAATTTTCTGTCTCGTTGACCTGTCAAATACTGACACTGACAGTGGGGTGTTAAGTCTCCCACTATTATTGTATGGGATTCTAAGTCTCTTTGTAGGTCTCTAAGGACTTGCTGTATGAATCTGGGTGCTCCTGTATTGGTTGCATATATATTTAGGATAGTTAGCTCTTCTTGTTGCGTTGATCCCTTTACCATTATGTAATGGCCTTCTTTGTCTTTTTTGATCTTTGTTCGTTTAAAGTCTGTTTCCTCAGAAACTAGGATTGCAACCCCTGCTTCTTTTTGCTTTCCATTTGCTTGGCAAATATTCTTCTATCCCTTTATTTTGAGCCTATGTGTGTCTTTGCATGTGAGATGGGTCTCCTACATACAGCACACCGATATATCTTGACTCTTTATCCAATTTACCAGTCTGTGTCTTTTAATTGGGGCATTTAGCCCATTTACATTTAAGGTTAATATTGCTATGTGTGAATTTGATCCTGTCTTTATGATGCTAGCTGGTTATTATGCCCGTTAGTTGATGCAGAATGCAGTTTCTTCATATTGTCGATGCTCTTTACAATATGGTCTGTTTTTGCATTGGCTGATACCGGTTTTTCTTTTCCATATTTAGTACTTCCTTCAGGAGCTCTTGTAAGGCAGGCCTATTGGTGACAAAATTTCTCAGCATTTGCTTGTCTGTAAAGGTTTTTATTTCTCCTTCACTTATGAAGCTTAGTTTGGCTGGATATGAAATTCTGGGATGAAAATTCTTTTCTTTAGGAATGTTGAATATTGGCCTCCACTCTCTTCTTGCTTGTAGGGTTTCTGCAGAGAGATCTGCTGTTAGTCTGATGGGCTTCCCTTTGGCCTTGGTGAACCTGACAATTACATGTCTTGGGGTTGCTCTTCTCGAGGAGCATCTTTGTGATGTTCTCTGTATTTCCTGAATTTGAATGATGGCCTGTCTTGCTAGGTTAGGGAAGTTCTCCTGGATAATATCCTGAAGAGTGTTTGCCAACTTGGTTCCATTCTCCCCATCATTTTCAGGCACACCAATCAAATGTAGGTTTGGTCTTTCACATAGTCCCATATTATTTGTAGGCTTTGTTCATTCCTTTTCATTCTTTTTTCTCTAATCTTGTCTTTACACTTTATTTCATTAAGTTGATCTTCAATCTGTGATATCCTTTCTTCTGCCTGATCCATTTGACTATTGATACTTGTGTATGCTTCACAAAGTTCTCATGCTGTGTTTTTTGGCTCCATCAGGTCATTTACGTTCTTCTCTAAACTGGTTATTTTAGTTAGCAATTCCTCTAACCTTTTTTCAAGGTTCTTAACTTCCTCACATTGGTTTAGAACATGATCCTTCAGCTCAGAGGAGTTTGTTATTACCCACCTTCTGTAGCCTACTTCTGTCAATTCGTCAAATTCATTCTCCGTTCAGCTTTGTTCCCTTTCTGGCAAGGAGTTGTGATCCTTTGGTGGAGAAGAAGTGTTCTGGTTTCTGGAATTTTCAGGCGTTTCGCACTGGTTTTTCCTCATCTTCATGGATTTATCTGCCTTTGTTCTTTGATGTTGGTGACCTTTGGATGGGGTTTTTGCGTGGACATCCTTTTTGTTGATGTTGATGCTATTCCTTTCTGTTTGTTAGTTTTCCTTCTAACAGTCAGTCCCCTCTGCTGCAGGTCTACTGGAGTTTGCAGGAGGTCCACTCCAGACCCTGTTTGCCTGGGTATCATAGGCATATCCAGCGAAGCCTGCAGAACAACAAAGATTGCTGCCTGTTCCTTCCTCTGGAAGCTTCATCCCAGAGTGGCACCCACCAGATGCCAGCTGGAGCTCTCCTGTATGAGGTGTCTGTCGATCCCTGCTTGGAGGTGTCTCCCAGTCTGGAAGCATGGGAGTCAGGAACCTACTTGAGGAGACAGTCTGTCCCTTAACAGAGGTCGAGCACTGTGCTGGGAGATCTGCTACTGTCTTCAGAGCTGGCAGGCAGGAACGTTTAAGTCAGCTGAAGCTGCGCCCACAGCCACCCCTTCCCCCAGGTGCTCTGTCCCAGGGAGATGGGTGTTTTATCTATAAGCCCCTGACTGGAGCTGCTGTCTTTCTTTCAGAGATGCCCTGCCCAGAGAGAAGGAATCTAGAGAGGCAGTCTGGCTACAGCAGCTTTGCTAATCTGTGGTGAGCTCTGCCCAGTTTGAACTTCCCAGCAGCTTTGTTTACACTCTGAGGGGAAAACCACCTACTCAAACCTTAGTAATGGTGGACACCCCTCCCCCAACCAAGCTCGAGCATTTCAGGTCTACTTCATACTGCTGTGCCGGCAGTGAGAACTTCAAGCCAGTGGATCTTAGCTTGCTGGTCTCCGTGAGTGTTGGATCTGCTGCACTAGGCCACTTGACTCCCTGGTTTCAGCACCCCCTTCCAGGGGAGTGAATGATTCTGTCTCCCTGGCATTCCAGGTGCCACTGGGGTATAAAAAAAAAAACTCCTGCAGCTAGCTCAGTGTCTGACCAAATGGCTCCCCAGTTTTGTGCTTGAAACCCAGGGCCCTGGTGGTATAGGCACCCGAGGGAGTCTCCTGGTCTGTGGGATGTGAAGACCATGGGACAAGTGTAGTATCTGGGCCAGAATGCATCATTCCTAATGGTACAGTTCCTCATGGCTTCCCTTGGCTAGGGGAAGGAGTTCCCAGACCCCTTGTGCTTCCCAGGTGAGGTGATGCCCCACCCTGCTTTGGCTTGCCTTCTGTGGGCTGCACTCACTGTCTAACCAGTCCCAATGAGATGAGCCAGGTACTTCAGTTGGAAATGCAGAAATTACCCACCTTCTGCATTGATCTTGCTGGGAGCTGGAGACTGGAGCTGTCCCTATTCGGCCGTCTTGCCAGCCACCTGCCTATTTTTAACTTTGAGATAAAAAATTTCAGATGTGGTAACTTTCAAAGTCAAAATTAACAATATTTAATACTTCTGAGGTTATTTGATTTTAAATTTTTTTTTAAATCAATTATCTCCAGGATCTCAGCAATAGAAATTAAAATTGGGTTGGCTCTGATTTTTTGGAGTAGGTAATAATGCAAAATGAAAGTCAAGAAGTCACAAATGTTTCCCAGCCACACAGAAATCTACCTTTTCTGAAGTTGGTCTTAGGGGATGTTAGTGGGAGTTTCTTCTCCTCCTCGTAAAGGAACTTCTACCCTGACTTCAAATGCACAGGGCAGGATAAGCTAATTTAGAGGATGCTCTAGTTTATGAATTGTTCAAATAAAAGTTTCCTATACCTGAGGAATACAGTGGCATTTTCTTGCACTCAAGGTGATATGCTATATCCAGAGAAAAATTGCCATAGATTTTACAATCATTTACACTATTTACACTAAAATGTTCTAAGTATTGCATTAACCATTTGAGGAGACACAAGATGAACAATAAATAATTACTCTAGAAAAAAAATCAGTTGCCATTTTATGTTTTTTCATAGTAATGTGGACAACATGTGACACAAACAAGTAGTTGAGAAAAATATTTTTGAGGATATAGTAGCAGGAATCACAGTGGAAGTCTACTTCCCAGGCAAAAGGAAAGAGAATTAAAGAGACAAGAAAAAAAGGGATAATGTATTTATGAAACCACAAATTGACTGGCAGTTCTGAATGTCAATATCCAAGGAGTCAAATATTGGAACAATATGAAAAGAGCTCTAAATGCTTTGATAAGAAATCAGTATGGTGTGACAGCTTTTCTTAAATACCAGTGTCCCACAAGATATTAATCAACTTGCCTCAGAAGCATACATTTTGTAATCAAATAAGTTTGGAAAATGGTTAATACTAAATCCACTACCCTGGAAATTCAAAATGCTCCCTAGATGTTAAAAACTCAGACAAGTCTTGGATGAAAGAAATCTATATAACATGATTCCACCTAACATTTTCTAATTCGCTATATCATGGAAAAAACCTGCCCTCTCTTCCTATATACACACACATTCCTTTCTTCTTTCTCCCTTCTTTCCTGTAATTATCTTTCCTGGGTACCCATTAACAACTACTATTATTCATAATTGTGATCCATTGCAGGTTTTTAAAGTGAATTCAGACTAGAAGTAGACAGACCAAACCAAAAGCTACAGCATTAATGTGATCAAAGTGAAAAGAAATGAACGTCATACTAACTGATGCATCTGTTATGTATTACTGGTGGTTACTTTAAGACAGAAAAGAGAAAGACCAGGTTCAAAAAAGAAGATGCATTGTTTAGCTTTGGACATTTGTGACTTCTGTGGCACATTTCTGGAGAGATGTCTAGAAAGCAATTCAAGATGTGCAGGAAGGATTCAGAAGAGCACCTGAAGCATGGTGTTAGGAGTCATCAATATTTCATTGATTTGTGAAGCAATGCAAATGTGAAACCTGTAAAGCAACATATTATGTTAAAGCTAATTTTTGACACGGATCCCAATCTATTGCAAACCCAAACTTGCAGAGTCTATTATTAACTTACAGAAGAATGAGAATGCTAAGTAGCATAAGAAGTCTACAAGTCATAAAACTTAAGTTGTACTTTTAGTTACACTGGGAATCCAAGATTTAAAAAGTAGACAGAAGTAGACCATTTGGTTCCATTGTGGCTCTGTTTACAACGTACCTAGGCAACCAGTTGATTATTGAAATAATCAGTCTAGCCATTTACTAGGCATCATTTAAGTAAAAACTAAGTAGAACATGAGTTATCTTGACTTGTAAAATTATAAACCCATAAATGAATGTTTTATTATAAAACATAATCTTTGCCCAGTTGTCCCTTCTGACTGAAATTCCCCACCACTCATTTGTCTGTTGGACAAACCTAAATCATCTTTAAGTCCAAGCTGATGGTCCATCCCCTCCATGAAGCCTTTTCCAGCTATCTTTACCAACAGTTAAGCTAAAATAAACTACTTTTTTTCTTTCACAGCTGTAACATCACTGCTACCACTATTAGAGCATGTCAAACATGACACTATTACCAGTTGGGTTTATGTCTTTTCTCCAGTTAAATTGTGTGCTCCTTCAAGGTAGAGATCTTGTCTCATTTATCTCTGATTCTCCCACTTTACTCTCTTGGCCAGCTCCTTGGTAAAGTGCCATTCAATTTCTGTCGCATGTATAATGAATATCTGGTGAACAAACATACGACTGCATTATAAAATGTATGAAAGCAAGAATAAAAGAATGAGTGTATATGTGAAAGAATAAAACAATGAAGAGCTAAACTGGATAATCAAGCAACTGAATTTGGTCCACTTGGTTTATTGCAATTTGCTCTTAGGGAAAACTGAGATGTTAGAGTTCTGACCTCTGACATGGGATTTCACGCCATAAGGAGCCCAGGCTCACAGAACTGCAGGGAGGCTCCATTCATTTCATTGTATCAATGTAGACACAGCCATTGAGTTCCTGGTTAGAGAACTGAGGAGCAAATCATCATGCACAAGTTTTAGATGAAGAAATGGGGGTGGGTGGGAAGTTGTTTACATGGTAATAGCTTTTGCTCAGAACATCACATTGAATCTGAAAAGGCCAAAACCAGGGGAAAATGTCAGGCACTGGCAAAAAATATTACAAAAGCTGATTATGTAAACTGTCTTGTTTGAACCGTAAAGACTGTAATCCACAGCTCAAGTTCAAATTTCCTGTTTAAATATTGTTAGTTTGAATGTTAATCTGAGTTTCCATGTTTGATTGCAGGGAGCGGGGCTGCAAATATTGATCATCATGAAATGACAGCAAAGATTCACTTCTAAAAAGGAAGCTAAGGAGCACATTCACATGAACCCAAGTAACAAATATCTTGGGATTCTGACATATTTCCAAGCCGAAGTAATTATTTCCTCTTTCACCTTGCTTCTTCAGCCTCCTTTCCATTGACCGAATACACATCCCACATATAGGTACAAGAACAAAAGATAAAACAAATAATCCAAGTGGCCAAACACTACAGCAACAGAACCAAATTTGACACCACTAACTCACAACAGTGAATCTCCACAGATTTCAGAGTCACCAGCAGAGTTCTTGCCTTATTCTCCCATTATGAAGCCCCACTTTCCTAACGAACCACAGGGAACCATTGCTTCATGCCATGCCTCCTAATAATTGACAAACCCAAGCTGTGATGGAAGGCAAGGGAGAAAGCTTATAAAAGAGAATCCCCAATGGGCAAAACTTGCTGCCCCAGACATGGTTTGCTTTTGCAAACAATTAGAAAGATTGGATTACAGTAGGGAGATGCAATTTTGCAGAAAGTTAGTGAGCTAAACACTTCATGTGTGAGAGACACCAACACACCTAATCTTGGCATTATTCTTCCTACAACAATTTCCTAGTACATGGAGTGTATGGATTCAATACATATTTTTATATGATATCATTGTGTTGGTCACATCTATAGATAGACTTTTTCACACGTGACTGAAGCAACAAACTTAGGATGTGGAGAAGTGAAGCAAAAATCTTGATATGGGTCAAAGAACAAACAATTCCATGTGAACACAAAACAGAATTTGGGACAAATGTATAGCTAATAGTTTCCTTGAAGCATTCAAATTCCTGAAATTCTTCTCTTTGCTTTGTCTATATGCAAAAAGCCCAAATGTTGCATAGACACAAGAGAAGGGTATAATTGAGTTTAGTGTTATCCACTTCAATGGGTCCCAAATGCCAATGAGTGAATGGGTAAAGACTATTAAAAAGTTTTTATCACCCCAAGAAAATGTCCCAGAAAATAAAGATGGTAAAGTAAGATTTTCAGAGACTAAATGACTCCTTTTAATTCTAAAATCATGTCCTCAGTACTTTACTAGTGTAATAATATTCTCTTTTATCCTATAATGGTAGGAGCAAACAGTATTATAGTTTTGTTTTCTTTTATTTTTGTTTACTTGGCAGAAGAAAAAAATAGCAACTCTATAACAAATCCTATAATTAAAAACATATATCATCTTATGAAATGTAGAAACATATGGGAAATAATATAATAAACACTTATGTTTCTTAAACTTTTCAGACATAATTATCATCAATGTATCTTTTGGAAAATAGTTCTACGATTTTTATATAATTACACAGCTTAGAGGAAGCAGAGTCTTCTTTGACCTCCAATCTCAGTGGCCTATGATTATAGGTGGTAGAGCAGGACTAGATTTTTAACTTCCAGACTCCAGATCACCCCCTCATAATCAGAGAAGCCCTTGGGAAAAGTGGTAAGTGGTGCGCTAAAAAAAAAAAAAAAAAAAAAAAAAAATCCTACAGTAGATGTTCTGAGGGAATGCAAAGTGCCTGAACAACATTAAAAATCAAAAATAAAATTGAGCAGTACATCGTAAATTGTGGTCTCTGTCCCATCAGGATCTTGAAGCTCCAAGATCATCATAAGCAGATAAAGCTCAAAAAAACAATTTTCTCAATTATACCATCATGCCCCCACAGAAGCATCAATTTTGAGAACAACCCACAGATGAGAGTACATTTATGGTAGTCCAGGAGTCCATCAGAGAAATTCTAGCACGTTGCTGGAACAAAATTCCAAGAACAGATGCATTGGAGAGAGTAAGAATAGTTTTATTTCACCTATGTCACCCTTCCCTCAAAGTGGCACAGCCCACTGCCAGGAGAGATCCCCTTGGCCCAGAATTTCTCCCACAGGAAATACTGAAAGTATAATGAGTGAGAATCCAAATATCCTGGCCTAGGCTCACTTCTCATTCACTCCACCCAGAATACTGAGGTGATCAGCAAGGCTGAATAGCTGAGAGAGGCTTGGAGCAGGGAAGAAAGGCAGTGAACCCTAACAATCACTCCAAGAACTCAACCCCTCTTCTGTGGAACCCCCAACTTGTTGATGGGCATCCCAAATATTCCACACACCTTACCACAACTCCCAGGCAGACTTCTTGAGCATGTCCTCATAGACAGCAAGTGCAAGTGTCTCATGTAAATAACGAAGCTTAACTCTGTGGGATTGACAGGAGGCAGACAAACTTGAGTATTTCAGGGAATCACCATAGAAGAAAAAAATAAAAAGGAGGGCTATCAGCTCTAGCCTGGTTTAGCAAGATCTTGAGAGGGTACACAATGTAAGGAATTCACCCTAAGAAACAACAAGAGATGTGGATCAAGTAAATTCATAGGAAAGGTCTGAGAGAGTCTCAAAATTACTAGTGATAAAAGAAAAACTTCAGCCAAATTAAATTTAGAAGAGTTTAATTGGGCAATGAGGTATTCCCAAATTGGGCAGCCCCCAGAATCACAGCAGATTCACAGAGACTCCAGTGAAGCCACGTGATGGAAGGAGATTTATAGACAACAAAAGGGAAATGACATACAGAAATTGGAAATGAGGTACAGAATGTCTGGATTGGTTACAGGTTGGCATTTCCCTTGTTTGGACACTCAGCAGTGTATGACTGGTTGAAGTACGGACACTGGGATTGGCCAAGACTCAGCAATTGTTACAAGCACATACTCCTAAGTTAGGTTTTCAATCTTGTCTACCTATCTAAGCTAGGTTACAGTTCGTCCACAAGGACTCAAATATAATAGTATGGAGTCCTTCCCAGGCCATATGTAGTTCATTTTAATGCTGGCTTGGCTGTTTGGTGAAGGTGTTTCTCTCCCAAAGCCATTCAGTAAAGATGACTGAAGGAGATGACTGCTTCTTAAAATGTGAAGACAACAATGCAAGACTTCAGGAACATGAAAAAATCAAGAAAACATGACATCAACAGAACACAGTAATATGACAACAACTGACTCCAAAGAAATGGAGATCTATAAATTGTCTGAAAAATAATTCAAAACAATTGTTTTAAGGAAGCTCAGTGAACTACAAGAGAACACAGACAACTCAATGATATCAGAAAAACAATACATAAACAAAATGAGAAGTTAAACAAAGAGATAGAAATCATTGAAACAAGCGAAATAGAAATTCTGAAGCTGAGGAATACGATGAATAAAATTTTAAATACAATAGAGAGCATCCACAGCAGGCCTGACTGGGCAGAAAAAGAAATCTGTGAACTAAAAGCCATTAAAACAAATCCAGTCGGAAGGGGGGGAAAAAGAAAAGAAATTTAAAAAGCCTGCTGGATTTATGAGACAGTATTGAGAGAATTAAATTTGTATTATGGAGTCTAGAAGGAGGAGAGTAAGAGAAAGAAAAGGAAAGTTTACTTAAAGAAATAATGACTGAGGCCGGGCGCGGTGGCTCATGCCTGTAATCTCAGCACTTCGGGAGGGCAAGGAGGGCAGATCACTGGAGCTCACTACACCTACCTTATAGGTAATGTTAATTTGAGCCATTAAGTGGAAACAAAAGAAAGCTAATTCATAACATAAAAACATATGAAAGTATAAAATTCACTGTTAAAGGTAAATATATAGTGAAATTTATAATAATATAATGGTGTTTTGTATATCATTTAAAACTCTACCGTAAAAGTTAAAATACAAAAGTATTAAGATAACTAAAGCTACAGTAATTTGTTAATGGCTACCTCATGTCAAAAGAAGTAAATTGTGACACCAAAAACATAAAATGGTGGAGTGAATGTAGAGTTATCGTATGTGATTGAAGTTTAGTTATTACTTTTTAAATAGACTTTCATAACTCTAAGATACTTTATGCAAGTCTCATTGTAAACAACAAGGCAAAAACCTATGGTAAAACCAAAAGATAAAGGAAAAAAACTTATAGAATGCAGCAAAAGAAGTTCTAAGAGGGAAGTTTATTGTGATAAACCTACGTTAAGAAAACAGAAAGATCTCAAAAAACAAACAAACAAAACAACCTAACTTTAGACCTCAAGTAAATAGAAAAAGAAAAACATACTAAGCCCACAGTCAGCAGATAGAAGGGAATAACAAAGATCAGAGCAGAAATAAATAGAATAGAAACTAGAAAAACAATAGAAAAGATCAACAAAACTAAGAGTTGTTTTTTGAAAAGATAAAACTGATAAACCTTCATCTAGATTAAGAATAAAATACAGAAGACAAATAAAACAAGAAATGAAAGAGAAGGTATTAAAAATGATACCACAGAAACACAGAAGTTCAAAGGATCATAAGATAATACTATGACCAATTATATGCTTACAAGTTAAATAACCTAAAATAAATTGATAAATTCCTAGAAATATACAACATACTAAGACTGAATCCTGAAAAACAGAAAATTTGAGAAGATCCATAAGGTAAGGAAACTGAATCAGTAATCAAAAATCTCCCATCAAAGAAAAACCCAGTACCTGATGGTTTTATTGCTGAATTCTAGCAAGTATTTAAAGAATTAATACCAATGCTTCTCAAATTCTTTCAAAACATTGAAGATGAGGACATACTTTCAAACTCATGTAACAAGGCCAGCATTACTCTAATAGCACAGCCAGACAAGGACACCACAAGAAAAGAAAATTACAGGTGAATATCCCTGATTAACATGGATGCCAAAATCTTCAACAAAACACTAGCAAACCAAATTCAACAGCACAATAAAGGGATAGTACAGTGATCAAGTGGGATTTATCCCTGGGATAAAAAGATGGTTCAACATATGAAAATCAATAAATAAGATAATCCACATCAATAGGATAAAAATTATATGATCACCTCAATAGATAAAAAAAAAAAAACCACTTGACAAAATTCAACCTCCCTGTACAATAAAAACTCTCAACAAATTAGGCATATAAGGAATGTACCTCAACACAATAAAGGTCATATATGGCCTATCAGGGAGAAGACAAGTTAAATAGAAATGACACACTCATCATTTCTATCTAACATAGTACTGTAAGTCTTGGCCAGAGCAACTAAACAATAAAAACAAAAATATTAAAAGGAAAAAAAGAAAGAAAGAAAACGGCATCCAAATTGAAAAGAAAAAATTAAAATTGTTTCTTTTTGCAGATGGCATACTCTTTTTTTTTATTATACTTTAAGTTTTAGGGTACATGTGCACAATATGCAGGTTAGTTACATATGTATACATGTGCCATGCTGGTGTGCTGCAACCATTAACGCGTCATTTAGTATTAGGTATATCTCCTAATGCTATCCCTCCCCCCTTCCCCCACCCCACAACAGTCCCCAGAGTGTGATGTTCCCCTTCCTGTGTCCATGTGTTCTCATTGTTCAATTCCCATCTATGAGTGAGAACATGCAGTGTTTGGTTGTTTGTCCTTGCGATAGTTTACTGAGAATGATGATTTCCAATTTCATCCATGTCCCTACAAAGGACATGAATTCATCATTTTTTATGGCTGCAGAGAATTCCATGGTGTATATGTGCCACATTTTCTTAATCCAGTCTATCATTGTTGGACATTTGGCTTGGTTCCAAGTCTTTGCTATTGTGAATAGTGCCACAATAAACATACGTGTGCATGTGTCTTTATAGCAGCATGATTTATAGTCCTTTGGGTATATACCCAGTAATGGGATGGCTGGGTCAAATGGTATTTCTAGTTCTAGATCCCTGAGGAATCACCACACTGACTTCCACAATGGTTGAACTAGTTTACGGTCCCACTAACAATGTAAAAGTGTTCCTATTTCTCCACATCCTCTCCAGCACCTGTTGTTTCCTGACTTTTTAATGATCGCCATTCTAACTGGTGTGAGATGGTATCTCATTGTGGTTTTGATTTGCATTTCTCTGATGGCCAGTGATGATGAGCATTTTTTCATGTGTCTTTTGGCTACATAAATGTCTTCTTTTGAGAAGTGTCTGTTCATATCCTTCACCCACTTTTTGATGGGGTTGTTTGTTTTTTTCTTGTAAATTTGTTTGAGTTCATTCTAGATTCTGGATATTAGGCCTTTGTCAGACGAGTAGGTTGCAAAAATTTTCTCCCATGTTGTAGGTTGCCTGTTCACTCTGATGGTAGTTTCTTTTGCTGTGCAGAAGCTCTTTAGTTGAATTAGATCCCATTTGTCAATTTTGGCTTTTGTTGCCATTGCTTTTGGTGTTTTAGACATGAAGTCCTTGCCCATGCCTATGTCCTGAATGGTAATGCCTAGGTTTTCTTCTAGGGTTTTTATGGTTTTAGGTCTAACATGTAAGACTTTAATCCATCTTGAATTAATTTTTGTATAAGGTGTAAGGAAGGGATCCAGTTTCAGCTTTTTCCATATGGCTAGCCAGTTTTCCCAGCACCATTTATTAAACAGGGAATCCTTTCCCCACTGCTTTTAAGGGGATATCACCACCGATCCCACAGAAATACAAACTACCATCAGAGAATACTACAAACACCTCTATGCAAATAAATTAGAAAATCTAGAAGAAATGGATAAATTCCTGGACACACACTCTCCCAAGACTAAACCAGGAAGAAGTTGAATCTCTGAATAGACCAATAACAGGATCTGAAATTGTGGCAATAATCAACAGCTTACCAACCAAAAACAGTCCAGGACCAGATGGATTCACAGCCGAATTCTACCAGAGGTACGAGGAGGAACTGGTACCATTCCTTCTGAAACTATTCCAATCAATAGAAAAAGAGGGAATCCTCCCTAACTCATTTTATGAGGTCAGCATCATCCTGATACCAAAGCCTGGTAGAGACACAACCAAAAAAGAGAATTTTAGACCAATATCCTTGATGAACACTGATGCAAAAATCCTCAATAAAATACTGGCAAACCGAATCCAGCAGCACATCAAAAAGATTATCCACCATGATCAAGTGGGCTTCATCCCTGGGATGCAAGGCTGGTTCAATATATGCAAATCAATAAATGTAATCCAGCATATAAACAGAACCAAAGACAAAAACCACATGATTATCTCAATAGATGCAGAGAAGGCCTTTGAAAAAATTCAACAACCCTTCATGCTAAAAACTCTCAATAAATTAGGTATTGATGGGATGTATCTCAAAATAATAAGAGCTATGTATGACAAACCCACAGCCAATATCATACTGAATCGGTAAAAACTGGAAGCATTCCCTTTGAAAACTGGCACAAGACAGGGATGCCCTCTCTCACCACTCCTATTTAACATAGTGTTGGAAGTTCTGGCCAGGGCAATTAGGCAGGAGAAGGAAATAAAGGGTATTCAATTTGGAAAAGAGGAAGTCAAATTGTCCCTGTTTGCAGATGACATGATTGTATATCTAGAAAACCCCATTGTCTCAGCCCAAAATCTCCTTAAGCTGATAGGCAACTTCAGCAAAGTCTCAGGATACAAAATCAATGTACAAAAATCACAAGCATTTTTATACACCAATAACAGACAAACAGAGAGCCAAATCATGAGTGAACTCCCATTCACAATTGCTTCAAAGAGAATAAAATACCTAGGAATCCAACTTACAAGGCACATGAAGGACTTCTTCAAGGAGAACTACAAACCACTGCTCAATGAAATAAAAGAGGATACAAACAAATGGAAGAATATTCCATGCTCATGGGTAGGAAGAATCAATATCGTGAAAATGGCCATACTGCCCAAGGTAATTTATAGATTCAATGCCATCCTCATCAAGCTACCAATGAGTTTCTTCACAGAATTGGAAAAAACTACTTTAAAGTTCATATGGAACCAAAAAAGAGCCCGCATCGCCAAGTCAATCCTAAGCCAAAAGAACAAAGCTGGAGGCATCACACTACCTGACTTCAAACTATACTACAAGGCTACAGTAACCAAAACAGCATGGTACTGGTACCAAAACAGAGATATAGATCAATGGAACAGAACAAAGCCCTCAGCAATAACGCCGCATATCTACAACTATCTGATCTTTGACAAACCTGAGAAAAAAGGCATACTCTTATATAGAGAAAACCCTAAAGACTCTACCATAAAAATGCTAGAACTAATAAATTCAGTAAAATTGCAGAATGCAAAATCAACATACAGAAATCGGTCCACTTCTATACACTAACCGTGAACTATCTGAAATACAAATTAAGAATACAATCGCCTTTATAACCAAGTAAAAATGCTTAGGAATAAATTTAACCAAGATGGTGAAAGACTTGTACACTGAAAACTATCAAACATTAATGGAAGAAATTTAAGAAGACAAAAATAAATGGAAATATATCCCATGTTCATGCATCAGAAGTCAATATTGTCAAAATATTCAAACAACCCAAAACACTCTACAGAGTCAATCAAATCACATTAAAAATTCCAATGGCATTTTTCACAAAAAATGTAAAAACAATCCTAACATTTATTTAAAGCCATGAAACACTTCAAATTGCTAAAGCAATCTTGAGCAAGAAGAACAAAGCTGAAGGCCTCACCCGTCTTGATTTCAAATTATATTACAAAGCTAAACTAATCAAAACAGTATGTATAAAGAAAGAGAACAGAATAGAAAGCCCATAAATAAACCCATACAGATACTGTCAACTCATCTTCTACAAAGATGCCAAGAATGCACAATGAGATAGAGTAAAGAAGGATAGTCTTTTCAATAGATGGTGCTGGGAAACTGGATATCCACATGTGAAAAAAATAAAATAATCCTTATCTTACACTACACACAAACATCAACTTAAAATGGATGAAAGATTTAGACATGAGATCTAAAGAGGTAAAACTCCTAGAAGAAAACATAGGGGGAAATCTTCATGACATCCATCTTGTCAATGATTTTTTTGGACATAACACCAAAAGCATCAGTAATAAAATCAAAAATAAAAAAGTGGAACCACATCGACTAAAAAGTTTCTGCACAGCAAAAGAGACAATCAAGAAAATGAAAAGGCAACCTGTGGAATGGTAGAAAATATTTGCAAACCACATATTCAATAAGAAGTTAGTATCTAAAATATATAAGGAACTCATAGAACTCTAAGAGCAAAAATCAAATAACCTAATTTTAAAATGGGCAAAAAACCTTAAAAGACATTTTTCCAATGAACCCAAAAAACAGCCAAAAGGTATATGTAAAGATGTTCAACACCACTAATCATTATAAAAATGTAAATCAAAACCACAAGGAGATACCACCGCACAATTGTTAGAATGACTATTATCAAAAAGTCAAAAGATAACAAGCATTGACAAGGATGTACAGAAAAGAGAATCTTTATACACTTCTAGTAGAAATATAAATTGGTACAACTGTTACGGAAAATAACATGGAGGCTTCTCAAAAAATAAAAAATAGAACTACCATATAATCCAGCAATCCCACTACTAGGTATATATCCAAAAGATATGAAATCAGTATTTTGAAGAGATTATCTGCACTCCCATATTCACTGAAGCATTATTCACAGTAGCCAAGATATGGAAACAAGCTAAGTGTTGGTCCATAGATGAATAAAGACAATGTGATACACACACACACACACACACACCCCAGAATACTATTAAACCTCTATAAAGAATACCCTGCCATTTGCAACAACATGGATGAACCTGGAGAACATTATGCTAACTGAAATTAGGCAGACATAGAAAGACAAACACTACATAATCTCACTTAAATGTAGAATCAAAAAAAGGAGAACTCAGAGAAGCAGAGTAGAATGGTAGTTACTAAGGAATGGGTGGGGGGAAATGGGAAATTTTGCTCATCAGGGTATCAACTTTCACTTGTAAGATGAGTAAATTTTGAAGGCCTAATGTACAACATGGTTACTACAGTTAATAACTAAGTATTGCTAGGAGAGTAGATCTTACCACATGCACACACAAAACCATATGTGAGGTGACAGGTATGTTAATTAGCCTTATTGTGCTAATCACTTCATAATGTATATGGCTATCAAAATATTGCATTGTATATCTTAAATATACCAGTTTTTATTTGTCATTACACCTTCTGGAAGAAATTAAATTTGTTGAAAGATTAAATAAGAGAATATAAGTAAAGCATTTAGCACATAGCAATAAATACTATCAATTGTTTCTGTTACTACATGTTATTCTTCTACAGCATCTGCACACCACTGCTGAAAGGTTTTGACTCTTAAGGTTACGTCCTTCAGCTACCTTCATTCCCCTCACCTCCATTGTGGCTTTCCGACTAGCACATCAGTCCTCAGCAATCTCTCCTAACTCTCAGCAGTTATGTTACCTAGTGTAAATTTTGACATGTGCAATCTGACAACCCAAATAGATATAATTTGCATTTATAGTGGATGATTCTCTGCACTGAGATCTACTTGGGAAGTCAAGGCACAAGCAATTTAATATATCACTGAGAAGGCAAATCTACAAATACCTAATATACAAGACTCAATATATAAATGCAAGAGAAAATCTCAGAAGATACTATGTGACAAGGGTCAAATAAATAGCACAAGCAATGTGCTTTGGTTTCAACATAAAAGTAAGTTCTGTGGGCTGGAAGGACTATGTAACACTTCATAGTGGAGAAGAGTCTGAAGCTAGGCCATTAGGGATGGGTAGGATTTAGCTTGCCTGAGATGAGGATATTTATACAAATAAAATCAATGAACAAACTACTAGGAGTAAACCAGAAAAACTGGAGCAGGATGAAGAAGTGCAAGGTGATTCAAAATAAATCTAGATTTTATGTAGTAAGATTAAGGCCAGGAAGATTAAGAGGAAGATTAAGGTATCCAAGTTTCCAAGCATTCGGTACTTCTGGGAAGGTGTCATTTGGCAGAAGTTACCTCATCTCTGCCTTGTGAAGGATTTCATGCCCACATCTGTTAGTTCCCCTCAGGGCAATCATAGTATTCATTTCCAATTATTTAGCTTTGTTTATTTTTTACCTTGAATTCTTATGATTTTTTGCTTTTGTCTTTCTTGTTGCCATCTCTAACCTGTCTTCCACCCTCTCCCAACGTAATACTTCTTTTTCATATATGAATTATGCCTGACACTATATCTCTTCTTTCTTTTTCTCTAGATTCAAAAACAAAAACAAAAACTCTGACTCTGCTACCATAAAACCTGCTCCTGGGGCTGTGTGAGAGTTTGTGCATACTCAACCACAACTGGAGTTTTTATCCTCCAGATAGGGGAGACTTTGAAGGTTGAGGAGGAGGGTGTTGAAATCCAATTGTTAATCTTTGTGTGTGTGTAGGATTTCAAATACTGGAATTTGGTAATCCATATAGGAAAATTAAAAAATTTAAAGTACCACTAACTAAGTAAGCAAAAATTTAGTTCAATCCTTGTCTCAGTCTGTCAGTCTCTTGCAGTACCCAATCACTGTGTATCAGTCTCAGTTGCATAACATTTACTCAGTCAGCATTTAGCTCTCCACTTTTTTTTCTGTCAGACCATGTTCTGCTTCAATCACTGTTATATATACTTGAAAGATAAAGTTCTTACACAAATTTTTAACTTGGAGCCAATTTGATGTTATGCCTCACACATGTAGCAGTTGTTTCTCCTGAACTGGGCAGCCCACCCAGCTACACTCCACACTTGACATAGACAGAGAGCTCTATAACAACTGAAATACACAGGCACTGTAAAATATCCATGTTAAATACTGCTCAAATTTGGCACTCACCTGTGAATGTTTGAGGCTCATTCATGTACCATGACAATCTGAGAGTAAGGAATTGGTACGAAACCCTAAAAGTAATGCCACACCTCATGCATGAATGCTGCCCAAGCACAGTACCAATATTACTCATCCAGCTTCTATCTAAATATTTCCAGGTAGTTTCTCACAAATCATGTTTGAGAAATTCAATTTGTAAAAAGTTCTTTCTTGTATTGATTCAAAATCTGCTTCTCTCTGTTATCTACTCATCCTAATCTTGTTTTCCAGAATAAACAGAATTTCATTTCCCAGAAATGGTAAATAATAATGTTTCACAGCGATGGTAAAGGGGATCTGAGCACATCAGAATGGAGACCAAGGGTCTATGATGTAGACACCCCTCTTCCTTGTAAAAGTCCTTCAGGCCGTTGTAGACCACCCTCACTTCTTCTCCAAGGGTTATATTCTTTCCAACAAACTTCTCTAGTTCTCTTGACACACTAAGTTTGTACCCAAACCCTATGAGACCTGAGTAATACTCACTGTTGCTGGTTTATAGTCTGTTGAAGAAAGTGGTACTTTAGGAAGGTTTACCTGGCCATAGAATGACAGTCAGATGAAACCTTCAGAGAACAAAAGTTCAAAGGGTTGGATGTTACTTTCTGCAATTCTCATCTGTCAACTACAGAAAGAAAAGATGGGGGCAATTGATTTCAAAGAGGCCCACTGGCTATTCTATGTTACCCCCAGGGAAACATTTCCCTGGCCCAGACTTTATGCTGGTTTCACTTGAAGACCTGAAGTTTAAGCTACAACAGTTTTCAATTCAACCATGTTGAGGAAAACACCAACTTGGAGCTTGAGGAAATTTTGATACCAAAAATGATATGAATTTTAGAGGCTGAACAGTACATTTCTAACCTTTGGAAAGGTCACTCTTCCTGTTTTCAGGTTTATGTGCCACATTGTTTGTGGTGCTTTTGTTTCAACTCTTGTTTCTTTCTCCTTCAGGGCATTTCTGTGTAAATGTCACTTTCGTCCATCAGCACACTGCAAAGGTGGTTTAATGTAGATATGAGTTTCCGTTCACCCAATATGGTTTTTGTGTTCTGTTTAGTTCTGTTTTTTTATTATTATTATTATTTCAATTGATCTTGTACCTATAGTGCTATTTGCAAAGGGATTTGTAGTCCCCAAAGAAGATCTCTAAAGCACCAACCAACAAACATTAAACAGTATCACAACACAGTGCTACACAGAGACAGTTCCCCAACCTGGTGTCTGAAGGTTGGTAGTCAATCATAATCTTTCCTCCTAAAAATTAGAAGCAATTAGGAATAGACATGGGAGTCAGGTGGAGAAAAATACACTTGCTTTTGCTGAGAAAGGTGGTGAGATTCATGTGACTTGAACCCATGGACAACAAGCTTCCTATCTCTTTTCCCAACTGAATTTACCAAGTCTCAGTACTGTGTCTGGCCTCTTCTGCAGGGACAGAGAAGCCACCAAAGCAAAATAACTTTGGGGGCTGGGCAGGAAGAGAGAGAGATATAAACAGGAGCCACAATATTCTGGTTTAGACACTTGTAGCTCTATGATCTTAGACAAGTTGCTTATTCTCAGCCTTAGTCTCCTCATTCTTAAAGTGAGCATTCCTAGAATCAAATGAAATAATGCATGTAAGGTGCTTTGCACAGTACCTGGCACATAATGAGTATGCCATAAAAAGTAACTTCTGTTATCTGGAGTATTAATATTTTATTCCCACATTCAACCCACAGACCCTTAGGACAAAATCTTTCCCATTCCTTGGGCATTGAGGCCCTAAGGAAAGGGTCAGATGCAGATGACAGCTCCAATTCTGGGGCTGCTCCAGAGAAATGTTATTGAAATCACTTTGTCATGCAAAATTTAAGGAGCATCTACTTCCTAATAATCATAGAATTAGGCAGAAATAAAAGCTAGAATTTGGAATGACATTTTCTATAGAAATGATGATTGCAGTGTAGCAGGGGAGCGGAGGGGAGGGAGGTAGTTGTTTCTCTATCTCAGTTGCTAACATTGTTCATGTAGCAAAGTATCAAGCTCCAAACAGCCAATAAGCAAATAAAATTTGAAGGCCAGGGAGTATCTCATGTTCACAGAATATGACAAAACAAACAGAATTATACATTTCAACATGCCATTAAAACTAATATTGTGGTTCACTTCTTTTTTATCCATATTATAATGGAAGTTTCAAAATCTCTAGGTTATGAAAGTAGTTCCCAAGTCTTTCCGAGCCCTCAGGAAGGGAATAAACTCTTCTTTCAGGTCATTCATCTTTCCTTAAGTCAGTAAACCAGACAGAGGGTCACAGCACAAAATGACCCCCACATACTATTTTTTATGAAACTACTTTTGAATTATTAATGGTTGGTCTGCACCAAAATCTTCAAGACAAAGATAAAACATAAAATACAAAGTCTCTGTCTTCAGAAAAGTCATTAACCTTTGCAAAGATCATATTTAAATACAGTTTTTAACATTTAGCTTCTACTTAACAGCCATGTATTTCCTTTTCCATTGTGGCAAATTTAAATGTATTAGATTATGGTCTCTTTCTGCTATGTTTCATATAAGTAGAAGAGCATAGGTAATGTGAAAATACTGGGATTGCAGTAATCGAAAAACTAACAATTAGCACTGAAAAAATTTATAATGCAGCTACATCTTTCTAAACTTCAAAAGCTATATTTCAGAAGAGTGTATCTACATGTCAAGCTAATGCATTCAGTAGTAAAATCAAGATGGCCAACTTAATAGGTTTGGTAGTTATATGGTAACCTAATCACAAGTCAAACTTCTGGAAATCCTGTTAATTTGTTCATTTATTTACTCATTCATTACAGAAGAATTTACTGAGCACCAACAATGTGCCAATTGTTTGAGAAACAGAGTGATAAAAGCAAAGAAGTCCTCTCCTAATCTAGTAGTTAAACATAATTGTGACTCCAAAAGTGAATTTCAGAATTCTAGTAAACAGAACAACTAGCACTTTTTACCTTGTATGAGTCATTCAATCTACATGTAGATACTATTAGCTCAGATTTTACTGAAATCTATGTTAAGCATAATTGTCTAGTTTTCTAATCCTTAGCACATTTTAGGCAGACAATTAGAAGTTCCCACTATTGTTCAAAAATGTATAACCAATAACAGTACTTGCTACAGTTCATTAAATTCTTGTTTCTTGTTAAGAATGATTATCAGTTTTATGTATTTTAACATGTTTAATCTTCACAGCAATCATATGAGGTTGGTATCATTCTTATATCCATTTTCAGATGACAAAACTATGACACTGAGCGGTTTCAGTAACTTGCTAAGCTCACTCTTCTAGTAAGAAGCAGAGAAGAGACTGGAACACAGAGAATCTGACATTGGAAGCCATGGTTTTGAACACTGCAGCACACTCACTTTCTAATAAAGGATGCTCCCTTGACATACCATTCTTTTCCTGTTTTGACAATTTTTGGTAGATGCATTGGATTACCTTATAAAATTATAGGTTATTTGGGTGGTAATTGTTGTGTCAAGTTTTCCATAAAATGGGAAGCACCCTGAGTTCATACACAAAGACCAAATGGAGCGAAGTCATTGCTTAATGTATTAAAGTAGCCTTTCTTTGTCCTGATAGCAAACTGTAGTTCTTTATAAAAATAACTGGCATAGGAGAAGAAGCAGGGATAAACTTTAGGCCAGACTTTCCTGTTGAAATTATCGTTGGGTGAGAAAAACACCCAACTTATCTTACTCAATGTATTAGGCCGTTCTCGCATTCCTATAAAGAGCTACCTGACACAGCATAATTTATATAGAAAAGATAATTAACTGGTTCACAGTTCCACAGGCTGCACAGGAAGCATGGCTGGGGAGGCCTCAGGAAACTTGCAATCGTGATGGAATGTGAAGGGGAAGCAGATCTGTCCTCCATGGACGGAGCAGGAGGAAGAGAGAGACGGGGAAGGTGCTACACACTTTTGAACAACCAGATCTCATGAGAACTCATTATCAGGAGAACAGCAAGGGGGAGGTTCGCCCTCCATGATCCAATCACCTCCCACCAGGCCCCTCCTCCAACACTGGGGATCACAATTCCACATGAGATTGGGTGGGGTATAAATCCAAACTATAACACTCATCAATAGGAAATTCACTCCCATTCAAATATTATTTTATATTGAGGCAGAACTAAGATAAATCAAATGATTTTGAATGTCTCTGCTCCAGAAAAAGTTGTTAAGAGAAAAAGCACTTGGCTATGCAAACTTTTTTGTGCAGACCTGGGTCATCTGAATCATCAATATTTGTGTGAGGCAACATGGAAACACACTAAACTTAGAGCCAAAAAAAAGTAGATAAGAGCTTTTGCATCACAACTCAATAATTTTCTGATCTTAAAAAATGTGACTAAGTTGTTATGATCCTCATTTTGTCTGTAAATTGGGATACTCTCTACTAAGCATACAGAAGTATTATTAAGAGAACAAAATGGCATGATGGATGTGAAAGTGCTTTATGAACTTTGCACAGATTCAGTTTAATTCAATTCAGAAGCATTTCTTGGGCATCTTCTATGTGAAAAGGACTGCAATAAGCCCTGAACAAGATCAATGGGATCTAGCGAAGCTTTCAAGAATTATTATCACTAGCATGTTAGTTTTAAGTCATATTTATGGCAGAATAGAGTTGTGTTTTATGTGTAATATATACAATTTATAGTACATTTGGACTCCTTGTTTCATAAATATTTACTGTAAGTATATGTTCACTTTCTAGGACATAAGGCATAATTTTACACTTTTAAATCATTGTAGCTTTCTGTTATTATGACACACTAATCATCATTTCTGTGATTTGTTGACAAATCCTTCTTGAAAATATGTGTCAATTATAATATTATTTCCATAAGAATCACACTCTATCGTATGGGTTTTTAGGAATATATCACACTCTAATTTGGAGCCTTCCTATATTTTAAGTTGACTTTTCAGATCGAGGCACTAATAGGTAAACCAAAGTGTGATATCTGAGACAAATAAAAGGAAGCACTGAATATTTTTCTTAAGTTCTGTAGGTGATGGCTTTGAGGTTGTGTTTAACAATGATCAAATACACATTTTTCATTTTTCCCCAAGTGAGAAATTATCTCATTGTTTATTATTCATTCAATGAGCATTTACTGTATAGTCACTATGTTTTAAGCATTATTCTATAAGCCCTGAGGGATATGAACAATTTTAAAAATCTAAATAAATAATATAGCCCCTGCCTTCAAAGATCTAGAAATAAACATTCCCTAGACCAGGATACAATGTTAAGGATAGCTCACCAGAAAAACAGAAAGACCCTGTTCTGTGGCAGAGCCACCATACCAGCCCTAGAATGTAAACCTCCAGACAACACATGGAAAAATAAAACTAGAAAATAAAATAGTAGAAAAGTAAAACTACTAATTGATTTGAGTCATTTTTGGAGGGTTTTTGTTATTCATAGCTGAATACAATTTCTAACACATATGGATCACTAATTAATATGGACCCCAAAAGAGGGTATCTTCCCTCCTTCATTTCTGGGCAGAAGAAAATGCAGAGGAAAGATGCTATGATGAAAACATGATAAGAAGCTGAGAAACAGTATGGAAGTTCATCAAAATAGGTCTACAACATAACTCAGAAATTCCACTACTGGATATAAATCTAAAGGAAATGAATGAAACCATTATATCAAAAATACGTCTGCACTCCCATGTTTATTGAGTTATTCACAATGGCCAAGACATGGAAACAAGCTAAGTGTCCAACAATGAATGAGTTGATTAAGAACATGTGGCATATATACACTGGAGTACTATTTAACCTTAACTAAAAAGGAAATCTTGTCATTTGCAACAACAGAGGTGAGCCTGGAGGGCGTTATACTAAGTAAAATAAGCCAAGCAAAGAAGTACAAATACCACATGATCCGTGTATATGAGAAATCTAAAAGAGCTGAACTCATGGAAGCAGAGAGTAGAATGATGGGAGGGGATGAGAGAGGGAGGGTATGGAAATGTTGGTCAAAGTATAACACAATTTCAGTTAGACAAGAGGGATATGTTCAAGAGATCTATTGTACAATGTGGTAACTATAGTAAATATAACAATGTATTGTACACTTGAAAATTGCTGACAGAATAGATTTTAAGAGTTATCACCACAAAAAATAAGTGTATGAGCTAATAAATATATTAATAATCTTGATTTAGTTATCCCATGATATATATATATTTCAAAACATCATTTGTACAGCATAAATATATGCAATTTTGTCAAATAAATAAGAGACTATGTAAGACCTCACCGAGCACAGGAAACTTAAAAAATGTAACTTATGAAGATACTTAGAACTTGTCTAGGAGCAAAGTAAGAAAAAAAAAACATGTCAGGCTGAAACAATGACAGAAACAAAGGTGTGGAAGGATGAGAGAACAAGATATCATGGCATTCCAGGTAAGGCTATGAAGATTTAACCTTCGGCCATTGTGGGGGCATTCCAAGTGGATCATTGCAATTTATTGAGTGATACTGCGTCCCACTATGTGCCAATAGCCTGGTTCAGAAGTTTCTCCATCACTAGAGAAACTTGAACACTGTGGGAAAGTGCCAGCTTGGACTGTGCCTATTGAAAATGCTTATTAAGGAGTGGCATAAGACCCATGAAACAGAAAAAAAAATATGCTTCCTTGAATTACAGCAGCAGAGCATCTGCCATTTGCCTTTTGAGAGGTTGTGTGTGATGGTGCATTTCCATTTCTCTAGATTTTCAGAATACAGAATAAATCAGAGCTACATGGGTCATCTCTGGGGAGCAACAGATACACACAGGTATCTGCTCCATTATGAGACGAACATTGTCTAAAGAAAATGAAGTTCTCAGAAATTCTTTCTTTTCTCTTCCTTGCACTGTATTTGATTTTCAATTTGAGATTTCTTTCAATTTCCTTCATTAAAAGACAATTCCACAAACATTTCTGCAGCAGTTACTATGTGCCACTCAGTCACTGAAATGGGAATATAGATAATTTCAACTGCATGGGGATAAAGCTGGGCACAACGTTTAGGCCAGAATGGGGTGAGGAACAGTAAATTGAGTTGCTATATTTAGCAAACAAAAATACAAGATGTCCAGCTAACATTAGATTTCAGATAAATAATGTATTACTGTTACTATAAGTATGTCCCATGTAATCTTTGAGGAATATTTAATCTAAAAGATCATTCATTGTTTGTCTGAATACATTCAAATTTTACCATGTGTACAGTATTTAATCTGGCAACATTAACAGTTAAAGACATGTATACAGAAAAGGAGACTGAAAAAAAGACATTTTGCTCCCTAATAAGGGCCTAAAAGATCACTGCAATATTAGCTTCTAGGACTGAGTTCTTCTCCAGCGGGAACCCCTGGGAACAGCCAAACTGACTGTTTACATGCAGCACCTACTCTAATTTAGAGGTGCTCATACTACACTGTGAAATACTTTAAGAATTACTCCCTGCTTTACCCTTTTCACTCATTGCTGAGTTCAGCACAAGGGCATCCTCAAAGGAAAATAGGTTCACTCAGCATTATATCTCCTAATAATGCAAAAAAAAGCCAATGATATCTAAATTACAAGCCAAACTGGCCCTTCCCCAGCTTTGATGTTTTGGTTGCAGATATATTTGAATATAGTGCAATGAATCTGCAGGACAGAGCAGATGGGGTGGAGCTGGGAATTAGAACTAACTCAGCTACAAGGGATGTGGCAAGAGTTAGTGAGACAGGGCCCCCTACAGGTGCTAAGAGACAGATCTGTCCAGGGACATAACAGGTTCCCAAACAGATGGGTAACAATGGGGCACAGACCAGAAAATAAATATGCAGTGGCCTGAAAGATAGGCATCCAAGATAAGGAGGAGGGCAAAGCCGGACAGGAAACCCAGGCAGGGGCTGCTCAGGATCCTCTGCAAAGAGCTAGGACTGTCAGCTGATAGAAACTCAGGTCCGAGACTAAGTGTGAGGGCCAGACTCCAGTTGCTGGATTGGGTAAAGCAAGGTAGAAAGAAGGTTCCAGATTTAGAGGACCCTGTCATACTGAGCACATTGAAAACAGTTTAGGAAGAAAGAGAGAGAGAGGAAGGAAGGGAGGGAGGGAGGGAGGGAGGGAGGGAGGGAGGGAGGGAGGGAAGGAGGGAGGGAGGGAGGGAGGGAAGGGAGGGAGGGAGGGAGGGAAGGAAGGGAGGGAGGGAGGGAGGAATGGAGGAAGGGAGGAAAAGAAAAAGAGAAAGGATATGATATACAATAGATATTTGTATAGAGCTGAGATTTTCTAAAATTGGAAATTCATCTAATTACCAAATAGTGATTGAGTATATCCATGGGCCATGTCATTTACTATGAGAAGCAGTGAGGACTTAATAATAACAATATACTACTAGCAACCAATGGTTCTTGAATGCTTTTGATATACCAAGTTATGTTTCCATATTCTTAGCATTTATACATTTATTTTATTCTTACAACAATTTTATGAGGAAATTACTATTATTACCTCCAATTTCCCCATGAGGAAGTCAAGGCAAAGAGGAATGCACACTGCGATCTGCTCTTGGTTACACAGGGAGTTGAAAAATGAGAATTTAAATCAAAAAAATGTGGCTGCCGGAGTCACGTCCCAATCCACTACACCACCATGCCAGAGTGGTACTCTACACCACTCTGTACACCATGAGTACACCATGCCAGGGTGATACTCTACATCATCTTTACTGACAGTGAAGACACTCATAAACAACTAATGCAGCACACTAATATCACATGGGCTATTACAAGAAATTGAACAAATAGAGTCTTGGTGATCCAGAGAAGGAAAACTGATAGACTTCTATGGCTATAACATATTTAACTGGGTCTGGCATGATGATATCTGAGATTTTGCCATGAGGATAAGACAAAGAGCTTTCCAGAAGGAAGGAATGAAATGATAAAAACTCCTGGAAGGAGTGCTCAGGGAGGGAAATCTATTTCAAGACATGGGAGCATAGGACGCAGCTGGGAAAAGTGGCAGATGAGGAGGATGGCAGGTAGAGTGAGTTCCCCAGTAAAGCAGGGATCTCACAGTGGAGATTCTGAGGAGCCATCCTGGGTCAGAAGCAGGTGACACAACAAAAGCCCAGAGTAGTGTGGAAAATAGATTGAGTGATGGGAAGGAGAGACAGGATCTGGATAAGACTGGAGACTGAGCCCCAGAATGTGAAAGAAGAGGTCCTGAAACACACTCTACCTCAGGACAGGCACCCTGTCTCACACATCAGCTCCAGTTCTCCAAGAAGCAGGAATAAGGAAGCTGGGAATTAGGTTGGGCTGGTGTGTAGTGACAATAATAGTAAATCCTTTCATATGGCATTTACCAAATGCCAGGTAGTGCTCTAAGTGTTTTATACCTATTAACTCTTTAAATCCTCACAACTTTCCCATTTTACAGATGAAGGGATAGAGAAGTTAAGTAATTTGTTCAAGGTCATAGAGCTAATTTTGTTGGGGAAACTGTATTAGTAAGGGTTGTTCAGAGAAACAGAACCAACAGGATATATAGATACAGATATACATATATATATATATAGAGAGAGAGAGAGAGAGAGCAACATATATATATATATATATATATATAGAGAGAGAGAGAGAGAGAGAGAGAGAGCGCAATATAAATAGGTTCATTATGAGAGATTGGCTCACACCATTATGGTGACTGAGAAGCCACGCAGTGTCCTGTCTGCAAGCTGGAGGCCAGGAAAGCTGATGGTGTAGTTTCAGTCCAACAGCAGAAGCTTGAGAACCAGGAGGACCAGTGATGTAAGTCCCACTCCATGTCCCAAGGTCTGAAAACCAGGAGCACTAAATCTCTAAGGAAGCAGGAGAAGGATACCCCAGCCCAAGAAGACAGAGTGAATTTGTCCTTTTTTGCGCCTTTCTGTTCTAAGCTGGTCCTCAACAAATTGGATGATGTGCACCCACACTGGTGAGAGCAGTCTTCACTCAGTCTACCAATTTAAGTGCCGTTCTTTCCCAGAAACACTCTCACAGCCGCATTTAGAAATAATATTTTACCAGCTATCTGGGCATTCCTTAGCCCAGTCAAGTTATCACATAAAATTAACCATCACAGGAACTTAGCTTTGAACTCAAGCAGCATGGCATCACAGTCTGTGTCCCTATCCAGTGCACTCCACTGTCGGTGTCTCCAAAATAGAATGACAACTAGCAATGTAATCTGACTCACTAACTATAATTGCAAAATTTTCAGGACCCAGAGAAGTCATGTTCCCAACACAGAATGAAAGAGAATAGGGTTAAATCAGCAATCAAGGGGTCGAGATATGCAGGAAGAAATAAAGCTTCTTCCTTTTTGTCCCCTTGGTGGAAATGATGCAGCCTTGTAATTGTGACTTCTCAGTTATCAGGAAGGAGTTAATCTCAGAACCCATAAAGAATTTGGCTCAATTTTATCTTCACTCTTGTGAAACTGTGAGTCAGTTTTTCTTTCTTTTCTTACTTATTTGATCTTTCATTTCCCCTTCCATAAAATTTGGAAGATAATACCTACCTTATAAAGTTTTGAAGGGACTAAAAAGGGTAGACACAGACAGCATTCAGCCCACAGTAAGTTCTGAGTAAATTGTAGTGTTGGGTGATGATAATGGTGGTAAATATGTGATGAGTTCCCTGTCTATGGAGGTAATGAAGTAGAAAATAAGTGCTATTAATGTGAGATATTGTGTTGTCCTTTTCAAATTGTATATTTTAGATCCATTCCAAAATGTGATCAGAGCCATGCAGGAAATTCTTGTGGCATGACCACACTAACTTGATAATTGATGTTATTTGGTCAGGTTCAGTTCAGCAGCAGCTGAAAGAATGGCAAGAAAATAACTGCCAGAGCTCCATGAATGCAACGTTGAAACCTTAGAAAAAACAAAGATAGGAAATACGGTGAAGACGTCTAACAGTGAACTTCTGGTAGATAACTTATCTCTAGAATCTGAGCTCCCAATACCTCAATTCATTCCTCATCAGATATTATTAGCAAAGTCCACTGGGGAAGGTTTCCTCCATAGAAACAAATCTCATTTCATCACATTGGTAATGAGAAAACTGGGATTTGCATTTTAGGCATTGCTCTATCTATGTTATTCAGAAATGAATCCATTTTGGTACTGGAAGCATGGCACTGTTTCCTCTTATTGAAACTGAGCTAGAAATTCAAGTTAGGCCAGGTAAATTAAGTCTTAAGTAAACCTGCAAGACTTATACATGTAGATTTTTCTTAATTTTTTGTTTGTTCAGTTTTTTCCTTTTGTTTATACTTTCTTCCACAATTTAAAAATGTAATAAATAGGCCAGACGCAGTGGCTCATGCCTGTAATCCCAGCACTTTGGGAGGCCAAGGTGGGCGGATCACAAGGTCAAGATTTTGAGACCAGCCTGGCCAATATGGTAAAACCCCGTCTCTACTTAAAAAAAAAAAATACAAAAATTAGCTGGGCGTCGGGGCACGCGCCTGTAGTCTCAGCTACTTGGGAGGCTGAGGTAGGAGAATTGCTTGAACCCGGGAGGCGGAGGTTGCAGTGAGCAGAGATCGCACCACTGCACTCCAGCCTGGGAGACAGAGCAAGACTCCATCTCAAAAAAAAAAGAAAAAAAAAAAACAGAAAAAAATATGATAAATATAATCACTTGTAGCATCATAAAGATCCACAAAGACTTATAACTTACATTCTTGAAGTAATTATGTCTGACCTAAAGGAAAAGCTTTTAAAAACTGGTTGAAAATAATTACACAATGTAGATAAATGCCTCTTTTCACTTTCCAAGGCTTGAAGCTTATATAAGAGCTTGAAGGTAGGCCCAGAATGTTCCAAACCAGTGGTACTGGAAGCGCCTTCTACTTGCAGAAGTAGAAAATGGAGTGAGGAGACCAGAATTCTCATCCTAGTTCTGGGATTCATTTGCTTTGTGATTTGGGAGAGTCGTTTACCTCTTTGGGCCTCAATTTCCTCAGTTGTTAAATGGAGTAGCTGTACTTTGTGATTTCTAAGAACTTGAAGTCTTAGTGAGTAGAGAAAGATGCACACTATCTACAGTAAGATGTCGTGTCTCAGCAGTGGTCAAGAGCAGGCTCTTTGGAGCCACACTACCCAATATCACCTCCCAGCAGTACCACTTACTTTCAGTGGGAATGCAGGTTAATTACTTACACTTTCAGTGTCTCATTTACCCTCTTTGCAAAACAGAAATGATAATGATAATACCTATCTCATAGGGTTGTTGGGAGAATTGAATGAGTTAACATTTTAGCACAAAACAGTTCTTAGTGCAATGCTAGGCTCACTAGGAAATCTCTGTAAGAATTACTCTTTGCCAACCGCCGTGTTAAATCCTTTACTTAAATTTTATCATCCAATCCTCACAGTCCTCCTTCAAAGCTAAGATTCTTATCCCAGAGAATCTGGTATCCTGCCCAGAGCTACACAGCTAGTAACAGCCAAGGTGGGATTCGAACCATGCAATAAAGGGCTCCCCAAATCTTTGCACATTTGATGGCAATCATATTGCCTCCCTGGTCCTTCTTTCCTCTTTATTCTTTCTGGCTCTTTCTGCATGCAGACCTGAGGTTTTACACCAAATAAAAACTAGCAAATGAGCCGAAGAGGGTGTTATATTTAAACCTGCACTTCCAAAGATGTGAAAGTCTTAGAATTGGATAATCCTGTGTGACTATAACAAATCATTTAATTTCCCACCTCTGGAGCTCCTTATTTTAGATAATAGTGTCACCTGCCACAGACTCTCTCCAGCTAGATTTCTAAGATGGGGTTAATGTCACAGGACTGAGAGTTGTAACCATGAGAAGAGATAAGACTACATAATAATCGAAAGAGAAGCACTATGTGATTATCATATAGATGCCAATATGGCATTGATGCAATTGAATATAAACTACTGATAAAAGCGTGTTAAAAACACAGGATGATAAACAGTGTGCATTACCATATTTAATCATGGCTCAACCATGACATTATCATTAAAGTTAAGGAAATGAAATACCTCTTACAATAGGTATGAATATCGTACATGATAAAAAATATTATCAATTAAAAATAATCATTATATATCTATAAATCCTAATAAGCCAACTGAAAGACTTCTAGAATTATAACAAAGATAATTTAAATAAAGTAGTTAAATACAAATACATTTTCAAAAATTAATAGTATTGTATCTTCCAAATGTGACAGCTATAGCCTCTTATTGATCTGCCCCATCTTGTTCATTACCCTATAACCTCTTTTCCACAAAGTAGCTACAATAATCATTTTAAAGCAAACCGATAGTGTCACGGGCACTATTTATAAGTAATATGCTGACAACAGAATAATATCTTTAATCATAAAGTATGTTTATAAATTAATTAAAAATCACTCATATCTTAAAAATAGGAAAGGGACATTACTAAATAACTCACATAAGTAAAACAACAAATGTGGACATATGCAAAAATGATCAGACTCCCTAAACAAATGCAAATGTAATGAGTTAATATTTTTCAAGTATTAAAGTAGCAAAGATTTTTCAAAGATTATCCTAGTATTGGCAAGGATGCATTAGGCAGGCACTCACCCGTTATAAGGAAGGGAAAATTGGCACAACCTGACTGAGATGCAATTTGGCAATGTGAATTGAGTCTTTAGAAAGTTTATATCTATGGAATCAGTAGCTTCTACAAATATATCCTGAATACATGAGTAGATAGATTTGTGTACAAGGTTGCTCAATGTAATTAATTATAATGGCAGGAACAAAATGATTCTAACCTAAGTGTTTAGTAGACCAATAGTTAAATGCAAAGCAGTATAGTTCTTTTATGGTATATAGTTTGACCATTTAAATTAATGTTCTTAAAGTCAAAGGATATCAGAAAATACTAATGACATAATGTTGAGTGAAAAAATTAGGATACTAAACCATCATCGATATCATCCTAATTTTAAATATATTTATGCAAGAAAACTTTATGATAATGTATTTTTAAGTGAGTCATCTTAAGGTGGTTAAATCATAATTTTTTTTTTTTTTTTTTTTTTGAGACAGGGCTTTGCTCTGTCACCCAGGCTGGAGTATAGTGGCTGGATCATGGTTCATGGTTCACTGCAGCCTCAACCTCTCAGGCTCAGGAAATCCTCCGACCTCAACCTCTCAAGTAGCTCGGACCATGGTGCACGCCACCACACCTGACTAATTTTTTTAAATTATTTTTAGAGCTGGGGTCTTCCTATGTTGCCCAGGCTGGTCTCCAACACTTGGACACAAGTGATCCTTCTGCATCGGCCTTCCAAGGTGCTGGGATTACAAGCATGAGCCACATGCTCAGACTAAGAATTTTTTATTTCCAAGTGTTCTTATATTTTCTAAGCTTTTGACTATTACTACTTTCAAAATATTATTGTTTTGTTACCAAAAAATGTTCTTAAAATTTAAGACATTATTAAAAGGAAAGAAATCATGTTAACATTTAAAAAGAAAAATCAAGAGAAGTTTCATTTGAGGAAAGTAAGACTTGGTTTCCATCTGTAGGCTAATATGATAAAAAGGTTAGAGATCAGAAAATAGAGAACAGTACAAAAATCTAATCAATAAAGATACACAAAAGTAGTATGACTTCATCAAAAGGAAAATAGGCCCCTAAATAAATAATGATGTCACTTCACCTATTAAGTCAACAACACCTGGAAAATTGATGACTGTGCACAGTAGAGCAAAGGGAGATCAAATCCTCAATAATCTCATGGTCAAAGTTTCACACAAGTTCACTGCTAGTGTTGGTACAAACTAGTGCTACCTTTTTGAAAAGCAGCCTTCTAATCTAAAAGCACCATAAGAATGTGCATTCTCTTTGATTTAGTGTGGAAATTTATTCTGAGAAACAAGCCAAAAGAAATAAAAGTTATATGCTGAAAATGTACATGACAGTATTGTTGATAACAGCCCCAGAACATCAAAGCAATCCAAATATTGCAAAGTATGTGAATAGTTAAATAAATGATGAGACTGTTAATTTAGTTATTTTTAACATAAAAAGAATGCTATATAATACTGTGTCTATGTTGCACAGGTGTAATATTAACTGAAGAGATCAGGATACAAAATTATGTATATACAAGGTTGGAGCAAGGTAAAAATACCTATGTATATGGTGAAAACTAAAGATTTTAGTATATCATAAAGTACATTTATAAATTATCTAAAAGGATATACCTATATTTGACCATATATATACAGGTATTTATATATTTGATCCCATATATAGGTATGTTTAAACATATCTATATATATGGTCAAAATTAAAGTGTTCTGGTTTTGACCATATATTATATAGGTATGTCTAAAAATTACCTATATTTGACTATATATAGGTATTTATATATTTCACTACATATATAGGTAAGTTAAAAATACCTATATATGGTGGAAAATAAAAGATTTTAGTATATCATATCGTATGTACATCTTTCAAAAGATATACAATTGTAATTGATTTGTTCTCTTTTTATGCTATACCTAATTCTGCTCTGAATTATATTGTTTTGAGAGAGACAATAAAAGATAAATTGTATAAGTGAAGAAGGCTTCCGGAAAAGAAGGAAATGGAAGAGTCAAGGTATACCCTGAGGAAAGAAATGAGGTTCAGCAAATACAGTATGTTCTCACGTATAAGTGGAAGCTAAACATTGGATACTCATGAACATGAAGATGGCGACAACAGACACTGGGGACTACTAGTGGAGGAATAGAGGGAGGGGGACAAGGTTTGAGAAACTAGCTTATTGGGTACTATGCTCACTACCTGGGACATGGGAACAACCAAATCATGAACCTCGGCATCACGCAATATACCCATGTAACAAACCTGCACATGTACCCCCGAAACTAAAATAAAATTTGAAATTATTTTTCAATGAGGTTCAGATGTTTTAATTCAGATAGATGGTCTCCTTCATGCCATCATTCTGTGATGTACCTTCAAATAAATTAATGAGGAATTGCCACACTGTCTTCCACAACGGTTGAGCTAATTTACACTCCCAACAGTGTAAAAGCATTCCTTTTTCTCCACAACCACCCCTGCATCTGTTATTTTTTGACTTTTTAATAATAGCCATTCTGACTGGTGTGAGATGGTATTTCATTTTGATTTTGATTCACATATTCTCACTTATAAGTGGGAGCTAAATGATGAGAACACATGGACACATAGAGGGGAACAACACACACTGGGGCCTATTGGAGGGTAGAGGGCGAGAGGAGGGAGAGGATTGGGAAAAATAACTAATGAATACTAGGCTTAACACCTGGGTGATGAAATCATCTGTATAACAAAGCCCCATGAGACACATTTATCTGGGTAACAAACCTGCATATCCTGCACATGTACCCCTGAACTTAAAATAAAAGTTAAAAAGTAAATTTATTAATAAACTTATTCCTAAAATATTACAGTAAATACATGGTATGAACTGAATCATGTTCCCTCCAAAATGTCCATGTTGAAGCTCTAACCTCCAGTACTTCAGAATGTGACTGTATTTGAAGATAGAGCCCTTAAGGGGGTAATTAAGTTAAAATGAGGCCCTTAAGGTCCTAAGCCACTCTGACTGATGTCCTTGTAATAAGAGGAAATTCAGACATACAGAGAGACACCAGGGATGCTCAGGCACAGAGAAAAGCCCATGTGAGGACACAGCAAGAAGATGGCCCTTTGCAAGCCATGGAGAGACCTCAGGAGAAGCCACACCTGCCAACACCATACTTTGAAGTTCTAGTGGTGTGGGATAATTAATTTCTGTTGTTTTAGCCATCCAGTCTGTGGTATTTGTTACAGCACCCCCCTAGCAAGCGAATAAGGTGTTATTTTTAATCCCCATTTTACGTATAAAGAACAGTAGACTTAGAATGGTTAGGTAACTCATCAAAGGTCACAAAGCTGGCAAGTATAAAAGTCTAGATTCAAACCCAGAGATCTTGCATTCCAAAGCCTAGCTTTATCCACCACACCTGTCCAGAAAATTACTCTGTTCCTTCAGACAGTTGGAGAGAGAAGTAATTGAGTGAAGATATCAAGTTTACTCTGGAGGGGATGAAAAGAGTGGGGAACAAAAAGGCAAGATGAGGAAATATTAAATGAGTGTCCGGTTTTCAGTGAAATATGGTGAAATAGTCTGCTAAGAAATGGATCATAAAATTTCTAGAGAATGTAAAAGCCACCAGCAGCTTCTGTGAGAAATCAGATCGGATACCAGCCAGGGCTCCAGAGCACATCAGAATTCCTATTCTGGAGAGAGGTAATAAACTGTAGAGAAAAGAACACGTGCTTTGAAATCACACAGTTGAGATTTTGAATTTTGTCTTTAGCTCTTCCTACAACAGTGGTGGTTCTCAGCCAGGGACCACTTCTCCCACCGCATCCCCAAGAGATGTGGCAATGTGGACACATTTTTGTTTGTCAGTGATGGGATTGGAGTGCTACTAGTGTTTAGTGGTACCTAGACAGGGATGCTGCTAAGCATACTACAATGCACAGGGCAGCCTCTCACAACAATTATCTAGCCCAAAATGTTAATAGTGTCAGGTTTGAGAAACCCTGACCTGGAGGGATGCCCTTTTAAAAGATTCTTAGCTAAACCTTCTGAGCCTTAGTTGCTGTACTTCTAAAATAATAGGGGTAATACCTGCCTTAGAGATCTTTGACGATTACAGTCATTGTATGTCTAGCACAAAGCAAAATGTTCAGTCACATGGGCACTCCTAAACTATAATTTTATCTCCACTTAACCAACTGGGTCTTTAGGTTCCCTTTATCTCAGTTTTCTCAAATTACTATCTCCATCAAATCGAGCTACAGATTTCAAAATCCAGTCTCAACATTGACCAACACTGACTTGTCTATCAACCTTCCAGGTTTACGCCTCACCCCCTAAATACTAGTTTGAATTGGGCCAATATTTATTTTACAACCTGATAATAAAGAGGTAACATGTCAAAGTGTTACTCTAGAACTCAAGCATACATTTCACTTCTAGAATTGTATTGATTGTAAGGCAAACATCATGGATATGTACATGGATATCTAAAGAGATGTTTATTCCAGCATCATGCATTGTAAGAGAGTAAGAAAGAAGTAGCAATAATCTAAACATTTGATAGGATTGGTTAAATCAATGATGGTATACATTCTTTTAGGAGAGTGCATTTTCTGGTGTAAAATGATAAAAGATAGATTACAATTTAGTATGTGAAGCATGAATATTTCTGATAAAATATCATTAAGCATCAAAAATAACTGACAAAAAAACCCCAGACATTAAAATAGAAAAAACAGTTTTCTCTGATGGTGAAATTACAGCTGGCATTTTTGGTGTGCTTTACTGTACATTTCAAATTTTCTAAAATAAACTCATAATACTACTTTAAACAAAATAAGAGCAATAAATATTATATAATTTTGGAGTTAAGTGTATATGTCAATCAAATTCAAAAGTAGTTGCACTTCATTTGAATAAAATCAAAGAAAATCTTAAAACACAAGCCAGTTGAGGTTAAAAAGAAGAAAAATAAAATTCATAAAACAACAAGAAGCTCACTCCCTTTGAGGAGTTGCCAACTTCATTACTTGCAGTCCAAGAGTGAATAGTACTACCTGAGCTCTCAGAAGAGAAGCCAGCGTCTCTTCCAAATGCAACCAGTTTTCTGGTTAGATGTACTTTTTCTGTTTTATAGAACAGAATGATCAAATGGCCATTTGCCTTATCTCAACTGAGAAAGCTTCAAGTCTAAATTCTCCAAGTAATTGTAATTGGTCTTAAAATCAACACAGAAAACTTGTCTGCCATTCTCAGGCTTTCTTCAGTTCTGTGTGGTGGAATAGTTTTTCATAATATTTTTAAGAGTACCTATATATAAGAATTAAAGAATGAAAACTGTGAAGTGTTCCAAGAGCTTTCAGGAAATGCTTTTAATATGTAAGTACTTCAATGTGGAGTTTATGTAAATTGGAGAAAAGAGCAGTTTTGCAATGAATCCAAACAGCAAAAACATCTACTGCTCTTCTTCCACAGTTAGGCAGCTTCCGCACCATATATGTTTTGAAGTAGAATTCCTACAAATTCCTAAAATTTTCCAATACCAACGTTTTCCTATAACTCAGGCTGTGTCTACCAAAGCATCATGTGGTATAGGCCAATAACATCAGCATCCCAGCGCCACTTAACATGAAAGTCCTAAACCATCTTACTTCATTCTTTTGTTCGTTAGCATCCACTATACTCCTGTGCTACTTAGACTTCATCCCTTGGGTTTTTTTTTTTTTTTTTTCATTCTTAGCTCCATATTTGTTTTAGGGACATGACAACAGATGTGGCTTCTTCAGTTGTGACCACCAGAACTCTCTTGGCATGGTTTCATGCTTGCCTTCCGAAGTCTCTCCGCTGTGTTGCCTTGATGGCCACCTGGGCTCACGCCATCTGCCTGGCATAGATCCCTGTGGAAAAACACACTTGCTTGGCAGGCCCTACTTCCCTTATCAGCGGATGAGACATTTATGTACTTAAAAGGCACTAATTTCAAAGCTCTAGAGTCCAGAAGCCAGGGAATTTGGATGGTTAGCAATACCAACATAAGTATAATGAGAAGTGAATAATTCTGTTGAAAGCTACCCCAAAGCCATGTAGTACCTGTGAGTGATTATGTTCTTAGTGTTGTCTAGATTTTTGGTATTGAGTGAATAGATTTCAGCTCTGCCACTAACTGAATGGATGACCTTGAACAAGTGGCAAAACTTGCTGTGGTTTAGATTTTTCATCAGCAAAATGAAAACTCAGATAAAAGCAGAGAAACTTGAAAGTATCTGGTACAGAGAAAAGAGCACAGGTTGGGGTCAAATACAACTGAATTTCAATCTAACTCTGAGTGACATTGAACAATTTATATAATTTATCTCACCCTCAACTTTCTACTCTAAAAATGGATACTTTATAGCATCATTAAGTAGATTTAGAAAACATAGAAAGTGCAAAATAGAGTAGCTGGCACATAAGAATTGCCATCATAATTAGTACAGCCCTAAAGTTTATTTTAAATATATGGCATACATATACCAAATATATACCATGTCATAACTCATGAAGGGCAGACATCAATTATAGAACCTTTGAATAAGAAGGGGCTTCATCATGGGTGGTAAAATTTATTGAAATTAAAAAATGTTGCAATAAGAATATTTGTGCACTCTTATAATAAAGAGGCAGTGATGTTGTAAATTATAAACCCAGAAAATGAAAACCTCACGTACTGAAATTTGGTAAGCTAGAAAAAATATTTTACTATAATTAAAGTGATCTGGGTTATTTCTTTTCAGATCCTGTCACTAACTAGATTTATGACTTTCAATAAGTTATTTCCAACATGAGTTTTCTCTTCTGTAGTGACAAGTGCATTAGTCTCTACTCCCAATTGTCAAGTAACAAAAATATGACTTGAACTAGTTTCAACATTAAAGAACTATTACTCAATAGAAACGATCAAATTTAGTGCTAAGGTTAGGTATGGCTAGGATAAAAGACTCAAACAATGTAGTTGGGGTTCCATTTCTCTCAAGTACACTCTCTCCAAGTAATGAATGTAATAGAAATACATAATCAGAACTGATACTCTGCCAGGGGAAATGTATCCTCTTCCAAAGGTTTGGCAAAATACATATATGTGTATATGTACATCCCAGGGAGAATTCTGCCTTTTCTTCAAGCACGTGCCCATGGCTAGACCAATAGTTTTGACTGGGGCTTTGGGTGTTGTTCCATTCCTGAGTCATGTCTCCGGCTCTATGTGTGGTGAATAGAAAAGAAGAAGGGCCTACGATCATCAGAACCATATGGAATTCATTTCTCAGCTAGGTTGGTAGGTCTGTTTTCACCAAGAGGAATTGATGTTGTACCGGAAAAGAAGGTGGTGGCTTATATGATCTCAAGTTTCTTCATAGCTTATTTTTTCTGTATTCTGTTATTCTAGATCCCGTTACAAACAAGTACCGGAGAAGCTAGTTAAAATCTGAAGCAATGAACATTTAATATAACAAAAGAGCAAAAATATGATGTTTTACAACAAATAGAAATTTTACATGAACATGTACCCTGCAGTGGACAAAGGATAAGTAAGCACGAGGCTTTGTGCCTAGTGCTCTACTAGGCTTTGCTGGGACGACATGACGTGCTAAGGCTGGAGATGGGGAAGCCAAGGCAAGCACAGAGAAACAATGCAGGACCATTGGGTAAGGTCACTGGATAGGCTTGGAATCCTAACATCATGATACACAGCCTCATGTAAGTCCCCAAGGCTCTCTCTGCCTCTGATCTTTAAAATGGTTGCATAAACACTAATACCTAACTCTCCAAATAATTGCAAACACCAAAGAAATTAAAAGTAAAAGCATTTCAAAAGTGTAATGCAGTTCAGATATAATTATTTTTGCGGAACAGATTTTAAACAGGTACTAGATTTGTGATATTATTTATAAATGCTGCAGAAATTCAGATAAAGCAGAGGGCAGTAGGTAAGAGTCTGATTACACAGGGAAGTGTGATTAGAGTGGGGCTGAAGAGGATGGACGTGATTTGGACAGCAAAGAGGAGGGAGAAATTTACTGTAACAGATGAACTATTCTGACTTGATTGGAAAATAAGAAACTCCCAGTTTCATAGTTTTCTAACTCGTGCTAGTTTTCAGTCAAGTCTAGTTTTCCTTTTTCTGCTCACTGTATTTGCTTTGAAAGCATGGACAAATTCCACAAGTCTTGCTTGGTGAAGAGAGCACTACGTGCTAAGTATGTGCCAGAGAGAAAACCTCTTTAATGCTTATAGGAAAGAAAGGAGATCTGACAAATAGTTTGAAAACAATTTGGAGTCCGGTATTAAGGAGATCATGGGAAAAGGCTGCATAGAATCAAGTACTTAACTTCATCCTTGGTATTTCAAGTAACAAGTGTTACATGAAGAAACAGAACTATTGAGCAGTTGATCCTACGTTACTTTTTTTTCAGAAATAAAGTATTAGCAATTATAATTTTCTCTAGGCTCTGATAGCTTTCACACTCTTCTAATCCTTCTAATTCAACAATGATTTACTATGCCAGGAACTTGTCAGTTTCAAGGAAGACGGAGAGAAAGTTTTTGTACTTGACCTCAAGGAGCTTGTGTCTTGTGACTTAAGCTGGAATGACAGTTCAAAGAAGGTAACACAAGAGAAGGTGAATTTTTAGACAGCACATGAAGAGGTACCCATGCAGACATTGCACAATTCTGAGAGACAATAGAGCAGGACTGCTCTGAGCTGAACCAAGTTTAACCCCAAAATCTGGATTAATGAAACCATTTTTAATTTATGTTGAACGGAGATCCCAAACATTAATATTTGTTATTTGAATCATATTTATTTTACAGATGCGGATCAGAAAGCCACACGAACTTGTGTAGAGCAACATAATTACACAGTGAATTTTCTGATTCTAAATGTTGTTCCTTTTCCACTGCACTTCTTTGCATTTTTCTGTGTTGTTTCTATGTGTTTGTCTTATCTTACCATTTTTAATTTGTGAAAAAAAATATGTGAATTAATTGGTCAAGTAATTATTGAACACACATTATTAACAAGGTACTATGCCAGCCACTGGAATTACCAAGATGAACAAATTTGGAAGGCTGGCAGGCTTAAGATGTATTTGGGAGATAGGGAACAATAAGACTTATTAATTGATCGGAGGTTTAATCAATTTTCTCTATTTTTCTGGTTTTTTAATTCATTGATTTATACCTTTATTTTGATTATTTATCTCCTTATACTTATTTTGGGTATACTTTGCTTTCTTTTCTAGCTTCTTAATGCCACCTAAGAGTACTAATTATAAACCTTTCTTTGTATCTAATCTAAGCATTAAAAAAACTTTAAATGGACAAAATACTTGAATAGATACTTCTCCAAAGAAGATATGCAAATGGCCAAGAAGCACATGAAAAGATGCTCAACATCAATAACCATTAGAAAAACTCAAATCAAAACCACAATGAGATACGACTTTATACCCATTAGAATGGCTATTATCAAAAGAACAGATAATAATACATACTCACAAGACATAGAGAAATCAGAACCGTTGTGCATTGCTGGTGGGAATGTAAAATGGTGCAGCTGCTGTGTAAAAAAGTATGGCAGTTCCTAAAAAAAATTAAGTATAGAATTACCCTATGATCCATCAGTTTCATTTTGGAGTATATACCCCAAAAATTGAAATCAGGGTCTCAAACAGACATTTACACATTAATGTTCATCGCAAGATTATTCGCAATAGCCAAAAAATGGACACAACCTAAATTTCCACCAATGGATAAGCAGATAAACAAAATTTGGTATGTGAATACAATGGGATATTATTCAGCCTTAAGAAGGAATAAAACTCTGATATAATATAGATGAACTTTGAAGACATTATGCTAAATAAAATAAGCCAGATGCAACAGGACAAATATTATAAGATTCTACTTATATGAGGTACCTAGAATCCTCAAATTATTAGAGACAGAAAGCAGAGCAGCAGTTACCAGGGTCTACGGAGAAAGGAAATGGGGTATTTTTATTTAGTGGGAACAGAGTTTTATTATGGGATGATGAAAAATTTCTCAATAACTTTTTTTTTGAGAGGGGAGAACTAAGCAATGTTTTGGCTGCATGTTAAGAAATAAGTGTGTACACCCCAAAATTCATATATTCCAGTCTCAATTCACAACATGATGGTATTTGGAGAGGTGTTTTGAGAAATATTAGAGTTAGATAAGGTCATGAAGGTGCAGTCCTTATGATGGAATGGGTGGCCTTATAAGAAGAGGAAGAGAGATCGCCCCTCCTCTCTTGCTCCCTTACTTGCCTCTACAAACCAGGAAGAAAGCCCTCAGTCAGATCCACACCAGCCAGCACTTTGGTCTTAGTCTGGGGCTTCCCAGCCTCCAGAGCTGTGAGAAACTAACCTCTGTTGTTTAAGACACCCAGTCCATTGTATTTTATCATGGCAGCCCAAGCACACTAAGATCCTGCATCCCACAATTTAGTGTATTTTATTTCCATTAAAATAGTTTTTTATTTATCTTGTGATTTTTTTCTTTGACAGATGGGTTATTTAGAAATATGTATTGTTTAAATTTCCAGCTATGTTGTGGGGGGAGGGTTTCCAGATATTTTTCTGTTGCTGATTTCTGAGTCAATTCCTGGTGTGTCAGAGTACACAGCTGGTATGATTTCAGTCCTTTCAAAGGTAATGATACATGTTTTATGACACAAAATATGGTCTATCTTGGTAAATAAAATAATTTGTATTCTTCACTTGATGGGTGGAAACGTCTACAAATATCAGTTAGATTAAGTTGGTTTATAATTTCTTCTATATTTCTATTGATTTTCTGACTATTGTTATATCAGTTAGTGAAAAAGGAGTGTTGAAATTTTTAACTATATTTCTCAATTTTTCTATTTCTCCTTTCAATTATGTCAAAATTTTGCTCCATTGTATTTTGAATATCTGTTATAAAGTTCATGCAAATTTAGGTTGATTATGTCATCATAATGAATTCATCTTTTTTATTATTATAAAATGTCATTCTTTATCTCTGGCAATAGTTGGTACCCAGAAGTCTACTGTGTCTGATATTAATGTTGCCATTCCAACTTTCTGATAAATGTTATCACAAAATATTTTATTCCATCATTTTATTCTTTTTAAGTAGACTTTTTATTTTTCAGGACAGTTTTAGAGTCACAGAAAAATTTAGATACTGGGGCTCTAGCTACAGAGGACGTGTGTTAGAGAACTAATTTTGTTTGCAGATCGTAAGCTTTTTTTTTAATTTTTTTTCTATGTTCTTCATTTTGGATAGTGTTTGTTGCTTTCTTTCAAGTCCACTGATCTTTTCTTCTGAAATGTCCGATCTATTTTAATGCATTCAGTGAAAATTTTACTTCAGAGGTTATTTTTCATCTGTCGAAGCTTCATTCATTTTAAAAATATTTCTTCTTCCATGTCTTTCCTCTCTAGGTTCATGTTCCTTTAAAATTCCTATAAACATTATTTTAAGATCTTTGTTTTTTAACAGTTCCATCTCTGTTCTTTATGAACCTTTCTTTACAGTCTTCTTCTTCCTGATTGTGGGTCACAATTTCTTGCTCCTTCACTAGGTCGAGCAGTTTTTGATTGGATGTCAGATATTGTGACTTTTACATAATAGAGTGCTCTATTTTGATGTAGTATTTGACAGACTTTTAGACTTTGTTACAGCAAGCAATTCATTTATTTGCTCAATAGTTTGTTCCTGTTAAGCATCGTTTTCAAGTTATCTTAGGTCTAGTCTGTGGCAGATTTTCCTATAGGTGGAATTCAGTAGAAATACTAAGACCTTACTGTTCTACGATTCCTAATAATTGTCCCCTGTATTTTACAAGTTCTCTTCCTTCTGGATGTAAAAGGTCACAAGATCCCATTCCTGTGTAAACCTGGGAATTATTGAATTTACAGCTCTTAGGTAATTTTTCTTTTCCCAGAAATTGTTTTATGTGCATATTTCTGAAATTGTATCTAATACATGCACAAACTGTCACTTAAAGACTAAAGAAGACTTCTGTGCAGATTTTGGGAACTCTCTTCACTAAGCTCACTTTTCTCAAGGATCCTGCCCTGCAAATTCAATTCACCTAAGCTTCCCCAAACTCCAATTCTATTGGCGTTTGAAAAAAAATTCTATTGGCAGAGGAGCTAAGGATTGAGGGAAGAGGATAGCTCTAAGCTCCTTGATTTCCACTGGCAACAATCAGCAGAGGTTACATAACTGACTATATTTTTTAAAATATTAGCTGTTCATCACTGGTAAGTAGACTTTGCTGTAAAATGAAACTTTAAAAAGTAATCTATTTTCTGGCTTTCAGATATATGGTCAAAGGAGGAGCAGTCTTTGGGAGTCAATGGTTGCCACAGAAACGTTTTTAAGTTGATCTTTTCCTGCTGAGAGGTGCTTTCCATACAGGCCATTCAAGGTGAGGTAAATCCCTAAGGGGCAGACTCGGGCAATGCCAATTAATTAGATCAGTGCAGAAGAATCAGAAGGAAAGGAAGAAGGGAGGGTAGAAAAACGGCTACTGAATTATGGATAAGTAAGTTTCAGATATTTACAAAAGGTATTGTCTTAACCATACTCAAGACTCAGATCTGCTTTTGCCACATAAAATGTTGGTTTGCAAACTTCAGAGTCCTACAGATCATTTCCTGGATGTTTGCCTTGGACAACAGACCTAGTTTCTCTGAGCTTTAATTTCTTCATCTGTAAAATGGGGATACTGATATCAATCCTGCAGGTTGTTAGAAGAATTAAAAGGGAAAACAGATGTAAAATGCCTAGCATATTTCCCAGAGTATTGCAGGTGTTCAAAACATTTTATTTCCTTTCCGTATCTCACTGAAATCCTCTAAGGCTTAGCTTACTCTCAGAAAAAACACTGTATGGTCAGTCTCCATACTTCATTTTTGTTTGTAAATATGCATAAAACTATTGAGAATTATTTGGTTTCCCTGTGGCTTTCTCACCCACTCAAACAGATTATTTAAATCAACATGAAGAGATAATGATAGTTTAAAAACAGTATGCCCTACTTAGTAGAATATCCTCATATACAGAGGAACAAGTTTCAAATAATTGTATATAATCAACATATAAGCCATTAAAATATAGATTGAGTATAATTGAATCTCTTTGATGATTCAGAGGCTACTTAGCTTCTTTTAGGGCTCAGGTTCAGGAATATCCATTTCACAGAAGAGTTGAACTGACAATTATCCAGATTGGTTTGTTGAGGAGAATGGGAAAGGTGGCTTTATAAATAAATAGCTTTTGAGAACTTGTGCTCCCTAAACGTGCTGCTATGAGACAGTACGCAAAACACTGGTGATAGAAAAACAAATCAGACTAGTCCTAGTCCAGGATAAGCTCATTAGGGTAGATGAGGAAAACATAAAACAGATATTAGCACCAAAAATTTTTCAGTACAATGGAGTCACAGAAAAGAGACATCTTAAGCTTGTTTTCAGTGGCCAACTTGGGCTACAACAAGCATAGCTTGCAGTGGCATCAGGAAAAGCCAGATTCATCTAACAAAGGCATAGTTTGATAAACAAGATGACAACACTGCTCAATTTTTTTTTTCAGTGAATCTTCACAATCTAAGAATGAAGATGGTCCCCTTTAGCCTAACATACAGTTTGTCCTTTCACAATCAAGATAGTAGCAACTCTTGCAGCCTTCTCTCCTTTGACTGTTATAAGCACTCTCCATAAAGTTTGTCCAAGAACCCCTGATACTTTCCTGAGGAAGCCTCCAACATTTCTATGACACCAGCCCCTACTACTTTTACTAAGTGCATAAATATGATGGGGCTAAATAGAGGTGACAGCTGACCAACAGAGGCAGAACAGGTAGGGGGAGCCAATCAAGACTGTCAAGTGTCTCCATCTTCACCTTGACAAGCTGACATGCGGATTCTCATCTTTTATACTCTTTAGTGATGACGGACACCTTAGGCTGTATTGATTTATGGCTCTGGCATTGAGACTCCCCAGCGCATTCTCTGTCTCATGATACCTTGCTTCTTAATCAACCCTTGCTGATAATTAGGATTTCCATATAGGTGATTCTGAAAATTCTTATGGCACAGACTATATTATGTGTTTAACACAACATTTTATATTCCTAGTCACATAGGAAGTCTATGTTTCCCAAATCTCCTCTGCAATTAGATTGAGGTGGTAGAAATGGATTGTGGCCAATGGGGTATGGGAGATATGACATAAGACAGGCCTGGCTCTTTACAATTTCTCTTAAATCCTCTTAACTTCTCTGCACTGCCTATGCAAACTTGGAAATCATGTGTTTCCAAATGGCAAATCTACAACAAGATGGAGGGCGGTTCTCTACCTTACTGCCTTACTGTTTTTTTGTTTTTTTTTTTTTGTTTTTTGGTTGTTTGTTTGTTTGTTTTTGACAGAGTCTCACTCTGTCACCCAGGCTGGAGTGCAGTGGCACCATCTCAGCTCACTGCAACCTCCACCTGCAAGCAATTCTCCCACCTCAGCCTCAGAGTAGCTAGAATTACAGACACAAGCCACAACACTAGGCTAATTTTTGTATTTTTAGTAGATACAGGGTTTCACCATGTTGGCCAGGCTGGTCTTAAACTCCTGACCTCAAGTGATCCACCTGTCTTAGCCTCCCAAAGTGCTGATATTACACGTGTGAGCCACCACTTCCAGGGTCTACCTTACATTATATGTAGTATGAATGGAAACACACAAACACACACACACACACACACACACACAATCAAGCCACCATGTCAGCTAGTGTTAAGTACCCCAACAAGCACAGCCAATAAATATATCTGTTCCTCAACTTCACTTTAAAATTTTCTGCTTCTACTCTTTCACAGTATGTTGAATACTGCTTGTTCTTCAAGAATCAGATCAATTTTCACCAATTTACTAAGCCTTCTGGACTTCAGCATTCATTTTCCCATATTTACTTTATGTGCCATACATTTCACATATAGGATTGTTGCATCTAAAGAGAAATAATGTACAGTATTGCTTTCCAAACTATTTCACATCATGACACATATAATACATAAAAATATTTGTATGGTACAATAGAGTAAACAGGTAAGGCTGTTTTTGAATGATGCCAGGGAACCACCTAGGGAATTTCAACAACCCTGAGATTCTGCTCAACTGCCTGGAGGCAAATGAGAATTGAAAGAACATCTGTCATCCTTTTGTAGCATACCAATATGCCTGGGAAGTTTTGAAGGAGAAGAAGCCTACTCAAGCAGAGTCTTAGACAGTGAAATTATCTTGGTGCTGTCACCACACTTCAGAATCTGAGCCTAAACTTTTCTCAGACTCTCTTAAAATACAATATACAACCATAAGAAGAGTATTTATTGAGTATGCTATGCATTGAATTGCCTCAGTAATCCCCACAACATTGAGAAGTAGCCTTCATCATTTGCTGTTAGGTGAGAAAACCAAAGTCCAGAGATGGTGAGTAATTTTCCCACGGCCATGCAGTTTGGGGAGACTGCACTGGAATTAAAATGGGTTCAGTTCAAAAGTGATACTGCCTTTGTCAAGACACTTCTCTCTGTCAATGAACCGAGAGTGATTACACCAACCAAACTCAACAGAAAAAAGTGATATATGAAGTGGAAATCCAACTTATGGCTTAAAAATGAGAAATATATTATCATACAATTAGGAAACTAATTTCATCTCCCTATTGCATTCTGTCTCATTTTAATTCTCAGAAAATAAAAATCCAGGGACACTGAGACCCAGTTGAGAAGTAATGATCTAATGGGCTGATTACAATGTACTATAGATTTGCCTGTAAATTGCAGTACAAAGGACCAAGGTAAGAGTTGAGAAGCAGTGTCTTGGACTGTACAAGATTAGACGTGAATAGTCCATCCAATAAAATGTGGCACATATACACCATGGAATACTATGCAGCCATAAAAATGATGAGTTCATGTCCTTTGTAAGGACATGGATGAAATTGGAAATCATCATTCTCAGTAAACTATCGCAAGAATAAAAAACCAAACACCGCATATTCTCACTCATAGGTGGGAATTGAACAATGAGAACACATGGACACAGGAAGGGGAACATCACACTCTGGGGACTGTTGTGGGGTGGGGCAAGTGGGGAGGGATAGCTTTAGGAGATATACCTAATGCTAAATGACGAGTTAATGGGTGCAGCACACCAGCATGACACATGTATACATATGTAACTAACCCGCACATTGTGCACATGTACCCTAAAACTTAAAGTATAATAATAATAAAATTTAAAAAAAAAGAAAGTTGTCAATCTGGGGTAACGCAAAAAGAAGGAGTACAGGTAAAAAGCCAAACATGAAAAGTCAAAGGGTCATGAGGAGAGAATTTTCAAATCAAGGTAGAGAGCCCTAACGAGAGTTACTCTCAATACTAAATGCAGGCAGCTAAACTGGTGGGCAAGAGCCAGGTAGGAATCTCTGAGAAGGGACAGCAAGGGATAGGTCACAATCTCTCTCTTCCAGAAAAGTCAACATGGAACCAAGTATATCAGCACAGAAATACTTGAGGACTATGAAACCTTAACAAAGGTGAGGGAAGGAGACTAATTATGCTAGAGTCATCAAGTTGGTCTGATGATGCCATCCTAGTATAGAAGAAACTGCAATATACATCTGATTATGCAATCCCAGTAATTTATCTTTCAGGAACATTATCTGTCAATAATAATGGAACCATGCTGGTTATATGGCCCTAGGTTCTGCAATTTCATTTCCTACCTTCAGCAGAGCCCTATTCTGCTTATTCCCTGAAGAGAATTAGGAAGAGGAATGAAAGAAACCCTGACTCGATAATCTATTGTTTTAGCCTCCCCGACATGCATTTTGCCCTTTCCTGCTACAGCATGATGATTTTCCCTTTGAAAATTACTCATTCTGGTTAAGAAAGAACTCATCTTCCAGCTTAAGGCACATAAAATGCCCAGACTGAGAAAACGAATATTTTCTATTCCCCTGGCTAAGAGATGGATTGAGAGTCGGACACATAGTCCAAGCTGAACAGTGTAAATCATATGAGATTTTTGTTAAAATTATTGAGAATGAGACACTCTTTCTGAAGTTATGCAAGATGGAAAGGATGTAATTCTAGAATTAATAATGAGAATCTTGACATAAGGAAAGAAAAGCCTGTCTGAGAATGAACTAAAATAAAAGTGAATAAAAAGATAAGCAAAAGATACAGAAACAGATTTCTGATGAAACTCAAACACCTAGGTCCAACAATGCCCAAAGCCAATTACCCTTGACTTTCAGTTATATCAGCATTGAATGACTCTTCTCTTTATTTTCTCAAGTGAATTTGAGCAAAGATAAAATCACCCTGCTTCTTTAAGGTTACCACTCTGAATTAAATCAGCCCCAAAACTATTGACCAAGACAGCCTGGGCATTCCCCAGAGTTTTACTAAACTTCAAGTTTGTTTCTTCTTGACTGTAGGTCCCTGAGTTCTTTTCTTAGATTTACTTTAGAAAACTTGCAATTGTAAATTATTTCTCTGCCCTTTGTGATGTAAATTTTCTCCCAGCCTCAGGACAGTTTTATAATACAGGATTTTTTTTTCAAGGACCTAGGCACCATCCCTTTGAAATATAATAATTAAAAATGTAATACCCCTATCTCCCAGTTTCTGTGGGAGAGTAGGAGCCTAACTACAATAAGGGACAATTAGTGAACTCAGATAGCCTAATCACACTGACCAACTTCCCCTCCAATGTATTTCAGTACTTTTCCATGAGCTCAACCCAGAGTTTAAAAGCCCTCCAGCCCTTTGTTTCAGTGGAGTTGAGTTCTTTCTCTCTTTCCTATTGCAATAGTGTTGAAAAAAGTCTTCCTTGCCTGTTTAACTCTGGCTAGTGCAATTTTGATTTGACACTATTTTATGTTGGGACTTCCTTTTGTGTAAAGTAACATGTTCCTTTATTTAAGCCAATTGAGTAATATCTTTTTAGCTAAAAATATTTTAACTGGAATAGAGATTGTTGTTACTTTTTTCTTTAAAAAATCTTAATGATCTTTGGAAGATTTAGAGCTCTAACCTTCTACATAATCTTTCATTAAATTGTTGTGCCTAATTCTGCTTTCATTTTCATTCCCTAGGGCTTCAGAGCAATTTCCTATCATGGCCTTTTACATTACTTTGTTCACTTGCCAGTGTTTTTCCATATCAGAGCCATATGTCATATATTTACCCGGAAAATTATGATGAGGTTTTTCTATTGCCTCTCACTCCTTTGAACTTTTCTGTTGCCTCTTTACTCTGAAAAGAGGAAGAGGAGGATGAGTAAAAGGAAAAAGAGGAGGGAGAAGAAGAAGAGAAGAGGCAAGGGGGGAGGAGGAAAAGAAGGAAAAGGAAGAGAAGGTAGATGAGGAAGAAGCAGTGAAAGCTAAAAAAGAAGGGATGAAAAGAGAGATGGAAGAAGAATGCTAACAAAGAATGCGCCAATATAACATAAATATAAACTCCCATGACTGTCTTATTTCAATCACTTATCAAAGGAAAGAGGAGTCTTCCACCCAAAATGAATTATGGCCTTATGTTGGGTAAGGGTCAAACCAAGAGGGTCTCTAAGTTGGCTATGCAAGGCACACCAAATGAAGCAAAAGCAAGATCTTCTAAGAGGTTCCTTTGTAGACAAGCACAGTTGCCTAAGAACACTATTTAAACCCATGGATGACTGAACTGTAGCCAAACCTTATTTCCAGGTCATTGGCTGCATCTCTCATAGCTGCCCTGCCTCACAGATGTTGCTTTTCCCATGTTCCCATATGTAACCATGGCCTCCATTCTCCAGGTAACTGACATTTGCTCCTGTAAAGACTTAAGTCTTGTCATGTGAAAAAAAATCATTTTCTGCCCATTATTCACCTGCTGATGTTTGCCTCTCTGTCCCTTCTTTGCCCAAGTGAGCTCAAAATAGCACTGTCCTTCAACCACTTGTAAACAAAATCTGCTTGTTGGTATTGTATTTGTTATTGATTTTTGTAAGAAAAATGTCTATCAATTAGAAACATATAAATATTAAAGATATTAAAACTTCAAAAAATATATCTCCACATCATTATCTCATCTAAAACAAACCACTTTTGGAATAATATTTAACAAAAAGTATGTTTTAAAACCGATTTAAAATAACACAATCTAAGCCCGCACATTAGTCCCATCTCTTGCCAGCCTTTTCAGTATTACGCATTTGTAATGTGATAGGTGGGTCACAGCAGATCTTTTCAGTGATGCAGTAATCATTTGGGATATTTAAAAAATAACACTGGGATAAAGACTTCAGACTTCACCCTGAACTAGGTGGGTGGCAGGGTGGGGTGAGGAACGAGAGGGAAGAGAAGTGAAGCATAGCTCTGGGAATCACAGGGCCCAGGAACAGAATGGAACCCACACTATAGATTTCATGATTGGTCTTGGAGCTAAGCTCATATGGAAACAGAGAAAGAAGAGGGACTCAAATGCAAAGTCAGAATCACAATTTATTTTTACAAGCTTTTCTTGAATTCCTGCTGTGTAACATGCTACTAGTCACTAAGGTTATAAAAACAATAAATCATGCATTCTACTTATGGACCTCATCAAATTCCACTAGAAATGGTTTCTTTCCATGGTTAACAAAAGACTTTAATATGCATTATATTTGATTTTCACAGTATTCCCACAAAAGAGGCAGAGCACATATCAAAATCTCTACTTTACATACAAATGAAGGTCTAGATGTCCAGAGAAATTAAATGATTAACCCAGACTTGGAAATGGCAGTGTTGTTCTATGGGCTCATCTTGTGACTTAAAATATAGCCATCTCTTAGAAATGTTAGCCACCAGACAAATGCCTCCAAAACAATACCTTACAACCCATCACTATGTCAGGACACTATTCTAAATATGATGCTGATGGAATTTGTTTACGAAGTGCATAGACCAAACTTGATCTTACTTGCAGTGCTCATCCTATCTCCAAGATAGAAAATAGATATAACATTTATAAAAAGTAATTTATTTCTAAAGCACTCTCATCTGCATCAATACTTGACTCTCCACATTTATAGGAAAAAGGATCAGTATACATTATCTCTGTAGTATAGATGGAGAAACATGGAGAAACTAAGGCACAGAGAGGTTCCCCCCGCCAAAGGTCACTCATTTAGTTAATTAGGAGTTCCTATAAGTCTTAAGTCTAGATCTCTCAATTTCCAGTCTAGTCCTCTGTTGGCTGAAACTCTATTAAAAAGAGGAAGGATACTCATACAGGAGTGAGAGTCCTGGGACGTTTAATTCTCTTTAGTTTTTTCATCAAATGAGACAATATTTGGTTATTGCAAATATGTGCACGGCAGTCAATTGTAGTTTTATCTCTCACTCTAGATTATAATGGTATATTCCCTAAAGATCCTAACAATGACCTATGGTCACATTACTAAGAATAATTTGAATACAGGATGCCAAGTCTTACCATTCATCACTCATTCACTTCAGGATTCTGGTAATAGATAATACATACAAGGAGAAAAACTTTATAAACCTCCAAAATATAGGGTTTCTCATAATAGCATGTGTACCCCACCATCAGGCAAGAACATGCACCCTCAGAAGTTCAATGACTGCATGTTCCAGGCTACCAAAACACATTTAGCCTCAGGTGAGTTTCACTTGATATCTCCAAGCAACATAACATACATACCTGTCACCTCACTCTCCATCAGAAGACAAAGCACCCTCGATCATCCATAATCACTTACTACCATGATGATCTCTTAGCAGCCATTTTAAAGGTGGGCTATGTATGGGGGAAATATTTGTGTTACTTCTCATTGCCCCATTATAACTGTCTCTCCTACCTTCCTTCTCCAAAAGCCCAGCTCCTTTGAAGCATATGTTCCTATTTTTACACTTATTACCCTTCTTTGTGCTCTTTCAATACCCTAGCCACTCTCCTTAATTTATTGTTGACTTTAGCATCTGCTTTATTATCTTAATACCTGCCCCCACTTCTATCTGCAGCTTTTGAAACTTCAACAATCACACAAATTATTCATCAAATGCCCTAGTTTCCATCCTTTGACCTCATTAGTTCTATGGGGAAGGGAAATGACAGCAGCATCCTCTATGGGTCAAGGTCAAGGTGTGTAGATTGGAGGGGAGAGGATCAACCTCCACATCCAACTTCAAGGTATTGAGTTGAGCCTGGCTTTCTCACTGAAACTTCCTTGATTTCTGGACTATAATTCTCATAATGGCATTGTAATGGGTGTAGACACAAGTTGAACAATCAAAGAAGGGTAGATCTGAGACGAAAAGAAGGCTTCAAGGGCGAGTTCATGTTAAATATGTTTTAGACTGACTTATGAACATTTTTATCTGCACTGGCTTATCAAGGGATGATGTGACAGGTGGTATCAGGAGGCAAATAAATGTGAAAGGAGAGCTTCTATTGAGATCCCATTTTAATCTATCTTCTTCCTATTTTTGGGCAAAATGCATTTTGGACAAAATAAGAGTTAACATATAGGGGAAAACAAAGAAGTCAGCTCTTTAAATAGTATATTGCATATGGAAAAAATAAAATCATCAGAGCACTCTACTCCCCCTTGAAAGTTGACATGCCATTTCAGAGTAAGCTTGCTTTGTTTAATCGAGAATTTGCATCTTAGTAGAAGCTCACAAGCATGTAACCTGTGAGGGAATGGTTGCTATGACAACATTAATGAGCCTGTCCTATGACCAGAGATATCTTAAAGAGAAAATACGCTTGTGCTCTCACTTATTATCATGTTGGTCTCTGCTTTCTGGACAAGAAGAGCTTAAAAAAATCACTCTAACAGAGAGAAATATTTATTAATGGTCTCATAGGGAGCCATTTTAAACTTTGAATAAGAGAAGAATTTTACAGCATTAAAAAAAATGAAAGTCTGCCTAAAACCCATTTAGACAAAAAGTGTGTTGTGTTTTATAATGGACTGCTATGTAAAACTGGTGCTGTTTTTTAACAAATAACATGATGAATTTACCATTTGTCTACTTTGGACTGATACATATGCTTGTACAATCTTCCTCATTAAAAGGTTTTACAGTCTTTTTATTTCATAATTATTGGTAACTTTTCTTATGCCTCTCAAACAGTAAATATTTATCAGGAACTATGTATTTAATATATATTAAGCCCCTGTGCCATATAGGCTCTTCGAATGGCATAGCTTTTCAACTTTACATAAAAATTGAGAAAAGTGAGGCTCTGAGAGTTTGGGTGGGTTTCTAGGGGGCACACAGTCAGGAGTACTTTGACCCCAACTGGATATAAAAGCAGTGATTTTTCTTATCTGTTTCATCTTTCCCCACCAAAACCACTCTCCACCCCCACTGAAGTGTTCAGTAATATATGAGGACTCTAAAGGTATGTATTGCAAAAAGGGCAAAAGAAAGTTCCTACCCTCAGGGAGTATTTAATCCAGTCAGATAATATTTAAAATTCATTTAGAGAATATTTAATTGAATTATGAGTCTTGAGACCAGGATTCATGACCCAGATCAAACACTAACTTGCTGAATGTTCTTAGAGAGGACATATATTATTGTTGTACTTCCATTTCTAGGAATCACTACCTAATAAAATCTGAGTCACAAGTTAGATTAGAGTGCTCTTGAAATGGATTTGATTACCTCAAAAAAGTAGTGAGTGTCTCATCATAAAAAGTATTCTACAAGGAGCCAAATGACTTTGTAGCACATAATTCTATGCTTAAAAACTGGATGCAAAGTAGGATGTGGATTTATTATTATTTTTAAAAAATCAACTATTGAGAAAAATGTGTTAAAATCTCAGGTATGACTGTGTACTTCTCTAGTTGTTCTTTTAGTTCTATTAATTTTTGCTTCATATATTTTAAAGCCATATTATTGATGAACACAGATATTTGATGCCAATATACTATGGAATTGACTTCTCTTCCATTTGGAAATATTTTTATTTCTAATAGTGATTCTTACCTGTAGTTTACTTTAAAATTTTTATAGCTATACTAGCTTTCTTCAGCTAGTGTTTGCATGCTCCATCTTATTTTTATCATTTTACTTTTAATATTTCTGAGTGTATATGAAGTATATTTTTAATATTTTGGATAATTCTCTCTTTCTCGCTCTAGCTCCACCTTTCTTCCTAGCCCTAAAAATCTGTGTAGAAGAAATAATTCTGCTCTTTAGAGCTTTAACCTTTCTCACCAAGCTTCCTAAGGGGGAGACCAATTATATAATTTGTAATTGGAGTAAGATCCCTCCTAAATATGGCAATATTGTAAAAAAAATTTATTCTGCCTTTACATGATTTTGGCCTTGCCTTCATCCTCCATTCCCCTAGCTGTCCACACAGCCCCACAATTCAGTGGATGTCCCAGGTCCCTACCTGACACTAAAGCTCAACTAGCTTCTCTTTCCCCTAACAAAGCCTCTCTGTCTGGCCAAGCCTGGTCCTCCTCACACATCCAGAATCAGAAAATGCTCCAAGGGAAACACGTGTCATCTCACATTGAAATAATTATCTCTCTCTGGAATTGTGGCTCATTTGTTCCTTGATTCTTTCTCTGCTCTTGATGTTTTTAAAGTTTTTTTAATTAAAATTATTTTGGACTTTTTCCAGTTGATATATTGGGGCCTTAAGCTGCCACTACTAACCACGTTGCACACAGAAATGGAAATATACACACACAAAAAGTGAGCACCCAGTGTTAAAGAGTTGAACTTTAATCCATGGGTGACTAAATGACTGCTTCTCCCCAGTGGCCTTCTGACCACCTGGAGTGCTTGTTACAACAATAATGTTTCCTACGCCCCCTTCCAATCGTATTAAGCAAGAGTTTTCTTTTTCTTTTCTTCTTCTTTTTTTTTTTTTTTTTTTTTTTTTTGACGGAGTTTCGCCCTTGTTGCCCAGGCTGGAGTGCAATGGCGCAATCTCAGCTCATTGCAACCTCCACCTCCCGGGTTCAAGTGATTCTCCTGCCTCCCACCTTCCGAGTAGCTAGGATTACAGGCACCCACCACAATGCCCGGCTACTTTTTTGTATTTTTAGTAGAGATGGGGTTTCACCATTTGGCCAGGCTGTTCTCAAACTCCTGACCTCAGGTGATCCACCCTCCTCAGCCTCCCAAAATGCTGGGATTACAGATGTGAGCCACTGCGCCCAGTCATGAGCAAGTGTTTTCAAAAAAAATAACATACATATTTTTCATGAACTTCTGAAATAACTCTTATGCTCTATGATATCCAAGAGATCTGCACTACCAGCACAACATTGGACTATAAGTAAACTAAGAAGACGAACCTTTTATTTGGTCTCATATACACAGCATTTTTCACAGCTACAGACATGTGTAGCTCACACTTCCTGCTGGATTACTATATACCATGCACTTTTCTGAGCTCTTTACTAGATTTAACCCACTTGAAATTCATAACAACCCTATGAGATAGGTTCTATTATCATTCCCAATTCTCAAATTTAAAAAACTGGGGAACAGAGAGGGTAGACTTGCACAAAGCTGAGTGATTCAGTGGGAGAGAAGAAATATGATGTAAGTAGCCAAAAAATGTGAAAAAGTGCTCAACATCACTAATCATTAGAGAAATGCAAATCAAAACCACAATGAGATACCATCTCACACCAGTCAGAATTGGCTATTATCAAAAAGTCAAAAAATAACAGATACTAGTGAGGCTGCAGAGAAAAGGGAATGCTTATACACTGTTGCTGGGAATGTAAATTAGTTCAACCACTGTGGAAAGCAGTTTGGAGATTTCTCAAAGAATTTGAAACAGAGCTAGAATTCAGCCCAGCAATCCCATTACTGGGTATATACATAAAAGAAAATAGATCATTATACCAAAAAGACACATGTACTTTTATGTTCATTGTCATGCTATTCACAATGGCAAAGACATGGAATCAACCTAGGTGCCCATCAACAGTGGACTGAAGAAAGAAAATGTAGTACATATACACCATGGAATATTACTCAGCCATAAAAAGGAATAAATTCATGTTCTTTGCAGCAACATGAATGGAGCTGGAGGCTGTAACCCTAAGTGAAATAATGTAGGAACAGAAAACCAAATATTTCATGTTCTCATTGATAAGCAGCAACTAACCATTGAACACACATGGACAAAAACATGGGAATAATAGACACTGTGTACTGCTAGAGGGGTGAGAGAGGGAGAAAAGCATGGGTTGAAAAATTAACTCTTGAGAATTATGCTTACAACTTGAGTACAATATACCCATGTAACAAACCTACACAGCTACCCCCTATAACTAAAATAAAAGCAGAAAATTCTTCTTTTTTTTCAAGTTATTTAGGGGCATCATCTGAAACATTTCAATAGAAAGTCTTTGGAATAAATATTGAATGCATCTAATTCTGTAACTTCAACTATCTTTACACTACAACAACTCATATTTCTATCTCATACCCATTAAGCCTTTTCATCAAATTTTTAAAATGATGAAACTTTGGTATAAAGGTTGATTGAATTCAGGTTAGTAATGCTGTAAGAGCATTTGTAAGAGACCACCATTTAATTAACACATCAGATAAAGCAATGATACTTCTCATTTCCTCCATTAACTACAGAGCTATTATTGCCTGTGGCACCCTCACCCAGAGTCAATAGTCTACTGTCTAACATACCCATATACTTCTCCCATTATTTGAATGGTACATTTATCAGAAGTCTGTTCAACTTGTTCCCATTATAGTTGTAATTGTTGTTGTAAATTACTTAATTTAGTCGTTGGTTTTATATAAACCAATAAAGCGAGTATGAAAAGAGGAAAGATAATAAAAAGTTTGCTATAGAAACAACTATAAAAAATTGGGAGAAAATTGTCAAAATCCTGAAGATTAAGAATTCAAATTGCTTTCATCAATATCTTAGGTTCTTGGTCCACTTTAAAGAAAAGAAAAGAAAAAATCTCAATGCATGATTAGTATCCTATCTGAAGGCTCATGTATTCAGAAATGGCTTGGACGTTTATCAATGTTTAGTGAATAAATACACTTCATTCATTTTATGTTCAAGAAAAATGTTTAAAGTTTATGTCTTAGCCCACTTGAACTGCTATAACAGAATACCATAGGTAGGGTAGTTTATAAAAAACAAAACAGAATACCACAGGTAGGGTAGTTTATAAAAAATAAACAATGCAGGATCAAGGAGCCAGCAGGTAAGAAGTCTCTCATTCATAGATCGCTGTCTTCTCATTGTGTCCTCACCTGGTAAGGGATCTCTCTGGGGTCTCTTTCATAAGAGCACTAATCCCATTCATGAGAGATCTGCCCTCATGGCCTAATCACCTACCAAAGGCTTTACCTCCTAATGTCATCAACTTGGGGGTTAGGATGAATTTGTGGAGGTGGCAAAAGCATTTAGTCTTAGCAGTATAGGTTTGTTAAATAATTTCTGCTTAAACCTAATTCAAGTGTCACTCAAATGTCACCTTATCAGTGAGGACTTACTGGACTGCCCAGACAAATTGTAATCCCTTTTCCTCCCTGGAACTCTGTATTCCTTTTAGCTTGCTTTACTTAGTCCCTAACTCTTATCAATAACTCACACTACCTATTCATATTTATTTGCTCATATTTTGTTGTTTATAGTATATTTCCTGTGGTAGGCAGAATAATGTTCCCCCAAAGGTGTCCACATCCTAACCTCTGGAACATGGGAATATATTACCTCATATGGAAAAAGGGACTTGGCACTTGTGATTATGCTTAAGGACCCTTAGATGGGGAAATTATCCTAGAATATCATGGTGGACCCAACTAAATCATATGTCCTTCAAAGAATCTTTTCTGATTGAGATCAGAGTCAGAAAGAAATGTGGCAACAGAAGAATGGTCAAGGAGACACCAAGTTGCTGACTTTGATGACAGAGGAAGGGACTATGAGCCAAGGAATAGGAGCAGCCTCTAAAAAAATGGAAAAGGCAAGGAAACGGACTCTCCTCTAGAGCTTCTAGAAAAGAAGACAACCCTGCTGATTTTAGCCCAGTGAGATCCATGTTGGACTTCTGACTTATAGAACTGTAAGATAATAAACTTGCATTATTTTAAGCCACTAAGGTAGGCATTTGTTCCAGCAGCCACAAAAACTAACATATGTGCCTTCACAAGAATGAGCCCCATGAAGGCAATATCAGTGTTACATTTTAGGCTTTACTACTAAAACTTAGCACAATCCTTGATTCACAGAAAATATTCAACAAATATATGTTAAATGGATGAATGAATGAAGACACTGATTAACCAATAAATCATCTCCTTCTAGTTCTGATATCGTCGCATATGATACATTATTATTGAAATAATACCAACAATGATACCACTTATTGAGTGCCTTTTCTTAGTCATTCATGTGCACTCATTTCTTCATTTACTCATCACAGCAAATGTTAGGTATATTATCTCCACTTTCCACAGAAGCAGTCTGGAACTCAAAGGCACAAAGCAACTTGACTAGATCTACTTGGCTAAAATGCTGAGAGTCTTCCATTAAGATACTACTTATAAGAATAATCAAATTGATCTTTCTAATTTATTTTCAGTAAAGCAAAAGTTAATTAAAAAGACAACAAAATGCAACATACATGAATGGTGGCCTTGAAATGTAAGAAGGGCTACTTATTTAATCAGTATATAGCAAAGCCATTCATGTTCAAGGCCACAGAGTTTGTGTACATAGTTATGAAAGTGAAATAACATGTTCAATAATCAGATGATTTGGGTGTCTTGAAGCAGAGCAATTAGGCACCCTGTCTAATTGGGTTTCCAATTAGAACTCCACATGTAAGTTAATGGACTGCACCTGCCCCTCACCCAAGAGATCAGCTTACACACAGGTAAGCATAAACTTCCAGAGACTTCACGTCCCAAGCAATGGCTACTGGTTGATCTCTCTGCTCTCAGCTATACACCACACACAATGTGAAGCTCACTGTCCCCTGAATCCAACACACTCCTTTACACCCCTGCCTTTGCTGAGAGCACTTCATATACCTAAAACACACTTCCCTCCCACTAGCCAACTTCTCTGCATGAAAACCTCTACTTAGCTAAAGATCCATCTCATATACTACCAATATCTAAAATTTCATCATTAGTGTGCTCTATTTTTATCTTAAGACTTCCTGACCATTCTAAAAATGTAAATCCTGCTGGGAGTGGCGATCTTTCCATTTTTGTATGTTTTACATACCATACCATGAATGACTTTGAAGATTTTTCCTAAGAAGGAGATTATACTAGAATATAGAAGTTTAGGTGTCATGAAAAACTGCAGACATTGGGATCTCAGAAAAACTGTTACAGGCAACAAAGCCAGGAAAACAAGCCTGGCCCTGAAAGGTGGGCCCAGGCCAAGGTAGCCTTGGTATTGGAATAATATTGACAATTATTAGAGGAAGTGAGAGAGAATCACCCATGTGATGCAGGTGTGGCTGAAATAACATGGAATTTGCAGTCATATTTGGCTTTGGTGGTCATTTCAGCCATTTCCTGACTCTATGGCTGTTAGTAAATTACTTAACTTCTCTAAGCCTCAGTTTTCTCATCTGTCAAATTAATGATATAATAGCTACTACACTTGATAAAATGAATAAACAGGACAAGATCATTGCCCTTGAGGATTTCACAGAGTTAAAATACACCTTTAAGGATTAAGGAAACTTAAATATTTGGAAAAGACTCAACTTCCCTAAAAAGAAGAAATTGACTAATCTCTGGTAAATCTCTAAAGTGGATTCTCATACTCTCAGTTAAATGATGCATTATTTTAATCGAAATAGGAAAACCATTAATGACATGAGATGTTCACTGTATTTTTTAAAAGTGGTTTAAAAATAATATGGATGATATAGTCCTATATTATCAAATATATATAAACCTACCTATAGTCACTGTATTAGCTAGAACAAAATCTGGCACATAATGATCACTAGTTGTTGAATAAATAGCTGGGGGATGTATATATAAATGGAAAGCAAGAGAGAATGATCAAAATGTTCATTATGATTACCACTTGGCAGTGCATTTTTGTCATAATTTTCTTGTATTGTTGTTCTCATCTGCGTTTTCCAAACTGACTGTGTATGCACATATATACACATACATACACATATATATGATCTTTAAAATAATTAAACTGTATTTTCAATTGTCTTTAAAAGAAATTTAAAATTGTACTTAAATGTATTAGCAAGTTAGTAGAATATTTTCAGTTAAACTAAGAGAAGTTAGCAAATCAAGAAGCACAAGGACAAACTTATGTCATAAATTTCCTTAGAAGGTCATAGAGGGTGGAGAATTTGCAGTTTGAGCTTCCAGCTCTACACAGGAGGTTTTCAGTGAAATCTTCTGGGGCTTTCTTGTGCTTAGAAAGTTAAGCAAGTCCTTGGCATTGAGAGCGGAATCAGGCATAGAACATTAAGTTATCTTTTGATTTCCCTACTATACCTCATTTCTAAACTATCAATGAGTATTCAAACTACATCACAGAATTGTCTGAGAATCCAAGGAGAGAATTCATTCATTCATTCATTCATTCATTCACCTGACAAATATTAAATCCATGCTATTTATCTTGTCTTATCATAGATCTAAACCAAAGTGCAAAAATGTCTGCCAACTTGAAGCTAACACTCCAAACTGGGGAGACAGGCCACGAACATAATAAATAAGTAAATTACAAAGTACATCATAAGGTAATAAGTGTTATGGAGAAATGAAGAAGGGAAAAGAAGTGATAAGTGATGAGAAAGATGGAGTTGCAATGTTCAAAGAAGGTTCCAAAGAGGAGTCACTAATGTAACATCAACACAGTCTCGAAGGGGGTTAAGAAGTTAATATCTACAGGTGAGTATCTAAAGGAAGAGCATTCCAAGCAGAGAAAACATACATGGAAAATCACCTCCAAAATTGAAAACTGTTAAGCAAATATATATAGAAGTAACCTGAAGTAACATTTAAACCTAAATATATCGGCAAAAGTCATAAACCAGGATCTCAAAGTGGTTCAGTAACCCATAATGCCCCAGTTGTACAGCTAGTTGCATGACAGAAACCCAGTCTTACATGACTCCATATTTCCATCCAGCTTTTTCCACCAAAACCTAATTATTACATTCTCTCTACATTTATTGTGTAAAACTCATTCTTCCTCTTTTGATGGAGATTTGAGCATTATACACCCACATCTCTAAGTAGGGGAAAGAATGTATTCAATGTATTCAGATAAATAACATCTGTTTTTTTCCTTTATGTTCTGGGATAGCTGTGCAGAACGGGCAGGTTTGTTACATAGATTTATATGTGCCATGGCAGTTTGCTGCACCTGTCAACCTGTCATCTAGGTTTTAAGCCCCATGTGCATTCGGTATTTGTCCTAATGCTCTCCCTCCACTTGCCCCCCAACTCCCACAGGCCCCAGTGTGTGATGTTTCCCTCCCTGTGTCCACGTGTTCTCATTGTTCATCTCCCACTTATGAGTGACAATATGCAGTGCCTGGTTTTCTGTTCCTGTGTTAGTTTGCTGCGAATGATGGTTTCCAGCTTCATCCATGTCCCCGCAAAGCACATGAACTCATTCTTTTTTTATGGCTGCATAGTATTCCATGGTGTATATGTGCCACATTTCTTTTATCCAGCCTATCACTGAAGGGCATTTGGGCTGGTTCCAAGTCTTTGCTATTGTAAATAGTGCTGCAATAAACATACATGTGCATGTGCCTTTATAGTAGAATGATTTATAATCCTTTGGGCATATACCCAGTAATGGGATTGCTGGGTCAAATGGTATTTCTGGTCCTAGATCCTTGAGGAATCCCCACACTGTCTTGCATAATGATTTAACTAATTTATGCTCCCACCAACAGTGAAAAAGCCTTCCTATCTCTCCACATCCTCTCCAGCATCTGTTGTTTTCTGATTTTTTAATGATCCCCATTCTAACTGGTATGAGATGGTATCACATTGTGGTTTTGATTTGCGTTTCTCTAATGACCAGTGATAGTGAGCTTTTTTTCATGTTTCTTGGCAAATAAATGTGTTCTTTTGAGAAGTGTCTGTTCACATCCTTTGCCCACTTTTTGATGGGGTTGTTTTTTTCTTTCTTGTAAATTTGTTTAAGTTCTTTATAGATTCTGGACCTACATAGACCTTTGTCAGATGGACAGATTGCAAAAATTTTCTCCCATTCTGTAGGGTAACTATTCACTCTGATGATAGTTTCTTTTGCTATATAGAAGCTCTTCCATTTAATTAGATCCCATTTGTCAATTTTGGCTTTTGTTGCAATTACTTTTGGTGTTTTAGTCATGAAGTCTTTGCCCATGCCTATGTCCTGAACGGTACTGCCTAGGTTTTCTTCTAGGATTGTTATTGTTTGAGGTTTTACATTTAAGTCTTTAATCCATCTTGAGTTGATTTTTGTATAAGGTGTAGGGAAGGGGTCCAGTTTCTGTTTTCTGCATACAGTTAGCCAGTTTTCCCAGCACCATTTATTAAATAGGAATCCTTTCCCCATTGTTTGTTTTTGCCAGGTTTGTCAAGGATCAGACGGTTGTAGATATGTGGCATTATTTCTGAGGCCTCTGTTCTGTTTCATTTGTCTATATATCTGTTTTGGTACCAATATCATGCTGTTTTGGTTACTGTAGCCTTGTAGTATAGTTTGGAGTCAGATAGCATGATGCCTCCAGCTTTGTTCTTTTTGCTTAGGATCGTCTTGGATATACAGACCCTTTTTTGGTTCCATATGAAATTTAAAGTGGTTTTTTTCTTATTCTGTGCAGAAAGTCAGTGGTAGCTTGATGGGAATAGCATTGAATCTATAAATTACTTTGGGCAGTATAACCATTTTCACGATATTGATTCTTCCTATCCATGAGCAGGGAATGTTTTTTCAATTGTTTGCCTTCTCCCTGATTTCTTTGAGCAGTGGTTTGTAGTTCTCCTCAAAGAGGTCCTTCACATCCCTTGTAAGTTGTATTCCTAGGTATTTAATTCTCTTTGGAGCAATTGTGAATGGGAGTTCACTCATGACTTGGCTCTCTGTTTGTCTGTTTGTCTATTATTGGTGTATAGGAATGCTTGTGATTTTTGCACATTGATTTTGTATCCTGAGACTTTGCTGAGGTTGCTTATCAGCTTAAGGAGTTTTGGGGCTGAGATGATGGGGTTTTCTAAATGTACTGTTGTGTCATCTGCAAACACAGACAATTTTACTTCCTCTATTTCTATTTGAACATGCTTTATTTCTTTCTTTTGCCTGATTGCCCTGGCCAGAACTTCCAATAGTAAGTTGAATAGGAGTGGTGAGAGAGGGCGTCTTCGTCTTGTGCCGGTTTTCCAAGGGAATGCTTCCAGCTTTTGCCCATTCAGTATGATATTGACTGTGAGTTTGTCATAAATAGCTCTTATTATTTTGAGATATGTTTCATTAATACCTAGTTTATTGAGAGTTTTTAGCATGAAGGGATGTTGAATTTTATCGAAGGCATTTTATGCATCTATTGAGATAATCATGTGGTTATGTCATTGGTTCTGTTTATGTGATGGATTGCATTTATTGATTTGCATATGTTGAACCAACTTTGCATCCCAGATATGAAGCCTACTTAATCATGGTGGATAAGATTTTTGATGTGCTGCTGGATGGCTTTGGTTTGCCAGTATTTTATTGAGGATTTTCGGATCAATGTTCATCACGGATATTGGCCTGAAATTTTGTTTGTGTGTGTGTGTCTCTGCTGGGTTTTAGTAGCAGGATGATGCTAGCCTCATAAAATGAGTTAGTGAGGAGTCCCTCTTTTTCCATTATTTGAAATAGTTTCAGACAGAATGGTAGCAACTCCTCGTTGTACTTCTGGTATAATTTGGCTGTGAATTCATCTGGTACTGGGCTTTTTTTGGTTGGTAGGCTATTAATTACTGCCTCAATTTCAGAATTTGTTATTGGTCTATTCAGGGATTCGACTTCTTCCTGGTTAATCTTGGGAGGGTGTATGTGTCCAGGAATTTATCCATTTATTCTAGATTTTCTAGTTTATTTGCATAAAGGTGTTTTTAGTAATTTCTAACAGTAGTTTGTATTTCTGTGGGATCAGTGGCAATATCCCCTTTATCATTTTTTTGTGTGTCTATTTGATTCTTCTCTCTTTTCTTATTTATTAGTCTGGCTAGCAGTCCATCTACTGTGTTAATCTTTAAAAAACCAGCTCCTGGATTCATTGATTTTTTAAAGGGTTATCTGTGTCTCTATCTCCTTCACTTCTGCTCTGATCTTAGTTCTTTCTTGTCTTCTGCTAGCTTTTGGATTTATTTGCCTTTGCTTCTCTAGTTCTTTTCATTGTGATGTAAGGGTGTTGTTTAGATCTCTCCTGCTTTTTCTTGTGGGCATTTAGTGCTATAAATTTTCCTCTAAACACTGCTTTAGCTGTGTCCCAGAGATTCTGGTACATTTCCATTTGTTCTCATTGGTTTCAAATAACTTCTTTATTTCTGCCTTAATTTTGTGATTTACCCAGTAGTCATTCAGGAGCAGGTTATTTAGTTTCCATGTAGTTTTGGGTGAGTTTCTTAATCCTGAGTTCTAATGTGATAGCACTAAGAGACTGTTTCTTATGATTTCAGTTATTTTGCATTTGCTGAGGAGTGGTCAATTTTAGAATAAGTGCGATGAGGTCCTGAGAAGAATGTATATTCTGTTGATTTGAGGTGGAGAGTTCTGTAGATGTCTATTAAGTTGGCCTGGTCGAGAGCTGAGTTCAAGTCCTGAATATCCTTGTTGACTTTCTGTCTTGTTGATCAGTTGATACTATTGACAATGGGTTATTAAAGTCTCCCACTATTATTGTGTGGGAGTCTAAGTCTCTTTTTAGGTCTCTAAGAGCTTGTTTTATGAATCTGGGTGCTCCTGTATTGAGTGCATATATATTTAGGATAGCTAGCTCTTTTTGTAGCATTGATCCCTTTACCATCATGTAATGTTCTTTTTTTCTATATTATTATTATTATTATTATTATTATTATTATTATTATTATTATACTTTAAGTTTTAGGGTACATGTGCACATTGTGCAGGTTTGTTACATATGTATACATGTGCCATGTTGGTATGCTGCACCCATTATCTCGTCATTTAGCATTACGTATATCTCCTAATGCTATCCCTCCCCCCTGCCCCCACCCCACAACAGTCCCTGGTGTGTGATGTTCCCCTTCCTGTATCCATGTGTTCTCATTGTTCAATTCCCACCTATGAGCGAGAACATGTGGTGTTTGGTTTTTTGTCCTTGCGATAGTTTCCTAAGAATGATGGTTTCCAGCTTCATCCATGTCCCTACAAAGGACATGAACTCATCATTTTCTATGGCTGCAGAGTATTCCATGGTGTATATGTGCCACATTTTCTTAATCCAGTCTATCATTGTTGGACATTTGGCTTCGTTTCAAGTCTTTGCTATTGTGAATAGTGCCGCAATAAACATATGTGTGCATGTGTCTTTAAAGCAGCATGATTTATAATCCTTTGGGTATATACCCAGTAATGGGATTGCTGGGTCAAATGGTATTTCTACTTCTAGATCCCTGAGGAATCACCACACCGACTTCGACAATGGTTGAACTAGTTTACAGTCCCACCAACAGTGTAAAAGTGTTCCTATTTCTCCACATCCTCTCCAGCACCTGTTGTTTCCTGACTTTTTAATGATCGCCATTCTAACTGGTGTTAGATGGTATCTCATTGTGGTTTTGATTTGCATTTCTCTGATGGCCAGTGATGATGAGCATTTTTTCATGTGTTTTTTGGGTACATAAATGTCTTCTTTTGAGAAATGTCTGTTCATATCCTATGCCCACTTTTTGATGGGGTTGTTTGATTTTTTCTTGTAAATTTGTTGGAGTTCATTGTAGATTCTGGATATTAGCCCTCTGTCAGATGAGTAGGTTGTAAAAATTTTCTCCCATTCTATAGGTTGCCTGTTCACTCTGATGGTGGTTTCTTTTGCTGTGCAGAAGCTCTTTAGTTTAATTAGATCCCATTTGTCAATTTTGGCTTTTGTTGCCATTGCTTTTGGTGTTTTAGACATGAAGTCCTTGCCCATGCCTATGTCCTGAATGGTATTGCCTACGTTTTCTTCTAGGATTTTTGTGGTTTTAGGTCTAACATGTAAGTCTTTCATCCATCTTGAATTAATTTTTGTATAAGATGTAAGAAAGGGATCCAGTTTCAGCTTTCTACATATGGCTAGCCAGTTTTCCCAGCACCATTTATTAAATAGGGAATCCTTTCCCCATTGCTTGTTTTTCTCAGGTTTGTCAAAGATCAGATAGTTGTAGATACGCAGCATTATTCCTGAGGGCTCTGTTCTGTTCCATTGGTCTATATCTCTGTTTTGGTACCAGTACCATGCTGTTTTGGTTACTGTAGCCTTGTAGTATAGTTTGAAGTCAGGTAGCGTGATGCCTCAGGCTTCGTTCTTTTGGCTTAGGATTGACTTGGCAATGCGGGCTCTTTTTTGGTTCCATATGAACTTTAAAGTAGTTTTTTCCAATTCTGTGAAGAAAGTCATTAGTAGCTTGATGGGGATGGCATTGAATCTATAAATTACCTTGGGCAGTATGGCCATTTTCACGATATTGATTCTTCCTACCCATGAGCATGGAATAGTCTTCCATTTGTTTGTATCCTCTTTTATTTCATTGAGCAGTGGTTTGTAGTTCTCCTTGAAGAGGTCCTTCACATCCCTTGTAAGGTGGATTCCTAGGTACTTTATTCTCTTTGAAGCAATTGTGAATGGGAGTTCACTCATGATTTGGCTCTCTGTCTGTTATTGGTGTATAAAAATGCTTGTGATTTTTGTACATTGATTTTGTATCCTGAGACTTTGCTGAAGTTGCTTATCAGCTTAAGGAGATTTTAGGCTGAGACGATGGGGTTTTCTAGATATACAATCATGTCATCTGCAAACAGGGACAATTTGACTTCCTCTTTTCCTAATTGAATCCCCTTTATTTCCTTCTCCTGCCTGATTGCCCTGGCCAGAACTTCCAACACTATGTTGAATAGGAGTGGTGAGAGAGGGCATCCCTGTCTTGTGCCAGTTTTCAAAGAGAATGCTTCCAGTTTTTGTCCATTCAGTATGATATTGGCTGTGGGTTTGTCACAGATAGCTCTTATTATTTTTGAGATATGTCCCATCAATACCTAATTTATTGAGAGTTTTCAGCATGAAGGATTGTTGAATTTTGTCAAAGGCCTTTTCTGCATCTATTGAGATAATCATGTGGTTTTTGTCTTTGGTTCTGTTTATATGCTGGATTACATTTATTGATTTGCATATGTTGAACCAGTCTTGCATCCCAGGGATGAAGCCCACTTGATCATGGTGGATAAGCTTTTTTATGTGTTGCTGGATTCAGTTAGCCAGTATTTTATCGAGGATTTTTGCATCAATGTTCATCAAGGATATTGGTCTAAAATTCTCTTTTTTGGTTGTGTCTCTGCCAGGCTTTGGTATCAGGATGATGCTGGCCTCGTAAAATTAGTTAGCGAGGATTCCCTCTTTTTCTGTTGATTGGAATAGTTTCAGAAGGAATGGTACCATCTCCTCCTTCTACCTCTGGTAGAATTCGGCTGTGAATCCATCTGGTGCTGGACTTTTTTTGCTTGGTAAGCTATTAATTATTGCCTCAATTTCAGACCCTGTTATTGGTCTATTCAGAGATTCAGCTTCTTCCTGGTTTAGCCTTGGGAGAGTGTATGTGTCGAGGAATTTATCCATTTCTTCTAGATATTATAGTTTATTTGTGTAGAGATGTTTACAGTAGTCTCTGATGGTAGTTTCTATTTCTGTGGGATCAGTGGTGATATCCCGTTTGTCATTTTTTATTGCGTCTATTTGATTCTTCTCTCTTTTCTTCTTTATTAGTCTTGCTAGCGGTCTGTCAATTTTGTTGATTGTTTTCAAAAAACCAGCTCCTGGATTCATTGATTTTTTTGAAGAGTTATTTGTGTCTCTATTTCCTTCAGTTCTGCTCTGATCTTAGTTATTTCTTGCCTTCTGCTAGCTTTTGAATGTGTTTGCTCTTGCTTCTCTAGTTCTTTTAATTGTTATATTAGGGTGTCAATTTTAGATTTTTCCTGCTTTCCCTTGTGGGCATTTAGTGCTATAAATTTCCCTCTACACACTGCTTTGAATGTGTCCCAGAGTTTCTGGTATGTTGTGTCTTTGTTCTCGTTGGTTTCAAAGAATATCTTTATTTCTGCCTTCATTTCGTTATGTACCCAGTAGTCATTCAGGAGCAGGTTGTTCAGTTTCCATGTAGTTGAGCCGTTTTGAGTGAGTTTCTTAATCCTGAGTTCTAGTTTGATTGCACTGTGGTCTGAGAGACAGTGTGTTATAATTTCTCTTCTTTTACATTTGCTGAGGAGTGCTTTACTTCCAATTATGTGGTCAATTTTGGAATAGGTGTGGTGTGGTGCTGAAAAGAATGTATATTCTGTTGATTTGGGGTGGAGAGTTCTGTTGATGTCTATGAGGTCCGCTTGGTGCAGAGCTGAGTTCAATTCCTGGATATCCTTGTTAACTTTCTGTCTCGTTAATCTGTCTAATGTTGACAGTGGGGTGTTAAAGTCTCCCATTATTATTGTGTGGGAGTCTAAGTCTCTTTGTAGGTCACTAAGGACTTGCTTTATGAATCTGGGTGCTCCTATATTGGGTGCATATACATTTAGGATAGTTAGTTCCTCTTGTTGAATTGATCCCTTTACCATTATGTAATGGCCTTCTTTGTCTCTTTTGATCTTTGTTTTAAAGTCTGTTTTGTCCAAGACTAGGATTGCAACCCCTGCCTTTTTTTGTTTTCCATTTGCTTGGTAGATCTTCCTCCATCCCTTTATTTTGAGCCTATGTGCGTCTCTGCATGTGAGATGGGTTTCCTGAATACAGCACACTGATGGGTCTTGACTCTTTATCCAATTTGCCAGTCTGTGCCTTTTAATTGGAGCATTTACCCAATTTACATTTAAGGTTAGTATTGTTATATGTGAATTTGATCCTGTCATTTTGATCTTAGCTGGTTATTTTGCTCGTTAGTTGATGCAGTTTCTTCCCAGCCTTGATAGTCTTTACAATTTGGCATGTTTTTGCAGTGGCTGGTACTGCTTGTTCCTTTCCATGTTTAGTGCTTCCTTCAGGAGCTCTTTTAGGGCAGGCCTGGTGGTGACAAAATCTCTCAGCATTTGGTTGTCTGTAAAGTATTTTATTTCTCCTTCACTTATGAAGCTTAGTTTGGCTGGATATGAAATTCTGGGTTGAAAATTCTTTTCTTTAAGAATGTTGAATATTGGCCCCCACTCTCTTCTGGCTTGTAGAGTTTCTGCTGAGAGATCAGCTGTTAGTCTGATGGGCTTCCCTTTGTGGGTAACCCAACATTTCTCTGTGGCTGCCCTTAACATTTTTTCCTTCATTTCAACTTTGGTGAATCTGAAAATTATGTGTCTTAGAGTTGCTCTTCTCGAGGAGTATCTCTGTGGCATTCTCTGTATTTCCTGAATTTTAATGTTGGCCTGCCTTGCTAGATTGGGGAAGTTCTCCTGGATAATATCCTGCAGAGTGTTTTCCATCTTGGTTCCATTCTCCCCGTCACTTTCAGGTACACCAATCAGACGTAGATTTGGTCTTTTCACATAGTCCCATATTTCTTGGAGGCTTTGTTCATTTCTTTTTATTCTTTTTTCTCTAAACTTCTCTTCACTCTTCATTTCATTCATTTCGTCTTCCATCGCTGATACCCTTTCTTCCAGTTGATTTCATTGTTACTGCGGCTTGTGCATTCTCGTTTGTCTTTTCTGATCTTTGTTGGTTTAAAGTGTGTTGTATCAGAGAGTAGAATTGCAACCCCTGCTTTTTTTTTTTTTTTTTTTTTTTTTTTTTTTTTTTTGCCTTCCATTTCTATTCCTCCATCCCTTTATTTTGAGCCTATGTGTGTCTTTGCACATGAGATGGGTCTCCTGAAGACAGCACAGCAATAGGTCTTGATTATTTAATGTGCCAGTCTGTGTCCTTTAATTGGGGCATTTATCCTACTTACATTTAAGGATAATATTGTTATGTGTGAATTTGATCCTGTCACCATGACTCTAGCTGGTTATTTTGCACATTAGTTGAAGCAGTTTCTTCATTGTGTCGTTGGTCTTTATATTCTGGTGTGTTTTTTCACTGGGTGGTACCAGTTTTTCCTTTCCATATTTAGTGCTTCCTTCAGGAGCTCTTGTAAGGCAGGCCTGGTGGTCACAAAATCCCTCAGCATTTGCTTGTCTGTAAAGGATTTTATTTCTCTTTCACTTCTGAAGCTTTGTTTGGCTGGGTATGAAATTCTAGGTTGAAAATTCTTTTCTTTAAGAATGTTGACTATTGGCTCCCACTCTCTTCTGGCTTGTAGGGTTTCTTCAGAAAGATCTGCTGTTAGTCTGATGGGCTTTCCTTTGTAGGTAACCTGATCTTTCTTTCTGGCTGCCTTTAACATTTTTTCCTTCTTTTCAGCCTTGAAGAATCTGATGATTATTGTCTTCAGGTTGCTCTTCTCGAGGAGTATCTTTGTGGTGTTGTCTGTATTTCCTGAATTTGAATGTTGGCCTGCCTTGCTAGCTTGGGGAAGTCCTCCTGAATAATATCCTGAAGTGTGTTTTCCAACTTGGTTCCATTCTCCCTGTCACTTTCAGGTACATCAATCAATCATAGGTTTGGTCTCTTCACATAGTCCCATATTTCTTGGAGGCTTTGTTCATTCCTTTGCATCATTTTTTCTCTAACCTTGTCTTCACACTATATTTATGTAAATTGATCTTCAATCTCTGATATCCTTTCTTTTGCTTGATTGATTCAGCTATTGATACTTATGTAGGCTTTACGAAGTTCTCATGCTGCGTTTTTCAGCTCCATCAGGTCATTTATATTCTTTCTAAACTGGTAATTCTAGCTAGCAGTTCTTGTAACCTTTTATCAAGGTTCTTAGCTTCCTTGCATTGGGTTAGAAAATGCTTCTTTAGCTCAGAGGCATTTGTCATTACCCCCCTTCTGAAGCCTACTTCTGTCAATTCATCAATCTCATTCTCTGCCCAGTTTTGAGATCTTGCTGGAGAACAGTTGCTGTCATTTAGAGGAGAAGATGTATTCTGGTTTTTAAAATTTTCAGCATTTTTGCTCTGGTTTTTCCTCATCTTCGTGGATTTATCTACCTTTAATCTTTGAGGCTGATGATGATTGGACGGAGGTTTGTGTGGGAGTCCTTTTTGTTGATGTTGATGTTGTTGCTTTCTGTTTGTTAGATTTTCTTCTAACGGTCAGGCCCCTCTTCTGCAGTTCTGCAGCAGTTTGCTGGAGTTCCACTCCCCCGACCTTGTTCGCCTGGTTATCACCAGTGGAGGATACAGAACAGCAAAGATTGCTGCCTGCTCCTTCCTCTGGAAACTTCGTCTCAGAGGGGCACTGGCCTGATGCCATCCAGAGCTCTCCTGCCAGCACAGCAGTCTGAAGTTGACCTGAAATGATTGAGCTTGGTGGGGGAAGAGTTGCCCGCCGTTACCAAAGGCGTGAATAGGCGGTTTTCCCCTGATAGTGCTAAGGAGGCTGGCAGGTTTGGACTGGGTGGAATTCACCACAACGCAGCAAAGCGGTGTCTGTCAACCCATGTTGGGAGGACTCTCCCAGTCAGGAGGCACAGGGATCAGGGACCTAACTGAGGAGACAGTGTGTCCCTTAGCAGAACTCGAGTGCTTTGCTGGGAGAATCCTCCTTGTCAGGATCAGCTGCTCTCCTCAGAACCAGCAGGAAGGAAAGTTTAAGTCTGCTGAAGCTGCATCCACAGCCGCCCCTTCCCCCAGGTGCTCTGTCCTACGGAAATGGGAGTTTTATCTGTAAGCCCCTGTCTGGGGCTGCTTCCTTTCTTTCAGAGATGTCCTGCCCTGTGAGGAGGACTCTATTCAGGCAGTCTGGCCACTGCTGCTTTACTTTGGTGTGGCGAATTCCACCCAGTCCAAACCTCCCAGCCTCCTTAGCGCTATCAGGGGAAAACCGCCTACTCAAGCCTCGGTAATGCCGGGCGACCCTCCACCTACCAAGCTCTATCATTTCAGGTCAACTTCAGACTGCTGTGCTGGCAGTGAGAATTTCAAGCCAATGGTTCTTAGGTTTCTGGGATGTGTGGGAGTGGGACCCACTAAGCGAGACCACTTGGCTCCCTGGCTTCAGCCCCCTTTCCAGGGGAGTGAACGGTTCCATCTCACTGGGGTTCCAGGTGCCACTGGGGTACGTATGAGAAAAACTCCTGCAGCTAGCTTGGTGTCTGCCTAAACAGCCGCACAGTTTTGTGCTTGAAACCTGGGGCCCTGGTGATGTCGTCACCTGAGGGAATCTCCAGATCTGCCAATTGCAAAAAACCGTGGAAAAAGCATAGTATCCGGACCAGATAGCACAGTCCCTCATGGCTTCCCTTGGCTGGGGGAGGGAGGTGCCCCAGCTCCTTGACTTCCCAGGTGAGGCAACGCCCCACCCTGCTTCTGCTTGCCCTCCATAGGCTGCACCCACTGCCTAACCAGTCCCAATGAGATGAACTGCCTACCTTAGTTGGAAATGCAGAAATAACCCACCTTCTGTGTTGGTTTTGCTGGGAGCTGTAGACCAGAGCTATTCCTATTCGCCCATCTTTCCAGATCCCACATCATTTGGCATGAAAAATCTGTATAAGAATTATGGAGACAGATATAATGTTTAGTTCAATTCCCTGGAAGCTAAGGTATAAGACAGAGATATCCACACTCTTGCTGCTTTAACCTCACTAAACATTGACAACTTCTAGGATTGAAGCATCAGTAAGCTCTGGGAAGGCTTATATCCTTGGTGAGTAACTACTTTCATTTTCTAGGAGTCAATACAGGCCAGCCAAAATACAATCTTCTTCCATTTCAAAGATAAATGCCTCTGCGTGGAACAGTGAAAGTCCTCAATTTACTCTGGGGGAAAAAAAATTCTGTAAAGTTTTGAGTATTTGGAGCCCCACTAAATCATCTCAAAAAATTCTCCTTTCTAGTTTAGGGGATATGTTAAACAGAGAAAAGACAGATAGGAGGAAACATTTATTGAAGGTTCTGCAAGTTGGGTGTGGTCCTTAATGCCCACAATAATTCTACAAAGGAGGTATTGTTTGCCTTTCCCATTTCAGAGGAAGAAACTTAAGGCCCAACAAATTTATGCATTGAGCCAAGGACAAGAAAGAAATAGCAGAACAAGATCTAAAAGACAAATTCCTTCGACTTCAGAATTCATGACTTTTCTACTAGCCCAGGTTACATTTTGTTTAACTGCCAAATCACAGTGCATTTGATGTCACAGATGTTGTGCTCTCATTTTGCAGCCTTCTGTCCTCAGGAAGACTCAGGCAGCATGTTCCTCTGTTATTGAACGTACACAATATTGTAATTAATTGTTTACCTATCTGGCACTCCCAATAAACTGTACTTCTTATGCATAAGAACAATATTGTATTACTCCTATTTACAAATACCCTAGCATGTAGTACACCCAAAATATTTGAATTGTCAATTTATCCAACAATGTATCTATGGAGAAGGTAAGAATATAAATCCACAGGATTTAGGAATAGCTATTAATACAACCAGACTTATAGCCTGTTATGAATTCAGTTTATGAATCCTTAGACAAATTGTGATTTATTCATTGGTTTAACAAAAATTTATTGAGCAACTACCATTTTTTCAATCTCTGTATGAGACAATGGGTATACACTTGGAAATTCAGAGAAAGGCAACATTCCTGCCCTCACTGAGCTTTCATTCTAGAGAGAGCATTAAGCAATAATAAATAAACAAATAAAAATAAATGCAGCTTGTGACAAAAAATAAAATAGGAGGAAGATAGCAGCCAATTTAGGTAAAGTGAGCAAAAATGGCCCTTCTAATGAGATGATAATTAAACTTGAGTATAAGGCAAGGCAAGTGCAAAGACTGGTAGGATGTTTGTGTCTTGTAGGAATTGTGATAAAACAATAAAGCTGAAGCACAGTGAGTGAAGGGAAAGGGGTTTGAAATGAAGTAAGAGAGGTATTCACTCCCCAGACTACGCATGTCCATGGGGGGCCATGATAAGGTATGGATCTTATTACCATAACCACCATGTGTCCACATGTTGATAAGAGATAGCATCCTCAAAGAGCAATCAGAAAAAGGTTGATAAAATCAAATTTTTAATACATGTCCAGAAGAAAAAGAAAAAATATCAAAAAATAATAAAATTGTATTAAAAGATAGATAGACAGATTTCAATATATTCTTCCATGAAATCTTTCTCCTTTGAGGTCCTATGAAGTGAAAGAAATTCAACCATAGGAATATCTGAACACAGGTAATTAACAGGAGAGGGCAGAGCATTACATCAGAACAGAGAACTGTGATTGCAGTGCCAAATCAGATCAGCAGACATTCAAAGCAGGTTAAAGAAATATTAGAAAGGCACTGCAGTAACACAGTAAAAATAGGGAGATGTGTGTTTAACAAAGTGGTTGGGAGAAAAAGTGTTTTTTAATTCCCTCATTTCTATATAAAACGTATGTCAAAATATAACTTCTCCAAGGCTTCCCATCAAAAATAGCATCAGGACGACCTTTACGAGTTCAATCTGGAGCCACAATGTCAAATATAGTATCACTAGTCGCATGTGGCTACTTTATCTAAAATTAAATAAAATGTAAAATTCACTTCCTCATTCAAACTATCACAGTTTTCAAGTGCTCAATAGCCATTCATGTTTAGTGGCTACTATTAGACAGCACAAATCTATAGATACACATATTTCCATCACTGTAGAAAGTTCTCTTGGTTAGTAATGATATTTGTGGACTTGATCCTGTCATTGTGCTATTAGCTGGTTATTAGTTTGGCTTCTTCGTGTGGTTGCTTTACAGTGACACTGGAGTGTGTGTTTAAGTGTGTTTTTGTATTGACTAGTAGTGGTCATTCCTTTCTATGTTTAATGCTCCTTTCAAGATCTCTTGTAAGGTAGGCTGGTAATGAATTCATTTCTGGTAATGAATTCCCTCAACATTTGCTTCTAAAGGGTCTTATTTCTCCTTCACTTAGGAAGCTTAGTTTGGTCAGATGAAAAATTCTTGAAGACTTTTTTCTTTAAGAATGTTGAATTTAGGCCCCAAATCTCTCTTTTTTTATTATTATACTTTAAGTTTTATGGTACATGTGCACAATGTGCAGGTTTGTTACATATGTATACATGTGCCATGTTGGTGTGCTGCACCCATTAACTCGTCATTTAACATTACGTATATCTCCTAATGCTATCCCTCCCCCTCCCCCTCCCCCCACCCCACAACAGTCCCCGGTGTGTGATGTTCCCCTACATGTGTTCTCATTGTTCAATTCCCACCTATGAGTGAGAACATGAGGTGTTTGGTTTTTGTCCTTGCAATAGTTTGCTGAGAATGATGGTTTCCAATTTCATCCATGTCCCTACAAAGGACATGAACTCATCATTTTTTATGGCTGCATAGTATTCCATGGTGTATATGTGCCATATTTTCTTAATCCAGTCCATCATTGTTGGACATTTGGCTTGGTTCCAAGTCTTTGCTATTGTGAATAGTGCCGCAATAAACATACGTGTGCATGTGTCTTTATAGCAGCATGATTTATAATCCTTTTAGGTATATACCCAGTAATGGGATTGCTCGGTCAAATGGTATTTCTAGTTCTAGATCCCTGAGGAATCACCACACTGACTTCCACAATGGTTGAACTAGTTTACAGTCCCACCAACAGTGTAAAAGTGTTCCTATTTCTCCACATCCTCTCCAGCACCTGTTGTTTCCTGACTTTTTAATGATCGCCATTCTAACTGGTGTTAGATGGTATCTCATTGTGGTTTTGATTTGCATTTCTCTGAGAGGCCCCCAATCTCTTCTGGCTTCTAGGGTTTCAGCTGAGATGTCTGCTGTTAGCCTGAAGGTGTTCACTTTGAAGGTGACCTGAGCTTTTTCTCTACCTGCCTTTAACATTCTTTCTTTCACTTTGACCTTGGAAAATCTGATGATTATGTGTTTGGGGATGATCTTCTTGTGTACCATCTTTCAGGAGTTCTTTGTATTTCCTAAATTTGACCGTTGGCCTCTCTAGCAAGGTTGGCAAGGTTTTCACGGATGATATCCTGAAATATATTTTCCAAGTCGTTTGCTTTCTCCCCATCCCTTTAATGGATGCCAATGACTTGTAGATTTGTCCTCTTCACATAGTCCCATACTTCTCAGAGGTTTTGTTCAATCCTTATTCTTACTTTTTCTTTATTTTTGTTTCTTTTATTTCAGAGAACCAGTCTTCAGGTTCTGAGATTCTTTCCTCAGCTTGGTTTATTCTGCTGTTAATACTTGTGATTGCATTGTGAAATTCTTGTATTGGATTATTCCGCTCTGTCAGAGCCATTATGTATCTTTTTTTATATGGACTATTTCATCCTTTAGCTCCTGTATCACTTTATTGTAATTCTTATTTTCCTTGGATTGGGTTTTGCCATCTTCTCGAATCTCGATGGTGTTTGTTCCTATCTGTATTCTGAATTCTATTTCTGCCATTGCAGCCAGTTTGGTCTGGTTAAGAACTCTTGTTGGAGAGCTGATGTGGCCATTTGGAGGATGTACGACACTGACCATTTGAGTTACTGGAGTTATTCCATTGGTTCCCTCTCATCTCTCTGTGTGGGTGTTCTTTTAACTGTGGTATAGATGTAATAAAGTCAGTAGACTTGTTTTCACTGGGCCGAGGCTTTGTGTAGGGTCTTTATTTGAAGCTGACTTCTTGTCTCTGGTTTCAGAGGGGGATATGTCAGTGAGTTATTTTTGGTGTTGACGCTTTGGGGTGTGATCCAGCAGGTGGCACTTAGGTTATTGGTCAGTTGGTAGACTCTTGCTTGGTTGTGTGGTTGCCCTATGTTTCCTCACAGTTACAGTCATTTTCCCTCTCGATGCTCTGAAAGTGTGGGTTCCTCTTCCCCTTAAGTGCTGGCTGTAAATTGTGAGATGCACTCTTAGGCTGTCCACTGCATCTCTGGAGTGATCTCAGTGTTTATGTTCCTTCCCCAACTTAGAGGCAGGAGAAGAAGAGATCTTAGTAGTGGTTGTTGCTGAGGGTCATTTGCTTGTCCCCTGGGGACTCTACCTCAGAGAGATGCAGGTAAGCAATTGCTCAGTGCAATCAGCCCAGGATGGAGGGTGTGTGCTGTGGACTCAAGCCGAGGGTTTTCTGTCTAGTGATGAGTAGTTTGTGTGTGTGCATGTGAAGGGGGGTGCGACATGTATAGCATCTATGGGAGATGAACTAGTCTCCTCTCTTGGGTCAAGAAATAAAGGGCATCCAAATAGGAAAAGAGGAAGTCAAACTATCTCTGTTTGCAGATGACATAATTCTATATCTAGAAAATCCCATGGTCTTGGTCCACAAGCTCCTCCAGCTGATAAACAACTTCAGCAAAGTTTCAGGATACAAAATAAATGTAAAAAATCACTAGCATTTCTATACACAAACAACAACCAAACTGAGAGCTAAATCAGAAAAGCAATCCCACTCACAATTACCACAAAAAAAATAAAATCCCTAGGTATACAACTAACCGGGGGGATGAAAGAGCTCTACAATGAGAATTACACTGCTTAAAGAAATCAGGGAAGACACAAACAAATGGAAAAACATCCCATGCTCATTTTTAGAATCAATATCATTAAAATGACCATACTGCCCAAAGCAATTTACAGTTTCAATGCTATTCCTATCAAACTATCAAGGACATTCTTCCCAAAACTAGAAAAATCTATTTTATAATTTATATGGAATCACAAAAGGGCCCAATAACCAAGGCAACCCTAAGCAAAAAGAACAAAGCTGAGACATCACAATACCTGACTTCAAACTACACTACAAGGCTACAGTAACCAAAACAGCATGGTACTGGTACAAAAACAGGCACATAGACCAATGAAACAGAAGAAGGATCCCAGAAATAAGACTGCATACCTATGACCATCTGATCTTTGAAAAAGCTGACAAAAACAAGCAATGAGGAAAAGACTCCCTATTGAACAAATGGTGCTGGGATAACTGGCTAGCCATATGCAGAAGATTGAAGCTCGACCTCTTCCTTACACCATACATAAAAATCAACTCAAGATGAATTAAAGACTTAAATGTAAATCCACAACTATAAAAACCCTAGAAGACAACCTAAGCAATACCATACTGGACATAGGAATGGGCAAAGATTTCATGACAAAGACACCAAAAGCAAACACAACAAAAGCAAAAATTGACAAGTGGGACCTAAAAAAAATAACTATCAACAGAGTGAGCAGACAACCTATAAAATGGGAGAAAATTTTTGCAAAATATGCATCCAACAAAGGTTTGATATCCAGAGTCTACAAGGAACTTAAGCAAATTTACAACAGAACAACAACCCCATTTAAAAGTGGGCAAAGGACATGAATGGATACTTCTCAAAAGAAGACATACATGCAGCCAACAGCAAATGAAAAAAAAAGCTCAATATCACTAATAATTAAAGAAATGCAAATCAAAACCACAGTGAGATATCATCTCATACCAGTCAGAATGGCTTTTATTAAAACGTCAAAAAATAACAGACACTAGAGAGGTTGCAGAGAAAAGGGAATGCTTATACACTGTTGATGGGAGTGTAAATTTGATCAACTATTGTGGAAAGCAGTACGGTGATTCTTCAAAGAGCTAAAAGCAGAACAACCACTTGACCCAGCAATTCCATTACTGGGAATATACCCAGAGGAATATATAAAATTCTATCATAAAGATACATACACACATATGTTCATTGCATGATATGGTTTGGCTGTGTCCCCACCAAAATCTCATCTTGAATTCCAGCTCCCACAATCTCCACATGTCATGGGAGGCACCTGGTGAAAAGTAATTGTATTATTGGGGCGGGTTTTTCCTGTGCTGTTCTCGTGATAGTCAATAGGTCTCACGAAAACTGATGGTTTTATAACAGGGAGTTCTCCTGCACACTCTCTCTTACCTGTCGCCATGTAAGACATGATTTTGCCCCTCCTTTGCCTTCTGCCATGATTATGTGGCCTCCCCAGCCATGTGGAAATGTGAGTTAATTAAACTTCTTTTTCTTTATAAATTACCCAGTCTTGGGTATGTCTTTTTTAGCAGCATGAGAACAGACTAATACATTGCAGCACTACTCACAATAGCTAAGACATGGAATCAACCTAAATGCCCATCAATGACCAACTGGATAAAGAAAATGTGGTACAAATCCACCATGGAATACTATGCAGCCATAAAAATAATGAGATCATATCTGTTGCAGGAACATGAATGGAGCTGCAGGCTATTATCCTTAGCAAATTAATGCCAGAACAGAAAATCAAATACTGCATGTTCTCACTTATAAGTGGGAGCTAAATGATAAGAACTTATCAACACAAAGAAGGAAATAATAGACACTGGGGTCAACTTGATGGGGGAGGGTGGGAGGAGAGGGAGAAGCAGAAAAGGTAACTATTGGATACTGGGCTTGATACCTGTGTGATGAAATAAAATGTACAACAAACCCCGTGACACCTGTTTACCTATATAACAAACCTTGATATGTAACCCCAAACCTAAAATAAAAGTTAAAAAAGCAAAGTTCTATTGGATAGAACTGATGGAGAATTCATAAAAGTTAGCATAATCCCTCACATAGAGTAGATGCTCAATAAGTATTTTTAAATCATTGGATTAAGCTGGATCCAGAATAAGTAGGAAAGATAGTTGGGGGATTTGCTTGTAGGAAGCAAATATCTGCTACTGAAACTTTAGCAAATCTATTTATAATTGAGACTATGCCAACAGATTTGGTAATAAATCTTTCTCCCTGAGTTGTTAATTTATGGTATTTGTGGAATCTCATTATTGTTCCTGTTGTTATTTTTATAACTTAGAACTTCCATTTCTTTGAAAATAAAGGCAGAGCAAGAAAATATGTTCAGCTACATGCTGTCCTTATGTCTTTCTTGTATCAAGAATCCTGTATGTGTTCCTTCCAGAGAAAGACCATAGGATATCTATCTTCTATCTAATGTCAGGCAAGTCTATGTCCAGTTGCTATTCCTCTTGCCCACCTTACAGGGTTTTTGTGAAAAGTAAGTAAATAAACATGTGAAACTTCTTTGAAAACCATAATGGTCATTTTATAAAAATTATTCTTGTAATTTTTTCAGGGGCAGTCAAGTTGCTTATAAATCACCTGTTGGAGGTTGGTATGGCTCAAAATATTAAAAGTCTTTCCCAAGCTAATAATTAACTTACCTGTTCTGTTGCTTATTTAATTGAAACACCTGTCTGTTCTGTTAATGTTTAAAATCATTTGGAATACATCATTTATGTTTGTTTGGTTCTAATGAAAACACTGGAGCCCAGGTCCATTATCCTGTCTCCTGTCACCTGCTCCTGGCTCTTTCTACCTCTGCTTGAGTTTCAGAATTGTGCTTGTCCTCACCCTGCCACATCTTTAGGAACAAAGTTTTGGGTCTGGAGGTGAAGAAAGCTATCTATATACAAAAGAAAATATCACTTTTTAAAGTATTCATTTGACAAGAAAAAATAGCAAGAGAAAAGGGAGAAATTTTATCATCACTTCCATAACATCCAGCCCCAATATTATTATGCTGATGGAGTTATCATTATTATTAGTATGCTTAATTATTCTATTTAGATCCCATCTTGATACATCTGATATATTTATATTTAAATTTTGTATTAATCTTACCCTTTGGTATTTTCAAAGCAATGCATAGTTAACTTAGCATTTTCACATTTATTATCTCATCTGAATCTCTTAGCTACCTTCTGAGTTTGGTAAGGCAAGTACTTCTATCTAATTTCTTCTCTAGGCTCAGAGGGGAGAAGAGATTTGCTCAAGGTCACATGACTGGTAAATGTTAGAGCTGGGACCCAAATTCCACAGATGTTAACCAGGCAGATTTCAAATCACTCATTGTGTGGAAATCAGTACACATATCTTGTTTTCATTTGCCTTAAAGCTTTCAGTGTTACCTCTTAATTAAGTCTCTGTAAATGTTTTCTGTTATAAATCTTATAAACTTATAGAAGCATTAACTTCAAAAAATATTTTTAAAAATATATTCTCTAGATCACCCACTCTACATGCTAACCATGGATTGTAAAATAGCCTGAAAATGCCAACTAGGAAGAGGAAGCTCACAAAGTCTCCCTTCAATAGAGGTTAAAAAAAAAAAAAAAAAAAAAAAAAACCTTCACAGAAACATGAAATCAAATCAGTCCCTAGTGTAAAAGTATGTTTTGCTATAAAGATTTTTTTCTATTCACGCTAAAAAGATTAAAATACTGTAGACAAGATAAATTTTCAGGAAATGGAAGTAAGGTCACTAACAGACACTGCACAGAAATGCCACAAGCCCCACTGGCACACACACAAAATGCGATTATTCATAAGGCTGACTTTTTAACACCTTCTCATTGATTGTTGTAGGAAAGCAGCCTTTTGGCCACAACACGTAACACCACAAATAAGCTGATCTGGGGAGGAGTTGTACTCTGACAAAATTCTTTTTGCCTTCTGTAGCTCCAAAAAGATGGAATGTGAAAAGTGGGCAGAACTCCTACTCACTAATGGGATGAGACAATGTAACAAAGTAGGCAGAGCATGGGATTTGGACTCAGAAAAACTGGCTCTTACAACAATTAAAAATTGAACTGTTTTAGTACTCATAACCAAGTATAGCTATACAAATGAATAAACAGACAGCAAAATATTTGAAGGTTGAGAAAATGGGTTTGGTCGACCGAATTAATCTCCTGTTGAACAAACTCTCTAAAACTATATCTTGACTCTCTTTTGCAATGGTGCTTAAAACTTTTTTTGTTCCAATCTAGAATGAAACAGCTTGTAATCTGAACAATAAAATAGTTTAGCTCAGCAACTCCTTAGCAGAGATGAATCTATAAATATATCATCAATATAGTTAGAACCTGGTTATTAATATTCCTCCAGAGGAAGTTTCTCTCTATTATTTTGCTACGCACAAAGGTATTTTCCCATGACTTTAACTGATCAACATTTTGAAGATTTTGTTTGAAATGCTCGAGGATATTTTCAAGGGTTTCTCATGTTCTTATCAAAATTAGAGTTGCCTGCTAACTAATGACTTGGGTATTGTTCATTGCAACAAGAACGCATACTTTTAAAGGTGTAGGATTGTCAGAAACCTGGGATTGAGTGCTAGTCTTGAAATTAATTGCCCCATAGTATTTTGCTTTTACAGCCAACTGGACTACTAAGAACAGTTATAAGAGCAGACTGTAGGCTTAGCTGACCTCAACCTGGGGTGACTGCCACAGTGACACCATTGTGATTGGAATTAAATATACAATGGCCTGCTTTTCTCATTCCAAAAGTTGGGTTATTGCCATATTTAACCCACACACGGAATTCCTCCACTCCTCCCACTTCATTCATTGTCCCCCCACCCCGATTTTGTATGCATTCACCTCCTCCAATAAAATTATAAATTAGAATTTAGACAGAACAACACTATATTTTGCTTATCTTTGCCTATATACATTTCAGTCCTTTGTAAATAGTGTTTGTATTAAATGCTTGTTAAATAAATAAATGAATGGCATATTTCTGTGACCTTGAATAACTCATTCTTTACCCCTATACCTTAGTTGCCCTGTATATTTAAGTAAAGGTATAGAGATTGAAGATATGGTGTAAAAGTAAAGTTATTTTTTTAAGCCATTAAGTTTTAATCAAGTAATTTTAAATGCATATGTTGCCTAAAATGACTTATTTTTATTTTTATTTTTTTAGCACCCATCAGTAGTTTTTCAGTTTGCTACATCTGACCACTCCACTGCTTCTGAGGAAACAGCTCCTTTTGGTCCTTGTTCTATTCATTAGTCAAAAATATTTATTAAATATTTTCTATTTGATATGTTTTGTTGTATCTGTGTACCCGGAGCATACATTATACTAGGGAGGAGTCAGTCAGTAAGAAGTAAAAATCTAAAATAAAGCTTAGTATACAAATCATAAGGTAATTTTTGATAGTGATAAGTACTATAGGGAAATTATCAGTTTTCTTCTAGAAACTTTGTAGTTCTAGTTTTCACATTTAGGTATTTGATGCATTTTGAGTTAATTTTAGGATATGTTGTGATGTGTGAATCAAAGTTTTGGGTTTTGTTTGTTTGCATATGAATATCCAATTTTTCCAGCACCATTTGTTGAAATGACTATTCTTCCAGCACTGAACTGCCTTTGAAAATATGTCAAAAAATTGTGGTCTATATATGTCTATGGGTAAATTTTAGATTCTGTCCTCTATTCAATTATCTGATCATCTATTTTGATGCCAATAATTTTTTATAGTAACTTCATAATAAGTCTTAAAATTGGGTGCTGTTAAACTTCCAATCTCGTTTTCCCTTTTCAAAGCTGTTGTGGCTATTCTAGATTTGTTGCATTTACACATGAATCTTAGAATCAGCTTGTTGATTTCTACAAAAAATAAATCCTGTTGGGATTGCATTACATTTATAGATCACTTTGGGGAGAATTGATATCTGCCCCTGCCATAGAGATCTGTGGAACTTTGAACTTGAGAAAAATGATTTAGGGTATCTGGCAGAAAAAATATCTAAGTGGCAAAGCATTCAAAAGGAAGCAGAGCGTAAAAGTTTGGAAAATTGGCAGCCTGATGATGTGATAGAATATAAAAGCCCATTTTCTAGGAAAAAATTCAAGCCTGCTGCAGAAATTTGCATAAGCAACTGGGAGCCAAATATTAATCACCAAGACAATGGGGAAAATGTGCCCAGGGTATGTCAGAGACCTTCACAGCAGCCCCTCCCATCACAGGCTTGGAGGCCTAGGAGGGAAAAATGGTTTTGTGGGCTGGGCCAAGGGCATCTTGCTCTGTGAAGCCTGGGGACATGATGCCCTTTGCCCCAGCTGCTTCAGCTTCCACTGTGGCTAAAAGTGGCCAAAGGGGCCAAGGTACAGCTCGGGTCATTGTTTCAGAGGGTGCAAGCCCCAAGCCTAGGTGGCTTCCATATGGTGTTAAGCCCATGGGTGCACAGGAGTCAAGAATTGAGGTTTGGGAACCTCTGCCTAGATTTCAGAGGATGTACGGAAACACCTGGATGTTCAGGATTTTTTTGCAGGGGTGGAGCCCTCATGGAGAACATCTGTTAGGGCAGTTCAGAAGGGAAATGTGGGGTTGGAGCCCCCACACAGAGTCCCCACTGGGGCACTGCCTAGTGGAGCTGTGAGAAGAGGGCCACCATCCTCCAGACCCCAGAATGGTAGATCCACCAACAGCTTGCATCATGCAGCTGGAAAAGCCACAGCCCATGAAAGCAGCTTGGATGGGGGCTGTACCCTGCAAAGCCACAGGGGTGGAGCTGGCAAAAGCTGTGGGAGCCTGCCTCTTCCATCAGTATGACCTGGATGTGAGACACGGAATCAAAGGAGATCATTTTGGAACTTTAAGGTATAATGACTATGCTTTTGGATTTCAGACTTGCATGGGGCCTGTAACCCCTTTGTTTTGGCCAATTTCTCCCATTTGGAATGGGTATATTTACCCAATGCCTGTACTCCCATTGTATCTAGGAAGTAACTAACTTGTTTTTGACTTTGCAGGCTCACAGGCGGAAGGGACTTGCCTTGTCTCAGATAAGACTTTGGACTTGGACTTTTGGGTTAATGCTAGAACAAGTTAAGACTTTGGGGGACTGTTGGAAGGGCATGATTGTGTTTTGAAATGTGAAGACAAGAGATTTGAGAGGGGCAGAATTATATGGTTTGGCTGTGTCCCCACCCAAATCTCACCTTGATGTAATCCCCATAATCCCCATGAGTCAAGGGCAGGACAAGGTAGAGGTAATTGGATCATGGGGGTGGTTTCCCCAATGCTGTTCTCATGATAATGACTGAGTCTGATGAGATTTGATGGTTTTATAAGCTTCTGTCATTACCAGAACTACAACTAGAATATCTAAAATAATTTTGAAAAAGAATAAAGTAGGAAAAATTAGTCTGCTCAGTATCAAGACATTAGTTAGCCACACTAATCCAGGTTGTGTGATATTGATGGAGGAACAGATACATAGATCAATGCAACAGAATCCAGAATCCAGAAATCAGTGCAGTTGACTTTATAATGTTACAAAAGCAATTCAGGGGAGGAAACAGCCTTTTCAACAAACGACACTGAAGAAACTGGACATGCATAGGCCAAAACAATGAACTCCAACCTAAACCTTACATCTTACACAAAATTTAACTCAAAATGGATTACAGAATTAAATGGAAACACACTTGTACCTTCAAACATTTTTATAATACTCCACTCCTCAACCTTCGCCAACTGACATTTGCTTATCTTCAAATACCATTGCTGCAAAGGGGCTTTCATGAATTAACTTGTTTAAATGAAACCTTCTCTCTACCCTCATTGATTTCTGTCATGGCATCTGTTGATTTTTCCTATAGCTTTTCTCTCTCTCTCTCTCTCTGACTCAGTCTTACACTGTCACTCAGGCTAGAGTGCAATGGTGCAATCGTGGCTCACTGCAGACTTAAACTCCCAGGCTTAAGCGATCCTCCCACCTCAGCTTCTTGAGTAGCTAGGATTACATGCATGAGCCACCATGGCTGGCTAATTTTTTAATTTTTTGTAGATATTGGGTGTCATGATGCTGCCCAAGCTGGTTTTGAACTTCTGGCCTTAAGCAATTCTCCCACCTCAGCCTCCCAAAGTGCTAAGATTACAGGATTTATCTTTTGATCCATTATTATTTAGTTTTATTAAATGTGTATTTACTTGATTACTGTTTGACTTTCTCACCAGGCTCTAAGTCTCACATCTACAAGAACCGTGTCTATTTTTTTTCAGGAATGTGTTCCCATCATCTGCCATTATGCTAGGAACACAGTGTATGTGCCAAGAAATATCTTTAGACAAAATAAATGAATCAATCTCAGATGGCCAAGGAGGACCTTGTAAAAAGAGTCAGAAGTCCAATTGTGAGGAAAGAACTCCGGGGTTTCCAACTGAGTTTGGTTACCTGGTTCCCACATTTAATAATTCAGTTAAAGTAAATGAGTAAATTATTTAAACTCTCTGAGCCTCCAAGGATTTATAGGTAATGAATGAAATAATAAATATAAAGTTTACATGGTATGCATTAGATAAAATGTTGGCTTCCTTCCTGAGACAGGTTGACTTCTTTTTGACCCTAAATACAACAGAATGAATATCTGAGCAAAACTCTTTAAATTCGTAAATTCATGTGGAATGCACACAACAGCTTCATTTGAGAACATCTGCGGTTATTTGCAAAGGAGAATTATTAGCCCCAAAACAGAACTAAAAGAAATGATTTTTCCTAAATTACATGATACTTGATAGGCATAAGGAAGATAGTAATTTTAAATGGCCCACTTCTCTTTAAATTACACACATCTTTGTCTTCAGCACAGCAGTTTTTGGTTTCTTATGTCTATCTTGGGGAGAATGATGACATAGGTCAGGGGAAGGAAGATACTGCCAAACAACTACATTCCACCTGCTCCCTGAAAAAAAAAAAAAAGTATGTCTTTAAAGTGTCTTGATAGCCTTTATTGTCAGTAAATCCTCATCAGGATTTCATTCCTTCTGGGTGATTCCTCTCTAAAGAGAGTAATAGTGGCCCTTGAACTGACTGACAAAGGATTTAATGAACCATTTCTGACCTGTTCCACAGAAGGAAACCTTGCTCAGTGGACTTGGAAAGAACGTCATTTCTTTGTGTTCAATGTCAAATACCCAGGGCTTGGTAAAATGTTAGCCATATGGTAGGTGATTCACAAATATTTATTGGATGCACAAATAAGCAAATCAAGAGAACCTGGGTTGCAGAATCAGATTGTCAACTCAGTAAAGACCCAGAAGGTGACAGTAAGAAGGGGCTATCAATAAAGACTATTCTAACCTTGTTATTTAGCATTTTACCTATTCTCCCATGTATAATAGACCTAAAAAGAGGTCTCTGTTTAAAATGTTCCAGATATGAGAAGCCAACTTCAGGCAAGCCATTTCATCTGCATCCCATTTAAATCACTAGTATATATTTTTTCCTCCAGAACTCGAAGTCGGCCTTCCTTTAACTTATCTATAGACCCTAATTCTGACCTCTCTTCCACAAATAGCTTATCAAAAGTTTCAAGGAAGCTATTAAGCTCCTGATATTCTAAGGTTAATTTAAACACTCAACAGCCTACTAAAAAGGGAAAGGCTTTTTAAAACTAGCTTCTGGATAAAGACATCAGGATTCATACTCAGTGAACACAAGCTGGCAAATAAAAAATCTCAGGATGGTGGTGAGAAACCAGTATTTAACTTTACCTTTTAATAAATGTTTTGTTTTAGATGTACTGAATTGTGAAAAGAGTGCAGAGTTCCCATATACCCACACAACCAGATCTCACATTATAAATATTTTATATGAATACATTACATTTGTCATAATGAGCCAATATTAATACATTATTATTAACTTTGGTTTTCATGCCATCAAGTATTGAAAAAGGGCAGGTTTTTTTCCTAATTTTTTATGGCAACCTGTATTGGCCCCTAAATTCACAGGAATGGAGAGAAAGGCAAAAAGTCAGTTTTGTAATTCTTATTTAAAAAATAAAAATAGACTAGGCACGGTGACTCACGCCTGTAATCCCAGCACTTTGGGAAGCTGAGATGGGAGGATCACTTGAGGTCAGGAGTTGGAGACCAGCCTAGTCAACATGGCGAAACCCTGTCTTTACTAAAAATACAAAATTTAGCCAGGCATGGTGGCCTGCACCTGTAATTCCAGTTACTTGGGAGGCTGAGGCATGAGAATCACTTGAGGCTGGGAGGCAGAAGTTGCAGTGAATTGAGATTGAGCCACTGCACACCATCCTGGATGATGGAGTGAGACTCTCTCAGAAAAAGGTAAAATAAAACATTATGGACTGTGCTTATAAGCCAGAAGACTTTTATTTTAAACTCACAATTAGGCTAATAACACAGCTCGGTTTATAGCACATTGTCATTTATTTTGCTTTGCAAGGGAAAGAGAAAAATTATTTATAATTTTTTTTCTTTCTCCATCCCCATTCCCATTTCTTCCATTCTCCAGCTCTCATTATAATACATAATATATTCCAATCCAACTTTATAAACTTATTTAGATATGTGCATATGCTTGTAACACATTATTTTTGTTGGGGGTTGTTATAATTTTACTCAAATGGTACATCATACTGACTGTAAATTATATTATTTCAACAATCTTCCTTAACACTATGTTATTTTAGATCATTCTCTATGTAAATCTATAAAGAGGAAATTTCAGCATAATATATATATATGTACACATATGTGCATTTTTTTCAAACATATTTAGAGGCATGTATATACACACATACATATGCATATGCACATATATATATATACATACATATATAGTCAATCCTTATTTGCAGTCTTTATGTTCTAAAAAGCCACTGTGGATACTGAATTAGTAAATACTTACTCATTACTTTTAGAGGAAGTACAGGGTTAGGTTCCCTTGAGTCTCTGGTCACAATATTTTTATCAATTGATCAATACATAACCTTGTATTATGTATATTTCTGTTTAAAGACATTTTAATATATATTGTTGATTCATCAACATTGAACTCACAGTCAATGGCAAGTCTGAACCACACATATCTAACACACTTATTTTTTTCTATAAGGCACATCACAGCCTTCTTGTACTTAGGAATGCCAGACAGCATTATGCTTCAGGGCAGCTTTAAACAGCAAAAAGAAATGCAAATCAAAACCACAATGAGATACCATTTCACCCCCGTTAGAATGGCAATCATTAAAAAGTCAGGAAACAACAGGTGCTGGAGAGGATGTGGAGAAATAGGAACACTTTTACACTGTTGGTGGGACTGTAAACTAGTTCAACCATTGTGGAAGTCAGTGTGGTGATTCCTCAGGGATCTAGAACTAGAAACACCATTTGACCCAGCAATAACAAAGGATTATAAATCATGCTGCTATAAAAACACATGCACACGTATGTTTATTGCGGCACTATTCACAATAGCAAAGACTTGGAACCAACCCAAATGTCCAACAATGATAGACTGGATTAAGAAAATGTGGCACATATACACCATGGAATACTATGAAGCCATAGAAAATGATGAGTTCATGTCCTTTGTAGGGACACGGATGAAGCTGGAAACCATCATTCTCAGCAAACTATCGCAAGGACAAAAAACCAAACACCGCATGTTCTCGCTCATAGGTGGGAACTGAACAATGAGAACACATGGACACAGGTAGGGGAACATCATACACCGGGGACTGTTGTGGGGTGGGGGAAGGGGGGAGGGATAGCATTAGGATTTATACCTAATGCTAAATGACGAGTTAATGCATGCAGCACACCAACATGGTACATGTATACATATGTAACAAACCTGCACATTGTGCACATGTACCCTAAACTTAAAGCATAATAAAAAATTTAAAAAAATAAACAGCAAAATCAACATAAAGAACAGAAATGCAATAAATGTGGCACTGAATAGGCCACGAAAAGGACACTTGTTTATCTTATGACAGACAAAACACAAAGAATGTGGCCGTGTTCGACCTCAGCTGGGAATATCCACATTGAACAACTCAAAGCTTTCCCTTCTCAGCAAATGTCATGTCCATAATGACTGTGAAAGTGCCAAGAGTATTGATTTGGGGAATACTAATAAATTTTAGCAAGTAGACAAATTTACAAATATGGAATCCATAAATAGTGAAGAACAACTGTACATTTACATATATAATTATTTTTGAAGCTGCCTAGTTTTCTATTGTATGCATATGCCACATGTTATATATTCATTTTGCTAGGATGACCAATTGAAGGATTGCCTCCAACTCTGCTACCAAAAGTGACTACTGCAATAACCATTTTTGCACATTTATCCTTACAGACCTGTGTGAGAGGTTTTCTGTATACAGATGAAGAGATTTCTCGATTGTACATTATCCGCGTACTGAGTTCCACCGAGCACTACTGGCTGGTCCTTTCAAATGACTACATCAATTTGCACTCCCACCAACCTCAGGATACCCATTTCTCCCACATTTTGCTAGAGCTGATACTACCTGACTTTCTAATGTTTAATAAATCTTTGGGTGCAGGAGAGTGTTTCTTGATTTTAACTTGCATTCTCTAAATACCTGTCAAGATCTCTTCACATGCTTATTAAATCAGCATCCACCGTTCTGCAATAGTTTAATCCTATCGTTTACTCTTCTGTTGAATGTCTTGCATTTATCTTGCTGATTTCCAGGCAATTCATGTATACACTAAATATTGATGCCTTTAAAATTTTATAGACATTGCAAATATCTTCTGCTAGTCACCTATCTCCACTAAATTTTGTCTATGTATAATTTACTGAAGAAAAAAATTGAAAAGTAGATGTAATCACATTTGTCATTTTTTTGTCTTTATGTTTGAACTTGAGGATCTTGTTTTAAATATCCTTCCCTATCCTGAGGTCACATTGTCCTAAATTTTCTTAAATTACTAGGTATTTTCTTTTATTTTATATCATATTTATTTTGTTTTTCATATTTAGTAACTGTAAATAATTTTAATATAATAGACGATAAGTATCCAACCTAATGTTTTTAAAGTAGAGTAGCCAACTATCTTCACATATTTGCATTTTTATTAATTACCAATTTGTTTAAACATGAGTTTGTTTCTGAGCTGTCTATTCTGTTTCTTTTGCCTATTTGCCTGTTGCTGCAGCAATACATCATTGTTTTGTTACTATATATATTTTGGATTATTTATTAGTATGTGAGACTGGCTCCCTCTATTTTATTCTAATTTTTCAATATTGTTTTATCCATTTGAGGAAGTTGATTCTTCCATATACAGTTTTAAAGTAATTTTCCAAGTCACTCCTCCCCCTCCAAATTATGCTGGAATTTTGGTTAGAATTGCTTTGGATTTATTAATACAGAGAAAATTTATGTTTACAATGCAAAATTATTTTCTCAGGAATGAGGTATATTTCATTTTTAGATTTTTCTTTTAGATCCTTTAAAGTAACTTTCACATTGTCTCCATAAAGTTTCTAGTAGACTTTGTTAGACAACCCCTAGATACCCCACAATTTTTATTACTTTTATAAATGATATTCAGTCTACATTTCCTAGTTGGTTATTAAGAAATCCTATTAATCTGTTTTGCTGATTGTTGATCCAGTATTTTCGTTGCCATTATATTATTGATCTTAGCAGTTTAATGACTTTCTTACATTTTGTAAGTTTGTTATCTCTCAATAAATAATTTAAAACATTTACCTCTTTTTTCCCATTTTTATACTTTATGTGTCTTTTTATTCTATATAGCTCTAGTCAGGATCTGTAGTTGCTGTGTAGTTTGCCTGAGGCTGAAAAGGGTTCTGGGACATGGGACTTTAGCTTTAAAACTCTAACTGTGCCATTCTAATCATCCAGTTTGCCTGGGACTGAGGAGTTTCCCCAGACACAAGATTTTCAGAGCTAAACTCAGAAAAGTCTCTAGCAAACCTGAGTTGATTACCCTACCTCTAAAAATCAGTTGACTAGTAACAGGAAGACTGAAAATTATTGTCTTTTTTCTTACATTAAATGTAATGTGGCTAAAACATTTTCAGTAAAAATGTTTTTCATATGAGGTTTTTTTTTTTGTTTTTTGTTTGTTTGTTTGTTTGTTTTTTGTGATGGAGGTTGGAGTGCAATGGCACGATCTTGGCTCACTGCAACCTCTGCCCTCCTGGATTCAGGCAATTCTCCCACTTTAGCCTCCCAAGTAGTGGGATTACAGGCACCCGCCATCATGCCCGGCTAATTTTTGTCTTTGTGTAGAGACGGGGTTTCACTGTGTTGGCCAGGCTGGTCTCAAACTCCCGACCTCAGGTGACCCGCCTGCCTTGGCCTCCCAAGTGCTGAGATTACAGGTGTGAGGTTGTCTACCATTTTGTTGACATTTATCAATTTTTTTTCTACACCTATCAAGATGATAGATTTTGTTCAGTGTTGAATCATCCTGGCATTTTTATAATCAATGCTATTATATCATAATGCAATTATAATGCATTGCTGTATTTACTTAGTTAATTTTTGTATATTTACATCTATGTTCTTAAATGGAATTGGCCCATAAACCTAATTTCTCACATTTCCCTTTTATTTTTTATATTTTAATATAATAATGTACATAAGAAAAATTATATGATTCTTGACAATTTGATTGAATCCATCTGTAAAACTATTCGGTATTGGAGGCCAAGGGACATTTTGAGAATCCATTTTAATCACTTTGGTGGTTATTAATCTATTTTAATTTCCATCTGCTTTTGTTCATTTTGTTATTTGAGGGGAAATTTGTCTTCTACATCAATGTTTTCAAAATTATTTAAGTATTATTTTCATATTTTAATGATTCTTAAATCTGTATTCTATGTGTATTTATTTTCAATTTTCACTCCATATTTTATTTAAATATCTTGTCAATTTTTTCTTATTAAATCCCACCAGTGGTTTATTTGTCTTTTAAAAGAACAGGGGTTTTTTGAAATTGTTACCCTCTCTAATTTTCTTTATATAATCTCATTTTATTCAATTCTGCCTTCACTTTTATTAATTTCCCTCTTGTTTCTTACGATTTATTCTGTTGTTCTTTATTTCTTAAGTTGAACACTTAGCTAATTTATTTCAGTAGTTCTTATTATTTGCTAAATGTTCTAAGTCCATTAATTTCTTCCTAATCTGCCTCCCCAGGTATTGACACGTAGTGCTTTCATTGCTATTTAGCCTATTTTAGTTTCCCTTATTATTTTTTCTTTTTATTGTTTATTTAGTATATTTTTAGTTATTTAGCTATGTTAGTGTTTAAGTTTTATTATTAGTTTCCATTTTTCTTAAATTACAGACATATTTTATGTCATGAATGATATTAATTTGGGGAATTTATTAAGACTTTTATTTAGTCTGCTTTATAAGACCTTCTATACTCAATAACAATTTTTTTTATTTTATTTTATTTCTTAGAGACAGGGTCTCACTGTGTTGCCCAGGCTAGGTGAAGTGATGCAATCATAGTTCACTGTAGCCTCAGCCTCCTGAGCTCAAGCAGTCTTCCCATCTCAGCCTCCCAAGGAGTGAAGACTATGGGCACATGCCACTCTACCTGGCTAATTAAAAAAATTTTTTTTTGTAGTGATAGGGTCTTACTGTGTTGCCCAGATGGCTCTTAAATTGCTGGTCTCGGACAACGTGCTGCTATTAAAGGCATGCCCAGTTGGTAATTTTAAATAATAGCTTTAATGAATATAGTTCAAAGTCATTTTCCATCAACAATTTGAAAATATATTTTTACTGTCTTCTTGCAGCAAGTGTTACTATTGAAAAGATTATCATCACTTATTTACTAGGGGTCTGGTTTTTCCTCTCTGGAGCTTTTAGAAACATTTGTGGTTTTTCATGTCCTCAAATATCATTGTCATGGGTCTAGAGGTAGTTTTCTTCTTATCAGTTCTACCAGCACTCTATGATTCTTTTCTGCCTAAGGCTGCATGTCTTGTTCATTACTTCTACTACTTTCTCTCCTCTATTTACTCTTCGTTCTCTTCTGAAATTCCTTTTTATTTAGCTGTTGGCACTTCTATCCTCTCTATCTCTCAATATTTTATTCTTTCCAGTTGTTTGTCATTTTCTGATGTCTTTCAGGAGAGTTCCTCAATGTGATCTTCCAGCTCACTTGTTCGTTCTTCAGCAATATCAATCCTGTGAGTCAGCATATCCATGCAGCAATTTAGTTCAACATTATTATTTCGTTCTAATACCTCCAGTTGTTTATTTATAACTATCTGATCTACTGTTTCCAATTGTCTATCTTATCTCTGTGATAACATAGAATATGTTTACTTTAAAGCCTTGCTGTATGTGTTCCATCAATTTTGCATCCTCTTATATGTGTTCTACTTGTGCCTTTTATTCCTACAGCTTGTTCTCTTTAGATGTCTCATGATTTTTCTGTGACACCTTTTTTTCTTATTCCTCTGGACTAAGGCATGTCTTTGCCAATAAGTAAGTAGTGTTTCCCTGGGAATGGAGGTGAGATCCTAGACACTAGACTGAAACTCAGGGTGGAGACTCTCAAACAGATCAATTACCTAAGAGCCTCCCAAATACTCTTCTTTTGCATGTATGATGCAACCTTGGCACCTATTTCTGGAAACTGGGGATTGGTATATAAATATCCTAGGTGATTAATGTAGCTTTTTGGGGAGCTGAAAAGACCTGCAAAATAAATGAAAATTAGAAGGGTCTACCTGAAGAATCTTGGTAAATTAAATGAACTCGTTTCTTATTCTTATCACTTTCTTTGATACCTTCAGCTTTGCGATTGGCTTCATATGAATGTGTTCTATGAATGCTAACAGAACACACTGGAATGTGGCAAAGATTATTGATTTGCTTATACAAAGGTCTGTCTTAGATATGAAATTTATTTACATATTGTCCTAAATATTCCCCAGAGTTATCCCTAATTTTGAGGAAAAACCAGAAAACCCTTTTTTTCTAATCAGCAATAGGAGACAATCTAAAGATTTGTCCAGTGGGTTAAAAAAAAAAAAAACCTCTATTAGCTGAAACAAAATGTATAGGCTATAATGGAAATTGGTTACCTGCCATAATACAGCTTTCATAGAACAAGGAAATGAAAGGATAGTTATACAATTATGAATATTAGATATCTGACTAGGGCAACTATGGTACTCAATTTCCTGTCAATAAAGCAATAGTAATATTTGATCCACATATGCCCCCATATTAATGGTAAAATAGCCACTTTAAAAAGGAATAAATTTCATGAGGCATTTATGGCCAAATGGCTCAGGGCAGAGGCATTCTTGTCAGTGAGCTAAAGTTTCTTTGCTGATACTTCACAGCTACATGACTGAACAAATGACTTCGGCCCCCTGTGTTTTTTTATTTTCTGATTTATATAACAGAATTGACAGCAGCACATACTCCCATAGGTATGCTGTAAGAATTCAAGGAAAAAGTTTGTATAAAACACATAGCACATTGTTACCATCCCCAAGACATTGCTGATTATTATACTGAGTAAACATGAATATCAAGCGCGATGTACAGATTTTTTTATACAATGGCTATTGTCTAAAGACTATTACGGGTTGAAGCAGCTCAAAGAAATGTTTTCTTTCCTTTAAGCAACTGAATAAGCATTTCAACTCAGAGCCAGTAGATAGCATGAAATTCAAACACGATTTAGAGTTCTAAGCAGATAAACGACGTGGTCAAAGTAAACGTACACCGATAGGCATAAAACAGTTTGAAAAGCAAAATCTTAATCACTATAATCTTGGAAAAATAGTTGATAGCATGAGCCTAGAAGCACATTTGGAATGTTTATTTTTTAAATCCCTTTTGAAGTAGCATTAAACGTGTAATTTATTCTTACAACCTCAAAACTACGGTACTATAGAGAAAAGATAGACCAGATTTTTTTTTTACAAGTCGATGTAATTCCTTATATAATTAGTGGTCAGTTGAAAATAACCTTAAAAAAATAGAATGGGATGGGACATTCAGCACACCATTCAGGGGTAGAGACCTCCTGGGAGGGGAGAGGGACTATAGTTTGGCTTAATCACCATAAGGCCAATGATTCAATCATTCATGCCTACGTAATGAGGCCTCTATAAAAACCCAAAAGTTCAGAGAGCTCCTGGGTTGAGCACATCAAGGTGTTGGAAGAGTGGTGTGCCCAGAGAGAGCATGGCAGCTCTGCACCACTGCCCCCACACATTGTCCTTTATGTCTCTTCCATCTGACTGTTCCTGAGTTGTATCCTTTATAATAAACTGCTAAACATAAGTACATGTTTCCCTGACGTTCATGATCCACTATAGAAAATGATCAAACTCAAGGAGGGGGTCTTGGGAACCCCCAATTTATAGCTGGTCGGTCAGAAGTGGAGCTCAGACTGGCAACTGGCATCTAAAATTGGGGCAGTCTTGTTAGACCAAGCCCTTAACTTGTGGGGATCTGAGGCTAGCTCCAGGAAGACAGTTTCAGAACTGAATTGAATTGTAGGACACCTAGTTGGAATCCGCAAATAATTGAAAAATTGCTTGGTGTGGAAAAAAAAAATATCCCAAACATTTGGTGTCAGAAGTGTGTGAGAGCAGAAGAGACCAACTGGGTTTTATTTTCCTTTTTCATAATTTGAATAATTAAGTGGAAAGAGGCAAAAAATGAATGTGAGCCAGTTGTGTGTGTGTGTGTGTGTGTGTATGTGTACATGTCTGTGCATGTGGTGTAAGGAAGAAAAATGGTCCCTTAAGATATTTATGTTTCACTACTCAAATTTGTGAATTTGTATGTTACACAGCAATTTTTTCACATAATTCTTTCTGTTCAGTTTCAGAGAGAATGAATGTTGCTAACCAGCTAAAAATTAAAAGGCAAGATTATCCTGAATTATTTGGGTGGATCCAATCTAATAACGAGTCCTTAAAAGTGGAGAACAGTTCACAGGGGGTCAGATAGATGTGATATGAGAAGAACTCGACCTGCCATTTCTGGTTTAAAAATGGAAGAAGGAGCCATAACCCAAGGAATACAATGGCCTCTGAAGGCAGGGAACTACCCTGAACTGACAGCCAGCCAGAAGAAAGGATCTTACTATCACTACTGCAAAGAATGAGATTCTGTTAAGAACCTGAGTAAGACAAAAGACCAATTCTCAGCTAGAGGATTCAGAAAAAAGTGCATTTTAGCCTTGTGAAAACTGTCAGTACCAAAATGGAGTCACTTATGTTAAAACCAAACTAAATGGAGCTGGGAGGTTATGAAGGCAGGGCTCTCATTTACAATTTACCTGATAGATTTTTTTCCAACCACAGCTTGCTCCATGAGTCACACAAGGACAGCTAACCATTTGTACAAGAACACTTGTCTGACACACTGTCTCCACTAATGAACTGACGTCAACTCCTGTAATAAAGCCCCTGTAACCAATGTTCTCTTTCATTCAAAACAACTTATGCACACTTCTCCGTTTGCTTTTAAAAGCTTCCTCTTACCTCAATCTCCTTGAATATGCCCAGCATCGGTCATAACATGCGTATTCCAGATTGCAACATTCTGCTCATTCCCCAATATATATACACACACACATATATATGTGTATATCCCTCACCTAAATTATCATAATTGTTCACTTACTGGTCTCCCTGTCTCACCCTTGAATGCCTATTCTCAACACAGCAGCCAGAGTGACACTGTTAGAACACATCAGATCATATCACTCCTCTGCCCAAAATGCTCCAATGGCTCCCATCTCAGAGTAAACACCAAATTCCTTTCAAAGACCTACAGAGACCTGCTACACCCAGCTCCCATTTCCTCTCTCACTCCATCTCCTACATGGTCCCCTGGCTCACTCAGCTGCAGAAACTCCGACCTCCTTATAATCCCTCGGACCCCTCAGGCGCATTTCAATGTCAGGGCCTTGCGGTTGCTCTTCTCTGTGCCTGGAGTGCTCATTCCCCAAATCCCCATGAGATTTATCCTCTCACTTCTTCGGGTCTTTACTTACGTGTGATCTTCTTAAAAACACCATCCCTGCCCAAACTCTCTATAATCACAACCCATGCCTTCCTTTCCTTTCCGTAGCACGTACCACTACCAAACATATTTACTAATTCATTGTATTCATTGCCTCTCTGCTCTTCTAGCATGTAACAGTGATGAGGGCAGGGATTATTTTCAATCCTTTTTGTTTGCTACCATACTTCTAGCACCTAAACAGTGTCTGGCTTATAGTTGGTGGTCAATAAATATTTGTCAAATGAATGAATAAATGAATACATACAGATCCTTCATGGACTTCATTAACTTATCTCTACAGAAAGGTGAGAAAAAGTTGATTGGTAATGAGCAATTGGTAAATTGGTAATGAACAATTACCAATTAATATGCTACATGTTTACCAGATACAGTTTCTTGAGTGAAATTGCATATGTTATACAGTTAATTGAATTAAATTATTCAAATGTGAAGAGTATACAGGAATTCTTACACCTATCTCTGATTACTCTTAACCAGCAATAACCTCAACCAATTTGGCTGTTATTAACAGATCCTATAGAAGCCCCCATGTTTCCTGCTCTGCTAATATTTATACCCTGTAAAATCCCTTCCCCTTGAGTATGAGCGGGAGCTGTAATTTGCATCTAACCAAGGGAATATGGCAAAGGATGTCACTCCTTTAATTAGGTTATCTTATATGGCAAAGGCGGGGTAATTAGTAGATGTAATTCAAGTTTATTTTGAATTAATCAAAAGGGTAATTATCCTGAGTAGGTCTGACTTAAACAGGTGGGAGCCCTTAGAAAAGGGACTGGGTCTTCCTTCAGGTGATAGATTCTCCTTGCTAGCTTAATGAAGTAAGCAGCTATGCTGAGGAAGCCCAACTAGGCTAGGACCTGTGGGTGTCTTCCAGGACCTGAGGGAGGCCTTCAACCTACAACCAGCAAAAACTGGACCTTCATTCATAACTGACAAGAAAAATGAATTTTACCAGCAACCTGAATGAGTTAGAAAGTAGATTTTTCCCCATGCGAGCCTTCAGATGATAATGCAGCCTGAGTGACACCTTGATTGCAGCCTCGTAGGACCTGAGCAGAAGACTCAGCTAAGCTATGCCAAGACTTCTCACGCCATGGAAACTTCAAGACAATAAATGTATGTTGTTTTAAGTCACTGAGTTTGTGGTAACTTGTTACACAGCAATAGAAGACATAATATAGTGGTTATGGGAGTAATTCTAGTCCAGGCTAGATCTCCACACTGCCATTTGCCGGAATGCCTACACTTTGCTTTACTTATTACCGGTTGCAGGAAGTCTGTGATTTTGGTCATGCTGTTGCTCAAAGTAATCTTTGGGTTCTGACTCTGTATTTCATTGTTTCCAAGGAAGGATTTTCCTTTAACATGTACTCCTTCATATGATTACCAGCATTATGTATTATCAAAAATGGCTTTAGGAAACAGTACTCTACCTTAGCCACCTATAGTGTTTTGATCTGTGTCCTTTCTGGAATTACCAGTAATAGTATGCCTGCCATGATTAGAGTAAAGAGGCTTTAAACCTTCTTTGCTAGGGAGAGTTACTTCTTATTGGGAGTTCAAGCTGGGACTAAATCCACCAGTGCACAGGATCCTGAGCACTGTAATACATTCTCTATAAGTCTAGTCATCCCTTCTTTCATTTCTGAAGTAGCTAAGGGGCAGCACCATCTAAGAAGTCCATTTCCCAAAATAATTCCAGTCTTATCAAAACAAGACTCATTTCACTTTCTCCTCCTCCATTTTTCTTCTCTCTGCTCTGCAGTGTGACCTAAAGAAGTCGACATAGAGAGGAGTAAAAGAAGAAAAATGGAGAATGGAAGCAAGGGAAGAAGGGGGGAAGGAAGTTGAATAAAGCTTCTACTCTATGTCATCCTCTGTCCTTAATATTTTCATATAAATAATTTCATCTCATTTTTGCAGAATAGATATTATTTCCTCTATTTTACAGAAGACAAAAGGTTGAATGAATTATCCAGTGTCGTAATAAGAATAAATGGGTCCATCAATGTTTTTATAAGTTGTCTTCAAAAGTAAGCTATGCTCTAAATTGCTTTTATTGTGTGTGTTGTTCTGTTGTTGGCTTTTAATTTATTTTTGGCAATTATTATATGTGACAAAGATATGTATTTTTCACAAATCCTTTTTAAATTCTAAGAAAGAAAATGTATTAAAATTATAAATATTGATATACACAATTAGCTAATTTTTAAACAAAAACTATTTACAGTACTGCAACATAGCGAATGTGGCATCTGAAATAACCTAATATTAAACAACTTTAAATGCATAGTACTTCTAATATTTTCCTCCTATCTCTAGGTTAAAAATCATCATGACAGACCCAGAGTTCTCTCTTTTACACATATTATTAGATTTTTACCACCAATGCAACTATGTAAAAGTATCTCTTCCAGCTAAAGCTAAAACTCAGAAAATAAGACAAAAAAGCCAAAGATATGGTAGGTATATTAATATGTAAAAGTTTGCTTTAATGAAGCATCCATTGGAATAAATTACTGGTAATTTTTCATTGTTAGATTTCCAATGAAACATGACAAAAAGGAAATTCATTCTTTTATAATTTAGGAGAGTGAAGATTTTTTTTCTGAAAAAAGGTAGCTTTTGAGCTGGACTTTTAATTATAGTTTAGGAATTATCAAGAGCATCAATAAATGAAGAAGGAGAGAAAAATATTCCAGGCCAAGAAAATAGCCAAGACTTGTCCTCATTCCTAAGTGACCTGGAAGGAGAAACAGGCAAGGGCACAGGACTCATGGTTCTTGGTTTCAAGGGAATTTTCTTCTATCTATGACTGGAAAAACCCTGCATCTCAACTACTAAGAGGATATCTGCTTCAATAGTAAACTACAAAGCTCTGCACCCAAGTCTGCCTGAGTTTTGGCACAGTTTCTGTCTCTTCTTGTTTCCGAATGCCTCCTGGTTATTTCTCTCTTATTCCCTGTCTCATCTTTACAACAAGAGTAATAATAGTACCTATTCGTAAGGTGGTTTAGAGCATTGAAAAAACAGTACATGTAAATTTAGAACAATGCCTGACAAATAGTAAACAATAAATCATAGTTGTTGGATGGTGTCTTTATTAATTAGCAAAAGCATCACAGCATGGCAAAGCAGTGACATGCTTGGGATCTGGAGCCAGACATCCTGGGTTCAAATCCTGGTTCCAACACTTTTTATATGTGCAATCTTGGGAAATGTATAATCTTAAACTCTCTATGCTTCAGTTTTCTCATCTTTAAAATGAAGAAAATATTAGTAAGTATCTCATAAGGTATTGATGAATATTAAGGAGGTTTATATTCATGAAGTGCTTTGGATAGTTCTTGGATCATTAGTGTTCATTATATTAAAAAAATAAATAATTCAAACTAGAGTCATCTTACCATCCAACAGCTGTAACAAGAGGTCTACTCTTACCAAATGGTGCCAACTGCCAGTGCATTTAAGGCTTCTCTTGTGTGTAAACATCCTTAAGGAAAATACATAAGATTCAGCAAATTTAAAAGTCTCTAAGGTGCAGATTTCTGAGCCCATCCTAACTTTACTCCAACTCCAAAGAGTAGGTATAATTCTACAGGTGCTTTATCTGATGCCCTTTCTTTACAACTTGTGTTTCCATGCAATAATTATCATCTAATTCTCTTCTACATGAAAGTGAACTTTTAAACTTCTCTAACTCATTGCTAAAAGAGGGCCAAAGACATAAATTCACCTGGATCTGTTTTCTACTTTTAACATTCCACTTTCTATTTCAATTAAAGGAGCTTTGATATATAAAGAAAAAATCCAGAGAGAGAAAGGTGAAAACAGAAAAGGATGAATTATCTTAAGACTTACCTTACACATCTCTTTTTATAGGAAGCATCCCATAATTCCCCAGGATAACAGAGTTGCTGTCCTTGGTGACAGCATAATATTTGAAAAAATTTCACTGGGAAGCAATTCCATTGTCTTGTAGTCATGTGTAGTATAAAATATCTTATGCTACAGTACAAATATACCCAAATTTAAATGGCTCAAGGCAACAAAGTTTTGCTTTTCATTCAAGTCACAATCCAATAAACATTGGGAGGCTATCCTCAGCAGCTCACTTCCATGCAATAGCTCAGTGATCCAGATACCTCTTATCACATGAGTTCATCATAACATGATTATATGATCACATCATTACATGATCAGCCACATGAACTGGAAAGAAAGAGCTATGTTTTAAGGCCAGTTCTAGAAATCCCTTCTGCCAACATTTGAAGGGCCATATTGAGCCACATGGCCCCAACCTAACAATGTAAAGAAAGCTGAAAAGTATAGTTTTGCTGAGTGTCCATGGAACAGAAGTGGGATTGCTGAGCCTCTAGCCAGCCTCTGCACACTAAGGGTTTCACTCACTCTATGCTCAGTTCCTTGTGGGCCAGGACTGTCTTATCAATCCTACAAACATGTCACCAACAATACTTATGGGTATCAATAATTTATTTCTGCTAAGTCTGCTTTCAGGGCTCTTCCTAGCTAAAATCTCTGGGAATTTATTTGTGATTTACATCTATGATTTAATAGAAGAGATATTTCCCTTCTAATTTCCACCCTCTCACCTGCTCAGCCTGGGACCCTGGGCATCCCCTGTTGGCTGGCCTCTGAAGCAGGGCTGTAGGCAGTTATCAAAGTCAAGTCAGAAACAAAGCAACAGGAGATGCCATGGGGCAGAGTGAGGCATCAGCAGTTGGGTAGAATGTGGGCTAGGAACAAAGAGTGAAGGATTTTTAGATATCAGATGAGAGACCACAAAATTCTCACTGTATGAACAACAGAGATGGTGGAAGCTCTGGAATCATTCTGATGTCAAAAAACAGAGAGAAAATATACAAGACATTTACTAAGGTAAGAACATGATCTAGTCAAGATAGCTTCCTTTAATAACAGCTGTTGGTCTCTTACGATAACACCATGGCACATGCTCTATTTAGTTAATCACTAGGCCAAAACGTAATCATATCTGACATGCTTTTGCAGAGTCAGCAAACTTCTGTGTTCAGCAATTTATTTTTCTTGTCTTGCTTTTTATCAAAAAAGAAGACCTGAAGCACTCACTATCACCCTTCTTGAATTCTGTTCTAGTACTCCATATTACATAACTACCGTGAGTCCAGAATGTGAGATAAAACAAAGCCTATAGTGCCATCTCCATCCTCAAGTATTCTATCATCCCATCAAGTGGAGGAAGTACTAGAGAAGACAAATAATTGGCCACTTGAGCCAAAATACATATCATTAACTGCATTTATAAGTGAGGGCAAGTCCCTTAATCTCTCTGAATCTCAATATCTTAAAGGACAAAATGAAAATATTGAATCACATGATTTATCAGATCCCTTCTCAGTCCAAAGTTCTAGATTACTGTGTCTGATAAAATCATGATTTAAAGTCTCAGAATCCTGTTTAGGTAAAGTGGGACCAAAAGAACGTATTCATTGAACAAATTAGAAAAAAAATTGTTAAGGATATTGGAGTCTTTGGTGGCTTGTCTCTTTAACCTGTTCTTAAAAGGTTACCACCGCCTTAAAACAAACAAACAAAACATCCTTCTCCACAAGACAAAGAATCTCTGCATTTACCAAATACTGAATGGGTCCCATAGGCATTGATTTATAACTGCCCTGAGCTCCAACCAGGTGATTCAGTGGCTTGCGTTACTATTCCCATATCTTTTATACAATGGTCCCCACAAGTATTAGGTTTCTCTTCCATCTTGAAAATGTTTAAAAATGCAAGTTGCTTTTATTCAATTTGCCAATTTTGTGGTCAAGAGAGATCTCGACCTTTGAAGTCAAGCAGGCTTGGATTTGAATCCCTAGTGTGCTGCTTACTAGCTGTGTGACCTGGGGCAAATGGGTGACCTCCCTGAGCTACATGTTTTAAAATATGTCTATGTACAAATAATACAGATTTGATAGAATTTCTTTGGAGATAATATATGTGGGACATCTTCAACATAGTAGGCACTCAAAGAACAGCAGTTGGGTTTGTTTATCTGTTATTGTTTTAAGAGAGAGAACCCTATGTGTTGTGATAAACAGCAAAGAGTTGCATTTAGTGAGAAGATAGGGTATAAGCTGAACCTCAAATATTTGAAACAGTGTGGAAGTGAAAGAGTACTCTAGCTGGGAAGAACGATGAAAGAAAGGCAGAGATGAAGAAGGTAGACTCATGTCTTGTTGAAAAATAGGAAAGGAGGCAACTCTCGTGTAAGTGAGATTTCATATAGTGGCAAGGAAAGGAGAAGCAATGTCTAGCCCCATGCCAGATATTTTGCATACCTTATCTCATTTAAAGCTCACAATAATCCTATCAGGAAAAGCATCCTTAACTCCACTTTGGAGATAATGAAACTGAGGTTTGGATATTAAATAAATTAACCAAGTCTGAGTCCATATAGCTAGTATACGGCATGAACTTTAAAAATACATCTGCCTGATTCTTTCCATTTTTCTATCATCCTCCTATCCCAATGACCCTTTTCAATGATTTTATCCAAGAATATTCCTTGCATAGTAAGTCTTCACTTTGTAGATAGTTTCTTGGAAACTGTGACTAAATGAAACAATGTTATCTCAAAACTAATTTTACCATAGGCTAATTGGTATAAACAAGCGTTAATTTCCTACCTCACATTTCTTGTCACAAACACGTCACCAAACTTCTAAAGAAAAACCCAAACACTTCTAATATTAAACACTGAAATAAATGTGAGGTGCATATGCATATAAGAAAGATTAATAAAAATGACTTAGATAATTATTTACCAAATTCTTCCAGTTCAGGGTCACAGGGGGCCAGAGTCTGGTCCAACAGCTCAAGGTGCAAGGCAGGAAGCAGTCCTGGGTAGGACACCATCCCATTTCAGGGTGCACTCACACACACCCACACTCACTCAGACCAGGAACACATTTAGACATACCAGTGAACCTAATGTGCACAGCTTTGGGATGTGGGAAGAACAAGGGTATCCAAAGAAAACCCACACAGACATGGGGAAAATGTACAAACTCCACACAGAGAACGGTCCTAGCTGGGAATCTTTTTTTTTTTTTTTGCTCATCGGCATTACTGAAAAGATGCTGAATGAAATTGTTATTTGAGAACCTGCTGTAGTTTATTCTGATCAAAGTTTTAGAGAGTTGCAAGGGAATGGTTTATTACAGGACCCGCCCTGCAAATATTATTAGAATAAACAGTCATAACCTCACCAAGATGACCTGGCTGCTTGGGGGCAGGAATCTTCAGACTCAGCATTTAGTTGAGTTGTGTTTTCCTAAGCAGAGAGTAAATATTTATTTATAATAGAGAAGGTTATGTCACATTATCAATGACTTGATCATAATATTGCTTTAAATGATAAATTATTCCAACCCCTACACATAATCTCTGTATTATGTAACAATCTGTGTATTTCCATTTTAAAGAATTTAATAACAATTGCTTAATAATGAGTCTGTTTTATACAAATTTGTGTTAGATGCAAACTTTCAAAAACAAATCTACTTTGCAAAGACAGGTAAACTTAGAGAGATCAGGTCATAAATCCAGCATGAAACTATATTTAAATGTATCCCAAAGTTGGAAACATGTGGGTATCGTTTTTTCAGAGTGATAAATGGATTTTCTCAAATGCAGAACTTGAAGTAAAAGTTTCCCTGAACTTTTTGCTTCTCTGTTCAGTTCTCTGGATGGCTGACCTTGAGCAATGTAACCTGATTGTCAATGAGAATAATTTCTATCAGACTATTTTTAGTCAAGGAAACTGATTTTCAATTTTAAGAAGTTTCTTCCTATTAAAAGCTTTACCAAAGACTGGAGCCAATATCTCTTGCAATGCTGCAGACTAATAAAGCTAGACCTTCACACTGTTTGCAAGGTCAAGTGTGTCACTTCTCATGGTCTACATTTTGCTCCCTGCTGACTTTCCCCTCAGGATAAGGGGAACAAGCTTGGCAAAGACTAATTGGAAAATATCATTTTCAAAACCAAGAGCAAACAGTTATAGAATCTACGGATATCTTCAAGAGCTTTTTTTTCCCTCAAGTGGTTAAGAACAACTATTGAAAGCTCCCCAGAAACTGAACCTGCTGTCAGGCACTGAAGGAGCAACACAAAGAAGATTGAGATTGAAAACAACACCTATCATTGGACATATCTTGCTGTGAATCTAAGGAGAAAGAAGGCTACTGTGGAATGGAACGAACATCATTAACAGGTGAGCGTGGCCAAGGTTTCCCTCCCAAGATAACTCATGGGGCTTCTGCCTCTCTCTGCTATAGTTCTTCCTATCTCCACTTTCTGAGGAAAATCATTCTTGCAGAGAATAACTATATACTGCCATGATCAGGTGGGAATGGACATGTGCAGGGCAAGGGTTGAGCATATAAGCTAAGGCTGGGCAGGAGTTCTCAGGGAAGCCTAGGAGATCAGGAGGGGCAAGGGCAGTGGGGTATCTATGAGGAGACATAGAGGAAAGAAAAATAAAACAATAGGGAGATACTCCTAGCCTCTTTATAGGGATTGCAATGTGCAATTAGGAAATGGTTTCTTTGAAATGTCTTCCTTTGTTGCTGAATCATAGTTTTTTGATGCCATTGCCACTCTGAGAATGAACCTATGAATGGGGCTCTTTATGAGTTACCCAGAAATTTGGCTAAGGAAGAAGTCTCTTGAAGTAATATGTAGTGAAGTTTAATTTATGGGTCAGAATTTCTTTGACCTGAACATTTTTTTGGTGTGGCATATCCAATATCTTAGGAAAAGATATTGAAACAAGTTAATATAGGCAGGATTAATTCATATACAACATCTGGCTGTGTCCTGGGTTCAGGTAAGAGTGTGTCTTTCTCCTTTAAGACAGTAATTGGACAGGGTTGCATGAGAGGGGAGGCCTCTCACAACAGGAGACTGCTCAGAGGCTTAAGGGCAGGTGGCCATCATTCAGAAGGAAGGCAAGGTAACTCCCAAGGGAGAAGAGGATCAATCATACTGGGGGCCTTAACAAGCATGGCTCAGCAGCACAGCAGGGAATTCCCAGGTCAGAGTGCTCTGAAGGGCAGCAGTGACTTGGGACCGTATAACCGCTAGGCTTTATATTATCAGTAGGAACACCTACCAGGTGAGGTTTTATAGGGTATATAAAACAGGCAGGTTCTACGTGGTTAAATATGTGCTTGTTTGGGCTATATTTCTAAACAATCAGATGTATAAAAGTTTGAGTTTGGAGCCAGTGGCTTTTGAGCTAACAGGTTTCAGCCTGCAGTGAAGAAATGGACAAACTGGGGGCCAATACACATTGGCCATCTTTGCCTCATTTTTATGACAAACCTGATCTCAAGACATGAACATACTTGGAGCAACAGCCTATGTGGGGCATCCTGATATTTTAAAAGAATTCTGTGAAGATTCGAAATGGATATTTCAAATAAGGCAGTGAGGACATCATAACTGGAAATCATAACTTTGTTGGACTTCTTTACATTTACCTTATGGTTTGATATTGATATTTTTGTGAATTATGTATGAGGAAGAGGTGGCAGTACAATCTGTGTAGAGTTTGGATCTTCTAAGGGTTTTAATTTGGCTGTAATCTTTTGTCCCCAGTTAAATGTCTCAGTCAAAGAATGATGTATCTACACCTCTTTAAAGTTTATTGATGTGAAGCACATATAACAATGCCTGATGCATAGTAGACACTTACTAAATATTAGCTATTGTTTATTGCACCTAATGAAATAAATGGTTTCTGTGTTGATATCAAGAAAGACAACTACATCCTAACAAAGCTGCCTCAAAGGCGATGAAGCCCAGCATCAAGTAAAGACCTTACCTCTTTAAAACACTTTAAAATTTTAGAAGGATTGATCCTTAAAAGAGAAGCAAAATGATGCAGTAAACCACTAGGCAGGTTTAAAAGAACTAGTCCCAATTCTGTCGCTTATCTGCTATGTGACCTTGTGCAGTATATTTAAATTTGCTGGGTCTTTTTTCTCATCTGCAAAATGAAGATATGGGGCTAAAAGGGTGTTTTTTTAAACCTCTATTCCAATCTTGCATACCTGTGATCTACAACATACCCTTATCAGAAACAAAGAGCAATCTTACCACATTATGAGAGCAATCCTTTTGGGAAGGTAAAGGAAACCCAAAAAGGAGGAAAAAAAAATCTCAGAGCTTTGTAAAACCTCTCAAATCATTTTAAAAATTTCTTCCCTGAACCCTAATGAAAACATCATTGCAAGGCTGGGCACGGTGGCTCACACCTGTAATCCCAGCACTTTGGGAGGCTGAGGCGGGTGGATCACCTGAGGTCAGGAATTCAAGACTAGCCTGGCCAACATGGTGAAACCGCATCTCTACTGAAAATACAAAAATTATCTGGGCGTGGTTGTGGGTGCCAGTAATCCCAGCTACTTGGGAGGCTGAGGCAGAAGAATTGCTTGAACCTGGGAGGTGGAGGTTGCAGTGAGCCCAGATCATGCCATTGCACTCCAGCCTGGGCAACAAGAGCAAAACTCTGTCTCAAAAAAAAAAAGAAAAGAAAAGAAAACATCATTGCATCTGGGCATATCTGGAATCTCTTGTGGCTCTGAAATGTCTATGACTATATTATTTATTTTTTAAACTTTATATTTTCTGCTGAAGATATACTGAGATGTCACTTTAAGGATAAGGCAATCTAGGTTTAAAGAGACATAGTTTTTTGTGTGCGCAAAGCAGCACAGTTTCTGGATGGAATAGCCGTGCAACACTGACTCTGAAGTTCTGGTCTTCTTACGGCATGATGCGGGGCTTCGTCGCCTTTGAGGCACCTTTGTTAAGATGTAGTTGTCTTTCTTGATATCAACACAGAAACCATTTATTTCATTAGGTGCAATAAACAATAGCTAATATTTAGTAAGTGCCTACTATGCATCAGGCATTTTTATATGTGCTTCATGTCTATAAACTCACTTAATCCTCCTAAAACCCTAAATTGGAGATTATCTTATTTCTGTTTTAGATATAGGTCAACCAAAGCATAGAGCCTGAAGATACACAGCTAGTAAATGATGGAGGCAGAATATGAACTCAAGCATTTGCATGCCAGGGCCCTTGCTCATTACCACCCTGCCATGCTGATTCTCAAAAGATCTTCTTGAAGATTGTATACCTTTTATTATTCAGGCTGTAAATACAGAATGGTGAAATCAGGAGACCAACAGAAGAACATTAGAAAAAGACAGTGAAGTTTCATGAGATAAAGATGTAAAGAAGAGGAGATGAGGATTTGAGATGGAATTCTGATCCCTCCCCTCACCAGCTGTGTGATCTCAGTCCAGTCACTTAATCTCTCTGTCTCCAAGTCTTCTCAACATTATGTGGTATTTACCAGAGCACTATTTCAAGGGATTGTTGCCAGGATGAAAAGAGTTAATGCAGAGTGCCCTGCACTTAGTATGACACCTAACATCCTCCCACCACCCACAGGAGCCAAACTTTCTTTCTTTACATCCCTCTGGAGCTGCTGCTGCTATCTCTCCTACTAAACAACTCTAGTCCGTGTAAAAATGAAGTATTCCAGGTAAAACAATGTGTGCAGCAATATGGATCACCCAATACAAGGCTATATGCTGTAACCATGGAGATAGTATTATATTTTATCTTTAGGAGATACAGTTTTTTAAAAGCCTTCCCATGAGGTCTGTATCCTTGACTAGTGCCAACAGTAGCTCTCCTTTTGTTCATTCAATGAAATGCAACAGCATTTATCATGCACTGCCCTCTTCTCTTTTCCTCCAAGTTCAAGTTCTAATTGTTTCCAACTTGAATTTTTTTCACCTCCTCCTACCTTGTTCCACTGCCTCCTGCCACTAAATTCTCATTCCAAAATCCATCTCACCCTTCTACATTGCTGCCAGTGATAACTCTACGGCAGGAGAAATCCAACCGGATCCTATCCATCCTTAAAATATTCCAGTAGCTCCTCACAGTTCCCGGGACACGCTTATATTTCTTTGTTTCCTTTCATGAACTGTTTCATGCTTTCCTCTCAAGCCTCATCTTGAACCATTCTCCAGGCCTTCGACCACACTGTTTTGTTAGGTGTACTGCCTCCCCACCCCCACCATACTTACTGCTTTGCATGTTTGTGATTGGCACATACAGCTATGTCTTTTAGTGAGGCTTTTCTTCCCTGATGCTTTCCCAAACCTTCACCAGGGCCATTAAACAACATTTTTTCATCTACCAAACCTTAACATCAGCAATGGTGACTCCTAGAAGACTTTACTGACCACCTCCCTAATCTTACTGAATTTACTTTTCTATATACGCCTATATCCGCTGTGCTAATCTGGGTCACTACTCCCGGTATATTGACCTATGGCATCTTTGAGAACAGAAACTGTGGTTTTCATCGCTATATTTCCAGGCATGGCTTGACACATTAGTAGGCACTAAATTCTCCTGTGCTGAATGTATGACTATCAACCAAACTCATTTGTAACAGATAAGTTTACACAGAAATTTGTAAACTAACCCATAAGACCTTCCTCCAAGAAATAAGCATAAGTTTGTATTTTTATGCTAACAAATGAAGAAAAGTGGTAAACTTGTGTTGTTTATTAAAACATCTATAAGCCTGCATCTGGCACAAGTCAGTGATTTAATTGTAGAAAGGGTGTAAGTTCCATTCATACGCTAATACACGAGATGCATGAGCAACCTGCATCCCGTCTTTGTCAATCTGTTATATTAGAAAAGAACCTGGTGGAAATTAATTTTTTCTATGAAATAGGAATGACAGTAACTTCACTTAAAATAATTTGACTTGAAGGAATACATTTATGAATTATATGTGTTCATAATTTTTATACCATTATAGATCTTTGATTTTTATTACCTCCCCCTCCCCATGTTTTAAGTTCTGCACAATGCAGGCACAGACATCATGCCAACAGTAGCATATGTGCTGCTAAATCCAACATATGGGGAGAGGTGAAAGAGGAACTTTAAAAATGATCAATTTATCGTTTTTAGAATTTTTCAAGATATGAGTACTGACACCTCATTTTTCATCACTCATGAAAAGCACGCCTACAAAGCTATATCTGTAAGTGTTAAAGGGACAAATCAAGTATTGATCGTGGTGCGGTGAATGATCTGTTCAGGAGTTTAACCATTTTGAGTTGTGATGTCTTGTCTGAGGTGGAACAGATTAGGGGTAGGGGTAGGGAGAGGAGGACAGGCGATAGTGGGAGGCTGGAGTCTGACCAAGGTGAGGCCAATCCACACAAGGCCTCCTCCTCTGTGTTATCATTGAGCACCACTGTTCAAATCCCACAGGGCTTTTGAACAAGCTCCAACCTCATCCTCTTCCTCTTCATTACCACCATCTCCCATGAACTACTGACCCAGCTTCAGGAGCCCTTTTCTTCTTTCCACTGCCACAGGCTTTGAAATCTAAGGATTTGTTTGCTAATACACAAAATATGTCAAGGATATGGCTACACCCCGTGTTAATTTAATTAAGGGTTTTAATGAAGCAGAAAATTAATCAAAAGGTTGTCAGAGGAATATGTCAAGATCAGTCTTTACCAATTTCAACATACTGTTTCATGATCCTTCAGACCCTTTGGCTGTTTCTGGCAGCTTCCTTTATGAAAATACTGAAACAGACTGGATGGAAGAGAAAGAGAAACCTTCAGAAAAGGAGAGGGAGGAAGTCCATTTCCTTTGCATGTGAAATAGGAGGGTAAGGTTTATTTCCCCTTAGGCTAATGGTAAAGAATAAGTCATAGCATTTTGAAGAACTGGAAGATATGGACAGATTTCTAATAATGCAAGTCTTGCTAGTTACCTTCTTTTTCTCCAGGAAGCCCTTCAGGATACCCATGGATACTTTTCTCGGGAGGGCTGGATACCCATTTTCTGTGTCATCATCATAACCCCACTTGCGAAATACATTTATTTTAATTACAGTCTTTGTTTCCATCTCTTAATAAAGAGGAAATTGTACAACCCCCATTTTGGGGCTGAGTCATTTTCAACTTAAAAAAAATTAAGGTGCAATTTATACACAGCAAAACTTATGCTTTCTGTATTATACTTCTGCAAGTTTTCACCAACCTATACAACCATGTAGCCACCTGCACAAGCAAGATATAGAACAGGTTCATCACGCCAAAAAATTTCCCCATTTGCAATCATTCCCTTTGCAATCAATCCCTGCAACCACCTTTCCGGGCAAAGACTGATCTGCCCCTATGTTTTTGCTTTTTTAAAAATATCAATGGAATCGTACAACACGTAGCCTGTTGAGCTTGACTTATTTCACTGAGCATAATACATTTGAGATTTATCCATGTCGTTGTGTGCAGTTCCCTCATTTTATTGCTGGGTAGTATTTCATTTGACGGGAATTTTTGCATGTACCTGTGTTTATCCATCATCCTGCTGAGAAACATTTGGATTAATTCCAAATAAAGAGATTTTTGTATGAACATAGGTTTTCATTCCACTTGGGTAAATAACTAAGAATGAGATCACTGGATTGTATATTGTATAATATGTGTAAGTTTAACTTTGTAAGAAAATTTCAAACTGTTTTCTAAAGTAGCTGTACCTTTTTGCAATCCTACCAACAATGAATTCTCACCAGCACTTGGCATTTCACTTTTTTTTTTTTGAAATTATATACATTCTAATAGCTGTATAGTGGTATCTCGTAGTTTTAATTTGCATTTTCCTAATGACTGATGTTGAGAAATTTTTTATACAATTATTTTATATCCACATGTCTTTTGTAGCAGTCTTAGTCTGTTCAGGTTGCTATAACAAAATACCATAGACTGGGTGAGTTGTAAACCGAAATTTATTTCTCACACTTCTGGAGGCTAGGAAGCCCAAGATCAAGGAGTTGACAGATGCAATGTTTGGTAAGGGCCTGCTTCCTGGTTCATAGATGACCATCTTCTTACTGTCACTTCACATGGCAGAAGGGACATAGAAGCCTAAGGGATCTCTTAGAAGGGCACTAATCCCATTCATGAGGGCTCTACCTCACAACCTAATCACCTCGCAAAGGCTCCACCTCCAAATACCATCACATTCAACATTAGGATTTATCATACGAATTTTGCGGGGACACAAACATTTAGTCTATAGAACAGTGTGTGTTCAAATCACATCATCTGCAAGTAGGGACTGTCTTAATCTTTTTGTCCAAGCTCTATGCATTGTATTTCTTTTTCTTGATTTATTATACTGACTAAGACCTCCAGTACCACATGGAATAGAAGTAGTGAGAACATAAATCTTTGATTATTCTTGATCATAGGTGATATGGTTTGGCTCTGTGTCCCCACCCAAATCTCACCTTGAATTATAACAATCCCCATGTGTCCTGGAAGGGACCTGGTGGGAGGTGATTGAACCATGGGGGTGGGTTTTTCCCATGTTGTTCTTGTGATAGTGAATACGCCTCTTGAGTTCTGATGGTTGGATAAAAGGGAGTTTCTCTGCACATGCCCTCTTGCCTGCTGCCATGTAAGACGTGACTTTGCCTCTCCTTTGCCTTCTGCCATAATTGTGAGGCCTCCCCAGCCATGTGGAACTGTGAGTCAATTAAACCTCTTTCCTTTATAAATTATGCAGCCTCAGGTATGTCTTTATCAGCAGCATAAGAACAGATTAATACAATAGGGAGTAAGCATTCAGTCTTTCTACATTAAATATATTATTACCTGTAGGCTTTTTGTAGTTGTTCTAAGTCAGGTTAAGGAAGTTAGTTTCCTTCTATTAATAGTTTCCTGAGTTTCTCTTAGACTATCCTATGGATATTTTTGTTCTTTATCTATTAATGTAAATTATATTGATTCATTTTGGAATATTGAATCAGTATTATTACATCCCTGGGATGAACTTCCCTTGGTCATGATATGTTATTCTTTCTATATATTGCCAGGTTTGTTGTGTTAAGAATTTTTGCATGTATCTGTGTTTATAAGAGAGATTGGTTTTCTTTTCTTTATCTTTGCCTGGATTTTGTATGATGGTAATGACAGCCTCATAGAATGGGAAGTGTCCCTTCCTCTAAATTTTTCTGGACTTTTTATATAGACTTTTACTTTTTATAACATTCTCTTTTATTATATAGACTTCTGGACTTTATACAGACTTTTTATTATGTCTTACTTATTTAGTCAAATTTACCTGTGAAGCCATGTGAGCCTGAGTTTTGTTTCTGGAAAGGTTTAAACAGCAAATACTAATTGTTTACTAGATATAGAGATTTCAGGTTTTTAATTCTTTTTGAATGACCTTTGGAAGTTTGTGTCTTTCAAGGAATTAGGTCATTTTACTTAAGTTGTTGAATTGGTTGAAATGAAGTTGATATAATCCCTAAATATTTATTTAATGTTCATAGTATCTATAGTGATATGCCTCTCTCATTTATGATATTGGTGATTTGTGTCTTCTATACTTTTCTCCTGATCAGTTTAGCTACAGTTTATCAGTATTATTGATCTCAAAGAACCACTTTTTGGCTTCACTGATTTTTCTCTATTTTTAATTCTATTTCATTAATTTCAGCTCTTAGCCTTGTCATTTCTTTTCTTCTACTTACATGGTGTTTAATTTGCTCTTAATTTTGTGGTGCCTTAATGTGGAAGCTCAGATCATTGATTTAAATTCTTTTCTAAAATAGGTGTTTAGTGCTATAAATGTCCATGTAGGTATTGCTTTATCTGTATTTCACAAATTTTGAAATTTGGAGAGGCTTATTTCCATTCAGTTTAAAATACTTTAAACTTTTGTTTGTGGGTTATTTAAAGAATGTTATTTAGTTTTAAAATACGTGAGGATTTTCTAAATATGTTTATATTATTGATTTCTAAATTCCACGTGGTCATGCTTTTTATGTCTTGAATATTTTCAAATTTTGAGATTTGGTTTATAGCCCATAATATAATTATATCTTGATAACTGTTCCATCTATATTTGAAATTAACATATATTCTGCTCTTGTCGGGTGTAATATTTTATAAATAAAATTGTTATTTTGTTAATAGTATTGATAAACTTTTCTATATGCTTACTGAGTTTCAGACATCTCTCAACTATTGAGAGAGGGATACTGAAATTTCCCAATATATTTGTAAATCTCATTATTTCTTATAGTTCTATCAGTTTTTGCTTCATGTATTTTGAAGCTCTGTTGATTGGTACAATATGTTTAACATACATATGTTCTCTTGATGAATTGATCACCTTATGTGTATAAATAAAACTATGCTCTTTATCCCTGGTCATTTTATTTGCTTTGAAATCCTCTTAATCTAATGTGAATATCAGCACTCCAGCTTTTTTTTAAATTCGTTTGCCATGATATTAGTTTGGTGCAAACGCAATTGTAGTTTTTGCTTTGAAAGTAATGGGAAAAGCCACAATCACTTTTGCACCAACATAATACACTTGCTTCCACTGTTTCCCATTTTAGTCTATTTTTGTCTTTATATTTAAAGTGCATATCTTATAGGCAGTATATAGTTGGGTCTTGTTTTTTAAGTAATCTGAAATATCTGCCTTTTATTTGGCATGTTTAGTTTATTTAAATTTAATGTGATTATTGATTTTGTTGTATTTAAATATACAATGGTTGTATTTGTTTTCTATTTATCTCATCTATTCTTTGTTCCCCTTTTCTGTTTTTCTACAAACTGTGATCGTGTTTTTTTTAATAATTCCATTTTTTTTCTCTTTGGTATATGAGTTACACATTATAGTGGTTAGTTTAGTGTTTTCATCATACAAATTTACCTTATCACAATGTACCTTCAAATAATATGCCATTTTACATATGGTATTATTACATTATGATACTATACTTCCATTTCCCTTCAGCTTTTTTGATTTTGTGAACATGTTATACATTACCTTCACAGTTGGTATAAAACATATGATATATTGTAATGATCTTTCCTCAAGTGGCCAATTATATTTTAGAGTAATTTTAAATATAAAAAGAAAATATTTTATATTTACCCATATATTTACCATTTCTGCTGCACTTCATTATATTGTATAAATCCAGAACACCATTGATATTGTTCTCTGTATGAAAGATTTTTAATATTTATTGTAATACTATTGCAATACAGAACCGCTAATGATGACTTCTTTCATTTATTGTACGCCTGAAAAAGTCTTTCTTTTCCTTCTCTTTTGAAAAATACTTTCACTCGGCAAGAATTCTAAGACAATTGTTTTATCTCAGTACTTAAAGATGTTATTCCACTGCCTTCATATCTGTCGTTTCCATTGTGAAGTCTGCTGTCACTCTTATTGCTGTTCTTCTGTCTGTACTGTCTTTTTTTCTAGGGCTGCTTTAAGACTTTTCTCTTTATCATCAGTTTTAATTTGATTGTAGCCTGTGTTGGTGTGGCTTTGCTTGAGGTTCATTAAGATTCTTAGATCTGTGAATTTGTATTTTTCATCACATTTATAAACATTTCAAGCTTCCAAAAATACATGTTTTCTTCTCTTTCCTTTATCCTTCTCCTCTCTCCTTTGGGGACTCACATTTAAGCATATTAGTCTGCTTGAAATTTTTCCTCAGGTCACTGACACTCTGTTAATTTTTATTCAGGTTTTTTCCTCTTTGTATTTTATTTTGGATAGTTTCTATTACTGTGGATTTAAGTTCACTAAACATTTACTTTGCTGTTTCTAGTGTTCTACTAATTCTACCCAGTGTATTTTTCACCTCAGCGATTATGTTATCATCTCTAGATGTTTGATTTGGGTCTTTTTAATGTATTCCATGTCTCTCTTTAACATACTTATAAGCTGTTTTAATGGTCTTGTTTACTAATCATTCATATAATTTTTGGTTAAGTTTTGATTTACTGATCTTTTTCCTCATTATGGTATTTCCTACTCCTTTAGATGCCATGTAATTTTTCATTGGATGTCAGAATGTGCATTTTGAATTAAATAATAGGCATTCTTTTCTTTTTTAAATTCTTGAGGTTTGTTCTGAGACACAGCTAACTTATATTGAATTTATTTGATCCTTTCAAGCCTTGCTTGAAATCTTAGCCGCGCTAGTCCAGCCTTTAATCTAGGGCAAACTTTGCCCCACTACAGTTGTGAAATCTTTCTTACAACTGAGCACAGTGCTGAGCTGTTTCCACTCTCGCTGATGGTCAAACTATTCCTGGCCTTGTGTGACCTCCAGGATTGGTCCTTCTACTCCTTTCAAGTAGTTCTAGTTTTGGGTAGTTTTCTCACATGCAGGTGTGGAGTAGTACTCACATGAACACTTGGGCAGGGGACCTTCTGCAGATCTCTTCAGCTATCTCTTTCTCTGTTCAGTCCTCTCCTACCCATAAATCTTCCTTGTGATTAGCCTCCATTTTATCTCTGAACTCTGCACTTTGTCTCTTCAATTCGAGCTTCTCCTTGGTTTCCTCTTTCCATGCTCTAGTCATTAATCTCTCCTCAGTAAGCTTGGGCTATTTTACAGTTCACATTGTTTATTTCTTCTCTCTCAAGTATCATTGTCATGAACTGCCCTCTCTCCAATATCTGAAAATAGCTGATTTGTACATTTTTGTCAAATTTGTACATTTTGTCAAATGTTTTAATTGGTTGAGAGAGTAAATTTTTTCTCTTTACTTCATCTTGCTTGAAAGCAGAAGTCAATAAATGGGTTTTGAATAGAATATAAAGAAATAAAATGTAGTCTGCAAAATTAAAAAAGAAAAAATGTAGGAATAAAACAACAGTGGTAGTAATTTATGTTCGAGACCTTAAGAAATAAGATAACGTGTATAAAAGTATCTAGCATATGCCTACCATAAAGTCTTCATTCAACAAATGTTAGTTTAATACCATTCATCTCTAAGAGCCAAGTACTGACTACAGATTTAGTGATCTAAATAGTCATCTGTTTTTCCTCAAGTAAAGTAGACAATCCCATTCATAGCTATAAGTATAAATGCAATGAAAGCCCAAGGGGGCTCCATCTATCTTATTCTTCATTCTATGTTACATTTTGATGCAGGAAATTACTAAAATAGAAGGAAAATAGAAGCCGTAAGATAAAATTTTAAGATGAGATCAAAGGACATTTTATAGTTTATGTGTAGTAACCTAATGAATTTGGTGGGTTTATCATGCTGATGATATAAGGTATGCAGCAATTGACAAACTATGGCCCACAGGCCAAATCCAGGCCCAAACCTTCTACAGACCCCAGGAAGTAGGCCTGGTATAGAGTAGGCATGTTATTTTCTTTCATTTTCATGAGTATGCTCTCAGTTGGCTATAGTTGTAGTTATTTTTATTCCCACTTTATAGATGAAGAAACTGAGGCTTTCAGAAGCTTAGGTAACTTGCCCAAGACCACAAAGCTAATAATTAACGCCACTAGAAAGTGAACACTTGTCATTTGTTTACAAATCACCTGTTATATGGCATATTTACATATGGCAGGTTTCACACTACATCAGAGCTGAGTAGGTGAGATAGAGAGCATATGCCTTTCAGTACTACAGATACTTACTACTTGACCATTTGCAAAAAAGAAAAACAAAGTTGGCCATCCCTGGTGTGGACTAAGGAAACATCTCCACCTAATTTTCCAACCACCTTTATGAACAGCCTCCTCACTGTGATTGCTTCAATGTTTGAAATCCATACTTTAGTTTATGTATTTCTCCAAGTATGGAAAACTCTTCCCAATTATTTACCTAACCCACTTTGCTCCCTCTTCATGTCTCTTTATGCATCTCCCTCTACCAGCCTTCTCTGGTCTTCCAAGATGAACTGAGGGCTCCCATCAATACCTGCTACTGTCCTAACACTCACCACATTAAATTAAAAGTGTCAATTTACATCCCAAATCTTCTACTTGAAATGTTGAGATCCTTTTGGTAGGGATGGTGACATAATCATATTAGGAACATAATGGGCACCCAACAGAAATTTTGTGGCCTGTGCTGAAAAGTCTTCTTGAAAATAAGCTTTAAGAAATGTACTCGGCCGGGAGCGGTGGCTCACGCCTGTAATCCCAGCACTTTGGGAGGCCGAGGCGGGCAGATCACAAGGTCAGGTGATCGAGACCATCCTGGCTAACACGGTGAAACCCCGTCTCTACTAAAAGTACAAAAACTTAGCCAGGCATGGTGGCAGGCGCCTGTAGTCCCAGCTACTAGGGAGGCTGAAGCAGGAGAATGGCATGAACCCTGGAGGCAGAGACTGCAGTGAGCTGAGATGGCGCCACTGCACTCCAGCCTGGGCGACAGAGTGAGACTCCGTCTCAAAAAAAAAAAAAAAATGTACCCACACCAAGAGTTTATCACTTTATTCGTACAACAAGGTGTCCACTACCTTGGTGGAGTGCACTGATAAGCTACAGTTAATCTTGGTAGGGATGGTGACATAATCATATTAGGAACATAATGGGCACCCAACAGAAATTTTGTGGCCTGTGCTGAAAAGTCTTCTTGAAAATAAGCTTTAAGAAATGTACTTGTCCAAGATCACACAGCTAATAATTAATGAAACTAGGAAGCAAAATCAGGTCAGAAAAACTTCAAAAGTCCTAATGACTATATTAAACTACCTTGCACACGGAGATGTAAGTTTAAATGTCAAGAAATTCTTTCTGCAGATGACTTTTCAGGAAGACACCTCTTATAACAAAACTCGCAGTAACAGTAGCTGGGACCACAGTTCCTATATTAGGATTACACTTTCCTGCTCACAAAGCATTTCCTTATATTGTTTTTGTTTCCTCAGAATTGAGGCACCCCTGGGACCCTGAGATTTTTCCCTCTAGGATCTGATTTGTCCTTTCAGAGTGAGAGACCATGTTATTGCAATTTAGTTCTTAAACCAAACCAAATGAGTATGAAAAGTGGATCCTACCACAGGGTTTAAGTGGTCCAGACAAATATTTCTTTAAATAAATAATAAGATTCATATCATCAGAGTATAGCAGTAAATAGCAAATTAAGGTTTTCATTCTGCTTGGTCTTATTTCTCCTTAAGATGATGTGGAATGTAATTTAAGTTGCTCACTATCACACATCTTAATTGAAAGACCTCTTCTTTATGTTTTGTTCCCAAGAATTAATGTTTGTATTTAATATCATACTGTCATTATCTTGTTTCCTCTACACTGAAAGGAGTTGTCTGTTATTTGCAGGTGTAGAGGGCCAGCTGGAAACACAATTCCCTTCTCGCCTTCCCTCCTCCCTCTGATCACTGGTTATTACGCATAATTACATAGAAGCATGTATTAGGCTTTATTATAATGCACGACAGTGTGCTTTAAGTAAATTAGGAATTTGCATATCAATTCAGAGAAAGAAACTAAAATGCCATTCAGGACTTTTTATTTACATCCACAGGATTCCTAGATTTTAGAGGATTGCTTCTCTTCTCAGGTTGATAATCGGAGTCTAAAATTTGAAAGCACAATGAATCCAGGTTGAAGGTGGGATGGGGATTCTATATCTTGTACTGGTTTTTCTTCCTGTCTTTCCTCCTCCCTGTCTTACTTAGTAACCAGCTGAGCAAATTGTTCCTTAGTAACCAGACAGGTCATGCTTTGGCTACCTGGGGCACTTAGCATTTACCTTTCAAGGTTTCAGCCTTCTGGAGACAGCAGGTAGCTAGCTGGTGGTTTCAGTATTTCCACAGCCAAAAGAAATCAGGGCCATCCAAAACAGACACAGCCATATTCCCCGGAGTGTCCAAAAATAACAAGTCACAGTGAGCTCCACAATTAACTCTATCCCCACCCTGCCTGCCTTTTTGTTTTGTTTTTGTTTTTGTTTTTGTTTTTGTTTTTTGTACGGAGACTCATCCTCCTTGACCCTGGAGAGAACAGACCCACGCTGAAGAATTGCCTGGGGACGTTTAGACCATGGATAGTGGTGCCGGAGGGAGTCAGCTCCAAGCCAGGACAGAGGAAGGAATCTGGTTTCCTCCTAAATTGCCCATGTGGATGCTAAATCATTCCTGATGGAAACGTCTGTCCCTCAACTCATTAAAATAATTTGTGGAGTATATTTTTGCCTTTGGAGAGCTCTGGGGGCTATTAGAGGGTGTCATTTTTCACAGTAAAGTTCTTCATAGATTTCATTTTGCAAAGGCTTTGTTTCCACTCCATTTCACTGTGTTTACCTATGGATTCAAAAGTCAAGGACGAGGAAAGTCTTATTGGCATACTTATTTTAAATCTATGTAGTCTTTTTTTAAAAAAATATAACTTAAACTTTTTAATTTTTTACCTTGGAAGAAGTGGATTTATTCAAAATTACATTGCTTTTATATATATATATATGTATATATATGTATATATATACAGATATATATATATTTGTTTGAATTTTAAAATATCGTCTAATAGCCAAATGTTCTTCCAAGTAAAACATATGGCTGAGGAGAAACTCCAAATGATATAAGCTTTAAAACCAAAGATTTCTATTTTGTAACCAGACTAAAAACTTCTATATTAGGTTGAACCATTAAAAATTATCTATATTTGACCTTTTTTGACCTGAAAAGCAGCAATTTCATATGGTTCAACCTAAAACACCTAACCTGTCAATAACCTTTTAGCTTCAACAACATAAAAAGGCAGTATTTATTCAGTTTATTTGTTTGTTTGTAACTTTGCTGTATTCCATGTAGGACTTAAGAAGGATAATGCCATTTTATAATTGCTTTTCTTCCCCTTAGGATTAAAAATTACAACAGTTAGGAAGGAAAAGCAACCAATATTCTTTTGTTGTTATTGCTTTGTTTTGCCTTTTTCTAGTAATTTTCATGCAAGTGTCTTCAGAATCATTCCATCTGATAAAACATACTAGGATGGTTTATAAAGGGCTCACAACCCACTGCCCTGAAAGACGGCATCTTGTGTGGCCTGTGGAGCAGTCAACAAGCAGCACAAAGCAAGTCCTAGGAAAAGTTTACCAAGTGCTCTATAACAGCTGTCCCAAGGCAAAGAACTACAACCAGTTGAAACCATGGGAAATAGGAGACAGAGAAAATGCAATACCCATATCACTATTTCCCAGGAACACCAGCATTAATATGTCCAGGCATTCCAAAGTGCAATGGACTCTGTTGCATCACATACTTAAGAACACAAATTCCAACTCCTCCAGGTCACGGGTTCCTACAGAAGCTGATGAGCAAAACACAACAGTAATGCAACCAAGAAAAACGGGAGAGGGACCTGCTCCTTAGGATGAAAAGTTTACTTCTAATTTGAACGAGGACAATTATGCCCCATATTCAGTCTCTCAGCATTTAATTCGCATGCAAGATACCATTCTTTTCATTTAGAGCAAGGAGGGTGAAAATGGAAAAATATTAAACAAGTAGCTCTCCACTAATATGGCTGTTATGTATACCTTTTATTTCTATAGAAACAAGTGTTTTAATGATATACCATATAATTATATATGAGTGTATATGGACAGCTTTGCTGTAAAATTTCAGAAACCAGATTAGGAAATAAGAATTGAAAGGAATCCTAGAGGACCTATAATACAAACTCCTTATTTAGAGATGAGGACACCAAAGCCGAGCATCACGTTAAGTTGGAATTAGAATCCAGTACCCCAGAACTCATTTGACCACACCACGCCACACCATTACACTCAGTAAAACCAAGTGAATTTAAAGCAAATCAACTTCTCCACCTTCTGAAAGAAGTATTTCAAATCAACCTGAAGTAAATACTATGGCAGAAGTTGCAAATGACTTCTGGTACTCATTCTCCCTATCTTCCTCAGTCACAGAAAGGTAAATTTTTTTAGCTGGATGCATTGTCACAAAAATTATTTTTCCCAGTCTCCCTTTCAGCTGGCTACATGTTGTATGACTAATCTCTTGTCAATGAAACATAAACAGAAGGGGTTAGTGAGATTTCTAAGAAGTCTCCTCAAAAGTGGAATATATACCTTTCTTCTTCCCTTGCTCCTTCCTGCAAAGGAGTGTTAATATGTTGGCTGGAACCCTAGCAGCCATTTTGGACCAAGAGGCAACCTGCTCCAGATAGCAGAGCAACAAGACAGAAGGAGCCTGGGGCTAGGCATGGTGGCTCATGCCTGTAATCTTAGCATTTTGGAAGGCCGAGGCAGGCAGATTGCCTGAGGACAGGAGTTCGAGACCAGCCTGGCCAACATGGTGAAACCCTGTCTCTACTAAAAATAGAAAAAATTAGCCAGGGATGGTGACAGGTACCTGTAATCCCATCTACTTAGAAGGCTGAGGCAGGAGAATTGCTTGAACCTGGGAGGTGGAGGTTGCAGTGAGCCGAGACTGCGCCATTGCACTCCAACCTGGACAACAAGAGCAAAAGTCCATCTCAAAAAAAAAAAAAAAAGAAGGAGCCTGGGTCCCTAATAACTGGGGAGCCCCTAACCTGGCCCTACCTACATCCAATTCTTTTAAATTGAGAAAGAATTTTTATCTAAGCTCCTGGTTTTTGGTGTTTTTCTGTTGTATGCAGTCAAATTTAATCCTAACTGGTATAAATATAGTCAAAGTATATAATCTAAAGGATCTTAGAATAATTTAATTAATGTACCTGAATAATAGAAAAAAGATTAATTTAACCTGTGATTTTTTTTTTTTAGCCTAAAGGGGATCAAAGCCTTAATCAAACTTTATATCATGCCTCCATTCCCATTCCTAACCCTTGGGCATAACAAATGTCGAAAACCCACAAGGTACCAGTATCCAGGGCAAGCTCTTTGATGGAAGGCAGACAAGTAAAAGCTCATTTTTTTCTGCACCTTAAATTAAAGACACTACAATCATAATTATGTCATTTGGTTCTTTGTTTATCAGCTGCATGGAGGCCAAAGTAAAACAGAAGTTTCAAATAATTTGTAGTTTTAAGTAATTTGTGTGTGTGTGTGTGTTTGCACACACTCACACACCAGTAAATCACTGCTCTCAGGATCTGATTTATAAAGGAACCTAAGAAAAAAATGTCTGCCCAACAATAATCAAGAAATAATTTCTGCCCAGATATGGTGGCTCACATTTCTAACCCCAACACTTTGGGAGGCCAAGGCAGGAGGATCACTGGAGGCTAGGAGTTTGAGACCAGCCTGAGGAACATAGTGAAACCCCATCTCTAAAAAAAATTTTTTTTTAAATAGCCAGGCATGGTGGCACATGCCTATAGTCCCAGCTACTTGAGGGGCTGAGGCAGGAGGATCCCTTGAGCCCAGGAGTTCAAAGTTGCAGTGAGCTATGATCACATCACTGCACTCCAGCCTGGATGACAGAGTGAGACCTTCTCTCTCTCTCTCTCTCTCTCTCTCTCTCTCTCTCTCTCTCTCTCTCTCTGTGTATATGTGTGTGTGTGTGTGTGTATAAATTCAAGGAAAAACAAATTATATATATATACACACACATAATACAAGGAATATAATCATGTATTATATTCCTTACAATATATAAGGAATATAATATTATAAAGAAAAACAAATGTCATACACTACTCAATCTTATCTATTGTGACAGATCAGCCCTAATTTTTATGTTTGTCCAATCTATTTCTTTTTCTCTTTGTGATCAACAGTTCTGCTTTGAATTATTAGTTCAAAAACTAATATCTCACATGAGAACAGGATAAAATAAGCTAATAACAACATAAGTAATAATAATTTTACCTTTCCAACGTGCTCTTATACAAAAAGCTTCAAGTGCTTTATAAATTATATATGCACAAATCACTTAATCTCCTACTAAAAGGCTGCTACTCTTAAAAAAAACTATTCTCTGTAGTGTTGTGCAGCAGAAAAGAAAGTCTGCTATGTCCATGCACAATTGCTGGAGTAGTTTTAGGGAAGTAAAGTGTAATTCGCTACTCAGACATACTAAAAGCTTTGAACAATCCCTTTTAAAAATCATCAAGGGAGGTTTTAATCACCAGAAGTAGTCAACTCTTTGTTTTCTGTCTCATCCATCCAATCAAAGTGGAAACGTCAGCCGTAGAACAGCACGCAGATCATCAGGGGTTATGAAGTCAGCTCGACTTCATTAGGAATAGTCTCTTTGCCAATGACTACACCGAATAAGGGGAATGGAAAAGAAGATCAGAAGACAGGCCAAAAAAAGGTTACTTTTGAAGCTGCTAAGAACTATATTGTGAAAGACACACAACTGGCTGCATTTTACACACTTTTGCTCTGTTTCTAGTTCTTCAGCCCAGACCCAAGATCTGAGAACTTACCCTCAATCCCAGCCACCCACCACAAAGAACAACAGCAGGGAATATTCCTTATACTCTTGGCCACCTGTCCACTTTTCTCAACTTTGGAGACCATGATCCAGCTAATTACTGTCTCCTCTGTAAAGCCTCCTGGCTACAGCTACACCAGGGATGATCACTCCCTTCCCTGAGTTGCCTTGGCTCATTTTTCATGCTGCTAATATACTATGTGTCAATCCTTTAAGAGATGTTTTTGAATGTTTCTCTTCCACTAAAGGATTTGTTCTTTATGTGTTGTGATGATGTCTTATCATATTTCAATCCTAGCAAAAGATCAGTGCACAGTGGGTGCTGAGTGTTTTATTAATGGCTGACTAGTCCAGTCTGCTATCAATTCTGGTCTTGACAATTACAACCAGATAATAACAGACTTCCCTGTGGCTGTGCTTGCCCTCCACTGAGCTGTGCTGAATGCAGCAGCCAGAGAGAGCTTCTGAAATGGAAGATTATGCCACCAGCACCTCCCCACTGCATCTCCCTCTTCCACCCCACCTTCATCATCATACTGTCCCTTCCCCAGATTTTTATATGCATTAACCCTTCCAGTTAGAATGCTGTTCCCCACATACTATTCTCATTCTTCAGATCTCAGGCTCAATGTCACCTTCAGAGAAGCCTCCAGTGTCTACCACGTTAAGTAAAGTTTATTATATCCTATCCATCTTCTTGGGCCCTGGATTATTCCTTTGTACTTTATTATAATTTTTTTTCAGTTTACCTTTTCACTGATAGCCTCCCCAAATAGAATGTAAGTTCCATGATGGCAGGGAAAGTGGTCAGTTTTGTTCTCCATTATATTCTCAACAAGTAGCACAGTGTTTGGCATTTTTAAATACTCAGCAACTATGTGTTGAATTAATAAGTAACTTAGTGTAGGCTTTTCCACCAAAGACCTGTGTCCCATAAGGAGAATTCCATTAGACTAGAGAGAATCTCCAAGGGAAATCAAATGTAGACAGGCTGACAGAGAGAAAAAGCAACAAAAATGAGTATTTGTGAAAGTTAGGACCTATTAGAAAAATGAGGCTTCCTAGTATTAATGTTGTTTGCCTGTATAAATAAGCAATTATAATTTGTTATATACATCTCATAACAGAGGTCCTCCCATTTTGCCTAGAATTTTTCTTTGAATCCTTTCTTGGAAATGACACAAATGTCATCTCCAAGAAGACTTTCCTGGCTCTCTCCACTAGGGTAGGGTGCCTTTTGCTGTACTCTAGGGATATGCAGTGCTTGTCTCTAAGAGCAGTGAATTGTCAGAAGATATGGGTGGGGAAAAGTGTTAGGAATAGATTGTGCAAATTTTTACATTACATGCTAGAATATTTGGAATTTATCTAGGGAACAACAAGAATGTAATTGAAAGCATGATCAGATTTGTAATTCAGAAAAAAAATGTTCTGACTAACCTGTGAGTAGAGTGGATTCAAAGAAAGGGAGACTAAAAAGTGAGAGGTGATTGACATGCTAGGGTCAAAGATGATGAGAATCTGAACTAGGTCAACAGCAAAAGCAATAAAAAGATGGGTATGGATTCAAGAATTATAAAGAAGGTGGAATCTACAACACCAGGCAATCTTTCTATTAGGAACGAGCCAAAAAACTAGTTGTTTAAGAGAAGCAACTGGGTTTGTAGAAAAGAGTGAGAATTTTACTTGGGACAAGTAGAGTTTGAAGTGTTGAGGGATATGCAGGTAAAGATGTTTAGTGGACAATCATAGATACATACCTGGAACTCAGGCAAGCTAGTGATATAAATTGGGAAGCCATTAGTAATGATATAGATGACTTTGTTGATGACCCTTTGTACAATGAAAATGCTAGGCATAGTGATTATGAAATTTATCAGAATATTCTCCAGAGCAGAGCAACCTAAAATAAATGGCATCCTAATTGTAAAGTAAAAAAACCTACAAACTTTATGCTCAATAAATAAAAGATACTTACTCGTATGAATTACTAAAACTGAAGACAGAACCATAGATCATTAACCTTTGTTTCCCACAATTTCTAGCACTTGGTAATTACCTCGAGGTACCCAAGAGAAAGCCCTCTGACTGTAGAAATACAGATATAAAATGCTGGAGTTCACTGAAATATGTTAAACACTAATTTGCTGATGTGTTCCAGATGTATTTGGCACTTACTATAATGAAGATGAGTTTGTTTATACATTTTGCTCCTTTTGCTCAAAGTTGCCATTACAAGTTTCACAAAGCACACAAATACATTCTTTGCATCCACCTAAGTCTAATCATGAATTTTAGCTATTTATAATATATGGTAATACTGTGACTGAATTCAACTAACTTACTTAAAGAAAATGGCATTGAAGAGAAAATTAATTGTGTACAAGTACAAAATTATAAGAATTTACTATAAACCCAGTTCACTCATTTGGTCTTTGAAACAACCATATGACATGTTAACATCATCCCAATTTTACATCCCCACAAAAAATAAATCCAAAACACAGAGAAGTTAATAACTTATCAAAGTCACAGAGCTGATAAATAGTAAACCCGAGCGTATTAGTTAGTCCCTTCTTACACTGCTGATAAAGACATACCTGAGATTAGGCAATTTACGAAAAAAAAAAAAAAAACAGAGGTTTATTGGACTTACAGTTCCATGTGGCTGGGGAGGCTGCACAATCATGGCAGAAGGTGAAAGGCACGTCTCAGATGGCGGCAGACAAGAGAAGGGAGCTTGTGCAAGGAAACTCCCCTTTTTGAAACCATCAGATCTCAGGGACTCATTCACTATCGCGAGAACAACACAGTAAAGACCCATCCCCCATAATTCAATCACCTCCCACCAGGTTCCTCCCATATGGGAGTTACAATTCAAGATGAGATTTGAGTGGGGACACAGCCAAACCATATCACTGAGCTTCCAACTCCATACCTGACTCTCTCTAAAATTTCTCAAGGTCTTCCTTTATGTCATACTCTGAAAAAGTCAATGACTTCTCCTTCCAACACAAAGTAGGAACCAACAAATTAAATGCCAATTTGATGCACTAATAAATAATGCATGGACATTCTATTCTATTGCGTCCTTCACTCCAAAATTCTACTGCATTGACATTCTGCTGTTTCCTACTCAGCCAGTCTCAGCCTCATTCTACTTTCTTGTTGTAACCTATTCTGTTCTAAGGACAGTGGTTCATCATTTCAACACTGTCCTCACTAGCATTGCAGAGTGCCTTAACTCTTAAACTCCCATTGAGTCAATCAGCCAATTCATGGGTTAAATCCAGAGAATTCATAGTCCCTGTCTGCAGCAGGAGAAGCTCACACAGGGCTGCTTCGTGGGTAGATGACCCAGGCGGTCACACAAAGTTTCATGATCAGATGTCCCTGTGCTTGGTTTCATGCTCTGCTGTCATTGTCTTGAATTTCTTAATAATTTTTGGCAAGACACTCACATTTTTATTTTGCACTGGGACCTACAAATTATACTACCAATCCTGAACTCACATGACTTACTCTTATTTCTCTTCCTACCTTCTCTTGATTTATCTTTACAATGATTTACTTAATTACATTTAGGACAAAATATAAAGGAAGAGAGGGGTGCTATGCAAGGGGTGGGGAACAAAACTAGTCAGATAGATTAGGGAAGCATTCTTGAGAAAGTCAGATTTCCTCTGCATTCTGAAGAAGAAGCAGTTGCTAACTAGGCCAAGAGCTGGGAGACTGTATTGCAGGCTGAGCCTTTGAGCTTAAAGCACAGGGTGGGCTGGCAACACTAACAAAGGATATTTAACACAGTGACTGACGACCGGAACAAGGCGAGGCCACTAAGGAGGACAGCCCAGATTATGGAGGGACTGCAAAACAGCTAAGAATTTTGATCTTTATCCCCAAAAGCAGTGAGTGGCCGTCATAGCATTTAAATCAAGAAAGTGACAAGATACGACACAATATATCACACAAAGGGTATGATATCACACCAAGCCCTCACTTCTTTAGGCTTTGAGTGACCCATTCTGCATTGGCATTGACCACATCTGCAGTTCCTTGTCTCACAGTTCTCCATCTCTGAGGATGTCACCTTTTCACACCTAGCAGGTGACTTCATCTACCATTTCTGAGAAGGGTGAAGCTTCCCAGTTTCATTATTTCCATCTCTTCTCTCCTTCTCATCACGATGCTTGTAACTTTAAAGTGGCCATGTTTTTCTGTAGGCTTACCTCCACCCCTCTTGTCTAGGAAGACATACAACCTTCATTTCTTCCCAGGCTAATCTTTCCAACTATGCCCTTAATACCACCTTCATTCTTCCCCACTGGGCCTCACTCCCCGCCCTCAAGATAATCAGATCTCCTTGTTCTGGCATCTGCAATCTCACACTATCTATCCTCTCCCTCTTCTCAGCATATAGCTACAGCTCTATGCTTTCATGGAAAGCGAAAGAATATGCATCTCTTGAACTGCCATCCCTGCTTTTCTCTTCCCTTACCCACCACTTTCCTAAAATACTAAAGTAGCCACCTCTTCTATAACTCTATGGTTTGGATTTATATCTTTCCTTTATATATGGCATCCCAGGCTCTTATCTCCAAAGGTATACTTGTGTGATTGATTTCTTGGAACCAAATAAAACCATCTTAAGATGATATTTTAGCTTGAATCCATTGCCTCAGCTTGTCAAGGTCTTTTGGGATTCTTAATCTGATAGCCCAACTATTTCCTTCTTCTTGCAGCAGTGTGTGATCTGCAACTTTACAATGGATGCCTTCTGCGTGATAATGACCTTGTGAGTGAATGGGCATGGGTAACAAGCACAATTTAACACCAGTTCAGGATATAGCTTATTCCATCCATAGAAAGCGTGTTGTGGCTGGGCCCAGTGGTCCACGCCTGTAATCCCAGCACTTTGGGAGGCTGAGGCGGGTAGATTACCTGAAGTCAGGAGTTCGAGACCAGCTTGGCCAACATAGTGAAACCCCGTCTCTACTAAAAATACAAAAAAAATTAGCCGGGTGTGGTGGTGGGCACCTGTAATCCCAGCTACTTGGGAGGCTGAGGCGGGAGAATCACTTGAACCCAGGAGGCAGAGGTTGCAGTGAGCCAAGACCATGCCATTGCACTCCAGCCTCAGCAACAAGAACGAAACTCCATCTCAAAAAAAACAAAAAAAATGTGTTGTAATTCTTTGCCTATTTTCAAATTCATTCTTCTGGACAGTTACATTTTCCACTAATGCAATTACATTTAAATTTTTACTAAACAAATGGAAGGTCCAACTGCTCCTATCATTTTGGATGCCAGAAACATTACCAAAAATCTAATTAAATAAAATTATTTTTAAAAAATAAGATATCTATAAGGTATACATTTGAACAAGAACATACAAATAGCTAACCCAAGAGGAAAAATATATTCATGGTTAGAAAATCTAACTAGAAACAAAAGCACAAGAGTATTATATCCTATCAGACAGTCCTCATTTTAGACAACAATGGTTTCCCCAGCGTGCTCAGGGCTCATGCTGCCTGGTCTCATCAAAGCAGGGAGTGTGACTGGAGTCAACCCATTTGTGTACATAGGTTGCCCCAACAGCCAAATGAGAGGGGTGCTGAATGGGACAGTATTAAGATAACAATGCCTATTCAACCTTTTGCTTTTTGAAAATTCTACAGGCCTAAAACTAGGCAAACGAAGAATCTAATAACCTTGCCTCATAATTAGGGTAATCTTTAACAGAGCATTGTATGTGACTTCAATAACCACATAGCAATTAGGCGATTATTTGTGCCCAGTAAAAATATACCATTAAGCATTAAGAAAAAAAATACAGATGAACAATAATCACACTGTATTTTTCATGGAGCTGTAACCTGAAGCATAACAATTATCATGTGCTATAATGTCCAGAATATAAACAACAGTGTAAAGACAACTTGAGATAGAAAAACAGAAAAAAAAAAGAAAAGAAAAACTCAATCTGGACTAACTAGGGAACATACGCCAACAAAAAGAAGCACAGACAATGGAGAAAAACCAAATAATAACAAGCATCATCATCTTTCCTTATAGATTCCCACAAGCAAGTCCTATGGACTCTACCTCTTGGATCCATGCCTGTTGCTGCTGCCCTAACTCAAGCCATCAATATGTCTCATCTGGACTACTTCAATACTCTAGTATTCTTCTAAGCAGTCTCCTTGCTTCTGTCCTCTATCTGCTCCTTTCTAATCTCCATCCTGCTACTAGAATTCTCTTTCTAAAATAAAATCCTGTTCATTCCACTACCCGATTTGGAAATCCTCCACGGCTCTTCACAGTTTACAGAATAAAGGCCATATTCCTTAGTATGGCAACCAAAGTCCCTCACTAGTAAACCCTCACTACCCTCTTCAGTCTCACCTCTAGGCAATCGTCATCCTCACTCATCAAGTTCCTTCCCTCATATATGCTACCATGGTACCCTCCTCATGTATTTCAAGCATGATGGACAGTCTGCTAGGTTCTCCCACTGCCCTGCTCTGGATGGTTCCTCTTCAGGTAGCAGAGTAGAGTGCCTAGGAGCATGGACTCTGGAGCCTAAGCGCCTAGATCCAACCTCCGTTGTGCTTCTTCTTAGCTGTGTGACCTTGGAGAAGTTACTTCTTTGTGCCCATTCTTCTCATCTGCAAACTAGGAACTTAATTAAACTGCCTACCACGTAGCACTTCTGAAAGGTTCAAATGGGCTATCACAGGTACAATACTTAGAACAGTGAGAAATAAATGAGCATGTAAGTTTCCTTTTTATTATTGTCCTTGATTTTGCCATCCGTTCTCTAAATTCTTAATGATCATTTAACACTCCAGTTGAATGACATTTTTCTGTAGGCCTCACCTATTCAACTTTCTCAACATTAGTCATTAGGCACTTCATTTTCTCTTCTCCCACAGCACCAAAGAACTTTGATCATATAATCAAATGACACTAATTCATTTATTGAACACCTGTTAAGGGCTATGCAAATACTAACCACAAATAAAAGAAGCTGACATAATCATTACCATTATACAGATAAAAAGATTGAAAATCGGAGGGGCAAATGAATGTCCCCTTTATACCACCAGCAGGTAGAAGAATTAGAATTCAAATTCAGCTCCATATGACCCAACCTCATACCTTTTTTCCACACAATACTGCCACCCAAGTGCACACTCATTACCCTGCATCACAGATAGGTGCTTATACATCTGTTTCTGTCTCAAACTGTGAGATTCATCTTATTTATCTTTTAATTGCAAACAACTTGCACAAGGCCTAGCACATCATATGTACTCAATAAGTTTTTATAGCCTTTCAAAATCATACTTGAAGGGAAAGTTGTCCAAGGGAAATATAATGTGGGCCACATGTATAATTTTAAATGTTTTAGTAGCCACTTTAGAAAAGATAAAAAGAAACAAGTAAAATTAATGTTTAAAATATATTTTATTTAACTTAACGCATCTGCAATATTATCATTTTAACATGTAATCTATATAAAAAGATTAATGAGATATTCTATCTTCTTTCATACTAAGTCTTTGAAATCCAATGTGTCTTTTATACTTACAACACATCTCAACTCAGAATGACCACATTTCAAGTGCTCAGAAATCACATGTGACTAGTTTACTCTATTGGACATTGCAAATTGAAGGCATATAAACTGTAAACATAAAACTAACAGAGAATTCCATCCACCCTGTGCAGGTCGACTCAAACAGTCCAAGTAGACAACACACACCCACAATCTAATCAAATCTCTCTCCTACATTCAAACAATGCCTCTACTTTCCACTCTAGGTCACTGGGACCTTCTCACAATCCTCTGAGAGTCAGGATTACTTTAGCTCTTCACTGCCTCAGACAAAGTCCACATAGGACTACTGAACAAATATTTTAACATTTTTTTAATCTTTAAATTTTTAATTTTACTAGTAAAATTTTTAAAGATTTAAATTTAAAACGTTTAGAATTTTTGTTGTCCAAAGTAATGAGGATTCCCTGTGGTCTTAGAGAGTCCCCACTACCTAGGGGGATTAAGCACACATCTACATACACAGTAATTGATTTGTGCCTCTCTTGAGGAATTTTTTAAGTTCTTCCTTGTTCTTAGACCATCTGCCTGCAGAATATGTCTGCACATAAGATTTTTAATTAGAAAATTCCATGGGTTTGGCTTGACACATGGCTAAGCCCCTGATAGTTGTCCCTTGAGTCACTGTTTGACACCCAATAGACAGTAATGGAGTAAAGAGTGTCAAGGAATTTACCATGTGTTTGGGCTATAATTTAAATTTAGGAAATGTGACTGAGGCAGGATTGATCATCAAAGTCTTCAAGGTTGAAATAGAATGCAACTAAAAATAAACCCTTAAGTAGAAAAAAAGCATGAATAAGAACATTTCAGGCAGAAAACTATGCCCCAAAAGACTCAAGGGAAGGTACTGATTTCATAAATAGTTACATAGCATTTCTTACTATGTACAAGGCACTGTTCTAAGAAATTATCAAACAGTAATTCATGTATATTTTATGGACAACCCACTAAGGTAGGCCCATTTTTGCAGATGAGGAAAAGTTGTTAAGAGACTTGGAATGCATACTCTGTTAGAAAGCAACATCCCTGAGATTTGAACATAGAACCTCTACTTCCAGGGCCCATCTTCTTAAATACTACGCTTTGCTGCCTCTGTGGCAATTATATGTTACATCTTGACCTTAAATTATGTTGGTTCTTGATGGTGGGTTCAAGACCAGCCTGGCCAAAATGGTGAAACCCCAACTTTAATAAAAATGCAAAAATTAGCTGGGCATAGTGGTGTGTGCCTGTAGTCCCAGCTACTCGGGAGGCTAAGGCAGGAGAATCACTTGAACCTGAGACGGAGGTTGCAGTGAGCTGAGATCGCACCACTGCACTCCAGCCTGGGTGACAGAGCAAGACTCTGTCTCAAAAAAAAAAGAACCAACTACTTCAGGTAGATGGGCTACCTGCAGTAAAAAGAAACATAGGTTAATTCTAATTGAGCCATCTTAAGAGACAACTGAACATTTTAATAGAAGACTCATTTTATATCCTAAGAGAATCTCTGGAGTATTTGATCTGGAGCAGAAGTTTGGAATATTTGAACTCAACATTGTTTTTTCATAGCCATTAACTCACTTTACTAGAAACGCATAAACAAGTTCTGTCTATAAGTTCCCACTGCAGAGTACATGTAGCTCCAGCACAGGAGCCATAATAGAGAGAACTTTATTTTTAAACTTTAGGGACATTCTAGTGACAGGTCAACAATAATACAGGCTCTTGTTTTATTTCAGAAATGTTTCCAGTTGTCAAATAGGCACAACCAAAAGCTATTCTTTTTTTTTTTTTTTTTAATCTTCCTCCTATGGCTACTTTGGTAAAATCAAGGAGGAAGGTAAAATCACTATTCTCAAACATCTTATAGTTTTGTTCATTTGTTCATTTTGTTCATTTGTTCATTTCAATTCAATTTAACATATAATTGCTTAGCACCTATGTGCCAGGTGTCCTCGTAGGCAATAAGAAAAGTAAGATGAATAAAGCACAAATCTTCCCTCAAGGAGCTTAACATGTTATAGATACATAAGCAAATAACTATTATACTCTAAGACAAGTTATATGGAAGGATTAGAAATACACGCTATGAACCTACAAAAGAAGCTACAACTAATTCTGGTAGAATGAAGGAAATGGGCATTTATTTGCTTAATAATGATTTTTATTCTATTTTATTTATTTTTATTATTATACTTTAAGCTCTGGGATACATGTGCAGAACATGCAGGTTTGTTTCATAAGTAAAGTGACATGGTGGTCTGCGGCGCCCATCAACCCATCATGTACATTAGGTAGATGCTATTCCTAATGCTATCCCTCCCCTAGCCTCCCGCTCACCAACAGGCTCCAGTGTGTGATGTTCCCCCTCCTTGTGTCCATGTGTTCTCATTGTTCAACTCCCACTTATGAGTAAGAACATGCAGTGTTTGGTTTTCTGTTCCTGTGTTAGTTTGCTGAGAATGATGGTTTCCAGCTTCATCCATGTCCCTGCAAAGAAGATCAACTCATCCTTTTCATGGCTGCATAGTATTCTATGATGTATATGTGCCACATTTTCTTTATCCAATCTATCATTGTTGGGCATTTGGGTTGGTTCCAAGTATTTGCTATTGTGAACAGTGCTGCAATAAACATACGTGTGCATGTATCTTTATAGTAGAATGATTTATAATCCTAATGCTATTTCTGGTTCTAGATCCCTGAGGAATCACCACACTGTCTTCCACAATGATTGAACTAATTTATGCTTCATGATTTTTAAAGGATTGTTTAGAAAAACATTGAGCTAACTACAATAAAAGAATGAAATAAGTATACAGATTGTACAGGGAGAAATCCAAGGAAAGAACGATTAATTTTACCTAGGAAAGTAAAGAAAGGCTTCAAGGTGGCAATGATATTTGAGCTAAGAAGAGTACATAGGACTTCTTCAAGGGACAAGTGGCATGGTCACAAGCAGAGGAAACGTGTGCAAAGAATCAAAGATATAAAGCATCATAGGAGGAGTGAGTAATTTCTTTGCATTTAAAAAAGCTCTCACTAACTCCTTGTTGGCAATGAGATTTGGGAGGTAATCACTTCATATAATTCTAAAACATTTACTGAGAATTTATTATGCATCACCACCTTGCAAAGTGATAGGTATATAATAATATATAAGACATGATTCCTCTTCCTAAAGATTCAAAGCTAGTAGCAGAACAATCCTTTAAGTAACTAAATGTAATTCAGTGGGACACTTGCTATAACAGAGGCAGAGTATAAGGAAAATGATGCTATTAAATTCAAATTAGGGATAAAAGACTGGTCTAAAGGTGTGATATTTGAATTGGATCTTGAGGGATGAATAAGAGTTTTCCAAGGGACAAAAAAAGAAAACATTATTTCAGACAAAGGGAACATGTGCAACGATATAATTATACAAAATATTATAGCATATTTCTGGAAAAGCAAGACTTTAGCATTGCTTCAAAGAACAGAATGACTATGAAAAAGATTGCATAGGTACACAGAGCTTACATAATGGACAGCTTTATTTTTCTTTAATAATTTCAACTTTCATTTTAGATTCAGGGAGTATATGGGCAGGTTTGTTACCTGAGTATATTGCATGATGCTAAGGTTTAGGGTACAAATGATCTCATCACCCAAATACTGAGCATTGTGTCCAACAGTTATTATTTCAACCCTTGCCCCCGCTGCCCTAAGTAGTCTCCAGTGTCCATTGTTGTCATCTTCATGTCCATTAGTGCTCATTGGTTAGCTTCCAGTTAAAACAGAACATGCAGTATTTGGTTTTCTGTTCCTGCATTAAATTGCTTCAGATAATGGCCTCCAGCTGCATCCATGTTGCTACAAAGGACATGATTTCATTTTTATTTTTTTGTAACTGAGCAGTATTCCATGGTGTATGTGTACCACATTTTCTCTATCCAATCCACCATTGATGAGTATGTAGGTTAAATCCATGTCTTTACTATTATGAATAGTGCTGCAACGAATATACTAGTGCATGTGTCTTTTTGGTAGAACTAGTTATTTTCTTACGGGTATATATTCAGTAATGGGTTTGCTGTGTCAAATGGTAGTTTGCATTAAGTTCTTTGAGACACCTCCAAACTGTTTCCCACAGTGGCTGAACTAATTTACATTCCTACAAACAGTATATAAGTGATTCTTTTTCTCCACAGCCTCACCAGCATCTGTTGTTTTTTGACTTTTTAATGATAGCCGCTCTGACTGATGTGAGATGGTATCTCATTGTGGTTCTGATTTGCATTTCTCTGATGATTAGTGATGTGGAGCAATTTTTCATATGCTCATTGGCCGCACGTTATGTTTTCTTTTGAGAAGTGTCTGTTCGTGTCTTTTGTCCATTTTTAATGGGCTTATTTATTTTTTGCTTGTTCAGTTATTTAAGCTCCTTATAGATTCTGAACACCCTTTTCCAATGCCTAGTTTACAAATATTTGTGCTCATTCTGTAGGTTGTCTGTTTACTTTGTTGATAGTTTATTTTCTCTCTGTGCAAAGCTCTTTAGTTTAATTAGGCCCTATTTGTCATATTCTGTTTTTGTTGTAATTGGTTTTAAGGACTAAATCGTAAATTCTTTCCCAAGGCCAAGGTCCAGAATAGTGTTTCGTAGGTTTTCTTCTAGGATTCTTATAATTTGAAGTCTTGCATTTAAATCTTTAATCCACCTTGAGTTAATTTTTGCATGTGGTGAAAGTAGGAGCCCAGTTTTGTTCTTCTGCAAATGGCAGCCAGTTATCCCAATACCATTTGCTGAATAGGGAGTCCTTTCCCCACAATAAAGAGCCTTATAAGAAATGCATAAATGTTGGGACTTCATGCTGTTTGTTTGTTTTTTATATAGACAGGATATCACTTTGTTGTCCAGGCCAGTCTTGAACTCCAGGGCTCAAGCCATCTACTCCGCTTTGCCTCCCAAAGTGCTCGGATTATGGGCATGAGCCATCACATCTGGCCTGCTTGGGACTTCATTCTGTAGGCAGCAGATTCATTGAGGCTTTTAAGCAGAGAAGTAATATGATTAACCCTGCCCTCCAATCAAGACTAGGCTGGCGAATTGATTGGAGAAGTTCAGACTTCAGGGCCTGGTAGAAGGTGATGGCAATGATCACTGGAGAGGAGATGGTAGCCTGAAGTGTGGCTAAGTGGAAAAGGAGGTAGCAGAAGGTATAGAAGAGAGACTATTTCAGAGGTAGAATCAACATTATGTAATGGCCATTTAGATTGTGAGGAGGTTGATAAAAGGATAGTTTATTAAAGAAGGTTGATGAGGATGACAATTTGTTTCTGGATGGAGCCATTAGATAAATAGCAAGGATAACAGTAACCAAGATAGAGCAGGTGCTCTCTGACAAAGAAATATGATGGCATGGAGAAGTGGAGGTTGATGCTGTAAAGCAGAAATACCATAAGGAGGAAGCAATCCCTTCAGGCTTTGGATGGCACCAATCTATCAGACAAATTTCCATCTGCCCACATCTACTATTTACGTTGTATTTCTTCCAAAATAAAAGAGCAATCGATCGACATCTAGTCTCCAGGCGCGACTATCCCTTCTACCTGGGATACTCATGGCAAAAACTGGCCAGGCTAAAGCAAGTAAATCAATTTGTGTCTGCCATGTTAACATCTCTGTAGGAAGTTAATTGACCCTCCTTTTGACACAAGCCCAAATGACAGATGAGAAGTGGGGGAAGATGGAAAATGGCTGGCAGTTCATGACACAAACAATGTGGGGTTGTCCTCCCATAAACAGGCTGTCTGGACAGCAGGTTACCCATGGAGCAAATCCTCAGGGAAGGTCAGAAGTTAACGGGTGCCTGAGGGTGAAGGGAGTGATTATGTAACCACAGTTGTCATGGCAACTGCAAGGAAGCCACCAGACTCAAGACACCGAAAGGCACAGACTGGAGGGGACATCCTCTCTTGGCCTTAAGGAACAAGGGGCGCAGAGTAAAGCCGATGGAGCACTGACTCAGCTCATCCCACCAGACTTCAACATGTGGCCACAGGTTAATTTTGGAAACCCTTGAGAGTTTAACCCTCGTCCACTGCTGCAAAGGCACTGGACTTGTGATCCTAAGGACAAGCTTCACGGACATGTTGCTTAAGTCATCTGAAATTAGGTAACTCATGGCTAAGAGAAGGTTCATAATACTTAGCTCACTTCTTAACCAACTGAGCAACTTGGGGCAAGTTAACTGAGCTTCAAAGACTCTGTTTTCTCATCAGTAAAATGTGCTAACGCCTGTCTTACTTGACAAGACTGTTCAGATGAATAAAGGAAGTAATTTAAAGGCAAGTGTCTGGTACACTGAAATTTGTTAAACATATAATATTTTGGTTTTAAGATAATCTAGGATCATTAATGGAGAAACAAATGTTCTCACTCCAGCTCTACTGTGTCTTAATTTGGGATGTATCAAGCCACTTTTCAGCAAATGTCCTATTTTCACAATGTAAGCCATTCTTGCCAATAGTGTGGAGAGGAATCAAAAGTTCCCTAGCCTGTACATAGTGCATTTACCTTGGTCGTTTCTTTGGTATCCAGATCATAGATAGCACACCAGCCCTTTGACCTCTGATCAAAGAAAGAGATAGTTGTCCCTGCCCTGTTAGTACCACATTCTGAGGAACTATCCATATCCTGCTGGCTATATTCTACAGTGACATCAGAGAAAGGGATGGAAAGCTCACGATAAACACATTTTCCCTTTGGTACATATCTGCCTATGATGAAGAGAACAGCAGAGATGGCTACAAACACCTTTCATCGAATTCATTACTGTAGGGCTTAATTTTTCTAGCCCTAACCAGGATGATGCCAGGTAAACTAAGTTTCTTTGTTCCTTCATTTTCTCCATCTATAAAATGGGTATGGTATAAAAATGTGAATAAATGTATAGAAATCACATCCTGAAGTGAAACTATCTTTAACTTACCTAGCTGTTGCCTAAGGCTGAAGGCCTCAGCTCAGCTCTTTTTGTGGTAAGCCTCCAGGTGGCTGAGGGCAGGCTGCCAATACAGCGTGCCCTTCCCTTCTAGAGAAAGAAGGGAACGAATATTTACTGAATACCTTTAATAGCTTCAGACACTATGCTAGGCACTTAACAGATTATGTCTTATTTTAGGTACATACAGACAAAATTCTGTGATAGGGAATCAGATAAGTTGTGTGAGCCAAATCCAAAAGGCTAGTAAATTATAATGCTAAGTTCTGTTCACTTGTTGTTTTTGTTGTTGGTTTTTATTCTGAGTGTGACGTCTTTGCTGAAGAACACACTGATCTGACACTAAGTAGAAGAAATACTTAATTTTATAGAGTCCATTCTTTCAGGAGAATTTGTAATGTCCTCACTTATCTTGATAGCAGACCTATTACAGAGGTAAAGTACAGGGGAAGTAGCATAAATGTTGGGAAAATAGGGCTCAATATTAACTCTGCACTGATATGAGGAAGGTATAAATAGAAATACAGTGTCATGCTACAATTTCCCATATTCCCAGAATTATGGTGACAGTCAATAGATGCTTTTTCAATGAATATATTGAATTCCTATTGGGCTAAACTTCAAGAATGAAAAGGCCCTCCTAGCCATCACCACCACATTTGTGTCCCTGTAAGACAAAGCCAGGGACGTAAAGCCTTGGTCTTTCAATGTCAGGAGACAATAAAGCTTAGGGAATAAGAACAAGCATGTTGTAATCCTACAGACCTGAGTTCAAAACTGGCTTTATTACTTAATCATGGTGGGACCTCAGGCCAGTTTTACCACCAGCACATTTGTCCAGGGATTGTACGAATCATGTCTGTCTTGCTCTATGTCCTATTCTAGCACCTATAAGTCTGCCCGGTGCATGGGATGAGGGCAATTGATGTTTGTTAAATGACTGTCTTAAAATCCCTTAACCATATAATAAGCACTCAAACTACGCAATTTAGGATTTTTGCAGAATTCTAAATTTACAATTTGCACATAGTTGATGTTATCCAACATTAGAGATGGACAGACTTTGGCAACCACGTCTCTTTGTAGCCAAAGAAACTGTAGCCCAGTGAACAACTTGCCCCAACTCACCTAGCTAGGATTTGAACCTGGAATGCCTGATATGTGTTTGGCTACACTTAGTTATTTTCTATGTAAGCCCACAGGATTTTAGACATAGCTATTTTAATGATAAACACTGGTACAAAGACTTTCATAAGACATCAAGATTATCACTTGCTTGTTTGACAGAAAGAGAAAATAAAAACTTCTGAGGATATCCATTGATACAGATGATCCCCAAGTTTTTAGTGAGCATGCTCACTAAAAACAATGCTAGAGTTAGATCCACAGGTCAGAAGTGAAAGGTCACCGCTCAGGCCCTATCCGGTAATAATGAACTGCAGACAGCCCCTTGGGTACTTCTTAGTGAACTTCATAGGGAAAAAGAAAGCTCTCGCGCTCAGCAACTGGCTGCTCCCTATCTATCCTCAGGGATTGACTTGTAAAGAGAGGAACACTGGATCCCAAACAAAGTACATGTGCATGGTGCCTGTGTTTGATGCAAGTTGCAAAGAAAAAGAAATGTGATGGAAGAAATCAAAGTATTCTTTGTACAAAGTGGGGGAAAAAGAAAGAAAAGTATTGATAGCTAAAAATCTAGGCCACATGGTTCATATTTAGTTTCATGTTTATGTTTTCAGTAAGATATAAGCTGTGGTCTGGGCAATGCAAATTGTGGCTTTTTGATAGTCATAGTCGCAAACCTTTGAGTTCTCACGAAGGCTTATTTGAAGCAGCTTTCTACAACAGAAATCTCAACTCAGGGATCTTGTTATGCTCATCATACCTAGTAGGCTTCCGAGGCTAAAAGTACATTTGTTTTTCCTTTTCATAACAGTCCTTTTCAGAACAGTCATGTTCCACATAAGGGTATTTCTGCCAACTGCATATTTGACAGTGGTCCCATAAGATTATAATGAAGCTGAAAAGTTTCTATCACCTAGTAACAGCATAGCTGTTACAAGTCACAACACAGTGCATAATTCACATGTTTGTAGGAAGGCTGGTATAAACAAACCTACTGCAGTGACTTTTGTTCATTATTTTATAGTGTAATTATCTGTTTATAACAACAAAAATGATAACTGTAAAACAGCCTCAAGTAGCTCCTTCAGGAGGTCTTCCAGAAGAAGGCATTTTGATCACAGGAGATGACAGCTCCGTGATGCTATTGCCCCTGAAGACCTTCCATTTGGACAAGATGTGGAGGTAGAAGACAGTGATATTGGTGATCCTGATCCTGTGTAGGCCTACACTAATGTATTTGTGTTTTAGCCTTTAACAAAAAGTAAAATAAATAAATAAAATTTTAGATAGAAAAGTTTATAGAATAAGAATATAAAGAAAGAAAATATTTTTACAGCTATACAATGCATTTGTGTTATTATTACCAGAGTCAAAATGTTCTAAAAATTAAAAGGTTTATAAAGTAAGAAAGTTATGATAAGCTAAGGTTCATTATGATTGAAGAAAGAAAATTTCTTTATAAATTTCGTGTAGTCTAAGTTTACAATTTATAAAATCTATTGTAGTATACAGTAATGTCCTCGGACTTCACATTCACTCACCGTTCACGCACTCACCCAGGGCAACTTTTAGTCCATTTATGATGTGTCCCCTATGCAAGTATACCATTTTTAAATCTTTTATGCCATATTTTTACTGTATCTTTTCTATGTTTAGATAGGTTTAGCTACAAAACTCTTACCGTTGCATTACAGTTGCCTCCAGTCCTCAGTACATGCTGTCCATGTTTGTAGCCCAGAAGTGAGAGGTGACAGCCTGCTGGCAGTCCTCACAGCCCTCGCTCTCTCTCGGCGCCTCCTCTGCCTGGGCTCCCACTTTGGCGGCACTTGAGGAGGCCTTCAGCCCACCGCTGCACTGTGGGAGCCCCTTTCTGGGCTGGCCAAGGCCGGAGCCAGCTCCCTCAGCTTGCATGCAGGTGTGGAGGGAGAGGCGCGAGCTGGAATCGTGGCTGCGCGCGGCGCTTGCGGGCCAGCTGGAGTTCCGGGTGGGCGTGGGCTTGGCGGGCCCCGCACTCGGAGCAGCCGGCCGGCCCTGCCGACCCCATGCAATGAGGGGCTTAGCACCCGGGCCAGCGGCTGCGGAGGGTGTACTGGGTCCCCCAGCAGTGCCAGCCCACCGGCGCTGCGCTCGATTTCTCGCCGGGCCTTAGCTGCCTTCCCGCGGGGCAGGGCTCGGGACCTGCAGCCCGCCATGCCTGAGCCTCCCACCTCCATCGTGGGCTCCTGTGCGACCGGAACCTCTCGGATGAGCCCCGCCCCCTGCTCCGCCGGCGCCCAGTCCCATCGACCACCCAAAGGCTGAGGAGTGCGGGCGCACGGCGGGAGACTGGCAGGCAGCTCCACCTGCAGCCCCGGTGCGGGATCCACTGGGTGAAGCCAGCTGGGCTCCTGAGTCTGGTGGGGACGTGGAGAACCTTTATGTCTAGCTCAGAGATTGTAAATATACCAATCGGCACTCTGTATCTAGCTCAAGGTTTGTAAACACACCAATCAGCACCCTGTGTCTAGCTCAGGGTTTGTGAATGCACCAATGACACTCTGTATCTAGCTACTCTGGTGGGGACTTGGAGAACCTTTGTGTCCACACTGTGTATCTAGCTAATCTAGTGGGGATGTGGAGAACCTTTGTGTCCAGCTCAGGGATTGTAAACGCAGCAATCAGCGCCCTGTCAAAACAGACCACTGGGCTCTACCAATCAGCAGGATGTGGGTGGGGCCAGATAAGAGAATAAAAGCAGGCTGCCAGAGCCAGCAGTGACAACCCGCTTGGGTCCACTTCCACACCATGGAAGGTTTGTTCTTTCGCTCTTTGCAATAAATCTTGCTGCTGCTCACTCTTTGGGTCCACACTGCCTTTATGAGCTGTAACACTCACCGCGAAGGTCTGCAGCTTCACTCCTAAAGCCAGCGAGACGACGAACCCACCGGAAGGAACGAACAACTCCAGACGTGCCGCCTTAAGAGCTGTAACACTCACCGCGAAGGTCCAAAGCTTCACTCCTGAGCGGGCGAGACCACGAACCCCACCAGAAGGAAGAAACTCCGAACACATCCAAACATCAGAAGAAACAAACTCCGGACACGCCGCCTTTAAGAACTGTATCACTCACCGCGAGGGTCCACAGCTTCATTCTTGAAGTCAGTGAGACCAAGAACCCACCAATTCCGGACACAGAAGCAATAGGCCACACCACGTAGCCTAGGTGTGTAGTAGGCTATACTTCCTAGGTTTGTGTAAGTACACTCTGATATTCACACATCAACAAAATTATCTAAGGATCCATTTCTCATTGTATCCCCGTTGTTAATCCATGCATGACTGTGCTTGTTAAGCATTTATAAACACACAAAGAATTCATTCACGGCTCTGTAAAACACAATATTTCCTATCTCAGCTATATTTAAAATGCCCCAGCAAATACAATGGCTTTGCTCATGCTCTTCTCCAGTAGGTTTTCACCCTCGAAAGATCAACATGAAATAGAAGCTGATTGGCTCGGGGCTTTAGCAGTAGCTCCTGCAAGCAGCATCACAGCCTAGACTCCTGGAGTGATCCTGCCTCCTCTACTTCTTGTAGACACCAAAAGAGAAACCCAAGTTATCGCTAACCCCAGCCAACTCAAGTTGTTAACTGGAAAGCTAAATACTTTGCATATCTTCCTATCACCCAAATAACCCCAGAATTAACCTTCTAAGTTTCTCTGCTTCCTTATTTTGGCTTCTTACTTTCAGGCGGCTCTACTGCAAAGTGTACTCTATTACAAAAGTACATCTGACCCTGTTCCATACAGTCTTTTGAACTCCAGCAGGCCCTTGAACTCCCAGGATATTGGCCTGGCTTGTTCTCATGGTGATAGCAGAAAAGCAAGAGAAAAGAGCAGAATTGCTAACTGTCAAAGAGGCTTCTTGAGACACAAACATAGAATGGGCATATTGTTACTACTGTGGTCTTCTGGGAATAAAGGAAGACCACCCAAATGAGAAAAAGCAAAGGCTTTTTATTCAGAGCTTGATAGAGCAAGAAAGTCAGCCACTGTCACTTGCATATGACAGAATCAAAGACAGGCAGAGGTGTGGGAAGCTTTCTAGTGGAAAAAAAGAGAAGGCCTCAGGTGAGCTGCAATTGTAGGTTGTTGCACAGAGCAACTATAGGTGAGTTAACTGGGAGCGGGGCATCTTATGTGATTGGTTGGGGGTGCATATTTAGTTTTATCTAGTTGGTTCTAATTTGGAAGCAGGGGCAAACATTAGGAAAGTTGTCAGTTATTAATCAAGTCCTGACCATTTGTGGCCAATGGTTATGAAAGTTATTGTTTCTTTTTCTGGGCTGGGTGCTGCTGGATATTGTTCATTTAAATATGAAGTCTTTCACTCTCTTGGCAGAGTGAGTCACAAAATTAACCCCTATTCAAAGTTGGGGAAATAGACTCCACAGTTAATGGGAGGAAATGAAAAGCCACATTGCAAAGAATGTGGACACAGGGACATCATTACTTGAAGTCATGAAGGCAATCAGCCTAAAATAAGCTTCCAAGGTGTGTGAGGGACTGAATGTGAATTATAAGGAAAAAAAGGGGTCGAGGTTGATTCCAAGTGTTTTTGCTCTAAGTAACTGGAAAAAATGGAGCGTTAGGACCTAGACGACAAGGAGTAGAATTAACAACTTCATTTTGGATTTAAATATCTGAGTGGAGTTCGCAACTGGGTATACAAATCAGGAGGAAGTTAGAATGGAAATAATAATTTGGTAGGGAGTGACTCAAAGAAAAGAAAATAATTGGTAAGTCTTGAATATTAGAGAGATGCAGCAAAGCAGACAAAGAAGTGGCCAGTGCATTAGGGGGACTCCAAGAAATGGTGGTATCCCAGAAACACAGGGAAATAAATGCTTCAAGAAGGACATAATCAATATAATCAGCTTGTGTCGAATGTAGAGCAACAGGAGGACAAGGAATTCACCAGTGAATTTGGCAACAACTTGTAGATCAGTAATGGCCTTGACATTGGTGACCTCCTAAGATTGTTTCTAGACTGTCTTTTTCTCGACCCCCTACTCCTACTACACAGGGGGCCAGTAACACCCCTCTCCTGGAAGATCGCAGTAGACTTACTACTGGCCTCCCCACAGCTGCTTTGCCTTCTTCCCAATCACTGCCATACTGTAGCCTCCTGTGTAAGTCTGTGGGATTCTGAAAGGCTGCCACATCTCCTGACTCAAAACGGGCTTAGTTAATATTTTTTAAATAAATTAATGACATCAGATGAAGTCTGTGAGGTGCACAATATTGTCCCTGTTTTAAAGATGAGGAAACAGATTCAGTGAGGTCAAGACTTTGTTCCAGGAACTGAACAACAGTCTGCCTCACTCCTACCTGCTGACTTTTCATGTATGTGTGTCTGGGATGTGGGGGTGGGTGGTGCTCACCACTGGCTGGAGTTTCTCTTTTTTTTTTTTTGAGACGGAGTTTAGCTCTGTCGCCCAGGTTGGAGTGCAGTGGCTAGATCTCGGCTCACTGCAACTTCTACCTCCCGGGTTCAAGCAATTCTCCTGCCTCAGCCTCCTGAGTAGCTGGGAGTACAGGCACCTGCCACCAAGTCCAGATAATTTTTGTATTTTTAGTAGAGACGGGGTTTCACTATGTCGGCCAGGCTGTTCTCGAACTCCTGACCTCATGATCCACCCGCCTCGGCCTCCCAAAGTGCTGGGATTACAAGCATGAGCTACCGCACCCGGCCTAGAGTTTCTTAAGGACAGAGTTCATATATTATTCATTTTGGAGTTAAAACTCATCCCTGTGTTTCTGATACTAGTCTCAACAAATATTGACTGGATTGAGTTGCAGAGAATTGAATTTCATAGATTTGAGGTGAACTGAAAAAATATGCAAACCTTGTAAAAATATGTTTAGGTTTATCTTATAAATTTTATTTTCAGTTTATAATAGCAATTTCTGCCTCCCTCTTCCCCCTTTCATTGTTGTGGTTTCTTTCTTCGGGGAGATATTTTTTCATCCACGCTTGCAGCTAGTTGGCTCTGGCAGAGGTTACCTATTGTGCTTTCTGGCTCACCTCAAGTACTATTTGTGTTTGTCTGATGGAGAGAGAATTCAGCCCATTATGAAGCAATAGAAATTGTGTGAATGCTTTCAGCCTGGGAGTCAGTGCACTCACGGGAAGTAGGGCTCTCAAGCTCCGGCAGACTGCGGACCACTTAGGTGAAATAGACGAAGCCCACGAACCAACAACCGCCCTCATTCCCACTTGGGGCTGCCCCAAATGAAAACCACACCCTAAGAAATGGAAAGCTGGTACCACCTCTGATGAGCTGCAGACGAGACAGTGCCTGCTTTTATTAAATATCATAAACAAATAACTTAATAATACCCAAAACCAAACCATCGATGCTATCACACAATCTACAAGCATTAATGCCACAAGACCACTGGGTTCTCCAACTGTAGACTACCAGGTGGCACCCAACAAAACTTCAAAAATATCCTAATTAATGGTATTTTTACCCTTAATAATGATAATGGTAATAATATTGATAAAAATAATACATGACAATGTAACTTTCAGTCTGAAGTAAAGTTTATAAAGAAGTTCAATTTGATCTCTCAGAGCTATACATAAGTTTGGTTTTTGTTTGTTTGTTTTTGTTTTGTTTTCTTGAGACTGAGTCTTACTCTGTCTCCCAGGCTGGAGTGCAGTGGCGGGATCTCGGCTCACTGCAGCCTCCGCCTCCCGCGTTCAAGCAGTTCTTCTGCATCAGCCTCCTGAATAGCTGAGACTACAGGCGCACACTACCATGCCTGGCTAATATTTTTTTTTTTTTTTTCAGTAGAGACGAGGTTTCACCATGTTGGCCAGGATGGTCTCGATCTCCTGACCTCGTGATCCGTCCACCTCAGCCTCCCAAAGTGCTGGATTACAGGTGCGAGCCACCGCACCCAGCCCCATACAATAAATTTGTGAGGAATACTGAACAGGGATTATGGTGACTATTCCAGCACAGATGAAGGCTCAGAAAAGATGCATGTTAGGTAAAATGATTCATGGACAGGAAGTTACAAAGCCAGTAGATCCCCAACTCACACGCTTACTTGGCCATCTTGAGGGTCTGGGACTATGATAGACTGAATTACTGCTCCCAACTTTTCACTCCCTCTCTGTTACAGAAGTATACATCTGAACATGTTGCCATATAACTTTATAGTTCTTCCCCAAATGGGTGGACTACATTTTCCTGCCTCTGTGAGTTCAGCTGGCCATGTGACTTGCTTTGGCCAATAAAATGTTAATGAACATTTTATTGTGGGCAGTGGCTTTAGAGGGTTCCCATGGCTTGGCTGGCTCTCTTGCACTCCTATCATTCACTATGAGAAGATGCCTAGGATAGTGGTAGAAGGAAATTGAGAAGACATTTGGAATAGACCTGCATCCAACCTGCATGGCAGAGCCAAACCTACTTGAATCCATCCAGGTCCAGCTGAAATAAGCCAAATACCATCCAACTTACAGATCCAATGTGTGAGAAAAATAAATGTTTACTGCTATGAGCCAATGAGTTTTGGGGTTGCTTATTATGCAGCTCTATTATAGCAAGAGCTAAATAACACAGAAACTATGTCTTATTTTATGAGTGGGAATTTGGCTAAGGGGTGATGGATCTGTTGCCGTGTGCAGAAAAATGAGCACAAGTTTTGTAGTCATAACTCGCAGAACAAGCACTCAAATCCCAGTTGTGCCACATCTCAGCTATGTGACCTTGAGGAAATTACCTACTTGTCTGAGCCTTATTTCTGTTATCTACTAATCAGGATAATAATATCTATTTTGTAAAGTTGCTGCATGGATTAAAGGAGATATTTTATGTCAACAACTAGAACAATATAGGAACCACAATTTTCCATAATTGTTTCTGTCTCAGATCTGAGTAAAATGTCTTTTTTTTTAACCATATATGCTAGATTTTGGCCAACGTCGGGGGTCAGGGTCTGGAAAGGTATCTTTAGTATTACATGACTTTCATTTTATTTTATTTTAAATTCAGTGTACATGTGCAAGTTTGTTACATGGATTAAATTGCATAATGCTGAGGTTTGGGCTTCTAAGATACCCATCACCTAAATAGTGAACATTGTACCCAATAGGTAATTTTTCAACCCTCATTCCCTTCCCACCAGCCCCCCTTTTGGAGTCCCCAGTGTCTATTATTTCCATGGTTTTATCCATGTGTACCCAATGTTTAGCTACCACTTATAAGTGAGAACATATGATACATACCATGTGTTGAACCCAGGGTTTAATCAGGAAAGAAAGAAAGAGAGAGAGAGAAAAGAAAGGAAGGAAGGAAGGAAGGAAGGAAGGAAGGAAGGAAGGAAGGAAGAAAGAAAGAAAGAAAGAAAGAAAGAAAGAAAGAAAGAAAGAAAGAAAGAAAGAAAGAGAAAGAAGAAAGCAAGCAAGAAAGCATAGAAAGAAAGAGAAGAAAAAGAAAGAAAGAATAGAAAGAGAGAAGAAAAGAAAGAAAGAGAGAGGGAGGGAGGAAGGAAAGAAGGAAGGAAGGAGGGAAGGAAGGAAGAAAGAAAGAAAGAAAGAAAAAGATAAAGAAAGACAAGCAAAGAAAGGAAAGGAAAGGAAGAAAGAAGAGATGAGAGGAGGGAAGGAAGGAGGGAAGTAGGGAGGGAAAAGAGAGAGACAGAGAAGTAATAGGGGAGGGAAAGAAGGGAGAATGAGAGTTTAAATGCAACTAACCTCAAGACCTCACATAGGAAAAAGTGCTTCCTCATGCCATCCTCTCAATGCATTCCTCTCAGGCTTGCAGTGAGAGTACAGAGACTGAGCCCAGATATGCAAGAAGACTGTGGTGAAATATGAGAAATGAAAATGAAGAAGTTGACTAATGTGATTAAGATCACATTAATCACTAACTAACCAGTCATAATAAGTACCTGACTCCTGGAACTGCTTACTTGCACCTTCTGTTTGTGCAAGGTACATGGCTTGAGCTCAGTAATTAGGTGCTGATTGAGTATATCTGGGATTGTGCCATAACCTCTCTAGCCAGAGGGTTTATGTGCCCTCCAGGTCTAAAATTCTATGATTATGGCAAGCAAGATGTAAGCACAGTGAGATAAACACCACATGGAGGTGGTTCATCGGCTGGTTGCCTAAAAAAATGTTAGTGTATTATATGATAATATAAATGTTTTTGTTTCTGGCACAGATTCTTACTTTTAATAATGTTTAATACAATGTAGGTATCTCATTACCATGTATTGATATATTCATAACCAGCAACATTTGGCCCCTCTCGTTTCAATAGCAACAGCTGATATTTATTTTGAACAATTCTTTTGACGCCCTTCTCCTTCTTTAGGAAGGAGAGTGTGTACCATACTTTGCTAGGCACTGAAGATGCAGAAGTAAAAAAAAAAAAAAAAAAGTGTCCTTTCTATGATCTCTGTTCAATCAAATTCTTCATGGGTCTGGACCAGTCATTTTTGGCTCCTTATGAACAAGCAATTTCCCCAATGCTGATCCTCAATTTCCCTTTCTTCTCATGAGTTTGGTGAATCTTTGGGAGTAATTACAAATATTCCAGGAGTTTTTGACTCTCCATTTTATCTCAACCCTTCTCATATGTAATAAATTACTAGGTGGGATGTTTTTCCAGCTCACAAATTTCTCTCCTTTTAGCCATGCCAACTGCCCTCTGGTCACAGCTAAAGTATCCAGAGTTATGACACAAGAACCAAGCTGAATCAAACAAATTCTGTTATTCAAGAAATTGAGATTTGAATTCAGAGACACAGAAGACCCACAAAATTTACTTAAAGCAACAATTTGTTTTTTCTCATGAGCCTGTGGGTAGTTGGACAGTTCTGCTGATCTGAACTAGGTCTGGTGGGGCTCACTCATGTGCCTGCAGTCAGCTGCGGGGTTGGATATGCAGTTTTCAGATGGGTTTTCTCTCATAGCTGGGGGTTCAGCTCAGAAATCTAGGATGTCATAGCTCCACATCTTGTGCCACATCATCCATCTTGAGCCAATATCTTGTTTGCCACATCATCCATTAGGCTAGCCCAGGTATATTCTCATGGCAAAGACAGGGAGCAACCAAGAAAGTGGAAATCTGAAAGTGTATTAGTCCATTCTCACACTGTTATAAAGAACTACCTAAGACTGGGTAACTTAAAAAGAAAAGAGGTTTAGTTGATCTGTAGGCTGGGGAGCCTTCAAGAACCTCACAATCATGGCAGAAGGTGAATAGGAAGCAAGGTACACCTTACATGGCAGCAGGAGAGATAGAGAGAACGAGGAGAACTGCCAAACACTTTTAAACCATCATATCTCATGAGAACTCACTCACTACCGTGAGAACAGCATGGGGAAAAACCACCCCCATGATCCGGTCACCTCCCACCAGATCCCTCTCTCAACATGTGATTACAATTCGAGATGAGATTTGAGTGGGGACACAGAGCCAAACTATTTCTGCAAGTGTTATTCAAGTTTTTGCTGACACCATATTCACTACTGTTCCATGGCCAATTTCAGACTCAGCATGAGAGGGGGCTACAGAGTTACAGAGCAAAGGGCATAGATACAATGAAGTCTTTAATTGAGACCATTAATAAAAGTAACTAACCATAGATTTGAAGTCAATAACCCTAATGGCAATACTCTAGAAAAAAGATATGTGGAGGCTCACTGCTGAGTTCCCTAGAGAGCCCCTGATTTCTGCATTTCCAAGATTTGAATATTCAGTCATTTCTTTAATTAAATGAGCTACCCTAGAATCCTTCTGATAAATCTTTCCTTCTTAATTCCACCAGTCAGTTTCTGTTATCTTCCACACACAAAAAGTCATTATTATCATCATCTACAACGACCTTTAACTAGTATACCACTTTTTGCCAATTCTATATCCAAAAATCTCTCATATTCATCCCTTTCTTGCCACTGTTAACAGTTACTGTTTCAATTTGAACTTTCATTATCTCTAGCCTGAACCACTGCAATAGGATTTCTCAACCAGAATATTAAGCTGTTGGACGTGAACTCCACTGTAAATTGGCTTCTGGCCTTTAGTATTCCTCAGTTACACTATTTGGTTTAGTTATTGCACTAGGCAATTTCCAACTATCAGATGTCTCATACCTTACATAGAAGAGCTAGTTGGTGATTTTCTATGGAGTTTAATGAGAGTTTAGAAGCTGTGCAGTGTTTTCCACATTTTCCAAATACTTACATTGATTTTTCTAAAAAAATAAAAAATTCTTTTACTTTTTTTAGTTAGCATCTTATTTGAGGTCTCCCAGTCTCTCTGCCTCTGTATAGCATGTAAAAATAAATAAATAAATGGCAAAGAAATTGTCCTTTTAGAAATGTACTATTTATAATACCTTCAGTAAAGAAAATAACATTATAGTTTTACCTTTTAAGTAAATGTTATCTATCCAGCTCTAGGATATTGAAATTGTTCCAACAATATGATAATCTGTTGGTGTCAGGGAATTTAAAGATTGCATTAAAATTGAGTTGATGATAAGAAGAAAAGGAACCAGCCACTCAACTACAGCGGAACTGTAACAGTTTTTGCATGAATCAGAGCATGCTCTCACTCAGTCTTCTGTGGTTAACTATGTGTAATACTTGAAACACTGGGCATGCATATATTTAAAGAAGAGTTTTGTTTTATTCCAAGGACCTACACAGTTATACAACTGATACAGTCATACAGTATATATACAGTAATGGATTTTCCCCTCAATATATGATGAAAACAATATAAAGCTTATGATACCCTTTACAGAAAATGTTTTCACCTCCAAACTCCACCTTCATTTAGCACTTTTTTGGATTTTTTGTTCATTTTTGTTCTGAGGATGTATGGACTCAAGCAGGGGTTGGCAAACCAGGCTTGCAGACCAAATTTCACTGACTCCCCGCTTTTGTATTCCATTTGCTTTTATAAGTAAAGTTTTGCTGAAACGCAGCCATGCTCATTTATTTACATGTGGTCAATGGCTGGTTTTGCTCCACCTCAGCAGGTTGAGTAGTTGCTACAGACACGATATGGCTCATGAAGCCTAAAATATTTACTATTTCCCAAAAATGTGTGCTGGCTTTGGTTCAAAGGAAAGAGGATTTGCTTGGGGTAAGTAGATATGGGAGATACCTTTTAGAAATGTACCATTCATGACATCTTCAGTAAAGAAAATAACATTATAGCTTTACCTTTTAAGTAAAGGTTTTATTCTGAAGAGAACAAAGCTATGACTTTCGGCAGATTAATTTTCTTCTTAGAGCCTGGCTTTTCTCCTTGTTAAATGGAAACAATAACCCTAGTTTTACAGAAGTGTTATGAGAATTAAACAAATACATGAATAGCTTGGACCTCACAAACAGTAATTTTTCCAACCTTCATCCCTTACCCTCCACATACATCCTACACCCCTTCACTTGAGCTGTATAATTCAAACCTACAACAACTTACGTTTTAAATCATTTCAAAAATCATGTTTCAAAAAAAATCACATATGAAGGACAAAAGCCCAGCCTCTTCATGATTTCTGAATGGGTGTAATTTCCTAGTTTTCTCTTCCCTTTTCTTTCCCCTGATGTACTTCTAAAGGGATGGAGCAAACAGCGCATCTACCAGTTTGGGTAAGAATCACCCTATACAGTGAGAGCAAAGCGGCACATTAAAAATGCAGGTGTGGTTCCAAGTTATTTAAAATCAATGCAATTTAAGGTCCACAAAATGATTCTCTTGCTGTTAAAAATGGGATTTGGTTGCACCTAAAGTTCAGCATTCATAAATTCATATTAATGCTTGACAATTAAATTATAGATTGTAGCTATTACGGATATTCTCCAAAGAAGTGCCAAATTCTCTAGTGAGAAGTTCTATTGATCCTTGAAGTCTTTTTGCCATAATTTTAAATACGTTTTTGTGCTTCTGTGATTAGGAAACAGATGTTCAAGAAGATCACCACAATTTTCAAGTTCAAGTTTGATAGTCTGCAGCTTTCATCCTCATCCCCAAGAGCAGGTTCCCCGTCTCCTAAACCCTGTTCATGCGTTTCATCCATGACCTTTGATTCCATTTCCTAAGCAAATGAAAAGGCTAATTTCTAGGTCCAGGATTGGGGAAAATATCCAGGAGTCCAGATGAGAACTTGCCTGTAGGTTGCTGTGTCCAAAATGGTCGTAGGCTATTGCAGAAACTGTTCAGTTTGGATGAAAATGAACTCTAGTTAGGTAGATTGCCTAACAGAGTAAATAACTTAAAAAGAAAAAACAAGGGTGAGTAACCAGTACGCAAATCTCACTGGAGGGATAATAATAATGATAATGACTGCTTTTTTATATATATGCTTTCTTTGCACTGGGCAGTAGGGTAAATTTGTCAGTAGGATGACTATGGTTATAAAGATTATTCATGGCATAGCACTGAGCACATTGTGAATGTCACCCCCTAGAGTCAAGCAGTGTGCGGCCTGTAGTCATTCATGGCAGGCCTACATCAATAGATTATAATTGTATTATTGCACTGAAGATTTTCTACATACTTTACCTCATTCAATATCCACAACAAACCTCTGAGGTAGATTTTGTCACCCTCTTTTCTAGAGAGCTATCCAAATCTGGAAACTGATTACCAGAGAGGTTAACTAACTAACCCATGTCCACACAGCTACTAAGCAGAGGACCCAAAATTCAAACCCAGGTCTGCCTTGCTCCGTGTTTTTCTACCATTCCACTGTGCCGCCCCTTAATTTTGGATTGTTAGTGAATACCTTTTAGAACACAGGAAGTTGAGGAGCTTTTACAGTTTGCAGTATTCCACCAGGACTGAAGCAATTTCCTGGGAAAGAGAAGAAGGCTCACAGAAGGAGACAGAGCTCTTTGAGGCCATGGTGGGGATACCATTTAGTAAACTGTTGGATGAGGCTCTGAAATGGAAAAGGCAATGATCAACTCTGAAATAAAATCTCTGTGAATGGGTCTAACATGCTCCCAGAGGGTCAGCTTCCTCGAGAAGAAAGGCTACAGGGTTAGTACAGGGACAACACTGTCAATTGCTAACCCAGTTTCTGATAAGAATTTATTTCCCCCATAATTATATCAGAAATCAATGCTTCCAGCTTTAATGGTCAACCCACACTCAGTTGGCCTCTTTATCTTATCATGAAGCTTTATTTGGATTTAAACATAACCATAATAATTAACAAAGAACCCAAGTCTAAAACCACCCAGTTATTTATTGACTGTGAAAAGCAGGTTTCACATGAGGTGATTTATAAGAGAGATTATAAAGGTAGTGCTACAAGCCCTAAAGACAATGAAAAGAGTCAAAGATCTACTCAATTTAGCCAACTTTGGACAATATCACCATCTCATTTTTGTAGGCAGCTTGGCCTAGGAAAAAATACACACTTTGGAATCTGAAAGACCTAAGCCTAAACCTTAAACTCATGAGCTATGTGCCCATGGACAGTTACTTAGCCTCAATTTCTTTCTCTTAAAATTAAAATGATGCTATCCATCTCTTTTGATGTAATGTAAATTTATAAGAAAGTATTCCTAGAGAGCCCAATACATTGTACGTAGCACATAGTGGGTATTCTGTAAAAGTTCATTCTCCTCCCTCTACCTTCAATGTCTGTGATTTGTTGGCCTTGGAAACTTGATCTCAGAATCTCAATTCACATAAACCTGTCAATATTTGATTGCAAGCAACTTGAGAGAAATTGCCTATGGTTATACCCAACACAAAGTTGTTTCAGATTCCTGCCTTGGAAAGATAGAATCTTGCAGAGCAAAAATAAGAGTGACTTTTATTCATTAAGTCAATCAGTGTCATCAGGTATGAGCACCCGCTCTGTGTAATGATCAAGACTCATGCTCAAGGACAGGAGGTAATTTTAATTTCAGAGCCCCGCTATTACCCAATTTCAATTTCAGAGCCCTGCTATTACCCAATCAGAATATTCCTTGCCTAAGATTCTTCCATTAACAAAAGACATTGTGTCTTGCCAAGTTTCAGTAAGAACAATAATACCAAGGAAAGGATTACAGAGTTATAATACCAGTTAAAATATAAGAATACCAGGTTATGGTATGAATATTCCCACTGATAAACTTATTCTCCCTAAACTTACTGCAGGAAATAGAGTGCTTTAAGGGAATTGTTTGGAGAGTCAAAGAAAAAAATCAGTTACTTCACAAATATGTCCTACTTTATGATGTAAGAGTTTGAAGATACTGTTTCTTCCCTAAGGCTTATAGTTTCACCAGGAGACAGTGCAGAGTGAGATACTGGAAAAAGCAACACTCAGTGTCAACCATGCCCAAGGGAGACATCTGCTTCCCATGATTGTCAGGACTCAAAAGACAGCTAACCCGCAAGTGAGTGTCACATAGAGAAAGAGAAACCACCAGGCAACAGTAAGTCTCAAAATGATGTCTTGGTTGACATATCTTTGTGATAAATTGCATCTATGGCTCTAATTCCCCACCCCTCCCTATTTCCATATCCTTTGCCACGTACTGTACTTTTGTAGTGCCCTTCAGTATAAGTGAGGGCACTCTTTGCTCATTTACTTTTGACCCAGCCATGTGATTTGCTTTAACCAACAGAATGAGATGAAAGTGAGGTGTGCCTGTGCTGAATTTAGGCCTAAAGAAGTCCTGTGTGCTTTCCCTTGCTCTAGGCTGGCCTGATGGTTCTAGCATAAGAGACATGGAGCAGAGCCACCGGCAGCCAAGCCCAGCCTAGACAAACCAATCCCCAGCCAACCCACAGACTATGAACAACAGGAAATGGTTGTTTGAGGTTGACTTGCTACACTCAATATCTAACTAACACACTTCAATATTTTTTCTTCACAATAAAATCAGAGGTACCGTAAGATCCACCAACACTGCAAAATAAAATCAGAGCCAGGAAATGAAAGGGAAATGAGAGGAAAAAGATAAGAAGATTATGGGTGAGGAGCATGCCTCTGAATTTTTCTCTGAGGCTAAAAATCCTAATAATTACAAATACAGAAGGAAAAAAGTAGAAAAGACACCCAAACCCACAGACATTTCTAGTGACCCAGACAGCATTCACCTGAAGTGTGGGTGCACTGGAAAGTCACAGTCCTTAGAATGAGAATTTGGGTCCTCAACTGATACATAAATGTTCTGAGCACTTTTATCTTACCAGTTAAAACAGGAAAATGATATTTCTTTTTTATACAGTAGACATGAGGATTGGAAACAATAGCAAAATAGAAGAGAGTAGCACCTGACAAATTAGCAATAAATGATACGTACTGGTATTGGTGATAATTAAATGTCAGCTTAATGTTCTGGTCTCTATACTCTGCCTATCTTTTCCCCAAGACTTGGTTAATTTATCCCCCTCTACACATCCTTGTTCCCAAATCCTTTGACTTGCTCCTGATGTGGTGAACTAATAGCTGGATCTTACAGTCCTGTCCCTGACAATGATGACAATGTAAATAATTTTTTAAATGATGACATTTAAATCAGTTGAAGTGCTTACCAGGCAAGTAACTAAGCACTTTATTTACATTGTATCTTCTCCACATACTGGCTCTGCTGTTTTATCATCGTCTCCGTTTTACAAACAATAACATTGAGAAGCAGATACATTAATTACCTTTTCCAAGACTACTGCCATTAAGAGGGAAATAAAAGATTTAAATCTGGAATTTTAGAGTCTGGTATCAAAGACTGTCTTTTTTACAGCTACAGAAATCACCCACCTCCCATACTTTCAGAACTTTTCCATGGCTGACAGGTTCATAACTCAGTACCCTCTGCCTCTAGGACCAGTTTCTTAGTGAGTAGATGTGATGATGAGTTGAAGTAGGTGCTCTCGACCCCTAAGCAGATGCCAGTGACAATTTCCAACCCTGCTAAAGTTGTAATGGCAAGGACTCTGTACCCCTTACCAGAAAAGATACTACAGAATAATTCCCAACCTCCCTACGCCTCATGGGCATAGGGAGGTTGGGAATTATTCTGTAGTATCTTTTCTGGTAAGGCGTGCAAAAGGAGGTGCTGAGTGGTCAGGCCACTGCTGTCTATGGGCGTTTACTTTCTGCTCTCAGACATTTCTCAATTAGGCAGTGTAGCAACTCAGTCAGTATGTTCTAGGAGGTCACTCTGGGAAGATTAAAACAATGAGTTAAAGTTTCATTTTAGACCCTTAATAGCCCAATCAATAATTTAGGGAGCAAAGAAAACATTTTCTGGGAAAGCATTAGCTTAAAACTGAAAAGTAGCTTCTCACCCCTTGGAAATTACACAGTTTTAGCAAGGGTGGAGTCAAGGCAGAAGAGGCTGACAACTCCTTTTCAAATATTCTCTCTTTCTCTCTCTCTCTCTCTCTTTCGTTTTTCTCTCCATACTTCTTCCTCTCTCCTATCTACTCCTCTCTCTTGTTCTCTGCACTACTTGTACTACTATTTGGTATTTTTTTCTCATCTTTCTAAATATTGCAATTACTGGTGCAATAACTAATTAGTACCATAACAAATCTGTTGCTATAAATTATTTTTTCTTGGAAACAGATCAAAATCATTATCTACTAATGTTTAATTTCACTTGAAGTGTTAGCCCCACTTAAAATTAAAGATTCACCTTAAAGAAATTTCTTCAATTTGAATCAAAATTGTACTTTGTCCGATGTGCTTGGCTGACTAAAAATGTTTAATTTAAAAATGTAAAAATAGATAAGATTCTAAGAGTTCCAAAGCTGTTTTAAGACTTTATGTGACAATTAATAATATATCCAACTTGCTCAAACCTTTGAACTGATATTCAGGAAACTATTTCAAAATGCCTATTTTTCCTCTCTCTAGTTATTGCTGATTGCAAATGCACTAAGAAATCCATTTGGTTTGGGAACAAGCAAGACTTCAGAGAAAGTAACCTGACAAAGACTTTTGCCTCAAAATTTGTTGATCTGGACTGAATTATAATACAAAATCATAGCCTAAAAATCCAAATGTCCTATACTTTTTTAGTAGCCTTAATGATAGCTCACCCAAACAGTTCAAAGTTATAACAGAAATTAGACTTATGAAAGAAAGTTGGTCCTGAAGTGGTCCCTGATAAAAAGATGGAGAACAGAAAACTAACAACTAACAAATGATAGACAGCTTGTCCTTTCTTGTCCTAAAGAAAAATAAGGCATTTGGATGGATTAAATATGTTAACTGTAAGAGTATAGTCACATCCCTCCCTCATCCATGGCAGACACCTGCAAATCCCTCAAAAGCCTGCATATCAGGGGATTGGAGTTGTCAAAGAGAAAAATCCCTATTTGGTATCCCAGGACTAGATGACTGTTCAAACTTTTTAAAAAATATTGTAAGTCTTTAAAATGGGATTATTTTTTCAAGTTCACAAGGCTAAGGTAATGGCTAAAACCTGGTATCTTGATTTCTAGGTTAGTTCATGTTTATAAATTGATATTGTCTCTCTAAGTCCTACCCACACCCTCTGTGCCTTGTGACATTACCGTGATCAGGAACCCAGGCACATGCTGGTCTGTCTACTGCTGACACTGCCCCAGGAGAGATCCCTACTGAGCTGCCATCCACTTCTACCCAACTTCCTTAGTGAGACCTTAGTCCATTCCCCAGGCAGTGGACCTCCAACTTTAGCTGCATTAAAATCACTTCAATGCCTGATAAAACACAAATTGCTGAGAGTTTCACACCCACAGAGTTTCAGTCCCCATAGGTCTAGATGGGGCCGAAAACTTTTCATTTCAAACATGTGTTTTGGGACAATTTTCTATGAGTCTCTTGTATTTCTGCACATCTTGCAAGCAGAGGCACTATCTTCCTTTTTTTGTGGACTACTTTTCAAGGATGTATTTATACTTAAATACAAGGATATTTTACTACTCAGAAGATAATAAAAGGTGGGTGTATTTGCTGTCCTATATAATAAAGATAATAATGTCTCTGTCTAGAACAAAGGTCAGGCGGGTTTCCTGTCCATTATGAAAGATTAGAATTCCCTAAACTCATGATTCTTCTCCTGTAATGCAAGCCACTGCATGTGCAGGCACTTTCCGGCCTTACTGGCATTGCCAGTGGTAATCAAGGATTGGTGCAAGCACTGTAATAACATGTTTCAATTTATTTATAAGGTTTTTTGTCCACATCCCCTTTCTAGTACATCCACTGAGTTCAGGACTCCTACTGTTTTTATTCCTGTTTTGGTCCTAGGATTAAAACAGAGCCAGGTACAGAGTGGGTGCTTGATAAACATTTGCTGAATGCATGAATAAATACATAAAAATTAATGATCAACAACCCAGCAAGTTTAGTACAACTCTTAACTCCATTTTATAGATGAGAAAACAGAAGTTTAGAGAGTTTAAGTAATTTGGCTAGAATCACAAAGCTAGAAAGTTGTGAAGCTGGGATTTGAACTCTTCCACCTAAACTCATAAACACGATATTCTACTTCCTCTCTAACATGTATATGTATATCTGTGAAAACAATGAGAACAGACTAGGTGAGTAGTGGCTACTTGACAATCCTGGTGATTGTTTTCTTCTTTCCACATACCTACACTTTCTAAATTTTCTACCCAAAAATGAACATATGTATATAGATAGATAGATAGATAGATAGATAGATAGATAGATATGCATATATATGAGTATATATATAAATTTTATAATGAGAAAAAAACTATTTTTTTTTGAGACGAAGTCTCGCTTTTGTCCCCCAGTCAGGAGTGCAATAGCGTGATCTCGGCTCACTGCAACCTCCGCTTCCTGGGTTCAAGCGATTCTCCTGCCTCAGCCTCCTGAGTATCTGGGATTACAGGTGCGTACCACCACACCCAGCTAATTTTTTGTATTTTAAGTAGAGACAGGGTTTCATCATGTTGGCGAGGCTGGTCTCAAACTCCTGACCTCAGATGACCCGCCCATCTCGGCCTCCCAAAGTGCTGGGATTACAGGTGTGGGCCACCGTGCCTGGCCGAAAAAAACTATTTAAAAAAAATCTACTAATGGCATTATTTCAATGATGCTTCCACCACCAAAAGTACTTCCAATGTCTCCTCTAGAATTTTCCTCAGGAGTAGTAAACAAAGCACACAAGAAAATGATTCTTCATACATTGTTATGCTTCATCTTGACCCCAAGTGGGCTTGGCCCCCTCAATCACTCCCTTATTTAATTCACCAAACCTGATATGATTTCAAACAGCATTAATTTTTTTCCCAAAATTAAGCTAGACAAACATTTGCAACTGCTGAAGAAGTTAAAAGAAATCAATATAAACTCTAAGGTCAACCCCTCATATAGGTTCCAAAAACAATCTTCAGCATCTGTAAAATTCGTGGCTTAGTCTCCGAAGACCATTAAACATAAACTATCATTTTTTCTCTATATAAGTTTTAAAAGTCAACATCCTTAAATCAAAGTTGTATTTCAGGTTTTTCTTTATTATAAATCTTTGAAAAGTGGTTGTCCTCATGGCGGGCAATTCTATCAGCCTGCTAGCAAGAACCCACCCGGCTGTGCCCCACCCCTAGGCTCCCTGACCAAGACAGCTCAGAGTTTACTGGAAACACAAAAAAAGGAATTATGCATTCCCGGGCAGCACTCAGACCCATGTCATTTAGATTCACTAAGATAATCAGTATTTGATCATTAAGAGAACACTGTACTGTTTACAGTTTTCAAGCATTTGGGACATTCTCCTTTGTTCATTATACCCAATTAGAAATCTGAATTAAGGTTTCCATTAAGCAAACACAGATCTCTTTTCCCATGTTTGTTGTGGAACAGAAGCCAACAAGCCTCTTTAATTTCCTTCCAAGTTTTGTATATGAATTACATTGTTGAGAATGGAGTTTGGTAATATAATTGTTCTCACTCTGTGCATTTGGGCCAACTGGTAGAAGACAGCACGACTCAATCAAACCTCTCTCTTCTGAAAACCATTATAATTTTTCAATATTATTGCCTTAGCATTTGGAGATACATTTGCAGAATTTTGTGAAAATCAACATATACATTCTGTACATTGTCTTTATAAATTATCTTATGATTCCATGAAAAGAACCCCACTTTGGAAATCAAGAAATCTGGATTCATGGTTCACTTCCATTTACTAACTGGAGGATTTAGAGAAAGCTATTTAACTTCTCTGAGTTGAAGTTTTCTCAGAATTAAAATACTGGATTTACAATTCCAGTGCTAACTACCCTATAAAATTATTATCAAGATCAAATGAGATTATATATATGAAAATGTTGATAATGTTTATTTAGAATTAACAGTCACATAATCAAATTTCATTGAAGGTAATCCTCAAAGACGTACCTAATTTACAATTTGACTCTCCAGAAATGCTTCATTACAACACAGTCTAATGTCTCATTGGAACATTTAATCTATCAACAAAGAGCATAATAGGAGGACAGTCTCTATTTAATCATGCAAGAATAATTGTAATAGGAAGGTTACACTTGAAACATCAGCTCCTCGGGGTGGGGGATGGGAGTGTATTGTGCTTCAGCTTTCAAATTCACAAAAATGAATCCTTCCTTCTTGTGTGGCATTTCACAGTGTTTTTGTCTTGGGAAAGGGGCGGGGCAGGGGCTGCAGAAAGAGGGACAAACTGGAAAGGTCTCATTTCTTTTCAATTACTACAGCCAGACTCCAAGGACATCATTCACAATGGGTAGTACACAGAGATGCTCCCTTCAGAAAACACTTTAATTACGGGCTGCTGGCATGTGTCCAGGAGGGAGCTGGCTATCGGGGACTGGGAGGCTGAATCCCCAGGGGGGGACACAAAGTAATTACCATCATCAACAGCAATTGTAACAATACTGGAGTTGGTCTGCGGTTGTTCGCAAACAGGCAATTCCTTTTATGCAGACATTCCAGTTGACCCCCTTGTGCAGAAGCTCCAGAAGTGGAAAAAAAAAAAAAAAAAAAGCAGGATATAACCTTTTCCTTCTTAATCATCAACATTTAGCAGGGTAAATGTCATCTGCTGTCTGACTTTTCATTAACCATATAGAATTCTGGGAAACCATCCCTGCATTTAGAGACAAGCTTTAAAAAAAAAATGATTTCCCCTATTTCTTTCCTTTTTGTTTTAAAAACCAGCTATTTCATTTTCATGATGTCCCACCATGGGGATTGCTGGAGGTGCCACCTTGCAATGTCCTCATCAAAAGTTTCTTAAGGCAGAATTGTCAGAAGCAAATTGGGTAACTGTGCCAATGAGGAGACTCAATTTAACTGTCATCAGGAAATTATAAAATAGCTTATCAGAGATTGAATGTGAAGGAAAGACCCCGAGGATTGTCATTTAAGAAGCAGTAGGTTAAACTGTGTAGGGCAGCTTTCCTTTAGCTCATTAGTACTTAAAGTCACAAGCATTTAAAGATCTAAGTCCCACCAAGGGAACAAGCCTGCCTTCGGTACTCCTGCTGAAGAATGATTAGCTGGAATTAACGAGAGCATCGCTAGGGATTTCTTCCCAGATCAACTCAAACAGCAGGTACCCTGATACAGAAATCTTAGGAAACAGTTAACCTGGTTCAGCAACCCTGTATGCATGCCACAGCAGTGTGTACTTCAGGCATTTTCCCTCTGCAGAGCAGAATGTCACCAGGAAATTACTGAGATAAAAACACATCCACCCTGCACCTGTCACAAGTCATGTCATGATGAGAAAAATTACCTAGTGATGCCCAGTTCTGTGGATGTCTCCATTTTATTCCCCAGCCTGCCAGTCACTCATTTGTAGCTCCATGAGCAAATTCCCGTAGGCAGGGTTAATGGTTGGGGGAGGGGAGAGGCAGCCATCAGTCAACTATTAGTTTTAGCAAGCATTTCACCAGTCTAATTCATTTTGTCTACACTGACAAGAGGCATGCAGTGTAGGACAAGGACGGCATCCACACTCCAATCTTAGGTTATCTGAGCACAATCTCCACAATGCCTTAGACACACACTCCTGGGTAGATGGTTTTCCTTGACTATGAACCAGCTTGCTGAGCAGAATGAGCACCCCTGATTAAATTAAATTTCAGGCTATGGTCTTAGTTTTGCAAAGTCTCATAGCTGTCATTAAAAATATAATATTACTAGAAGAGTTGGGGCTTGTCATCAGGAAACCTGGGCTTGAGTCCTGGCTCCACCACAAACTGCATGACCCTGTGCCAGTCACCGGAGCTCAGGAACCGCATCTCTAAAATTGGGATAATCAGGAGAATACTCATCTCATAGAATTAAGTATCAGCCTTAGCAGTGTATTTCCAAACATGCTGGAAAATACCAAGCAAAATGCAAATGCTCACAGTTATTACTGTCAAGAGAAGAGAAATGCAACTGAATGGATACTCAAACCAAGATTTTCCTGTTGGTAGCTCATTTAAAGTTAGCTGGGTGTGGTGGCACTCGCCTGTAGTCCCAGCTACCTGGGAGGCTGAGGCAGGAGAATCGCTTCAACCTGGGAGGTGGAGGTTGCAGTAAGCAGAGATCGCACCACTGCACTACAGCCTGGTGACAGAGGGAGACTCTGCCTCAAAAAAAAAAAAAAAAGAATAGTTATAATTAAATAAAACAGTGGAATAAAATCTTTATGTCATTGGTCAAAATTTTTCCAAAATAAAACAGACTACAGGGTGGAGAAAAGGCAATTTTGATTCATTAAATATCCCCATTAGTTGAGGTGCAGTTGGTATGTATATAACACTACTGAGCGTAGAGTGTGTTTATCAGTATTCTTGGCTGCAAGTAACAGAAAACAATTGGCTATCTTCAAAGGAAAAATAGGTATTAGAAGTTTAGCAAGGGAACACAGAATCCTTAACAGGCTTTTTTTTAAAAAAGAAAAAAAAAACAGACTTCAAAAGCGGCAGGAAAGGAGGGGCCTGCGCAGGGCCAAGAACACAAATGACGATGACCATTTTGTTAGCAAGAATTCTAACCATTACAGACACCCATTACAGACACCACCATCCCACTTTGGATGTCTCCCAAACTCTCCTGGTCTTTGCGGAACTTGTTTCCAATTCGCAGTCCTGAATGGAGGCATCAGATTGGCTCAGCCTAGGTTATCTGTGCAAACTCTTGCTAACGGGTAGTGGAAGGATGTATGGTTTTTACTCTAGTTTTTAAGAATGGAGATGGGGCAGGTGGGATGTTTCCCAAAATAGAAAGATAGATGCCAAGCAGCCAAAAATGGCAGCTGTCGCTGGTGACTATTGGGTGTGGCCTACATGCCAGACCCTTTTCACATTTTGTTTCACCAAATCCTCCCAAGCACCTGGGAAGATGTTATCATGCCCATAGTGCAGATGAGAAAACCAGGGCTCAGGTAACATTCGTGCATTTTCAAGAATTGTGCATCTAGTACGTGATGCCAGGTCTGTCCTATCCAGCTGGCTTACTTGCATGTAAATTGCTTTAAGCTTTGGACTCAGGGCTGAAAGAAATAGCAAATCAGAAAAGAACCTTGTGAATCAACATGACAGGAGAAGAGAGTGATGAGAAATAAAATCAGTCTCCCTTTTCCTCTGTGAATACAAGGCCTGGTGTCTCCTCTGCTGGTCTACACCTCACACAGGAGGGTGTAGAGGAGGTACGTGGGTAACAATGCTACTGTCCATGCCTTGCACACTCTGGTGGCTTCACCACCCACTGGAGCAGAAGTTGGATCCCATCCTTCCATCAGGAAGCTATTGCTGTGCTGTATGAACTTGGCTGCCCCGGAAATGCTGATGCTCCCTAAGCCATGAATATTTATGATTTCTATTTTTCCAAGCACCAATGACTTAACCCAAAGATGATGTCGATCAGAAAAAGATCAGTCCCCACCCTAGAGATTTTATCTTCCCTGGTAAACTGATGACATTAAAAACAACAATGGAAATTACTGGCTGTGTGTTTTATTTCCTGATATTTTAACCATTTTTATTCATATGAGACTGGACAATGGAGTGAATAATAATAGTTCGAATTTCATGTCTGAAAACTTTTCATACACAATTATAAATATTGTTTTCCTTCAACTCTCTGGGCAGGATAGAACAGTAAAGTATAAAGTTTCAAAATAAAAGCTGGACTAGGATCTTTGCTCAGCTAGCTATTAACTGATTACCTTGAAGTAAGTTACTTCACCTCTCTGAGCCTCAGTTTCTCCATCTGTAAAATGGAGATAATAATACTGAATTCATAGGGTTATTGTGAGAACTCTGCACAGTACCTGGCATTTAGTAAATATTAAATAAAGGAGAGTTATTATTATCCCCATTTTACAAAGGAGAACTTGGAGAAATTAAGTTTCTCCAAAATCACAGGCAGGATCACAGGCTACAACAAAGACTTAAACCCAGCCTTTCGATTCTAAATACAGGATGTTTTCTATTATATCTCTAAACCTTATACTTCCTAGCCCACTTCTCACTGGCCTTTGCACACATACTACCTTGCTGATTCATATTTATTTTTGCATTCATTATGATTAGGAAAGAGGTAATAAATTCTATTATTGGCCCAATAGGTTTGTAATCTCTGAATGTTAAGTGTTATCTCCCATTGTGAGGCCCCTTTGGCTGGGTACATCTCCAGCATCTCTCCTTTCCCTTAGTGTTCTGCTAAGAATATGTTTCCCCATGTCTGCTTTCTAGAATTTCCCAAATTCACATTTTTGTGTGACCTTGTAAATGCATTCTTAACATTCACTCACTGCAAGGTGAAGTAGGACTTCCTTGCCTGAGGGGTACTGTCACTCACTACCGCATTCTTTACCCAAGTACAAAGCAGAATCAAAACTCAGATTCATGAAGTAACTTAGGGAAGGAAGATCAAGGAACAGATACAAAAACAACACATGAGAAATTGAGGATATATATGTCTTCATGTAAAAACAAAAAAATCCAATAATCAACAAAGCCCCAAAAGATTGGCAAATTCTAGGCAGCATTAGAAAGGGTTTAGAAATAAATGGAGTGAAATAATATCTGCCCTTGGTAGATATGCTCATTCTCGGTATGAGCCATAAGAAAACTATAAGGTGATTTTATTAAACTGTAAAAAAAAGAAGTTTTAAATTATTGATTCTAATTTTTTAATATGTGTGAAAAATAAATTCATAATGAGATGTACATTTTCCTTAAAATACTCCCTCAGAATACAGCAGTGGTGCCCACCCAGGAAGCATTGGCACTCTGATACAGATGGTAACAGCTCCACTCCATCACTGTTTTATTTTATGAGACTGATGTCTTGGAAAGTTGCATGGATCTTAAGATCAGACAGACCTTGTATTAGTCCATTCATACTGTTATGAAGAAATACCTGAGACTGGGTAAATTATAAAGAAAAAGAGGTTTAATGGACGTACAGTTCCACATGGCTAGGGAGGGCTCACAATCATGGCAGAAGGCAAAGGAGGAGCAAGGCACGTTTTACATGGTGGCAGGCAAGAGAGCATGTGCAGGGGAACTGCCCTTTATAAAACCATCAGATCTTGTGAGGCTTATTCACTATCATGAGAACAGCACGGGAAAATCCATCCCCATGATTCAATGACCTCCCACAGGGTCCCTCCCATGACATGTGGGGATTATGAGAGCTACAATTCAAGATGAGATTTGGGTGTGGACACAGCCAAACCATATCAGGCCTAAAGGCTTGAATCCTGACTCAGCCTTTTAGTAGCTGCTACAATTGCTTTTCCTTCCTCAGCCTCAGTTTTGCCATCCATAAAAGGGGATACCTCTCTCAGGATTGTATAGAGATTCAATTAGCATAAATCAACACTGAATCAATAAATGTTACTTTTATTCCAAATACATATTACAACATGTAGTAGATGCATTTTGTGTCCATAGAGTGGACTTTCTTTTCCCAAATTCTTCAATTGTTATTTTACTTTATCATCACAACCCTGTGAAGAAGACAAAGTAGATGGAATTAAACCTACTTAATATATAGAAAAACTATGGCAGCGAGGTTATTTAGAGCTGCTCAAGATCACAAGCCAGCTAGTGGCCAAATTGAGCTAGATTCAAGTCCTCTGATTCCCTGTCTATTCTTCTCTGAGCATCTTCTAGGTCTTTGTAATGCTGTACTTGAATGTTTCTATCCAGACATATCCCCTGAGTACTCAGGTGTCACTTTTCCTCTCTTCCATTTTCTTCCATTGATTCACAATGACTTGGCTCTTCTTTGGGCATATATTACCACCTATCTATTATTTATTTAGAGGGAAATGATTAATACAAGTGCTAATGTTAATTTCTATTTCCTTCAAAATATCTCGCATCTCATAATTCCTTCCAAGGAATGTTTTGAGTATTAAAAATATGTACAACTAGACATCCATATGTTAAAAGGTATTTATCACTATCTTGGCATGGGTCTGAACTTAGAGTTATTTCAAGCTGAAAAATTTTAGGTGTTAAAAAAACCTTTGATGAAGCCAATTAGTAAGCATGTATATCTAGCATTCTTAATATGTTTTTGATTTAATCAAAATAGAAATCAAATTGAATAACTCTACTTGAACTAAAGCAAAACTGTTTCTAACTTGAGGGAATATTAAAAAGGTAACTTTCTAATTACATTTCTAAGCTCCAAATAGACATGTGGCAAAATTATACATTATATATGATCTAGGCTGTTTACAAAGCTGAGCAAGTTGTCCCATTAGTCAGAGCTAAGAGTTATAAGGAAATGATGTAAAACTAATAATATGATTTTCCATATAGATAACATTTATTGAAGGCTCACTATTTGATAGGTGCACTACCAACTACTTTATAGTCACTGTTGCTTTTAAATTGCACAATAGCACTGTTCTCATGCCCTTTTTAAATATAGGAAAGCGTCACAGAGAAGTAAAGTTATTGGCTAAAGGTGAGGGTCTCATCTTAATAAGTGGTAGAGTTGGAGATTGAACCCATGTCTATCTAACTATTTTACAAAGTGTATGCTGTTAAGTGTACTTATTCAATAACTTTATCCACAGACATCTATCGAGACCTCTGAAGTGCTGGATGGAGTTCAAGCTTCCAGAGATACAGGAGTAAGAAAGGCAAAACTTCTGGCCTTCTGAAACATTCTGTTGAGAGCAGATGGAAAATCAGTCCATGAACTAATGAGCAAGATCACTGCAGATGGTGATACGTGGTATAAAGAAAGAAAGAAAAAAAAATGAGACAAGGAAGCAGAGGTAGGGGAGGACAACAATTACTGTGTATAGTTTCGAAGACCTCACTGAGGAGGTGACATGGGGACTAGATTTTGAAAGACAAGAAGTTGCATGTCATGAGGGGCCTGGAGGCAAAGTCTTCTGAAAAGGCTTGCCCAAGAGACCTGCTGGGAGGTCAAAGGGACTGACAGTCTAGGGTCGCAGGAGCACAGAGCAGGAAGGGATACTTGATAGGGGCTGAGGTTAGAGACAAGCAGAAGGGGACCTCATGACAATTTGGAAAAGTAAAAATCATGAACATAGAAACCCACCAGACTCATTCAAACACTGCCAACAGTTTCATAATAAAAAGTACTTATGGCTGGGCATGGTGGCTCACCCCTGTAATCCCAGCACTTTGGGAGGCCGAGGCAGGTGGATCACCTGAGGTCAGGAGTTTGAGACCAGCCTGCCCAACTTGGAAAAACCCCATCTCTACTGAAAATACAAAAAATTAGCTGGGCATGGTAGCAGGCGCCTGGAATCCCAGCTACTCAGGAGGCTGAGGCAGGAGAATCACTTGAACCTGTGGGGCGGAGGTTGCAGTGAGCAGCATGGGCAACAAGAGCAAACCTCTGTCTTAAAAAAAAAAAAAAAGAAAAGAAAAAAAAGTGCTTATTTCAGACACCTTATAAGGGAAAGATCTCACCTGGATGCCAATATAGCATGATTATTACTCTTCATGTTTAGATAGGAAAACATTCCATTTTCATTGTTGCAAATTAGTTTTGGTTTGAGGTATTAGATGTGTGGGGGTTATTAAAAATGTAAAGTAAGCATCTTCTGGCTTTAATTTACAAACTCATTGAATGGACTTTTAATATTTGTATTATATATAACACAAGTGCTGATGCATCATTATTTTTTCAAGTCCTTTTAATGAAAAGACCAAAAGGAGCACACAATTTCACATTGTTTGATTTGATCATTGTAATTCCCAAGCATACAATAAAAGTATTCACTGGACCTTAAAAAGAACTCACCCTTAAAAAATGTACAATTCCGTGGTTTTTAGTATTTTCATGAATTGTGCAACCATCACCACTGTCTAATCCCAAAACCTTGTCATTATACCAAAATGAAACCTTGTGCCCATTAGCAGTCATTCCATATTCTCTCCTAACCTCAATTCCTGGCAACTATTCATGTATTTTCTGTTTCTACAAATTTGCCTTTTCAGGACATTTCACATGGGTGGACTCCTACAATACATAGCCTTTTGTGTCTGGCTAGTCAAGCCAAGAACTGCAGGAAAGAGCATTCCAGGCAGAGGGAACAGCTAGTGAAAATACCTCAACCCATAATCGCAAGGATGATGAAAGGAGCTGAAATCCAAAAAATGGAGAGCACCAAAGCAAAACCAAACCATGTCAATTATGATAATGGGTATCTGTGGTGGTCATTGAGACCGTCCACAATTTTTTAGTTCTCTCTTTCAGTGAAATGTGACATGATAGCTGTCTGTACCCAGCTGAATGCAAGTGAGGTCATGTTACTTGCTTCGACCAATCAAAGTTGAGATACCAAAGAAATGAGTCACTTCCAGGCAGAAGCTTTCAAATAGCCAGCATGGAATTCACCTCATCTATTTGCTTTGCCTCAGTGATCACAGCAGTACAGGCCAAAATGGAGCCTCCATCAGTCGAGGTCCCTTAGTGTCAATGATGACCAGAGCCCCCAAGTAGACCCACAATTGATGTGCAGCATAAGAGAAAGATAAACGTTTTTAAAGAACTTAACTTCTCCTGACTGATGAGTTATATTTTATTCTTAGTTCTCTAAAAAGACATTGGGGGAATTTAATTAAAGGCATGATATGATATAACTAATGTCTCTAAATATGTGTAAATAAATTGAAAGGGTAAAGAATAGAAGCAGAGGGACAGAGAGAGCTGTTAGAAGAGTTGTCACAGGGGTCCAGGTGAGAGTTGATAGTGACTTTGACTATAGGGGTGTATTTAGAAATGCACAGAAATCATAAGAACTTGCGAGGGAATGAATGTTGGGTGTATAAAAAAGAGAAACAGCCAGTCACTATCACCATGTCCATAATAGCACTACTACCGTCACCGAGTTGTAGGGAGGATAAACTAAGCCTACTTGTGAGAGAGCCTAACACATCATACTATTATGCTTCAGGAAAGGTTAGTTTTCATCCTCCCCTCTCTACCTCCACCACCATCACTGCCTCTTTGTCCCAGTGCTGAAATCAACAATAACATTTTCTTCTTCAAATGTTACCATTGTCTCTTCACTTGGTGGGGACCAGAGAAGAACCTGAGCCACTAATCAGAAAGCTTTGTTCACCACATATTTTACCCAGGGCTGGCTTACAAATATATTCATGTTCACCTCTCCTCCAACAGTGAGTTATGCCTATAGCTAACAATAAATGATGCCTTGTTCACAGCGAAGCAGCTAAACAGGGAATAAAAATCAAATAAGATTGCTCCACGATACTACTGAGGCAACTCCCTTACTTATAATTGTTCTTGACAACCAAAAATGTGTGGAAAGAGATGTTTGGGTTATATTGTTTCCAGTAGGTTTGTGATCACTTAAGTTCGATGAAAGAATTAGATATCCCTTCTCTTTATAATAACCTCAAATATTTATTTAGGAGAATAAGCAATTTTTCCTGTAAAAATTTAGGAGAATAAGCAATTTTTCCTGTCCAGTTTTCCATAATTTTCTACTGCAGCAACAAGGCAAAAAATCTTATCATTGTTTTATCCATGAAATATCCAGTGTTTTAGAGAAGGCTTAAGGAAAAAAGATTATAATTGTGGACTCTAGGCATCAAGCTCTAACTGGATGGCAGTGAGCAAGGAAAATATTTCTTGCAAAAAATATTTCTAGGTTCAATGTCTTCCTGATAAGACCATATTATTTCTGGAAGCATTTTTTACAGGTTGATGCTTAATAGTATGAATTTATTTTAACACATTGTATGCATTAGAAGAGAGAAGAACGCTTCACAGTTGCAGTAAGGCTAGGCAGCCTGGGCAGAATAAATATAGCAGGGTTGAGTGTTTGCACAGAGAAAGGGTAGAAGAAAGGGCTCTTCAACATCCTTCAGCACTGCCTCCCTGAGAGGCATACAACTGTTCTCATGCCCATGCCATCATGAAATCACTCAAGCTTTTAAATGCTCAGATACCAAACAAGAGTAAGAAAAGAAACGAATCAATCTCTGAAGGAAGAAAAAGCCCTGGGTGGGATTCAACTGAACATTTATCAAAAGAGACTGAGAAAATCTAAAATAGGTCATTAGAATTGCCCCTTTTGCTAACAGTGGGAAAGGAACTAATGAACAAGATATAGGCATTTGTGGGCAGCAAGAAAAAGCAAAACTTCTTTTGCATCTTTGCACTGTAGAGTAATTCTTCCCTCCGAGAGGTGTCCATATACATCTTTAGATCCCCAGAAGATGTGAGTATGTTACATGGCAAAGAGGAATTACCATTGTAGATGGAATTAAACTTGCTAATCAACTAGCCTTAGAGAGATTACCTTGTATTATCCAGGTGGGCTCAATGTAATTGCAAGGGTTCTTACCAGTAGAAGAGCCAGTAGAATGAAGAAACGATGGCTTACGCTGTTTAATTTGCCCAAGGACACACAGCTAATGAGTGGCAAAGACAGAACTTTCTGTGTCAACCTGGGATCTCTCTGCTGTGACTCCACTCCAGCTCTCAAATGGAACCTGGGATTTTCTTGCAGTCTTTCTTCTTTGAATATGCTTTCTTTTAAATTCTGTACCCAAAGCTATGTATAATTGTTCTAGCAGATGCCCTAGTAGTGTTTTATAAAATGTGCAATAGAGATTCTTCTTCCAAATAAATATCAAAACAAGAATATCTAGGTTAAATGAAGCAGAGGGAGAGATGAAAACTGCCTGCAGAAGTTGCCACCTATACCTGGAGACACCATGCAGGGCACAGGGCATTTTGTTTTCCATCTGAGAATGTGGATCCTGTCTGCTAAAACAAACTCAAGATATTCTTCTGCTAAGAGATCCAAGCTGATTATGAATACAATGCATGGCAACATCTGTGGTTTGCACATTGTTGAACTAAAAAGGCTCTAATGTGTTGGAGCAGAGGCCAAGCAACCAGTATCCATGGCAACTCCGTGTTTAGTTTCAACCGACAGTCATGGAGAGTATTCAATCACATTCTTATATTTGTCTAAATGGCACCCAATAAATACTTCCCATAGCCAAGATTTTTGTCTTAGCTTGGAAACAAAGGAAAAGAAAATGAGACCTTTGGAGTGGAGGAGGAGAACAGAGGAAGAATTCGCCCTCTGAAAAATCTAACTTCAGGAAAGCTAAAACTAATGTTTCACTCATCAAGCAACAAAGAATTAAGGAAATTGTAATAGGTATGAATTTAGGAATGAGTGGGGGGCAGGAGGAAAAACAGGAATCAAATTTCCTAGTCTAATTTTACCTTTAGAAATTGATTTTCAAAAAGCCATGAAATGTGCTTGTGTTTACAAACAGTCCACTATTGTTTATTGCGTCCATTCAGACATTGTGCTGGACACTTTACACATATCATCTCTAATCTTCACCAAAAACAAACAAAAACACCTACAAGAAAGCTATCATTATCTAATTTCACACTTAAGGAAATTACAGGGAAGAAAATTTCAATAGTTTATGCCCCATTACAGATTTTGCCTGTGAAAGATTTGAATTTAGCCTATCTGATTTAAAAGCCCCCACCTTTTTTCAATGTTTCACATTCTGCAGGGACTAAGCAATATGGATTAAAAAGAAAAAAAAACCCTATCCTTGTTAGAATGAATGCTTGAATAATAAGATATTATTCTGGCAAATGAATTTTAAGTTCAACTCGGAAATTGTGTATTATTGCAATGTCTTGTCAAAAATTAAACAGGACTAGGCATGGTGGCTTATGCCTGTAATCCCAGCACTTTGGGAAGCAGAGGCGGGCAGACTGATTGAGCTCAGGGGTTCGAAATCAGCCTGTGAAACATGGCAAAACCCCGTCTCTACAAAAAAACACAAAAATATATATATAAATATATATTAGCCTGACATGGTGGTGCATGCCTGTAGTCCCAGATACTAGGGAGGCTGAAGTGGGAGGATAGCTTGAGCCTGGGAGGCAGAGGTTACAGTGAGCCAAGATTGCACCACTACCCTCCAGCCTGTGCAACAGAGACAGATCCGGCCTCAAACAAAAAACAAAAAACAAACAAACAAAAATTAAACAGCTCCATCTTCAACTGGTAAATAATGAAATGTGTAAATGTTCTTCATTTGCATGTGATTTGCATATATCATTCTAGGTCAATGAAGAGTAGAGACTGGGAGGTGAGATCTGGCCAGCTGGATGCTGAGAACATGAGGATGTGAGTACCCAAAGAGTTCTGGATAGAGACCTGACCAGAAAATTGGACTTGAGATGCTGCCTTTCCACATGTAAGCAATGAAAAACAAACTTCCCCTCACCTTTTGGAACTCACTGGCATCCCTAAATTGAATGACTGATTTGTCTCTCATGTCAGTTACACCATCTGGAATGCTTGCAACTTTCAGTATGATACCAAGTGTAATTCCAGAACAGTGGACCCTGCATGAAGATGAAATGAAAGCATAAACAGCCAACTCTGGGATAGAATATTAATTACTTCAGTAAAATTGAATAAGAAAGCAAACAGCTTTATTGGGATATAATTAATAACAACAAACTGCATATGTTTAAAGTATACAACTTGATAAGTATTGATATCAGTATACATCTGTGAAATGATCACCACAATCAGGATAATAATGAACATGTCTATTCCCCCAAAATTAGTTTTCTCATACCTCTTTGAAGTGACTTGCTCTGATCCTTCCCTGCCCACCTACTACCATCCCCAGGCAACCACTGATTTTCTTTCCATCACCATAAATTAATTTACATTTTGTAGAATAGAAGGTATACTTTTAAATTCTCCTGACACCAAGTTGCAACCACAGAAACCAAATAAAAAGTCACCATAGCTACCTACTCTTCCAAACAGAACTAATTCCAAGCCCTCTCAATATTTAACAAGTATTTTGAACCTTTTCTCTTATCAGCTCCTCTCTGCCTTGGCCATGTGTGGCTTTTGGTGACTTCATTTTAGACAAGCTACAAAGGCCTGGTCTCCACTGGGGCATCACTTCTCGTTATTCTCTCTCAACCTGATGACCATCTCCATGCCTGCCACAGATAGGGTCCCAGCCATGCCCCCTGGACACTGTTTGTCCAGAAACAAGACTGAACAGTAATAGATAGTAGCTTTTTAGTGAGAAGCCTGGCCCAGATATTCTGGGCACTGATGGCTCCATTGTGTGGCACCAATATCCAGAGGATCTGGGAAGCACAGGAGCTAATTTCCTCACATGCAATTCACACAGCAGCTCTACACAGTACTTAACCAAGCTGGATCCATCTTCTCAACCAAGGTAGCCGGAACACCTTCTTTTGCAGAAATGTGTTCATAATGTATGTCCAAGTAGCTCAAGTTGGAATTTGGTTGGTTGGTTGTTTGTTTCTCTTAAATAGCTAATTATCTTTTTAAAAGATTCTAGAACAAAAAAAGATATTTTCTATTTACCCACATATTTGCCATTTCTGGCACTCTTTATTCCTTCCTGTAGATACAGACTTCAATTTGTATTCATTCTTCTTCTGCCTGAGGAATTTCTTTAACATTTCTTATAGTGCAGATCTGCTGGTGATAAATTATTTCTCAGGTTTTGAGGTTCAGAAAATAGTCATTATTTTGCCTTCATTTTTCAAGATGCTATCACTAAGCATAGAATTCTAGTTGACAGTTTTTTCTTTCAGCACTGCATGATTTCTGACAAGAAGTGTTCTGTCATTCCTATCTTTGTCCTTCTGGGTGTAATATGTCATCTTTTCTTATCTGCCTTTAAGATTCTTCTCTTTCTTGATGATTTTCTGCAGTTTCATTTTGATATAACTTGGTGTGGTTCTTAGTATATTTTTTCTGCTTGGGGTTTTTTGAGCTTCTTGGATCTATGGGTTTATAGTTTTAATCAAATTTGGAAAACGTTTTGCTATTTCTGCAAATATTTTTTCTGACCTCCTTTTCTTCTGAGACTCCAATTACATGTACGTTAATTTGCCTGATATTTTTCCACAGCTCACTGTGGGACAGCTTTTTTCCCCATTTTTCTCATTCTGCTTCAATTTAGGTAGTTTCTATTTTCATGTCTTCAAATTCACTGATATTTTCTTCTGTAATATCTAATCTGCTGTTTGTCCCATCTAGTGAGTATTTCATTATAGATATATTTTTGATCTCTAAAAGTTCCATTTGTGTCTATTTTCTCTCTTTTACTCCTCACCATATTCAAGCTTTCAAAAATTTTATATTATTGAACATATTTAGAAGATTTATAATGGCTGTTGTCTACTAATTTCATCATCCCCTGATTTGGGGGATATGTTCTATTGATTGATTTACTTTTTCCTGGCTATTGGTCATATATTTACGTTTCTTTATACCTAGTAATTTTTAATTGGATGCTAGACATTGTGACTTACATCGTTGAGTTCTGGGTTTTTTTTTTAATTACTATTCCTTTAAACACTGCTGAATTTTCTTTTGGTCTTTGTATTAGTTTTCTATTGGTGCTATATCAAATCACCACAAATTTTATGGTTAAAACAATAAAATGTTATTATTTCATGGTCCTGGAGGTCAAAGTTCAAAATAAGTCTTACAAGGCTAAAGTCAAGATGTCAGCAAGCCTGGTTCCTTCTGGAGAAACCAGATGAGAGTTCATTCCTTACCTCTTCTAGCCTCTGATGGCTGCCAGAATTCCTTGGCTTGTGGCCACATCAGTACAATCTCTACTTCATCAGTATGTTGCCTTCTCCTCTTCTACAGTAAAATATTCCTCTTAGGCATCACCCAAATAATCCAGAATAATTTTCCTATCTCACATTCCTTTACATAATCACATCTTCAAAGTCTCTTTTTTAACATAAAGTAATATTCAGTTTCTAAAGATCAGGACATGGATACATTTGGGAGCCTTTATTCAACCTACCACAGCACCCAACCTAAGTAACTTGAAGAGGAAATTTAATCATACAATACTTGCCTTTAAGTTTTGTTATGTCAGGTCCAGACCAGCCTTTATTCTGGGGCTAACTTAACTACACTATTAAGGTATGACCTTTCTGAAGACTCTACCACATGCCCTAGAATAATAAGTTATGACTTGTGGAAATACAAATTACTCTCAACCCCGTATGACTTTCAGAAATTTTTCAGCCAATCAGTTTCCAGTGGTTCATTTTTTTTTTTCCTCAGGCATTTTCCTCCCACACATGCACATATTAGTACTCAGTCAAACTAGAGGAGCCACTTTGTAGGTCTCAGGTTCTCTCTCTCTTTCTCTCTACACCCTACCCTCCCTCCCTCCTCTCCAGTACTCTGCCCCTCAAATTCTAGCTACCTCTTTAACTCTGAACAACAACCTTTGTCTCCTCAACTCAGTAAGGCCACTGATCCTGTTTCAATTTTTCCTTTTAAAGAGTAAACTGAGACAATCATAGGGCTTACCATTTCTATTTCCCTTCTCCTATGCATCACAGTCTTGTATTGCCTATTGTCCAATGCCTGGCAATTATTAGTTCATATACTTTTCTCAGTTACATCTGGTTATGGCATGAGGGAAATTTCTGTAGCAGTTTATCCTTCATGAGGAGAAACAGAAAACTCTAGGAGTTGAGTTCTAAACAGTCAATAAGAAGAAAGGAAAATATATCAAGTGATGTAAGAGTATCAGCCAGCACCTTCCAAGCTTACAACTGGCTGAAACACTGTGACCAAAGGTGGCAGGTAATCATTTACATGATTAGGTAAACACCTTTAGCCCAATATTATTTCAATTTAATACCTTAATATTTAACTCATGCCCTTTTGCCCATGATATAAAAATAAAGTACTATCAAGACTGATAACAATATTTTCTTTTGAATTAACTAATTTTGGGAAGCAGACTTTAGTAGACAATCTAGAGGAATTTTTTAAATTTTAATAAATATAATCTGCATACAGAAAGGTGCACATCACATTTGTACAGCTTAATATATTTCCAAAAACTGACCACACATGTTGCCAGCACCAGGTTGAGAAACAGTACGTTATGTGCATCCCAGAAGCCCCCATTCATTAACCTTTCCCACTTTTTCATCTCCTCCCACAGCAGTATCCATAATCGTGACTTCCAATAATATAGACTAGTTTTTCCTGATTTTGCATTTTCTAAATTCATAAGGATGTATTCTTTTCTCTTTGCTGTGGGTAGTTGCAGATCCAACATCCTCATTGCTGAATAATTTTCCATGGTGAGAATGCAACACAAATTTATTTATTCATTCTACTCTTGGTGGCAATGTAGGTATTATCCAATTGAGAGTTATTACAAATAATGCTGCTATAAACATTCTTGTGTATATCTTTTGATGTACATATATATGCATTTCTGTTGGGCATTTATCTAAGTGTGGAATTACTAGTCCTAAATTATTCACATTTTCAGCTGTAGGAGATATTGCCACCTGATTTTACCAAGATGCTTATTGTATAGGCCACTTTTAAAACCCAGCAGTATGTTTTAAACAGCAGAGGAGCAACTTAAGGCCAGTATCCCTGGGATGTAACAGATCAGTGTCAACAAGTAAAATCAAACTTCTATTTCCAAAGCTCAAGTCCAGGTATTATTTCCTTTAGGTCATTTAAAACCCATGATGAGAATTAGTAATTATATAAGTTAAAAAAAATTTTTTAAATCTAAAACAGTACAGTTTATTAAAGGTTGTTCTATCTTTCTTTGTAGTCACCAAATCGTTTTAATCTAAGTTTTTTTGTGTGTGTGCAAACCTTTTACATATAAAACCTATAAAAGCCGGGGAACTCTGGAGACAGCAATTTTTGGAACCACAGGGCTCTGAAGAACTCAGCTTGAAAACACTGCTATGGTCTATTTTCTTCTGTTTCAAATGAGAGAACTCTGGCCCAAGGAGGAAAAAAGAAATGCCTTCATGAGGGTCACACAGTAAGATAGTGAAAAGGGAAAGGATTAGATTCCAACATCCCCCATCCTCCTGTTCAGCAAACTTGCCTTATCCTGTTCAACTGGATCCTAATTTGGACTCAGCCACTGAGATAATCAGGTTCTTGCCGAATTCAAAACAAGTATAAATAGATTTTCCGAGGCTCATTTCTACTTGACAACCTTCAATTGGCTATTTTCTCTCAAAGTTGCTTAACATACATAGAGCAATGTATTTTCCTACTAAGAAAATGAACCCACTCCACCCGTGAGAAAGAGGAATCACAAAAGCTACAACATGCCACTGCTGGTTCAAAGCAAAACTTGTTTATTAAATACTGAATAAAAATGGTTATGAACAAAATTTATGACCTCCTAACATCTACCAGAAAATAAGCAATGTGTAAATACACTCTCCCAGTGTGTCAATCTGCTGCCAACTAGCAGTAGAAAAAGATTGAACTTCTGAATCTTACTCAAATTTTTTTCAAAGTGTTGAGAAAATGCAGTTTGAATTTCATCCAAACAATTGACTTTAGGTCTGATTTCTGAAGACCTAGAAATCTTGCACATCAAATAACACTTTTAAAATTTTGCAAAGACTCAAATGAAGCTGAATTCAATTTTTCCCTAAAGAACATATGGACTTTCAAAAAGGCAAGGGAGGAGGTGGTTGGCAAAATATGTTTTCAGTTTTAACACTTTTTTTAAAACAAAATAAAATAAAAATCATTGCTGGATTTCCCCAGCCCCATTCCCCAAAATTACCATTTTTCCTGTCATTGACCTATGACTGTTAAAGATATTCTGATTATTTTATATAAAATAATCATTCTTTATGCTAACAGTGCTTGAGCAGTTGCAAGGAGTTGGCAGGCAAGGCAAGTGTCAGTTTTGAACAAACCCATGAAGTCAACAGTTCCTTGTACATCAGCTGAAATAAAGACTATTTCCAGAAACCAATGGGGATAATTCTGGGTTAAACATCGATATTTCAATTCCAAACCTCATTAGACAACATGGATTTAATGAAAAGACAAAAATGGAAGAAGAAAGACAGAAAAAAACAAAGGAAAAGGAAGTGGAAGCAGAGAAGAAATTTTAGAACTATTACATCAAAAATCAGTGCATTATTGAGTAGAATATTGGTTCTTCAGGCTCCAGCATGAGAAAGATTCAGTTTTGTTTTTGAACCAAGTATATTGACGTGTTTTACTGAGCGTATATACACACGGAATTCAAGTGACCCAATCCCTTGGGTCAAGTGAACCAGAATTTCATTTTCCAAAGAGTTTTTAAAATAATTCTGTCTCTGTCATAAGCTTAGCACACATTTAGCACAATCTCATCAGTGTTTTGGAGAAAAGAATTAGATCACTAGATCAGTATCCTACCCCCAGGTACCTAACAGGGTATTATGCACGTGACAGAAAATTGAAGGTGTCTAAGTAAGTTAGAGAAGGAGGAAGGCAAGTCCTTTTACCTCAGCTGGAATGAGGGAGGTGAGACCAAGGCTGCCTCATTATAAAGGGGGCTTATAATTTTTGTGACCCAGCCCCCACCTTACTCTCTAGTCCCACATTTATCCTAGCTGTACCCCTTCATTGGTCCCCACTCTACCTAACTGAAATCCAGACACACAGAACCCCTTTTGTCTCCCTAAACACGTTGTGCTATTTTACACACCTGATTCTGGGAGATGTCATTTCCTATCCCTGTTCCTTTTTCCTAGACTGAAGATATCAACTTCTCCAGCGCTGTCCTAGACAAAATTCCTCCCTCATGACACTAATAAAAATGCTAGACAATATTTATTTATCTGTTTGTTTGTTTGGAGACAGGGTCTCACTCTGTATCCCAGGCTGGAGTGCAGGGGCACAAACATGGCTCACTGCAGCCTTGATCTCCCAGGCTCAAGCAATTCTCCCACCTTGGCGTCCCAAATAGCTGGGTCTTCCAGTTAGCCTAAGCATAAATTAATTTAGTAAAATATACGTATGACTTATAGAATCTCTGTGAAGCCCAAATTACCACATTTATGGTACACAATCCAGGATAGATTGAGCTAGGTAAAAAATGCACCCAGAAGATACATTCAAGTCTACCATGGAACCATCCTAGAGGAACCATCATTGCTAGTACTGCATGTGTAACACCCTGTACCAGATGCTAGCAATACCACCATGGCTGCCTTAGACACCATCCCCACTACTCTTGCTAGAAATGTCAGTATCTCCATGGCATACTACTCCTTTGTTTATCTTCACCTCCAAAGTCTTCTGATAGGCAGATCCTAGATCATGTATCTGTACCCTAGCTACAAAGCAGTTAGAGCAATGTCAGTTTTAGCCTTCCAGTCTCTATAATAAAGGAAAGCAACTTCCATGTGGATTGGAATGAGTGTTGAAGCAACAAACACACAGCCCTCAATCTTGAGTAGTTATCAAATAAAGAGAGATAAAAATTTAGGATACCTGGAATAGGGGCTTGACTGGTTTCTAAGATAGGTGGAAGTGGATGCAAGGAAAAGATCCCCAGAAAGAGGAATGAGAGAGAGAGATTAAAGATGGTGCTATTCAAGAAAAACTAACAAGGTCATTCTCCTGGTTGCAGCCTGCCTGGGAGAAGAGGGGTTGAACTGACTTGAAGAAAAGATGGAGTGACAGCAGCTACTTCTAGGCAGTGTATCTATTCTGCTTAATTTATATTCATTTTACACTGGAGCTGCCTAGCTTGCATCTCCACAAATTATTTCAAACCGTCCATAGATAAGCTGAAGCAAAATAGAAAAATTGAATAATGCAAAGATGTAAACTGAAAGAAGAGGGAGGAAGCTGTAGACTGGATAGAAAATGCTTTGGAAACCAGAAACCCACCCAACTATTTATAATATTCATGACATTGGTGGCATGCATAACAGCTAAGAGTCACAATATTCAGAAAATTGTCATTCTAAAAACATATTGCACATTAGGTGATCTTGGAGAAACACGAAATACTATAAAACTATAGACAGTTGATTAAAACAAGTTTTTGACAAATTGATGTATCAATACTTTGGTCATTTAAACAACTGGTATTTGTCAAGTTGTTTTTAGGAAATTGCTGTTATGTGAATTGACCTAGAAGACTTAGTCCAGTGACTCTTCCTCCAAGAAGATTCCCCAGGTTGGCCACTCTCTAACAACCCCTTTCCAGTCCTCATTCACATAACCGTTGAATCTACTTTATGGCCCTTATCTCTCTCTCAAATTATTTTGTGAATTTATTTGTTTGGGGCATATTGTCTAAAACATATTGTCTGTTACATTTCAACAGAAAGTAGTTCCATAAAAATCACGACAATGTTTTATCTTGTTTCCTTATCCCCATTGCCTAGAACAATCTCTGGTACATAGTTGGTGCTCAGAGAAGGTTGTTTGTTTCCTAACAATTATAAGTAGTAATGCTTTCCTCATAGAGTTGTTAGGAAGATTAAATTTATCAGTATGTGTAAACCACTTAGAAGGGTACTTGGCCCATAATAAAATGTACTAAATGCTGTTATTATCATTTATTTTGGAACAAGGCTTATATTTTTGTATATAATGCTAGTAAGAAATATTCCTTTTAAAGACTTTCAACTAAGCTACCTGGATTCTAAATCTGGCATTTAAAAATGGAGGATCAGTGGTGGTTTCCCTACATCTCCATGTGGTCCACAGAATGGTCTTTGCAACATTAATATTTAATACAGTGTAATAATATACATTAACATCTGCTACAGATTAATAATTTACATGTGATATTTAATATGAACAAGAATTCAAATCCTTAGTGCATCTTCAAAAGTGTTGCCATCTGGCTCCCAAGTCCTGGGGAATATTTTGTGGTAAGAAACCAGAAGTGGAAGGCTTATGGTCCAAGGGGTTTCTCTGCTTCTCTTCCCCCTCCCACTAACAGAACTGGCCTTGGGAAACAAATAATTAATAAAGGTTTAAGACTCCAGGAGAATATGGAACTGAACCCCTAGATGACTTCACAAACTTATAATTAAAGACTGTTTTGTATGTTTGTCCACAGAATGTTGCAACCCTGGGATACTGGCACTGGAAGAAACTCTAGAAATTACCTGGACGTAGTCCTTCATTTTATGGAAATGGAGGCTCAGAGAAATAAACTGAATTGGTCAAAGACACACAGACAATTTTTGGAAGAGCTGGTCCTAGAACTTGGGTTACTTCTATGATGATATGATTTCTAGTTTTCCTAAGTTTCTCCTTGGGTAGGTGTACCTGGGTTTTCAGAGACATGATGAATGAAATCATTAAAAAAATACAGCATTTCTACTCCTTGTAATCTCAGGGAATGATTATCCCATCTATGAATAATTGTCCCATCTTTATCCATTTCTTCTACTTAGCCCTTTGCCCTCTTGTGCTTTGCTTTTTGCTTTGGGGGCAAAAAGCCCCCACCTATGAATGATTGTCCCACATCTATGAATGATTGTCCCATATTTGTCCATTTCTTCAACTTAGCTCTTTGGCTGTTGTGCTTTGCTTTTTGCTTTGGGGGCTTTTGTTTATTTGGTTTTGGATTTTTGATATTTTGTTTGATCACACCATTATTCAAACCCAAAGACACGTTCAGGGAGTAGGAAAGAAAACTCAACCCACACAGTACTGGGTCCATCACAGAGGTGTATTAAATATTTATGGACTTCAACCAAACAATATCTTTACTGGTCAGTACTTAAGAGCAAGATGAGGAATAAGGTTGAAATTATTTCCTAAGAAGAGGGGGTTTATGTTTTAGTTATCCATTCTGTTCACACATGTGAGGAAGACGGGATACTGTAGTAGTTAAAAGGGCAGCTTGCTTCAAAGCTAGCCAAAGCTGAGTTTGAATTCCTGCTCCATTGTGAGTACCAGTGGAAGTCGCTAGGAGTTTTAAGAAATGACCTGTTTCCAGACAGCAACTGGAAGCTGTGTAGGGAAAGGATCAGAGAAACAGACTGAAGACAAAGAAACAGGCAGAGACCCTGGCAAAAGGCAGGTTGAGGGATGACAATCAAGCATATTGTTCTTTCTTGTTAGCAAGAACCACCAAAAATTGGCGATAATCGCCACGCCAAATTATTTCCACCTGGTGAAGGTTGCAATTGTAAATTAGTTCAAACATTGTGGAAGACAGTGTGGTGATTCCTCAAGGATCTGAAACCAGAGATCCCATTTGACCCAGCAATCCCATTACTGGGTATATACCCAAAGGATTATAAATCATTCTACTATAAAGACACATGCACATGTATGTTTATTGCAGCACTATTCACAATAGCAAAGATTTGGAACCAACCCAAATGCCCATCAATGATAGACTGGATAAACAAATGTGGCACATATACACCATGGAATACTATGCAGCCATAAAAAGAATGAGTTCATGTCCTTTGCAGGGACATGGATGAAGCTGGAAATCATCATTCTCAGCAAACTAACACAAGAACAGAAAACCAAACACTGCATGTTCTCATTCATAAGTGGGAGTTGAACAATGGGAACACATGGACACAGGGAGGGAAACATTACACACCGGGGCCTATCGGGGGTGGGGGATAGGGGAGGGATAGCATTAGGAGAAATATCTAATGTAGGTGATGAGTTGATGGGTGCAGCAAACCACCATGGCACGTGTAAACCTATGTAAATAAACCTGCATGTTCTGCACATATATCCCAGAACTTAAAGTAAGAAAACAAAACAAACAAACAAACAAAAAAACATAGGGGAGAGAGAGGGAGAGAAGAAAAACAGAAACGGAGAAGAACGAAGAGTCGGTATGGGAAAGGAAGAAGGGAAGGAAGGAGAAAGAATTCTTGATTTTTCCCATCACCCCAGTGCGTTTTTTTCCAATGGATTTTTATAAATCAGTGATTCTCCCTACTAGCAACATAAGCATTATCTGGGAGCTTGTTAGAAAGGCAAATTCTTGGGTCCCACCCAGGTCAATTAAGTCAGAAACTCTTGGGTGGGACCCAGCCATCTGTGCTCTAACAAACTATGTAGGTAATTTTGATGCATACCCAAGTTTGAGAATTACTGTTGTCTGCAGGTGTCTGTGTGTGTGCATGCACATCCTAGAAATATGAGGCATACAGAAAGTTTTTGTTCAGTTTGAATCATAAATAAATCATGTCTGTGTAATATATAAAGCAATTTGCAAAATACAACAAAACGGCAATTATTCAAGATTTAAATAAACTATTAATATTAATGGTTTGTTTTAATATCTTTATTCTACTTTCTAGGGAATACACCCTATCCATAATAACAGCTATATCTAAAGGTATGTAAGATTATGGTAGACTTATTCAATGTTAACATTTCAGTATTTCAAATCCGAGTAAATCCTCTCTCTGTCATATTTTGCAGTTTGTGTATATCATATGTGGAAGAAAATTTATTACAAATTCAAATTGCACAAGAACTTTATGGACATTCTCATATTCTGATTCATAGACAGGGAGTCCTGGAACTACTAGCAGTATCCAAGACTACTATGCCTTCTAGGACTATGAGACCGCAGGTACTTAACATACATCAGGAGCTGGACTTCAGCCCAAATAGTAGGCAGGGGACAACAGTGATACTCTCCTAGAATCCACAGAAGAGAAATGAACAGAACACAGAGCATAAGCAGAAACCAACAAAATAGAATAGGCAGAGGCAGAAAAATATTTTAAGGGGGTGCTTAAAAATATTAGAGTCCAGCACAGATCAGTTGTTTTAGAAGCAAGCAAGTGAACAGTGTAAAACGTGTATACATAGGAAGTACTAGAAGGGAATAGCAAAAAGAAAAATATTATTCTATGGTGATGACTTTATGATAATGTTTTTTCTTTAATCAAATTTTCATTTTTAAAAATGTGATTAAGAAAATGGTTTTTGTATTAGTTTGCTAGGGTTGTTGTCTTAGTCCATTTTCCGTTTCTATAACTGAATATCTGAGACTGGGTAATTTATAAAGAAAAGAAATTTATTTCATTCAGTTCTGAAGGCTGGAAAGTCAAAGGTCTGGGAGTCTCATATGGTGAGGGCATTCTTGCCAGTAGGGACTCTGCAGGGTCCTGAGATGGCACAGGGCATCACATGCCAAGGGGGCTCACAAAAGGCTAGCCAATTGTTTTTTACAACAGACCCACTTTCATGATAACAAACACACTCCCTCAATAGCCCATTAATCCATTAGTCAATCAATGGATTGATCTTCTCATAAGAATAGAACCCTCATGATCCAATCACTTCTCAAAGGTCCTATCTCTCAACAGTCCTGCATTGGAAACCAAGTTTCCAACACATGCCTTCTGGGGGACATATTCAAGGCATAGTAGTTGACACGAAGAAATACCACAGACTGGGTGGTTTATACAACAGAAATTTATTTCTCACAGTTCTGAAAGCTGTAAGTCCAAGGTCAGGTTGTCTGCAGATTTGGTTTCTCCTGAGGTCTCTCTCCTTGGCTTGCAGATGACCATCTTCTGTCTGTGTCCTCACATGGCCTTGATCTGTGCACATACATCCCTGATGTTTCATCTTATTCTTGTAAAGGAATCAGTCATATTAAATTAGGGACCCTTCTTGTGACCTCATTTAACCTTTGTTACTTCCTTTAAGGCCCTTTCTGTAAATATGGTCACATTTGGAAGTAAGATTTCAATATATAAATTTAAATTCAACATATAAATGTGTCCAAATATATGGACAATTCAGTCCAAAACAGTTTCTAAAAGTTAGAAACAAATGTATACCAAAAATTAATAACTGAGCTATGTAATATAAAGTACCATATTTCTATGATTGTGACATAGGGGGAAAGTTCATGAAGAGAGGAATGGGAGACTGGGGCCTCGTCTTGTCTTTGCTTTTCTCTGTGACCTTGAGCAACTCACTTTCCTCATCACTGAAGAGAAGCCTTTGTACATGAGGATTTCTCAGATTCCTTATGTTTAAAATCATGATTATTTCAAAAAAAATTGTTGCTAAAAACACAGAAATGATTAGAAAGGTTGAAGTTATTAGAGTGGAAAAAATCAAAAACTGTAACAGAAATGAAGAATGTCTTTGATGAGCTCAATAATGGACTGGACACAGCCAAGGAAACAAATAAGTGAACTTGAAGACACATCAACAGAAACTTCTTATGCTAAAATACATAGAGAACAAAAAATTTAAAAAAACAAAAAAAGGAACATCTAAGAACTGTGGGAAAGTTTCAAAAGATATAACATATCCAAAACTGAAATACCAGAAGAGAGAATGGAGCAGAAAAAATATTTAATGTAATAATGGCCAAAAACTTTCCAAAATTAATGACAGATATCAAATCAGATCCAGGAGCTCAGAGAACAAGCAGGATATATATATATACTGCTCCCACTCTCACCCTTCAGGTAGTCCACAGTGTCTATTTCTATCTTCTTTATGTCCATGAGTATCCAATGCTTAGCTCTCACAAATGAGAACATGCAGTATTTTGTTTTCTGCTCCTGTGTTAATTTGCTTAGAATAGTAGCCTCCAGCTCCATCCATGTTACTGCAATGGACATGATTTTGCTCTTTTAGATAGCTGTGTAGTATTTCATGGGGCATATGTACCACATTTTTTTATCCTGTTCACCACTGATGAGCAACTAGGTTGGTTCCATGTCATTTTCTATTGGAATAGTGCTACAAGGAGCATGAGTGTATGTATCTTTTGGTAGAATAATTTATTTTCTTTTGGATATATACCCAGTAATGGGATTCCTGAGTTAAATGGTAGTTCTGTTTTAAATTCATTGAGAAATCTCTAAACTTCTTCCCACAGTGGCTGAACTAATTTACTTTCCCACCAATAGTGTGTAAGCATTTCCTTTTCTCTGCAACCTCACAAGTGTCTACTGTTTTCTGACTTTTTAATGATAGCCATTCTGACTGGTGTTAGATGCTATCTTACTGTGGTTTTGATTTGCATTTCTCTGATGATTGGTGATGATGATTTTCACATGTTTATTGACTGCTCATATGTCTACTTTTAAGGAGTGTCTGTTCATATCTTTTGCCCATTTTTTAATGGGGGTATTTGCTTTTTGCTTGTTGAATTAAGTTCCTTATGAATTCTGAATATTAGACCTTTCTTGGATGCATAGTTTACAAATATTTTCTCTCATTCTGTAGATTGTCTTTTTACTCTGTTCATAGTCTCTTTTTCTGTGTAGAAACTTTAGTTTCATTAGGTCCCCCTTTTCAATTTTTTTTTTTTGCAATTGCTTTTGAGGACTTAGTCATAAATTCTTTCCCAATGCCGATATTCATATTAGTATTTCCTAGGTTTTCTTCCAGAATTCTTATCGTTTGAGGTCTTACATTTAAACCTTTAATCCACATTGAGTTAATTTTTGTATATGGTGAAATATAGTGGTCCAGTTTCATTCTTCTGCATATGGCTAGCTAGTTATCTCAGCACTATTTATTGAATAATGAATCCTTTTTCCATTGCTTATTTTTGTTGACTTTGTTGAAGATCAGATGGCTGTAAGTTTGTAGCTTTATTTCTGGGTTCTTTGTTCTGTTCCATTGGTTTATATGTCTGTTTTTGTACCAGTATCATGCTGTTTTGATTACTGTAGCTTAATTATATAGTTTGAAGATGGGTAACGTGATGCCTTCAGCTATGCTCTTTTTGCCTAGGATTGCTTTGACTATTCAGGCTCTTTTGGGGTTCCATATGAATTTTAGAATTTTTTTTCTAGTTCTGTGAGAGAAATGATGTTGGTAGTTTGATAGGAACAGTGTTGAATCTGTAGATTGCTCTGGGCAGTATGGCAATTTTAATGATATTGATTTTTCCAATCCATGGGCATGGAATGTTTTATCCATTTGTTTTTCTCACCTACGATTTCCTTCGCAGTGTTTTATAGCCCTCCTTGTATAAAGTTTTTACCTCCTTTGTTAGATGTATTCCTAGGTATTTTTAGTGGGGTATGGCTATTGTAAATGGGATTGCATTTTTTATTTTGCTCTACTCTTGAACATTATTCATGTATAGAAATGTTGCTGAATTGTGTACATTGATTTTGCATCCTGAAACATTACTGCAGTCATTTATCAGTTCAAGGAGCCTTTTGGCATAATCCTTAAGGTTTCTAGGTACAGAATCTTATTGTCCAAAAACAGAGGTAGTTTGAATTCTTTTTCTATTTGGATGACTTTTATTTCTTCCCCTTGCCTGATTTCTCTGGCTAGTCTTTCCAGTGCTATGTTGAGTAGGATTGGTGAAAGTGGGCATCCCTGTTTTATTCCAGTTCTCAAGGGAAAGGCTTCCAGTCTTGCCCATATAGCATGATGTTAGCTGTGGGTGTGCCATAGATGGCTCTTATCATTTTGAGGTATGTTCCCTCAATGCCTAGTTTCTTGAGGGTTTTACCTTGAAGCGATGTTGGATTTTATTGAAAGCTTTTTCCATATCTGTTGAGATAGTCTTGTGGTTTTTGTTTTTAATTCTCTTTACATAGTGAATCACATTTATTGATTTGTATATGTTGAACCAACCTTGCATCCAAGAAATCAAACCTACTTTACTATGGTGAATTAACCATAGTTAATCATGTGCTGTCAGATGCAGTTTGCTACTACTTTGTTGAGGATTTTTTGCATCTATGTTCCTCAGGGATATTGGCCTGTAATTTTCTATTTTAACTGTGCCTTTGCCAAGTTTTGGTATCAGGATGATAACAGCTATATCTAAAGGTATGTAAGATTATGGTAGACTTATTGAATGTTAACATTTCAGTATTTCAAATCTGAGTAAATCCTCTGTCACATTTTGCAGTTTGTGTATATCAGATGTGGAAGAAAATTTATTACAAATTCAAATTGCACAAGAACTTTATGGACATTCTCATATTCTGATTCATAGACAGGGAGTCCTGGAACCACTAGCAGTGTCCAAGACTACTATGTCTTCTAGGATTATGAGACTGCAGCTCCTTAACATACATACTTAACATACATCAGGAGCTGGATTTTAGCCCAAATGGCAGGCAAGAGACAAACGATACTCTCCTAGAATCCACAGAAGAGAAATGAACAGAACACAGAGCCTATGCAGAAACCAGCTTCATAGAATGAGTTAGGTAGGATGCCCTCCTCCTCAGTTTTTTAGAATAGTTTCAGTAGAATTGGTACCAGCTCTTCTTTGTATGTTAGGTGGAATCCAGCTGTGAATTCGTCAGGTCTGTGGCTTTTTTTTGTTGTTGTTGTTGTTGTTAGGTTTTTTATTACTGTTTCCATTTCAGAACTCATTATTGGTCTCTTGCGGGTTTTGATTTCTTTCTAATTCAATCTTGGGAGATTATGTGTTTCTAGGAATTTATCTATTTCTTTCAGATTTTCTAGTTTGTGTGCACAGAGATGTTCATAATAGTCTCTAGGATTATTTTTATATTTCTGTGGGATCAGTTGTAATGTCACGTTTGTCATTTCTAATTGGATCTTCTCTCTTTTTTTCATTGTTACTCTAGCTAGCAGTCTACTGATCTTGTTTATCCTTTCAAAAAAGCAGGTTTTGGTTTCTTTGATCCTTTGTATTCAGTTTGGGGGTCTCAATTCTGTTCAGCTTTGCTCTGATTTTAGCTATTTCTTTCCTTCTACCAGCTTTGCGGTTGGCTCATTATTTTTTAGTTTCTCTAGGTATGATGTTAGATCATTAATTCAAGATCTTTCTAAGTTTTTTAGGTAGGCATTTACTGATACAAACTTTCCTCTTAACACTGCTTTTGCTGCAGCTAAGAGACTTTGGTATGTTTTGTCGCTGTCGCCTTTTATTTCAAAGAATTTGTTGATGCCTTCTTTAATTTCATTGTTTACCCAAAGTCATTGAGAAGCAAGTTGTTTAATTTCCACGTAATTGTGTGTTTTTGAGAAATCTTCTTGGTATTAATTTCTGTTTTTATTTCACTGTGGTTTAAGAGTATGGTTGGTATGATTTCAAATTTTTTTTAATTTATTGAAACTTGCTTTCTGGCAAACCATGTGATGATCTTGAAGTATGTTCCATATGCAGATGCAAAGAAAGTATGATCTGTGGTTGATGGGTGGAGGGTTCTGTAGATGCCTGTGAGATCCAACTAGTCAAGTGTCAAATTTAAGTCCAGAATTTACTTGCTAGTTTTCTGCCTGAATGATCTAATGTGTCAGTGGTGTGCTGTAGTCCCTGACTATTATTCTGTGGTTGTCTAAGTCTTTTGTAGATAGATAACTACTTGTTTTACGAATCTGGTTGCTCCAACATTGGGTGTGTGTATACATATATATATGTACATATCTGTGTGTGTATATATATGTGTGTGTATATACACATGTATACACATATATACACGTATATGTGTATATATGTGTGTATATATGTGTATATATACGCATATGTGTATATATACGTATATACATATATACGCACACATATATACACATATATACGTATATATACACATACGTATATATAGATATATACATATATACGTGTATATATACGTATACATATATACGTATATATAGATATATACGTATATACGTGTATATATGTATACATATACACATATATATACACGTATATACGTATATATACGTGTATAAATACACGTATATATACATATAAGTGTACATATGTGTATACACATATATACATATATACATATATACACATATATATGCACATATATACACATACATATATACATATATACACCTATATATACATATATACATATATGTGTGTATATATACACACATATATGTATATATACACATATATACGTATATGTGTGTATATATACGTATATAGACATATATACACATATATACATATATACACATATACATATATATGCACATATATACACACATATATACATATACACACATATACGTATATACATATATGTGTATATACGTATATATGTGTGTATATATACAGTATATATACACATATACACATACGTATGTGTACACATATACACATACGTATGTGTACACATATACACATACGTATGTGTACACATATACACATACGTATGTGTACACATATACACATACGTATGTGTACACATATACACATACAGATATACATATATACACATATATACACATACAGATATACATATATACACATATATACACATATTATACACCTATATATGTGTATATACGTATATATATACACACCTATATAGGTGTATATATATACGCATATATACATAGAGCATATGCAGAACAGAACACAGAGCATATGCAGAAACCAGCTTCATAGAATGAGTTAGGTAGGATGCCCTCCTCCTCAATTTTTTATGTGTGTGTGTGTGTGTGTGTGTGTGTGTGTGTATATATGTGTGTGTGTGTGTGTGTGTATATACATGTAGGATAGTTAAGTCTTCCTGTTGAATTGAACCTTTTATCATTATGCAATGCCCTTCTTTGCCCTTTTTTTAATGTTGTTTGTTTAAAATCTGTTTTATTTGACATGAGAATAGTGACCCCTGCTCTTTATTCTTTTCTGTTTTCTTGTTAGAGCTTTCTCTGATCCTTTGCTTTGAGCCTATGGATGTGGTTACATGCTGATACATGTGAGATGGGTCTCTTAAAGACAGCAGATGGATAACTTGTTTTTTATCCAACTTGCAACTCTGTTCCTTTTAAGTGAGGTGTTTAGGCCATTTACATTCAAAATTAATATTGATATGTGAGGTTTTAATAATATCATGAAGTTGATAGCTATTTGCTTTGCAGTTTCTATTATGTGGTTGCTTTATAAGGTCTGTGGGCTATGTAGTGCTTAAGTATGTTTTTGTGGTAGCAAGTATAGTTCTTTCATTTCCATGTTTGGAACTCCTTCAAGGATTTCTTGTAAGGCTGGTCTAGTGGTAAAGAATTTCCTTAGTGCTTGCTTTCCTGGAAAATATTTTATTTCTCCTCCATTTACGAAGCTTAGTTTGGTGGGATATGAAATTCTTAGAATTTCTTTTCTTTATGAATGCTGAAAATAGGCCCCTAGCCTCTCCTGGCTTGTAAGGTTTCTGCTGAGAATTCTTCTGTTAGCCTGATGTACTTTCCACTGTTATGTGATCTGACCTTCTTCTCTAGCTGCCTTTAAGATATGTTTCTTTAGCAATGACCTTGGAGAGTCTGTTCTGGTGGTGTTTGTTCTGTACGGTGTCTCTCTGGTGTTGTCTGGATTTCTCGTATCTGGATATCTACCTCTCTAGAAGATTAATGTTTGGTTTTTATTAGTTCCTCAAATATGTTTTTCATATTGTTTACTTTTTATCTCTCAGGAATGCCAATATCCTGTAGGTTTGGTCACTTTACATAATCCCATATTTCTCGAAGATTTTGTTTTCTTTTCAAATTCTTTTTTCTCTATTTTTGTCTGACTCAGTACGTTCAAAAGACTGGTCTTCGAGCTCTGAAATTCTTTCTTCTGCTTGGTCCAGTATATGGATAAAGCTTTCAAATGTATTTTGAAATTCCTCAAGTGAGTTTTTCGGTTTTAGAAACTATGATTGATTTCTTTCTAAGATGTTCATCACTTCCTTCATTTCCTGGATTGCTTTAAAGGTTTCCTTTTCTTGATTTTCAACCTTGTCTTGGATCTCACTGAGCTTCCTTGAAATCCATTCTTTGCTTTATTTATCTGTCACTTCTGGGTTTCCATTATGTTTAGGGACCATTGCTGGAGAGCTAATGTGATCCTTTGTTGCTGTAACTACATTCAGATTTTTCATGGTGCCAGAACTCTTGTGCTGGTTCCTTCTCATGTGGAGACACTGGCACATCTAATTTTTATATTGTTTTCATGCAGGTAGAATTTTTGTTTCTTTCCCCATAATATTATTTTTTTGTTCTTCTTTCTTTTTACCTTTTCTCATCTCTCTAGGGAGTGTGACTGTAGAGAATGCTAGGTATGCTCTTTTGGCTTTTCTTCTCTAGCCCTATGCACTTCTGTCGGACAGTTTTATTATATATTGGGCTGTGCAGTTTAACCTACAAGCCAGTAGATGGCACTTATGGGTAAGAGCAGGCTGCAGCCATGTATGTATGTATGTATGTATGTATGTATGTATGTATGTGTGTGTGTGTGTGTGTGTGTGTGTGTGTGTATATATGATCCTTGTTTTCTGGGAGAAGTTCTCTGTTGCTTCAGACAATGCTGATTCATAGAGTGCACAATGGTCCAAACTCCCTGCTTAGCCTTGGAGAGTGGGAGCCACAATGAGCAAGACAGGATCGGGCAGGTCTGAGTACCAGTCCCCTGATGGCAGACACAAGCACTAGTGCTGAAGGAGAATCCAGTGGATGGCCACCAAGCACCCAGAGGTGTGCCTAAGCATGGAGCTGGAAAACCAACTTTGTGCCAGAATTGTTGTGCTGTTTTATTCTCATCTGAAGATTTTGGCACTTCTAAGTCTTGTAATTGTTTCATGCAGGTAGAATTTGTTCTTTTTATTTCTTTATCTGGCATGAGACTGGGAAACCTCCTTGGCCTGAAGTTCTCTACGTGGGGATGGGGGTGGCCTAAACTCCTAATTCAAGAAAGTGGGTCATCCAGATGCCTGGGCATAGAGTAGAATGGGCCCTCCTGCATCAGGATCTCTGCACAGGAAGGATAGGGCAGCTCAGTCTGCTGATCTAGGTGAGCTGGTGCTCCAAATGCCTGGGAATCTGCCTGGGGGTGGAGAGGGTCTCACTGGACCATGAGCTATGTCCAGGAACGGTGGGATGGCTCAGGCTGCTGAAACAGAAGTGTGCATGGTCTGAATGCCTGGAGGTCTACCCAGGCATAAGGGAGAGAGGGCCTCCCTGTATCAGGATCTTTTTATCATCGAGACTCCATCATGGAGCCTGTTTGCCCACATTCTTCTCCCTGGAATCTAGCGTACCCTCATGACTCCAGTGGATTCCTGTTTTCTTTCTTGAATTAAAGCTCACAGAGTTTATCTTTGTGCACTATCTTGCTATTTCCAAGTGGCTGAGGCATGCTGAAAGCCTCTAATTCAGCACCTTGGGGATAAAACCTTCTAGATTATCTTAAAATGTAAATTGGAAACTCTAGGGTAACCATTACAATAATTTCTTAAAAAAGCATAATCAATTGCTGAGAAAGAAGATACAACCAAATTATATAAAATACTCAGTTAAAACAAGATGAAACAGAAATGGTGGGGGAAATGGAAATGGTGTTCAAGGAACACTTAGAAACAAGAACAACCAAACATGGAATATAAAAATCCACCTAATCCATCAAACTTTTAAATAAAGGGTTTAAATATATTAATTAAAAGACAGATTGCCAAAATGGTTTTAAAAAACAATATCCACTCTAAGAGATGTATGAGGAAACCATTTTAAATAAAAAGACTCAGATAGATTAAAAAAAAGAGAGAGAAAGTCATACTATGCTAACAAAAATCAGAAGAAAGCTTGAGTAGCTATATTAACTTCAGACAAAGTAGACATCAAAACAAGGAATATTATCAGAGACAAAGAGAGGCCTTACATAATGATAAAGAAATCAATTATCTGAAAACAACATTACATTTCTAAAAGTGTTTGCACCTAACAGCACAGTGTCAAAACAAAAGAGGTAAAAATTGATAGAATTGAAAAGAGAAAGAGACAAATCTAATATTATGGTTAGAAATTTCAACATCTCTCTTGTAGTAGTTGATAGATCAAGCAGGCAGAAAGTCAGCAAGAAATTAGTTAGAATGGCACTATCAATCAACTTGATCTAATTGGCATTTACATTTATAGAATGTTTCATCCAATGACAACAAAATGGATATTGTTCCCATATATAATATTCACCAGAAGACCACAACCTAGTCCAAAACTACACCTTAACATCTTCAAAAAAAAATGGAAGTCATACCAGAAATAAAATATGTTTTTAGACAACAGAAAAATTAAAATTGAAACCTACAATAGAAAGAAAGCTGAAAAATCCCCAAATATTTAGAAATTAAACAACATGCTTCTAAATAACCCAAAGGTCAAAGAATAAATCACAGTGAAATTAGAAAACATTTTCAACTGAATAAAAATAAAAATATAACAAATCAAAATTTATCAGAAACAACTAGAACAGTACTGGAAGGAATCATTATAACATTAAACATGTATATTAGAAAAGAAGAATGATTTAAAATCAATGCCATAAATTTCTACCTTAGGAAACTAGATAAAAAAGAGCAATTAAAGCCTAAAGAAAAAAGAAGAAAATAAATAATAAAAAAATTGAAATACTTACATGCAAATCTAACCAAATATGGACAGAAATTTTATGCAGATATCTATAAAACAATGATCAAAGAAATATGAGAATATCTAAATTAATGGAGAGATAATCCATGCTTGTGCATTGGAAGAATAAATGCATTTGAAATGTTATTTCTTCCCAATTTGATCTATTGATTCATAATAATCCCATCAAAAATCCAAAAAGCTCTTTTTAAAAATATTGACAAGCTTATTCTAAAGTTTATAGAGAAAGGGAAAAAAATCTGGAATAGCCAACACAATACTAAAGAAGAACAGAGTTGGAGGATTCCCATTACTCTACTTCAAGACTCAATATAAGACTACAATAATCAAGACAATGTGACATGAGTAAAAGGATAAATACATATATCATTGGAAAATAATAGATACATATATTGGAAAATAATAGATACATATATCATTGGAAAAGAACCTGGGAAAGAACATAAACAAATATAATCAACTGATCTTTAACAAAGGAACACAGGCAATTTGGTAAAAAAATAAAAACAAAAAAATAAAAAAGTATAGGATAGTCTTTTCAACAAACGGTGCTTGAAAAGTTGGACATTCATATGCAAAAAGAAAGTACTAGACACAGACCTTACATGTTTCAGAAAATTTAACTCAAAATAGATTATAAACCTAAATGTAAAATTAGAATTATAAAATTTCCAGAGGAAAATCTAGGTGAACTTAGGTTTAGTGATTATGTTATAGACACAACATCAAAATCACAATTCATGAAAGAAAAAGAAATTGGACTTAATTAAAATTTAACATTTCTGATATGCAAAATATACTGTAAGAGAATAAAAAGATAAGCAACAGATTGGGGAAAAAATTGGAAAACTCATATCTGATAAAGGACATCTATCCAAAATATACAAAGCACACTTAAAACTCAACATTAAGTAAACAACCTGATTAAATAATGGGTCACAGACCTTAACAAACATCTCATGAAAGATAAACAAATGGCAAGTAAGCTTATGAAAAGATGCTCCAAATTATATGTCATCAAGAATTGTTAATTAAACAATAATGAGATACTATTATATGCATATTAGAATGGCAAAAGTTCATAGAACTGACAATGCTAATTACTGATTAGGATGTAGAACAACAGGAACTTTCATTCATTGTTGATGGGAATGAAAAATAGTGCAGCCACTTTGGAAGACAGTTTAGCAGTTTCTTGCAAAACTGAGTTTTCTACAAAGTCTTATCATCTGTATTAGACCGTTTCACACTGCTGGTAAAGATATACTGGAGACCGGGCCATTTACAAAAGAGGTTTAATGGACTCACAGTTCCACATGGCTGGGGAGACCTCACAATCATGTGAAGGGCAAATCTCATATGGTGGCAGACAAGAGAAGAGAACTTGTGCCGGGAAGCTCCCCTTTATAAAACCATCAGATTTCATGAGACTTATTCGCTATCATGAGAACAGCACAGGAAAGACCTGCCACCATGATTCAATTACCTCCCACTGGGTCCCTCCCATGACACGTGGGAATCGTAGGAGCCACAGTTCAAGATGAGATTTGGGTAGGGACACAGCCAAACCATATCACCATCCATCCAGCAATCATGCTTCTAAATATTTACCCAAATAAGTTGAAAGACTATGTCTGCACAAAAATTTGCACAAGATGTCTTTTAAAGGTGAATAAATAAACAAACTATGGTAGACCCATACAATGGAATATTATTCAGTGATAGAAAGAAATGAGCTTTCAAGTCACAAGAAGACAAGGATGAACCTTATATGTATAATGCTAAGTAAAAAAAAAAGCCAATGGGGAAAGACTACATACTGTATGATTCCAATTCTATGACATGCTGGAAAAAGCAAAGCTATAGAGGTGGTAAAAAGGTCAGATTTCAGAGAGAAGATGGGAAAGGTAAGGGTTGTGTAGGTGAAGCATGAAAGATGGGATCTTTTTTAGGGCAGTGGAACTATTCTGAATGACACTGTGATGACGGATACATTATACTCTTGTGTCAAAAATCCATTGAATTTCAAAACACAGTGAACATCAATAATTGTAATTTTTAACTAAATATTTTGGAATCCAAGAATGGAATCTGGAATTTAGGAAAACATTATGACAGTACTACAAGTGTACAAAACAACTTCGCTGAAGGACATGAAAGAATAAAGGTGGTAATCTAAACAACTTTAGAAATGTGTGAAGTCTGTAAGAGCAAAGGCAAAAGAAATTATATCTAGGTATTGTAGTCTAATGAATAAAGTTGTTTACCACAGAGGTATTGACTTACAATTCTTATACAATTATAAATGTAAACAGAAATTAAACAATTAGGTAGATGGATGGAAGATAGTGGGAGCCACTTCATACTGTTGGAGTTAGAGGTTACAAATTAGCAAGAGACAGTCTAGAGTAATCTGTGTGCTTACATTTTAGGGCTGGAGACATCGGTAACAACTCTGTTTAGCTTAACACAAATAGTTCCACATAGAAATATTTATAGATATAAGAGTATAGACTGGTTCTTATGTATGAATATATCCTTAGTCTGTCAGCTGATAGGGCCTAAAGTGACAACACCCCAGTAGCAATGAACAAGCCTAGTACCTAGATCTTGGGGTTAGTATCATTCTTCAGCACTTCTTTTTGTAGAAATGCCTGATTCTAGGACTGGGAAAGGAAATACAGAAAATGAGACTGGAGCATCCTGTAGTGCCAGAAAGTAAGGAAATGCTCAAATTTTAATTAGTTAATTATGAGAATATGTCAAAAGGGCACAAAAGTCACTTGAAAGAGTTCCTAATGGCCAAAACTGGAAAAGTTTGTATAACAAAATAAATTAAGTAATAGATGAAATCTGCTATGGCTTCAATGTTTGTCATTTCCAAAAGTCATGATGAAATTTTGTTGCCATTGTAACAGTATTAAAAAATGGGATCTTTAAAAGGCGATTAACCAATGAGGGCACCACCCTCGTGGATAGGATTGATGTTGTTATGAAAGGGTGTTTGCATCCCTTTTTCCCCCTCTCTCTTGCCCTCTCTTGCTGTTCTACCATGTGATGACACAGTGAGAAGGCCCTCACCAGATGCTAGCACCTTGATATTGGACTTCCCAGCCTCCAGAATTGTGAGTCAATAAATTTCTGTTAATCATAAATTACCCAGTCTTGGGCATTCTATAATAGCAGTACAAAGCAAACTAAGATATAGCTCAAAGTATAAAATAAATATTGATAGGCCAGACGCAGTGGCTCATACCTGTAATCCCACCGCTTTGGGAGGCCGAGGTGGGCAGATCATGAAGTCAGGAGTTCGAGACCAGACTGACCAACAGCGTGAAACCCCGTCTCTACTAAAAATAAAAAAATTAGCTGGGTATGGTGGTGCGCACCTGTAATCCCAGCTACTCAGGAGGCGGAGGCAGAAGAATCGCTTGAACCCAGGAGACAGAGGTTGCAGTGAGCCAAGATCGCGCCATTGCACTCCAGCCTGGGTGACAGAGTGAGACTCCATCTCAAGAAAATTAATTAATTAATTAATTAAATATTGATGAATCAATACAAATACAAATAAATTTTTGAATGACTAAATAGATTTGGAGAAGACAAAATCTCCCATGTGGAATTCTGAATAATTTATGTAGATACTCTCTCCTTCAGGAAACAAAACAGTTCCCCATTCCTTCAGTGTAGGCTCCATGTGTTGATATATTTTCAAAGAACACAATATGAAAAACAGAAGGAAGAAAAGTTACTTTACAATGAAGAAACCTAACAAAAAATACTCAACCAGGTGATAAAAGTTAACATCAAAAATAGTCACATTTATAGTAAGTACTCTTGATACGACATGATAAAAATGTCCCTTTACCACTGTGGTATTCTTCCTCAAAACACACAACCCCGGTCTAACAATGAGAAAAACATCAGGCAAGTTCAAATTGAGGAACATTCAACAAAATACCTAACCAGCACCCTTCAAAACTATCACAGTCATCAAAAACAAGAAAAGGCTGAGAAATTCTCAAAGCCAAGAGGAGCCTAATCACACATGACAGGTAAATGTAATGTGACATCTTAGATGGAATCCTAAAATAGAAAAAGACATCAGGCAAATCGTAAGGAAATCTGAATAAATTCTAGTCTTTAGTTAAGAATAATGCATCAGTATTCATTTATTAATTGTAACAAATATACCATACCAATGTAAGCTTCTAATAATAGAGGATCCTGCATAGGGTATATGGAAATGTACTATGTTTACAATTATTCTGTACATCTAAAGCTGTTTTAAAATTAAATATTTATTTTTGAAAAATTATCTAATTACAATGAGCATGAAAAATATTTTAAAGAAAACTGAAATCCAACAGTTCTAAGAAAGTAGGAGCAAGGATCATCCAAAAGGCTTTGAAACAAGAAAACACACTGGACTTGGAGTCTCTCTACTGATTCCCCTGATGGGGTTACACACTTATCTTTGAAACTCTGTTTAATGGGATTGAAAACAACATGGATATGTTCTGTTCTGGTGGGATCTAGCTTGTTTCCTTGTTTTGTTCTGCTTGTTTGTTTCTTTTAAAAATTTGTACGCAGAGAATTGAAGCAAACTTCTCAGTTTATGATATATTGCTATCATTGGTGCTCGATTTGTCCTTCTATTGTATTTCATTATCTTTACTCCTGTTTATTCATAAAACACTCATTTCTCCTCTTGTCTACATAAGCTACCATTCTAACATGTTTTATGAGAATTTGGCAAAAGCTTAACATACCTCACCCCAAAAAGGCTAAAAAGTGATAATGTAGCATGTACCTTCTTTCCTGGTGGTAAAATCCTTATCTGAGATAAAAATCACTTAAATAGGAGCTTTGGGGTGATAAGTGTTATTGAAAGGCTGGGTTTTGTTTGAAAGCTGTGGGTTTAATAGAACATTATTAAACCATTTAATCTCTCCTGCAGAGACATTTCATGATGTCCCCTCAGGGAACTTTCCTTGCAGGAGGTCTTGGAGTCAGCTTGTGGCCAAGTTGGTGACAGTTCAAGAAGTTCATCCTGCTCTAATTTCAACTGAGCAGCAAGAGAGCTCACAGCAGGAAATTCAAATTTGAAAATCTCAAGGAAAAATACATGCTGCCTTTCATTTCCCACCACCCAGGATATTAAACCCAGATGACCATAGTGAACACAAGAGAAAGACAAATTGCAGAAATAAGCACTGCTATTCTAAGTCACTGGGCCATTTCAAGTGGTAGGACTATTTTATTTCTAGGAAATTCACTATCTTCCCTAAAGGAAAAAAAAAAACATGCCTTAGGAAGCTATTTTATCAACAAAATAGTAATATCTGAGGAAAGTGATCATTTTGCAGAAATTAAAGTTTAGAGTTTACATGCAATGAATCCAGCAATGGCTTTGAATCTAATATTGTTAAGTCATTTCATCAACTTGCTGCAATTAGACTCCAAGAAAACCTATGCATTGTTTCTCTTCTCTCTGGCACTCAGAAGATACCTGCCAACCTTTGTTCTAAAATCACCAAGAGGAAGCATGTAAGAGCAGAGTTTTGAAGAGAGGGATGCGAATTTAATTTCTAGCTCAACCCAACTCAGCCCTTATCTCCTGTGTGACCTTGAGAAAGCGGATTATCCTTTATGGATGTTGGTTTCAGCATTTTAGGAATAGGGAAAATAATACTAGTGGGACACACTGAATGGTTAGACTTTATTCAGACTATAAGACAAAAGTCATGTCGATCTTTTAAAAATTCTCTTAAAAACTGCTATTTTGGTTTACATATTTAATTAAGTCCAGCAGAGCCAGATTCTTCTCCAGTGTTGAAAAAGATGGCTTTTGCTCACTTGAAGACAAGATGAAGTAGTTGGCTTGCATTTGACAGCTCTGTTGAAACAGCAACTATTTAGCTTTAAACATTAGAATTGCACTAAGTACAACCACAAAATGAGAAGCATTGGAAACAAAGGCCATTTCAGGGAATAACAGCTTTGTGTGTCTATTTTGGGTCACTCCAAGCCAAATACTAACTAGTTGAGGTCTAACCAGAATTGAGTGCATTATTTAAATATATCCTGTGAGAAAAATGGTGAAATAGGAGACCTCCACTTATATTCTCACCAGCAACAATAATTTGGCAGCTACCGAGCGACAAAGTGCCTTTGTGCGAGCTTTGGGATTCATGTTGGAGACTGCGAAAACCCAGTGGAGCCTAAGAACTAATAGGGCTGTTCTGAGAAGGCAGAACTGTACTCAGATGGGAGGCTCATTAATTGTGGTCCCAGCTCTAGATACAGAAATGACCCCATCCTCCTGTGGACTATGCCACAGACCCATTTGGCCTTGATCCTGCTTTTAGAACTGTCTGCTAAAGGACCTAGGAGGAGTTATGCCCACTTGTGCCTTTAGTAACAGGTTTGCCAATCTCAGTCTCAGATATGGAGGAGAAAACAGCCCTGAAACTTGGCTCCAGACCCTCTCCACTGCAGTCTGAGAACAATTCTGCTCACTGAGGGATATATGAAAGTCCATGCCCCCAGAAGCAGACCTGTAGACCTTAGTTTCAGCTGTGGACCCTGAAGCAGCCCTGTGACTCAGTTCCAATCCCTCTTAGCCACAGTCTAGGTTCAGTACAGCCTGCCCAAGGACACACGCAGTGACACAACCAGAGCTCCTAGGAACCCAGAGGAAACCACAACAGACCACATACCTGATAGTTGACCCACCATCTGCAAATCCTGAAGTAGAGCATTATGTTAGCACCAGCCCTAATGACCAAGGTCCTGGAGTCAACCCAGTCCGTACAGGGACCAGGCAGGTTCTGTGCCCACTTGTGGTAACAAGTCTGCCACTTGTGAACCCAGCAGCAGTCATGTGGCCCAGCTCCAACCCCACTTGACTACAATCCCAGAGGGAATCTCATGTTCCTGGGGATTCGAGAGGGGAAAGCCTTTACCAGTCAACAGCAGTCTTTAAGACTGGAAGAGATGTTTGCTCCTTCAAATACACAGACACCAACTCAAGGCTATGTGAGTGAAAAAGAACCAGACAAACATGACACCACCAAAAGAAACTAATAAAGTTCCAATAATGGACACCAAAGGAAAGAGAGATTGATAAAATGCCTGAAAAAGAATTCAACACAATCATTTTAAAAGAGTTAAATGAGATGTGAGAAAAACGCAACTAAACAAAAATAGGAAAACAATGCATGAAAAAAATCAAAATTTAATAAAGAACTAGAAATAATTTTTAAAAACCCAATTAGAAATCCAGGAGCTAAAGAATACAATGACAGAACTAAAAAATTCAATAGATTTAACAGCACACTTAATCATGCAGAAAATAGAATTGGCAAACTTGAAAGCAGATTATTTGAAGTTAGCCGATTGTAGGAACAAAACTAAAAAGGAATTTTAAAAAACTGAATAAAGCATAAAGGGAACCATCAAGCACATGAATAGATTAATTATAGAAGTCCCAGAATAAGAGCAACAATGAAGAAAAAGTTTATTTAAAGAAATACTGGCTGAAAACCCCAATCTTGAAGGAATATGGACACCCAGATTTATAAGTTCAAAAGATTCAAAGCAGAACCCATGAAAAAAGAATACTCTGACACAATGAGATCAAACTGTCAATGCCAAAGAAAGAGGACTTTGAAAGGAACAAGAGAAAAGAAACTTCCCTCATATCTTAGGAAATATCTGTAAGGTAGCTATCACCAGAAGACTGTTAACAGAAACCTCACAAGCCAAGAGAGAGGAGAATGTTGTATTCATAATGCTCAAAGAAAATACATAGTCAAATTCAGAATGTTATCATACTATAATGGTGATGGTAAATCATTTTAACTCCAGTATAAAAGTAAAAGACAAACATATTAAAAAATAACCATAGCTACAATAATTTGTTAATGCATACACAATCTAAAAAATATAGAGTATAACATCAATAGCAAAAAATAGGGGTGGGGAACAAAAGTATAAGATTTTTGCATATGATTGAGATATCAGTTTAAAATAGAAAATTATAACACATTTTATTTAAGCCCCATGGTAATCACAAAAAAATTCTCTAGTAGATGCAAAATAATAAAAAAAAATCAAAGCATACCATTACAAAAAAATATCAAATTACAAAGGAAGGCAACAAGAGAAGAAGAAAAAGACAAAAAAAAAAAAAAACTACCAAATAGTCAAAAGACAACTAACAACATGGCAGAAGTAAGTCTCTACCTATCAATAATTACAATAAATATAAATGCATTTATTGCTCCAATCAAAAGACTCAGAGAAGCTGAATGGGTAAGAGGAAAAGACAATATCCGACAATATGCTGTACACAGGAAAATAATTTTACATTAGTTATACACGTAGGCTGAAAGTGAAGAGATGGGAAAAGATATTGCAGGCAAATAGTAACAAAAGAGAACAGAGGTGGCTATATATATAGTCTTTCAAACAAAATTAGTCAAAAGAGACAAGATAAAGTCTTTAGATGATGATAAAGGGGTCAATTCATCAAGAAGATATAACAATTATAAATATATATGCACCCAACATCAGAAAATCTAAATATGTAAAGCAGGTATAATTAACCACCTATATCCATGGGTTCCACATCTGTGAATTCAACAAACTGCGGATCAACAACCCATGATTGGTTGAATCCAAGGATGTGGAACCCACAAGTATAAAAGGTAGTGTCCAAAAAAATATTTTTCCTTTAAAGATTTTCTAAACAAGACAGTCTAACAACAATTTACATGGTACTTGTATTGTATTAGGTAGTAAAAGTAATCTAGAGAATATTTAAAGTATACAGTTGGATATGCACAGATTGTATGCAAATATTGCACTATTTTATATAAAGTAATTATATATCATAAATTTTTAGTATGATAAATTTTGGTGTCTGCAAGGGCTCTAGAACCCAATCCCCCATAGATATCAAGGGACAACTATATTAACAGAACTGAAGGGAACAGACAGCAAAACAATAATAGTAGCAAACTTCAATAACCCACTTTCAACAGATCATCCAAACAGAAAATTAATAAAGAAACAGCTGACATAAATAACAATATAGACGAAATGTACCTGACAGGCATACATAGAACATTTTGTCCACAGCAGTGGAATACATATTCTTCTTCTCAAGGGCACATGTAACATTCTCCAGGATAGGTCATATGTTTGGACACAAAACAAGTCTTAACAAATTTAAGATTGAAATCATCTCAGTTAATTTTTCTGATCTCAATGGTATAAAACTAGAAATTGATAACAGGATAAATCTTGGAAAATTCACAAATACATGAAAATTTAAAAACCCACTCCCAAACACCAATGTGGCAAAGAAGAAATCAAAAGAGAAATAAGACAGTATCTGGAGACAAATGAAATTAGGGACACAACATATCAAAACTTTTAGGATGCAGCAAAAGCAGCACTAAGGAAGAAGTTTATAGCAATAAATGCCTACATTAAGAGAAAAAGAAAGATCCAAAATAAACAATATAACTTCACATCTTAAGGAACTAGAAAAAGAAGAAAAAACTAAGTCCAAAAGTAGTGGAAACAAGAAAACAATAAAAAAAATTGAGCAGAAATAAATGAAATAGAGACTAGAAATATGATAGAAAATATCAATAAAAATGAGAGTTGGTCTTTTATAAAGATAAACAAAATTGAGAAACAGCTAGACAACCAAGAAAATAAGAGTGGACTTAAATAAATGCAACTATAGAATTAGGAGGTGGAGCAAGATGGTGGAATAGAAGGCTCCACTGATTGTCCCCCTTTTAAGAACACCAACTTAACAACTATCTACGCAGAAAGAACACCTTCATAAAAAACAAAAATCAAGTAAGCACTTAGAGTACCTGGTTTTAACTGCATATCACTGAAAGAAGCAATAAAGAGATAGAAAAAACAGTCTGGAATCGCCAACACCACCCCTCTCACACACTCCAGCAGTGGCGGCATGGTGCAAAGAGCCTCTCTAGGCACCGGGGGAAGGAGGACACAGCAACTGTGAGGCATTTAACTCAGTGCTGTTCATTAGAGCAGAAAGGAAAACCAGACCAAACTCAACTGACACTCACTCACGGAGGGAGCACTTAAACCAGTCCTAACCAGAGGTGATTTACTGATCCCAGTGGTCCAAACTTGAGTTCCTTGCAAACCTTGCCACCAAGGGCCAAAGTGTGTTCAGTTGCTAACTAAACTTGAAAGGCAGTCTAGGCCATAAGTACTTCAAGTCTTAGGCTAGTCCTAGTGCTGAACTAGGCCCAGAGACAGTGGACTGGAGGAGGGGCACATGACATACTGAGACACCAGCTGGGGAAGCCAAGGGAGTACTGGCATCACATCTCCCCTAACCCCAGGATGCACGGCTAATCTCGTGGCTCCAAAAGAGACCCCTTCCCTCCACTTAAGGAGAGGAGAGGGAAAAGTGGGGAGGACTTTGTCTTGCATCTGGGATACAAGCTCAGCCACAGCACAATAGGTCACCAGTCAAAGTTATTAGGCCCCAGTCCCAGGCTCTAGCTCACAGACAATATTTCCAGACACACTCTGGGCCAGAAGGGAACCTGCTGCCTTGAAGGAAAGAATCCAGTTCTGGCAGCATTCATTACCTGTTAACTGAAGAGCTCTTTCAGTGATACCCAGGTACTATGTAGGGGGCTTTGAGTGAGCTTCTGAGACTTGCTGGCTTCAGGTGAGACTCAGCACTTTATCAGCTGTGGTGTCAATGGGGCAACACTCCTTCTGCTTGAGAAAAGGAGAAGGAAAAGTAAAGGGTACATACTTTTATCTTGCACCTTAGGTACCAGCACAGCAACAGGTGGGTAGAATAACAAGAGGGCTCTTGGGACCCCCTGATTCCAGGATTTGACACTTGGATGGCATTTCTGGACCTGCCCTGGGCTGGAGGGGGGCCCATTTCCCTGATGATTGAGTTCCAGACCAAGCAACATTCACCACAAGCTGATTTCAGAGCCCTTGGGCCTTAAGAGAATATCAGTGGTAGTCTGGTAGTACTCTTCATGGCCTGAGGTGGTGGCGGCTATGGAGTGAAGCTTCTTTGCTTTTGGAAAGGAGAGGGAAGAGTGGGGAGACTGATTCTTGTGGTTTGAGTGCCAGCTCAGCTGCAATACAATAGAACACCAGGTAGATTTCTAAGGGTTTTGACACTAGTCCCTAACTCTCAGATGGCACTCTGGACCCACCTGGGGCCCCCGGGACCTTGCTGCCCTGAAGAAAAGGACACAAGCATGGCTAGATTTTCCAACTGCTGATTGTGGAGCCCTGGGGTCTTGAGTATACATAGGCAGTAGCCAGAGAGTGGCTACAGTAGGCCTTGGGTGAAACCCAGTGCCATACTAGCTTCAGGTCTGACCCAACACATTCATAGTGGTGGCAGCCACAGGGGTTGTTGTGTCACTTAACCCCCAGCTTTAGGTGTCTCAGAGCATAGAGGGACTATTTGCTTGAGAGAAAGTAAGGGAAGAGAACAAGAGTCTCTGCCTGGTAATCCAGAGAATTCTCCTGGATCATGTCCAAGACCATGAAGGTGGTACCTCCACAAGTCTGCAAGGACCACAGTGTTACTGGTCTCAGGGTGCTCCCGAAATCAGAAACAATAAATACTGAACACTTCAATGCCTAGACACTGAAGAACATCTACCAGTGTCAACACCATCCAAGAAAACATGACCTTACTAAATGAAATAGATAAGGTACCAGGGACCAATCCTGGAGAAATGTAACCTTTCAGACAGAGAATTCAAAATAGCCATGTTGAAGAAACTCAAAGAAATTCAAGTAACACAGACAAGGAATCCAGAATTATATTAGATAAATTTAACAAAGAGATTAAAATTATTAAAAAAGAATCAAGTGAAAATCCTGGAGCTCAAAAATTCCAGGCTAAAAAAAGAAGAGAGAAGATACAAATAAATAAAATCAGAAATAAAAAACGACACATTACAACTGAGACTACAGAAATTCAAAAGATCATTAGTAGCTACTGTGAAAAACTATATGCCAATGAATTGGAAAAATCTAGAAGTGGACAAATTCCTAGACACATACAACCTACTAAGATTGAAGTAGGAAGAAATCCAAAACCTGATTAGACTAATAACATGTAAAAGGATTGAAGCCATAATAAAAAGTCTCCCAGTAAAGAGTAGTCTGGGACCTTATGGCTTCACTGCTGCATTCTACCAAAGCATTTAAAGAAAAACTACCAATCTTTATCAAACTAATCTGAAAAATAGAGGAGGAGGGAATACTTTCAAACTCATTCTCTGAGGCCAGTATCAGCCTGATACCAAAACCAAACACACATTAAAAAAATAAAACTACAGGCCAATATCTCCGATGAATATGGATGCAAAAATCTTCAACAAAATACTAGCAAACCACATTCAACAATACATTAGAAAAATCGTTCATCATGATCAAGTGGGATTTATCCCTGGGATGCAAGGGTGGTTCAATGTATGCAAATCAATTAATGTGATATAGCATGTCAAGAGAATGAAAAACAAAAACTATATGATTATTTCAATTGATGCTGAAAAAGTATTTAATAAAATTCAACATCACTTCATGATTAAAAACCCTCAAAAAACTGGACATAGAAGGAACGTATCTCAACATAATACAAGCCATATACAACAAACACATAGCTGGTATCATACTAAAGGAGGAAAAACTGAAAGCCTTTTTTCTAAGATCTGGAACATGACAGGGATGCCCATTGTCACCACTGTTATTCAACATAGTACTGAAAGTCCTAGCTAGAGCAATCTGACAAGAGAAAGATATAAAGGGCATCCAAATTAGAAAGAAAGAAGTCAAATTATCCTCTTTTTCAGATGATATCATCTTATATTTGGAAAATCCTAAAGACTCCACAAGAAAACTATTAGAATTGACAAATTCTGTAAAGTTGTAGGATACCAAAATTAACATACAAAAACCAATTGCATTTCTATATGCCAACAGTGAAAAACATGAAAAAGAAATACAAAACGAATACTATTTACAATAGCTACATATAAAATTAAATACCTAGGAATTAATCAAGGAAGTGAAAATCTCTATGACAACTATAAAACACCAATGAAAGAAATTGAAGAGGACAACAAAAAATGGAAAAATATTCCACGTTCACAGATTGGAAGCATCAATATTGTTAAAATGTTCATACTACCCATAGCAATCCACAGATTCAATGCAATTCCTATCAAAATACCAATTGCATTATTCACAAAGGAGAAAAAAAAATCCTAAAATTTATATGGAACCACAAAAGGCATAGAATACCTAGAGCTATTTTAAGCAGAAAGTACAAAACTGGAAAAATAACATCACTTGACTTCAAATTATACTACAGAGCTATAGTAACCCAAACGGCATGTTGCTGGCATAAAAACAGACACATAGACCAATAGAACAGAATTAAAAAAACTCAGAAACAAATGCACACACCTGTAGAAAAATCACTTTTGTTGAAGGTGCCGAGAACATATCCTGGGAAAAGACAGTCTTCCCCATAAATGGTGCCCAGAAAACTAGGTATCCATATGCAGAAAAATGAAACTAGGCCACCATCTCTTGCCATATACAAAAATCAAATCAAAATTGATTAAAGGGCTTAGATCTAAGACCTCAAAAACTACTATGAAAAAAACATTGGGGAAAATCTCCAGGACATCGATCTGGCCATAAGTTTCTTGAGCAATACCCTACATGCACAAGCAACTAAAGCAATCATGGACAAATCACATGAAGTTAAAAAGCTACTACATAGCAAAGGATACAATCAACAAAATGAGGAGAAAACCCATATAATGGGAGAAAATATTTGCAAACTACCAATCTGACAAAGGATTAATAACCAGAATATATAAGGAGCTCAAACAATTCTATAGGAAAAAATACATAATCCAATAAAAAAATGAGCAAAAGATTTGAATAGACACTTCTCAGAAGTCTGATGTGCTTATTTTACATTGCATGTCTATATCAAAACACCTCATGTACCCCATAAATATATACACCTACTATGTACCCACAAAATTTAAAAATAAAAAATAAATGCAATTATAAATGAAAAAGGAGGCATTACAACTGATACCACAGAAATATAAAGGATCATAAGAGATAACTATGAAAAATTATATACTAACAAATTAGATAACCTCGAAGAAATTGATAAATCCCTAGACACATAATTTACCAAGAATAAGTCATAAAGAAATAGAAAATCTGAACAGGTAGATAACAAAAATATTAGATCAGTAATCAAAAACCTCCCAACCGTAAACAAAGGTAGAATCAGATGGCTTCATGGATAAATTCTCCCAAACATTTGAAGAAGAATTAATGCCAATCTTTTTCAACCTCTTCCAAAAAAAAATCAAAGTGAAGAGAACACTTCTAAACACATTTTATGAGGCCAGAATGATTATATCAAAGCCAGGTAAGGATAAGAACAGAAAATCACAGGCAACTATTCCTAATGGACATAGATGCAAAAATCCTCAAAAAAACTGCAAGCAAATGAAATTTAAAAATCACATGAAAAGAATCATACACCATTATTAATTGAGACTTTTGCCTGGGATACAAGGATGTTTCAACATGCACAAATCAAATCAATTAATGTGATATACCATATTAACCCAACGAAGAACAAAAATCATATGATCAGCTCAATTGATGCAGGTAAAGTGTTTGACAAAATTCAATATCCTTTCATGATAAAACCTCAACAAATTAGGTATAGAAAAAATGTATCTCAACATAATAAAGGCCATATATGACAAGCCCACAGGGAATATCATACTCAGTGGTGAAAAGATGAAAGCTTTCCTTTAAGATCAGGAAAAAGACAGATGCTGCCCACTCTCGCCACTTCTATTCAACATAGTACTGAAATTCCTAGCCAGAGCAATTAAGCAAGAGAAAGAAATAAAAGGCAACCAAATTGGAAAGGAAGAAGTAAATTATCTCTGTAGATCACATGATTTTATGTATAGAAAACCCTAAAGACTCTGCCAAAAAATCTATTAAAACTAATAAACATCCACATTGACTGAATATAGGGGAAAAAACCCTAATAAACAAATTCAGAAAAGTTACAGAATACAAAATAAACATATAAAAATCAGTTGCATTTCTATATACTAACAGTGAACTATCCATAAAAGAAATTTTAAAAATAACCCCATTTACAATAGCATCAAAAAGAATAAAATACCGAGGGGGTGAAAGATCTGTACATTGAAAATTACAAAACACTCATGAAAGAAATTGATGATGCAAATAAATGGAAAGCTTTGCCATGTTTATGAATTGGGAGAATAAATGCCCATGTTCATGGATTGGAATTAATACTGTTAAAATATCCATACTACTCAAAACAATCTACAGATTCAATGAAATCACTATCAAAATTCCAACGGCATTTTACACAGAAATAGAAAAAGCAATCCTAAAATTCATATGAAACCAAAAAAGAACGAAGATAGTCTAAGCAATTTTGAGAACTAAAACAATGTTAGAGACATCACATACCCTGATTTCAAACTATATTACAATTATGGTAATGTAAGCAATAGAGTACTGACATAAAAACAGACGCATAAACCAATGGTACAGAATAGAGAGCTCAGAAATAAACCCATGCATATCTGATCAACCAATCTTTGACAAAGACATCAAGAATACACAATGGGGAAATAAGAGTTACAATAAAGAATTTAGTAGGGAAAACTGAATATCCACGTACAAAGGAGTGAAGTTGGATGTTTTTCTTATACCATACACAAAAATTAATTAAAATGGATTAAAGACTTAAATGTAAGATCTGAAACCATAAAACTCGTGGGAGAAAACATAGGGAAAAAAAGTTAACATTTAATTTTGGCAATGACTTTTTGGATATGAACCCAAAAGCACAGGCGATTAAAGCAAAAATAGACAAATGGGATTACAACAAACTAAAAAGCTTCTGCACAACAAACTAAAAAGCTTCTGCACAGCAAAGGAAACAATCAACAAAATGAAAAGGCAACCCATAGAATAGGTGAAAATATTTGCAAGCCATATACTTTATAAGGGGTTAATATCCAAAATATGTAAGAAACTCACACAACTAAATAGCAATCAATCAATAACAATTAAAAGTGTGCAAAGAACCTGAATAGACATTGTTCCAAATGGCCAACATGTATATGAAACAGTGCTCAGCAACACTAATCATCAGAGAAATGCAAATCAAAACCATTACAAGATATCACCTCACACCTGTTAGAATGGCTACTATTGGAAGGACAAGAAATAACAAGCATTCCAAGGTTTAGAAGAAAAGGGAATCTTTGCACACTGTTGATGAAAATGTAAATTGGTACAGCCATTATAGAAAACCGTACGGTGTACAATGAGCAAGGATTTATTGTGTATATACCTGAAAGTTGAATTGCTGGACTGTGGTGTAGACATGTATTACACTGTTAACACTGTTCATGTTTTACCCAAGTCTTTTTCACCATTTATTATGTTATCCCTCAATCCCAGATGTTAGAAATGAAATCTTATACAGAGCATCTGAATCTTTTCTCTGCCTGTAGGCAGACCCTGAAATATGAAGCATTTGCTCATCCATCTCATCTGCTCTTGACCGGTAACTGGGGGGCAGGTGGAAGGAAAGAAAGATAAAACTCCCCTGCTTCTATTCTGAACAATTTTGAGGAGTAATTTTCACTGCAGAGCTCCCATCTGGGATCAGGGTGAAGACAACTCTACAGGACTTTGCCTGAGATCTCACTGTTAGTTGTCTTAGTCCCCTTCCCTGTCCTGCTTTCTTGCACTTTTACTAGCCTCCCCTGAGATCACTTAATAAAGCACAGATTCTCATTTCAGAATCAGTCTCTAGGGAACCTGGACAAAGATAAGGCATATTTCAAATACACCAAACACTGCTACATAGCTTTCCAAATAAATTGAACTGGTGGCTATACCTCCTACTTCCATCCTTAACAATATTATGGGAGTTAAACCAAGCCTCCACACCAACTCCTGCATTTTGGAGTTATGGTTTTTTTTTCCTCCAAATCTGATAACTCTGAAAGGGTATTTCATTACTGTTTTATTTTGCATTTCCCTGATTGCTAGTGAGCTTGACCTCTTTTTCTTAAGTCTCTTGGCCACATTTCCTGTTCTGTGGACGACTATTTATTTTCTTTATCCATTATCCTATTGAAGTGTTTGTCTTTTCTTACAGGTATGTAGGAGTTCTTTATAAATTCTGGAGGTTAAACCTTTGTAACATATATGTCTTAAATATCTTCACCTAGTCTGTGACTTGTCTTTTAAATTTATGCTAGCTTAGATTAAAATTTTTTCACTTTAATATACTCAAATTTACTCACCTTTTCCTTTATACTTTGTGCTTTTTTGTTTTCCTTTCTATTTTTTATTTATTATTTATTTATTTATTTATTTTTGAGATGGAGTTTTGCTCTTGTTGCCCAGGCTGGAGTGCAGTGGTGCCATCTTAGCTCACCGCAACCTCCGCCTCCCAGCTTCAAGCAATTCTCCTGCCTCAGCCACCTGAGTAGCTGGGATTTCAGGTGCCCGCCAGCATGCTCAGCTAATTTTTGTATTTTTTTAGTAGAGACAGGGTTTCACTATATTGGCCAGGCTGGTCTCGAACTCCTGACCTTGAGTTGATCCACCCACCTCGGCCTCCCAATGTGCTGGGATTACAGGCGTAAGATGCCACGCCTGGCCGTTTTTTTGTTTTTCTATGAAATATTCTCCTAACCCAAAGTTATAAAGATTTGCTCCTAAATTTTCTTCTTTTTTAAATTTTTTTTATTTTAAGTTCTGGGGTACATATGTAGGATGTGTAGGTTTGTTACATAGGTAAATGTGTGCCATTATGGTTTGCTGCACCTATCAACCCATCACCGAGGTATTCAGCCCAGCATGCATTAGCTATTTATCCTAATGCTCCCCCTCCTCCCATTCACCCCCAACAGGCCCCAGTGTGTGTTGTTCCCCTCCCTGTGTCCATGTGTTCTCATTGTTTAGTTCTCACTTATAAGTGAGAATATGCAGTGTTCAGTTTTCTGTTCCTGCATTAGTTTTCTGAGGATGATGTCTTCCAGCTCCATCCATGTACCTGCAAAGCACATGATCTCATTCCTTTTTATGGCTGCATAGTATTCCATGGAGTATATGTACCACATTTTCTTTATCCAGTTTATCATTGATGTGCATTTGGGTTGGTTCCATTTCTTTGCTGTTGTGAATAGTGCTGCAATGAACATACATGTGCATATATCTTTGTAATAGAATGATTTATATTTTCTTCTAAACATTTAAACATTTTGCTTATCACATTTTTTCTTTAATCATCTTATGTATTGTGTGTGGTAGGGATTTGACTGTGATTATTTTTTCTGATAGTTTTTTTTTTTTTCAAATAAATTTTCGCCACCACTTTTTAATGCCACTTGTGCCACATATCAACCTTCCACAAATGCATAGACCTCTTTTGTTCTATTGATTCATTTGTCTATCTCTTAACCAATGCTTTATTTCTTATTTATTATGGTTTTATAGTCATTCTCGATGTCTATAAAACAATCTGCTGGCCGGGCGCAGTGGTTCACGCCTGTAATCCCAGCACTTTGGGAGGCCGAGGCGGGCGGATCATGAGGTCAGGAGATCGAGACCATCCCGGCTAACATGGTGAAACCCCGTCTCTACTAAAAATACAAAAAATTAGCCAGGCGTGGTGGCGGGCGCCTGTAGTCCCAGCTACTCAGGAGGCTGAGGCAGGAGAATGGCTTGAACCCGGGAGGCGGAGCTTGCAGTGAGCCGAGATTGCGCCACTGCACTCCAGCCTAGGAGACAGCGAGACTCCGTCTCAAAAAAAAAAAAAAAAAAAAAAATAGAAAAAGAAAACAATCTGCCATCTTCTTTTTCAAAAATTGTGTTTTAACAATGCTTGTCCCTTTCTTTTTCCATATGGGTTTTAGGAGAAGCTTATCAAATTCCATGAAAAATTATAATTTTAAGTAGAATTTCATTGAATGTTTAGAATAACTTATGGAGCACTGATAACTTGACGTAATTTTTCTAGCCATGAACATAATATAGTTAGCCCTTCCTATCCATGGCTACTCCAGCTGCAGATTCAACCAAATGCAGATTGGAAATATTTGGAAAAATATAACAACACAACAATAAAAAATGAAAATTTTAAGAAGTACAGTATAACTATTTACATTGCATTTATATTGTATTAAATTATAAGTAATCTAGAGATCATTTTACAGGAGAATGTGTATAGATTATTTGCAAATACTACACAATTTTACTAGAGGGACTGTTGATTTTGGTATTCAAGGCAGGTCCAGTAATCATTCCCCTGCAGGTATCAGGGAGTGACTGTATATCTCTCAATTTCTTCCTGTTTTTGTGACCTTCAGAAATATTTGCAATCTTCTCCATAAAGATATTAAATATATTTTGTTAAATGTACCCCTTGGTACATTACAATATGTTACATATTACATATTATTACATATTTTACTTTGTGTTTTCTGGTGTTTAGGATGGTGTTAATGTTTGCACATTGCTCCCCTATCTATCTGACAACTTTGTTAAATTCTAGTATCTCTAATAGTTTATAGATTCTTTTGGATTTACTTTAGAGACAATCATGTTTTCCGTGATTAAGAATATTTGTTCTGCTCCCTTCAAATCTCTCTCTTATTTTTGGCTTATTGCATCAGATATAACTTCTAATATAATGATAACAGGAACAACTAAAATTTGCCTTATTTTTTTCTGATATTAGTAAGAATGATTGTAGTGTTACCATTAAGCATAATATTTGTTATACATTTTTAATGGAAATAAACAATTTAGGGACATTTCCATTGATTTTCAGTTGGCTGTCTTTAATGTATTATAATATTGTAATAGTTATGATTTGATTTATAATATTTTAAATATAATATTTAAATAAATAGTATAATTTAATATATAACTGTGACTGTGTATCCATCAGTTGAGATGATCATATGGTATTTCCTTTTAATCTGTTAATATGATGAATTACATTATTTAATTTTCCCATATAGATACATTACTGGAATAATCACTTGACATTTATATACATAAAAGCATATATGTGGCCCTTTCCGTTTGTTTATAATTTATCTAGATTCTCTGCATTTGTACTCTTAAGTGAAACTGATCTATAATTTTATTTTATTTTACTTTCTTGGTCTAGTTTGAATATCAGAATTACAAATTGTCACAAAATGAGTTGAAGAGCTCTCAACCTTAATTCTTTGAAATGGTTGTTTTTTTTTTTTAAGATGGAGATAGTCTGTTCTTCAAATGACTGGTATAATGTCCTTGTTAAAACAATCTGGGCCAAAAGACAGGTGACTGTGATCCTTGTGTGGTGGGGGTAATGGGAACTTGGGTTAATAGGGGAAGAGGGGAAGAATTTTAATTATTGGTCTCAGTTTTGGATAACTATCTTTTGATTTATGTTTTCCACATCTTCTTGACTCAGATTGGTGTTTTAAATATATTTTTCTAGAAAATTGTTTAAGTGTTGAAATTTACTTTTGTAGCAAAAATATGCTTATATGATTTCTGTTGTTTTTAAATTCCTATTTTATACATAATTACATACGCTTGTTTATTCTTTTATACCTTTTTGTTCTTCAGTCTTGTTAGGGGTTTATCTACTTTATTAGTTTTTGTCAAAGAATGGTATTTGGATTTTCCTCGCTCTTTCTATAGTTCCTTTATTTTATGTTTAAATTTTTTGTTTGTTTTTTATTGCATTATTTTCTTGTACCTACATTAAGTTCACCTTTTTTTTTTTTTTAGCTTTTGGTTCAAATAATTCATTTATGTTTAATCATTTATTTACTAAGAAATGAGTTTAGGCCTGGTGCAGTGGCTCAAGTCTGTAATCCCAGCACTCTGGGAGGCCAAGATGGGTGGATTGCTTGAGCCCCGGTATTCAAGACCAGCCTGGGCAACACGGTGAAACACCATCTCTACAAAATAAACAAAAATTAGCTGGGTGTGGTGGTGCACGGCCGCGGTCCTAGCTACTTGAGAGATTGAGGCAGGAGAATCGCTTGAGCCCAGGAAGCAGATGTTTCAGTGAGCTGAGATCATGCCACTGAACCCTAGACTGAACAACAGAGTAAAACTCTGTTTCAAAAAATAAAAATAAATAAAAAATGTGGGGAGCGGGGCCAAGATGGCCAACTAGAAACAGCAGCGTTCAGAGGCTCCCATTGAAGAAAACCATAATAAACACGTGAATCCTTTACAGGCAACCAAGGTATCCAGGTTCTCTCATCGGAACTGACTAGGAGACTGGTGTGACCTATGGAGAGAAAGAAGAACAGTGTGGTGCGGCGGCCCACCTGAGAGTGAGTGGTGGTGAGTGAGCATGCTACCCAGCTAGGGAAACCATGTTTTTTCCACAGAACTGTGCAATCCATGGATTGGACGATCTCACTGGCAAACCCATGCCACTGGGGCCTAGCCGGGGAATGCGCAGACTCTTAGCCTCTCTGCTGGAATCTGTTGAAGCCTACCAAACTCCCATGGGGAGGGACAACCAGCTCCTCCACTGCAGCTGCCTGCTGTCTAAGCCATTTGAGCTCCTTGGGGGAGGGGGCAGCAGCCAGTACTGGGACTCTCAAGTGCCTAACACGCTAAGCTCCCTGGGCAGGGGAAGGGCGGCATCCATCTCTATGGCTCCAGGCTGTGCTTTTCCCCTGCTGGAGCCAGGGAGCTGGACGGTTTGGTGTCAAGATTTGTCCCCACAGCCCAACACACCGGCTGTGGCAGTCAGCAGCCAGAGGGCCTCTTTAGGCCTGACCCTGACCCATCCTTCCTCATTGGGTGGGGCTTCCCTGCAGGAACTCCAGTAACTCCAGCCAGAGGCTCAGAGACAGAACCTGGATTTCCCTGGGCCTGAGCCCCTAGGGGAGGGGGCGGCCACAGTCTTTGCCGACCAGCAGACTTAGACTTTCCTCCTGGTAGTTCTGAGGAATCCAGGCAGCCCAGATGAGTGGGTTTCCCCCCATCAAGGCACACCCCCTCCACCAACGGACTCAGTGCTTTGTTAAATGGGTCCTGTTCCCTGTGCCAGCCAACTGGGTGAGACCCTCCAACAGGTGTTGTCAGACATCCTATACAGGAGCAATCCTATTGGCATCAGGTTGGTGCCCCTCGAGGTCAGAGATCACAGAAGAAGGAGCAGGCACCTGTCTATGCTGTTATCCGGGCTTCTTAAGTGACATCTCCAGGCATGCGAGTGAATCAGATGAATAGGACCTGAAGTGAACCCCCAGCAAACTTCAGCAGCCCTACACAAGAGGGACCCGACCATTGAAAGAAAAACAAACAAGCAGAAAGCAACAACAACAGCATCAAGAACAACAAAAAGCCCCCAGAAAAACCCCATCCCAGGGTCAGCGGCCTCAAAGACCGAAACTAGACAAATGCACAAAGATGAGAAAGAAACAATGAAAAAATTTTGAAAACCCAAAAGACCAGAGTGCCTCTTCTCCTCCAAATGATCGCAACGTCAGAAGTAGGCTTCAGAAGATGGGTAATGAAAAACTATGCTGAGCTAAAGGATCATGTCCTAACCCAACACAAAGAAGCCAAGAACCTTGACAAAAGGTTAGAGGAATTGCTAAGTAGAATAGCCAGTTTAGAGAGGAACATAAAAGACCTGATGGAGCTGAAAAACACAGCATGGGGACTTCATGAAGCATACACAAGTATCAATAGCTGAATCGACCAAGCAGAAAAAAAGATATCAGAGTTTGAAGACCACCTTGCCGAAATAAAGCATGCAGACAAGATTAGAGAAAAAAGAATTAAAAGCAATGAACAAAGCCTCCAAGAAATATGGGACTTCATAAAAAAAACTGAACCTACAATTTATTGGAATACCAGAAAAAGATGGGGAGAATGGAAACGAGCCAGAAAACACACTTCAGGATATTATCCAGGAGAACTTCCCCAATGTAGTAAGACAGGACAACATGCAAATTCAAAAAATACAGAGAACACCATTAAGATACTCCATGAGAAGATCAACCCCAAGACAAATAATCATCAGATTCTCCAAGATTGAAATGGAGGAAAAACTGCTAAGGGCAGCCAGAGAGAAAGGCCAGGTCACCTACAAAGGGAAGCCCATCAGACTAACAGTGGACCTCTCAGCAGACACTACAAGCCAGAAGAGATTGGGGGCCAATATTTGATATTCTTAAAGAAAATAATTTTCAATCTAGAATTTCATATCTAGCCAAACTAGGCTTCATAAGTTAAGGAGAAATAAAATTCTTTCCAGACAAGCAAATGATGAGGGATTTTGTTATTCCTAGGCCTGCCCGGCAAGAGTTCCTGAAAGAAGCACTAATTATAGAAAGGAAAAGCTGTTACCAGCCACTGCAAAAACACACCAAAATATAAAGACCAATGACATTATGAAGAAACCGTATCAACTAGTGTGCAAAATAACCAAATAGCAGCATGATGACAGGATCAAATCCACACATAACAATACTACCCTTAAATGTAAATGTGCTAAATGCCCCAATTAAAAGACACAGACTGGCAAATTGGATAGAGTCAAGACCCATTGGTGTGTTGTATTCAGGAGACCCATCTCACGTGCAAAGACACTCATAGGCTCAAAATAAAGGGATGGAGGAAAATTTACCAAACAAATGGAAAAAAAAAGCAGGATTTGCAATCCTAGACTCTGACAAAACAGGCTTTAAACCAACAAAGATTAAAAAAAAAAAGAGACAAAGAAGGTCATTACATAATGATAAAGGGAACAATTCAACAAGAAGAGCTAACTATTCTAAATATATATGTGCCACATACAGAAGCACCCAGATTCATAAAACAAGTTCTTAGAGACATACAAAGAGACTTAGACTCCCACACAATAATAGTGGGAGATTTTAACACCCCACTTTCAGTATAAGACAGATCTATGAGACAGAAAATTAAAAGGATATTCAGGACTTGAACTCAGCTCTGGATCAAGCGGACATAGTAGATGTCTACAGAACACTCTACCTCAAATTAACAGAATATACATTATTCTCAGCACCACATGGCACTTATTCTAAAATTGACCACGTAATTGGAAGTAAAACACTCCTCAGCAAATGCAAAAGAACTGAAATCATAACAGTCTCTCAGATCACGGTGCAATCAAATTAGAACTCAGGATTAAGAATCTCACTCAAAACCACACGATTACATGGAAATTGAACAACCTGCTCCTGAATGACTATTGGGTAAATAACAAAATTAAGGCAGAAACAAATAAGTTATTTGAAACCAGTGAGAACAAAGAGACAATATAGCAGAATCTCTGGGACACAGCTAAAACAGTGCTAACAGGAAAACTTATAGCACTAAATGCCCACATGAGAAAGCTTGAAACATCTCAAACTGACACCCCAACATCACAATTAGAAATGTTAGAGAGGCAAGAACACACCAATCCAAAAGCTATCAGAAGACAAGAAATAACTAAGATCAGAGAAGAACTGAAGGAGACAGAGACACAAAAAAACCCTCCAGAAAATCAATGAATCCAGGAGCTGGTTTTTTGAAAAAAATTAACAAAATAGATAGGTCGCTAGCTAGACTAATAAAGAAGGGAAGAGAGAAGAATCATATAGACACGATAAAAAATGATAAAGAAGATATCACCACTGACCCCACAGAAATACAAACTACTATCAGAGAACACTATAAACACCTCTATGCAAATAAACTAGAAAATCTAGAAGAAATGGCTACATTTTTGGACACACATGCACCCTCCCAAGACTAAACCAGGAAGATGTCAAATCCCTGAATAGACCAATAACAACTTCTAAAATTGAGGCAGTAATTAATAGCATACCAACCAAAAAAAGCCCAGGACCAGACGGATTCACAGCTGAATTCTGTTAGAAATACAAAGAGGAGCTGGTACCATTCCTTCTGAAGCTATTCCAAACAATTCCAAAGGAGGGACTCCTCCCTATCTCATTTATGAAGCCAGCATCATCCTGATACCAAAACAGAGAAGAGAAACAACAAAAAAATATAACTTCAGACCAATATCCCTGATGAACGTCGATGCAAAAATCCTCAATAAAATACTGGCAAAACAAATCCAGCAGCACATCAAAATATTTATCCAACATGATCAAGTTGGCTTCATACCCGGGATGCAAGTCTGGTTCAACATATGAAAATCAATAAACATAATCAGTCACATAAACAGAACCTATGACAAAAACCGCATGATTATCTCAATAGATGCATGAAAGGACTTTGAAAAATCTCAGCATCCCTTCATGTTAAAAACTCTCAATAAAATAGGCATTGATGGAACATATCTCAAAATAATAAGAGTTACTTATGATAAACCCACAGCCAATATTATATTGAATGGACAAAAGCTGAAAGCATTCCCTTTGAAAACCAGTACAAGACAAGGATGCCCTCTCACCACTCCTATTCAACACAGAATTGAAGGTTCTGGCCAGGGCAATAAGGCAAGAGAAAGAAAGAAAGCATATTCAAATAGGAAGAGAGGAATTCAAACTGTCTCTGTTTGCAGATGACATGATTTTATATTTAGAAAACCCCATCATCTTAGACCAAAAACTCTTTAAACTGATAAGCAACTTCAGCAAAGTCTTGGGATACAAAATCAATGTGCAAAAATGACAAGCATTCCTTTACACCAACAACAGACAAGCAGAGAGCCAAATCATGAATGAACTCCCATTCACAGTTGCTACAAATATAATAGAATACCTAGAAACACGACTTACAAGGGATGTGAAGGATGTCTTCAAGGAGAACTACAAACCACTGCTCAAGGAAATAAGGGAGGAAACAAATGGAAAAACATTCCAGCCTCATGGACAGGAAGAATCAATATCATGAAAATGACCATACCCCCCAAAGTAATTTATAAATTCAATGCTATTCCCATCAAACTACTATTGACATTCTTCACAGAATTAGAAAAAAACTATTCTAAATTTCACATGGAATCAAAGGAGAACCGATATAGCCAAGACAATCCTAAGCAAAAAGAGCAAAGCTGGAGGCATCACACCACCTGACTTCAAACTATACTACAAGGCTACAGTAACCAAAACAGCATGGTACTGGTACCAAAACAGATATATAGAAAAATGGAACAGAACACAGGCCTCAGAAATAACACCACACATCTACAACCATCTGATCTTTGACAAACCTGACAAAAACAAGCAATGGGGAAAGGATCTCCTATTCAGTAAATGGTGTTGGGAAAACTGGCTAGCCATATGCAGAAAACTGAAACTGGATCCCTTCCTTAACACCTTGTACAAAAATTAACTCAGGATGGATCAAAGACACAAATGTAAAATTCAAAACCATAAAAACCCTATTAGAAAACCTAGGCAATACTATTCAGGACACAGGGAATAGACTTTATGACAAAAACGCCAAAAGCAACAAGAGTCAAAACTGACACACAGGATCTAATTAAACTAAAGAGCTTCTGCACAGCAAAAGAAACTATCCTCTGAATGAATAGGTGACCTACAGAATGGGAGAAAATTTTTGCAATCTACCCATCTGACCAAGGTCTAATATCCAGAATTTCCAAGGAACTTAAACTAATTTACAAGAAAAAAAAAACTCCATCAAAAAGTGGGCAAAGGATATGAACAGACACTTCTCAAAAGAAGACATTTATGCGTCAACAAACGTATGAAAAAAAGCTCAACATCACTGATCATCAGAGAAATGCAAATCAAAACCACAATGAGATATCATCTCAGGCCAGCCAGAACAATGATTACTAAAAAGTCAGAAAACAATAGAAGCTGGCGAGGCTGTGGAGAAATAGGAATGCTTTTACACTGTTGGTGGTAGTGTAAATTAGTTCAACCATTGTGGAAGACAGTATGACAATTCCTGAAGGATCTAGAACCAGAAATAGCATTTGACCCAGCAATCCCATTACTGGGTATATACACGAAGGATTATAGAATCATTAAAGACACATGCACATGTATGTTTATTGCATCACTATTTACAATAGCAAAGACATGGAACCAACCCAAATGCCCATCAATGATAGACTGGATAAAAAAAATGTGGTACATATACACCATGGAATACTATGCAACCATAAAAAGGAATTAGATCATGTCCTTTGCAGGGACAAGGATGAAGCTGGAAGCCATCATACTCAGCAAACTAATACAGGAACAGAAACCAAATACCGCATGTTCTCACTCATAAGTGGGAGTTGAACAATGAGAACACACACATAGAGAGGAGAACAACACACACCAGGGCCTGTTGGGGAGTAGGGGGTGAGGGGAGGGATCTTAGAGGATGGGTCAATAGGTGCAGCAAACCACCATGGTACACGTATACCTGTGTAACAAAGCTCCATGTTCTACACATGTATCCTGGGATGTTTTAAGAATAAATAAAAAAAAATTTTAATTACTTTAAAAATAAAATGAACTGAGAGAATTATTGTTTGGACATCTTTCCAATATTTTGTAATTCTTATTGGCTTTTACTCTTTAGCTCATTAAGTATTTAAGGTATCATTTTATTTTTCTAAAACTATGGGGACTGTTTTTTAAATATTTTATTATTGATTTCTAGTTTAGTTGTCTTTTGGTTAAAGAACATAGAATTTATTATACTGACCTTTAAAATTTATTGTGACTTCCCTTCTGTCCCAATGTGATCATTGTGTAAATAATCCACGTGTACTTGAATGGCATTTAATATTCTCTATTTGTTTGACTGAGTCCTATGCTTTCCATTAGAGTTAGCTTTTTACATTGTGTTGCTTAAATCTTCTCTATTATTACAAACATCTCTTAAATCTTCTCTATTATTACAAACACCTCTTCAGCTTATTCTGTAAATATCTGATAGCTACGTGTTAAATCTCCAGTTAAAATTGTTGATTTTCCCACCTCTCCTTAAAATTTTGTTTATTTTTACTTTTCATTTTTCAGGGATATGCCATTATATACAACTGGATTGTGATTCTTACTTCTTAGAGGATTGTTTTTTGCACAGTTCTTTTCTTTTTCTATTAATACTTTAAATCTATTTTGTACGATATTAATATTGCTAAATTACTTAGCATATTTTCCATTCTTTTTTGTTTTTAACCTCTCTGTGTGATTTGTTTTGTGATGTCCTTCATCAGCAGCATATGGCTGGATTTAGGTTTTGTATCCATCTAGTAATCTCTGTATTTTGAAGGCTTAGTCTACTTACACATACCATAATGCCTGATATATTTGGAATTATTTCTGCATCTTACTTGTATTTGGAGTTTACCAACCATTTTCTTCACTTCTTTATATATATTTTTTCCTTTTCTTACCTTGCCTCTATTAGGTGAATAAACATTTTTGCATGACCCTTGTGTTCTACCCGTGGATTTTACTTCTATACTTTTAGTTAACTTTTTAGTATATAGAATTAACTACACATTTTTGAATGATCTAAAGATCACAATATTTTATCTGTCTTTCCCAGACACAAGGATTTTAGCATGTTATCAAATACCTTTCCCACTTAGTTTTACCTGTAAGAAAAACACAACAATATTGGGTATTTTATTTTATTTATTTTATGTCAACTCAGTGAAATTTTTCAACACAGTTTATTAATTTTGGTGCTTTCCATTGTATGCTATCAACAATATTGGGTTCTTTATTTTATTTATTTTACGTCAATTCAATGAAAATTGTCAACAGTTTATTACTTTCAATGTCTTCCATTGTACCTTGTGTCCCAGAGCTTCCAACTGTACTTACTATTCTACTTTCTATAACATATTTTAAAAATTCTTATATTGACAATCTCTGTGTAGTAAACTCTTGTACTTTTATATCTCTAAAAGCATATTTATTTGCCCTCATTACTGGATAATAATTTGGCTGTGTGATTAATCTTGACTGACATTTTGCAATTGTACTTAATAGTTTTCTGGTTTCTGCTTTTGCTAATTGAAAAGTCTATTGTGAGTCCAGTTGCTGTTTTCTTATAGGTAGTCTGTATTTTCTTTGTCATAGCTTTAATATTTTCCTTTCTTTGTGATATTTTGCAGTTTCCTCACAATAATAAAACAGTATTTCACACAAAGTGAATTTCTCAATACTATCTTTAATTCATTAATTTTCACATGGTACCCGGTCTAGAGATAACTTTGTTAGGAAGTAACATTTGTCCCCACCTCCTCAGATATCTACATGAAAGGATGTCTGCTAAAAAATAACATCCTTTCTTTTTTGTTATTGTTGTTCTTTTATTGTCACATAATATTTGTACATATTTATGGGGTACATGTGTATTGTGATACATGCATACAGTGTGTAATGATCAAAACAGAGTATTTAGTATATCCATAACCTCAAGCATTTGTTTGTGTTGGAAAGATTTCAAATATTCTAGCTATTTTGAAATATATGATGTATTATTGTTAACTATAGTCATTCTAATATGCTATCAAACACTAGAACTTATCTCTTCTACCTAACTGTATATTTGTACCCACTAATCAACCTTTATTCATCCCAACTGATATAATTTGGATATTTATCCTGCCCAAATCTCATGCTTAAATGTAATCCCCAGTATGTCATGAGCCTGGTGCATGATACCATTTTTCCATCCTAGGCCTCCAGGCCTGTGATGGGATGAGCTGCCACAAAGTTCTCCAAAATGCCTTGGAGGCATTTTCCTCATTGTCTTGGCTATTAACATTCAGCTCCTCTTTACCTATGCAAATTTCTGCAGCCAGCTTGAATTCCTTCCCAGAAAGTGGGTTTTTCTTTTCTACCAAATGGTTGGGTATGCAAATTTTCCAAACTTCTATGCTCTGTTTCCCTTTTAAATATAAGTTCCAGTTTCAGATAACTTTTTTGTTTATGCAGATGAGCATAGGCTTTTAGAAGAAGCCAGGCTACAACTTGAATGATTTGCTGCTTAGGATGTCTTCTGCCAGATACCCTAAATCATCTCCTTCAAATTCAAAGATTCAGATTTCTAGAGCAGAGGCACAATGCCACTAGTCTTTTTGCTAAAGCATAACAAGAGTGACCTTTACTCCAGTTCCCAATAAGTTTCTCATCTCCCTCTGAGACCTTCAGCCTGGACTTCACAGTCCATATTACTATCAGCATTTTGGACACAACAATTAAACTTTCCTTCATCTTTCTGTCTTCTTCTGAGCTCTCCAAACTCTTCCAATCTCTGCCCATTACCCAGTTCCAAAGTTGCTTCCACATTTTCAGGTATCTTTATAGCAATGCCCCACTCCTAGTACCAATTTTCTGTTTTAATCCATTTTCATCCTGCTATAAAGAACTACCTGAGATTGGGTATTTATGAATAAAAGAGTCTTAATTGACTTACAATTTTGTAGGCTGTACTGAAGGCATGGCTGGGGAGGCCTCAGGAAACTTACAGTCATGGCAGAAGGCGAAGGAGAAGCAAACATGTCTTCCCATGACCAGAAGGAGAGAGAGAAAGAGACAGAGAGAGAGAGAGAGAGAGAGAGAGAGAGAGCAAAGCAAGGGTTGAGGGGAGCTACACACTTTCAAACAACCAGATCTCATGAGAACTCTTATCATGAGACAGCACTAGGGGGATGGTGCTAAACCATTAGAAACCACCTCCATGATCCAATCACCTCCCACCAGGCTCCGCCTCCAGTATTAGGAATCACAATTCAACATGAGACTTGGGTTGGGGAACAGGACAAAAACCATATCACTCAGCATGCCTGTTACTCCAGCTCCAGCCTCAGTTAAAAGGGGCCCAGGTGTAGCTCAAGCCACTGCTCTGGAGGGTGCAGGCATTGGTGGCTTTCGTGTGATGTTAAGCCTGTGGGTGCATAGAGTGCAAGAGTGATAGAGACTTGGCAGTCTCTGCCAAGATTTCAGAGGCTATATGAGAAATCCTGGGTGTCCAGGAAGAAGCATGTTGCAGGGGCAGAGCCCTCACAAGAACTTCTATTACGGCAGTGTGAAGGGAAAATATGGTTTGCAGGCCACACAGAGTTCCCACTGGGGTACTGCCTAGTGGAGCTGTGCGAAGAAAGCCACCATCCTCCAGACCTCAGAATGGTAGCTCCACTGGCAGTTTGCTCCCTGCATCTGGAAAAGTTGCAGGCATTCAACTCCAATCCATGAGAGCAGCTATGGGGCTGCACCCTGAAGAGACATAGAGGTGGAGCTGCCAAAGGCCTTGGGAGTTCCTGCCTCTCAGGGCTGTGCCCTGGATGTGGGACATGGACTCAAAGCTGATTTTGGTGTTTTAAGATGTAATGACTGCTCTGCTGGGTTCCTGACTTGCATGGGAGCTGTAGCCCCTTTCTTTTGGCCAGTTTCTGCCTTTTGGAATGGGAATGTTCACCCAAAGCCTGTACCCCATTGTATCTTGGAAGTAAATAAGCTGTTTTGATTTTATAGGCTCATAGGTGGAAGAAATTCATTTCCAGATGAGACTTTGGACTTTGGACTTTTGAGTGATGCTGAAATGAGTTAAGACTTTTGGAGGACTATTGAGAATAGATTATTGTATTTTGGAATGTGAGAAGAACATGAGATTTGAGGGACCAGGAGTGGGAAGATATAGTTTGGATATTTGTCCCACCCGAATCTCATGTTAAAATGTACTCTCCAAAGTTGGAGGTGGGGCCTGGTGGGAGAGGTTTGGGTTATGGCAGCAAAACCCTCATGGCTTGGTGCTGTTCTCATAATAGTGAGATCTTCTGAGACCTGATTGTTTAAAAGTGTGTGGCACCTCCCCCTATCTCTCTGGCTCTTGCTCTTACCATGTGATGTGCCTACTCCTTCACCTTCTGCCATGAGTAAAAAAAAAAGTTCCTTGATGCCTCCCTAGAAGCTGAGCAGATGCCAGTGCCACATTTGTACAGCCTACAGAACTGTGAGCCAATTAAATTTCTTTTCTTCATAAATTACCCTGTTTCATAGATTCCATTACAGCAACACAAGAACGGCCTAATACACCATCCCTATACATAAACAACCTTTCCATCTATTGGTAACTATCATTCTACTTTCTTCATGAGATCAAATTTTTTTAGCTCCCACATATGACTGAGAACATGTAATAGTTGTCTTTCTGTGCCTGGCTTATTTCACTTAACATAATGACTTCCAATTCTATACATGTTACAAATGACATAATTTCATTCTTTATTATTGATGGATAGTATTCCATTCTGTATATGTAACACACTGAGTATTTATCCAAAGGAAAGGAAATTAGTATATCGAAGGGAAACCTGCACCCCCATGTTTACTGCAGCACTATTCACAATAGCAAAGATATGGAATCAACCTAAGTGTTCATCAACAGATCAGTGGATAAACACATACTTTCTTTTTGCTCCACCCCTTACTTACTCCTCTGACCCGATAGGTGGATGATGACCTGAACTTTATATTACATTCTTTGGATGGGGCTAATCCACTAAAAAGACTGTAAGTGCTAGGGATTCAATCTCTCTATCCACATTCTGAACTGGTGTGAGGCAGCAATTCTAAATGTGTCTATCACCCTAAACTTTTTCTTGGGTAGGGGTAAGCTAGAGATAGGGCAGGCAGGGAACATCAGCAAACTCGTTTGTCATGAGTTTGGCATTGTCCTCCAACGGTTTTTGTATCAGTGACAAAACTCCTTTTTTACTCTTTTTAAAATTGAGATATAACTCATAAACCACAATATTCACCCCTTTAAAGTACACAATTAATTTGTTCATTGTGGCATATCCAAAAAATAGTGCAACCATCTTCACTATCTACTTCTCGAACATTTTCAGTACCCCCAATCAAACCTCCTATCCATTAGCAATCACACCTCACCCCTAGCCCCCTGGAAACCACTAAACTATTCCTGTCTCTGTGGATTTGTCCATTCTGATCATTTCATACAAAGGGAATAATATAATTTTTATATAATATAATATATATATTATATTATATATTATATAATAATATATATAATAATATAATAATTGTGGCCTTCTTCCACCTAATGAAATTCACTCTTAATCTCAGTCTATTTGGCTTCTGAATCCATCTTAAAATTTGTTTCAAACACAGTGGTGTAGAGAGGAGTGTTATTTATGGAACTCATAAAACCCCACATAATTTTCTACTTTTTAGTCAGTTTAATGACTATACTTTTAATTCCTAAGATTTACTTATGAAGCCACTTGTTCTTTCTAGTTTCTGCCTAGTTTTTTCATTATTTCTTTTCATTAGTTCTTACACTATTTCTTTTCTTTTTTAAAAATTTTTTAATCAACAACAATTTTTTATAAAGATGGGGACTCACTGTGTTTCCCAGACTGGTCTCAAACTACTGGATTCAAGCAATCCACCTGCCTTGGCCTCCCACAGTGCTGGGATTACAGGGATGTGCAACCGCACCTGGCTCTTTTCCCATTTTAAAATATTTTTTGTATTATAACATACATTCAGAAAAGAGCATAAATCATAAGTATATATAAGTCAATAAATTATAACAACCTAATCCACAAATAAAATATCATTACCATCCCAAAATTGCCTCAAACGCCTCCTTATGCCAACTCACACTCATGCTCTTTCTCATTCTATAAAATATCCACTATCCTTATTTTGACTTCTAAAACCACATGAGAGTTGCTTGATTTTAAACTTTATAAAATCAATCATATGGTAGGTTTTTTTGCATGTATTTCTTTAGCTCATTTGTTCATTTTTAATAGATGGTGTATATTCTGTTTCTTTTTTTTACTTGGAATGTCTTAAATACACTATCCAAAAGTCTTTGTCAGACTAGTTTACAAAATAATTTCATTGGGAGTAAATTTGTGTTCTGATTTTAAAATTTTGATCATTTGTCCTTTTCAGCATTTTTTCCATCTGTTTTAAAATTCTGTTTACACACTTATTTGGAGTGAATAGATGTTTTAAAATGTGTTTGTTTTACTGCCATGTGTGTATGTGGTTTTGTAGCTGCTTACACTCATATACTTCTTGTCTATGTTTGTCATTGCGGTACAAACCCAGATGGCAGTTGGAACCCAGTTCTTAGTCATAAGGCTTTCTGTGTCTGTCCATCCTGAACCTCTGCTCCCGCCTCCACTTCCTAAACTCTTCCCTACCTCACAGCCCACAGATTTTTTAAGCCAATTGCCAATCCTACATTATGAGACATTTTTTTATTCCTGTCTCCTTTGGCAAGTGGTGGAGACTGTGAAACCTTCATCGGTGGCCATAGCACTGCTCTCTCCCACACAAGAAGCATATTTTCAGAAACCAAGGTCCCAGATCCACCTCCTGCTTTAGAATAGAAAGTCCAGAAGCTTGAGCTACAACTGTCATCAACATTGTGTGTTTTTACTGGCCTTGTGTTTAGAACCTCTCACTAAGTCTTTTCTTACTTTTTAGAAATCTATTATTATATCCCTGGGGGAAAAAAAGCATGAGCTCATTGCCCCATCTTGAACAGATATCTCGACTATTTCCTTAAGACCTTACAATCAGATTTATAGCAATAACACTTTCCAAAAAGGGTTCTCTGAAATGACCATATAGCTACTTTATCTAACAGTTACTGGATTTCTCCCCAACTTTAGCTTTGTTGATCTTCCTGGGACAATTCAGACTGAGCACAAGCCCTGGTTCATGAAGCTCTCACCTCACTTGTGTTTCATTACCCTATATATTATATTCCTGATTATCTTCCTTCCTCTGTAACTGTTCCTTGTCTATGTCATAGTCACTCTTCTTGGAGCTCCCACTTCCTCCTAAATGTATGAGTTCCTTCAACCAAATCTGGCTTTGTCCCTCTTTTCTTCCTTTCTATACCCTACACTTCTTGGGTGACCTCTTGTCCTTTTATGGCTTTGAATGCCATTTCTACATGAGTGATTTTGAAGTCTTTGCTTATACCGCTGATACTTTTACCTAATTTCATTCTCATATCTTCCATTGTTTCCTGGACATCTTCACCTTGATATGCTTCCAGATTCTCATGCATACTATATCAACTTCCACCATTACCTCCACCAAACTTTTTATTCCTCCTCAGCATAACCACTTTCCCATGTACTTGGATAAAAACTGCTAAGGTAACTTCTGTCTCTTGCTTTCCCTTGCCCTCCACAATTACTCAGTCATTAAATCCCATATGTTGAACACCTATCCCCTTCTTACGGTTACTCTAGCTACTTTTCTAGTTTCATCTCTAATTACCCCTTACCTGAACCATGTAATAAACTCTAGCTTGTTCCCTGACTCTAGTCTCCTTGCTCACCAATCCACCTGACATTTAGTACCCTCCCTGGACCCCAGCCATCTTCCTCTAATACAATTTGGTCATGCCATTTCCTTGCTTGAAAATAGGCAGAGGCTCCTCTGCTCCTGCAGACTAGCATACAACATATTTTGGCTGCCTTTCAAATGACTCAATGACCTGGTAGAAAACCACCTCTCTATATGTAACCTTCTAACCATGATTCCAACAAGTTACCCTTCTAATCATGTTTGATGATGAAACCACACCTAACTTCTTTATTTTCACACATGATCCCTCCATGTGGAATTTTCTTCTCTCCCATCCCTGTAAGTTCAAACCTTACTCCACTTCTTTGAGCCTCAGCTGAAAAGCCACTTCCTCTATACTTTTTAATTTTATCAGCCAAAATAAATCTCTCCCACCCTGAAACTCCTTTAGCATTCCATCTATTTCTAGTTCTACTATGCTATCCATCCCTGTTCATCTGCTAATATACTTACAAATGTGAAGCATAATTGCTATGAGACTATAATCCCTAATTATCAGAGCTTATCTTACCTTAGGGTCTCTGGCAAAACTTGGCACACTCCCCCACTCATCCTAAACACTAAATAAGTATTTCCCAACTAGATGAAAGCATAAAAGACATGGAAGAAGAGATTTCTGCCTCAGGTTGAAGCCTTGAATAAATGAGCTAAAAATTCTTCTCCTCCCAGACTCAGTGATCCTCTGAATCTCAAGGTTATGATAAATTAAAATATATTATCATAAAACTTGTGGAACTTCTCCTTTTAGAAAAAATTAATAACATAACCAACAACCTTTTGGGATTATTTAAGCATAGTTATTCTTGGACCAGGGGAAGAGTTTAGAATATGTCTCAAGATTATATCTAATCCAACACATTGCCAGTAGACCTCCATAATGTGAAGACTGGAGAAGATACAGGAACTTTTTCAGGAGGGAAGTCAGGTAAAATTTGAAATTTTAATACAAAATTTTGTCTAGTATCATGGGATGGGTAGAATGGCAGGGACTACTTCTTATATTCTAATGTGTGGGAAAACCAGACTAGGAATTATAACAGCACCCCCACTTCAAAAATAATTGATTTACAATTAATGTCTTGGCACTGTTTTCAGAGCATAGTGGCACATTTTCAGGGAAGTCTGAGCAAGAATTGTAAATTGGCCTCCAGGCATGTAAATGTTATTGCATAATTAACTGAGACAGAGATTAATGTGACCAATTTCACAAAAACAATCCTAATTAGGGTGCTGTATCTTGAGAGGTTTAGTTTTAACCCAAGCACCCACAGAATGTACTGGTTCAGCTCTGTTTTGACACCCAAGTTTCCAAATCCAGTGACGTCTAAAGACTTCAAGAAGTCACGGGCTTGAATGGAGAAGGCACTTGAGACATCCTAAAGAATGTCTAAGGAGAGTGCAGCCATCATTGAAGACCATTTGGAAACTGTGCTCCCAGGGAGATGCTCGCTTATGTCTGGGGAAGATGTTTTCCTCTATCAAATCTCTGATCACTCTGATAGTATTTATAGTAAAAGTAACTGCACATGTTCAGAAATCACGACTTCCCTATGAAGTGTCATGAAGTTAATGTATAGTTTTTCTTACCACTGTATCATTTCTCTAAACCTCCCAGGCCTAGATAATCTCCTATTATACTAAGTGAGAGGCATTTCCACTTTTTATTATGTTTTGCCTTTATATTCTCTCAAATATGAATCCCACATATTATTCTACATCTTCTCATTCTCCCTTCATAGCTTAGTTTTAAGAGCTATTAAGTTATATTTAGCAAAAGACAAATATACCTATTTAGTTGTATACATCACACATGACATCTCAGAAAGTGCTGTTTGAGAAATTATTTTTCATTTTCTCATCAAATTGGTACTTATCCCAGACACATAATGCAGCACCTACTGAATCTTTTCTTCCAGACCTGTTCTCTTGGTTTCTCTTATGGGAGAATAAAAATCTATGGAACTGTTCACACAATGGAAAATTTTCTAACAAGAGTCATGAAGAGATGATGGACTGGAGAGAACATATGAGGGACCAGTGCCTAATAAGATAAAAAGTCTCATTTTATACTTATCATTCCACTAGTCCAAATACCAACTCTCTTACTACAGTTCTTAAACCCTTTGAAAAAAATTGTAGTCCAAGGAAAATTCTTTGGAATACAAAAATTTACTTCTTTTGCCTTGTTTCTTTCTTTCTTTTTTTTTTTTTTTTTTTTTTTGATAGAGTCTCACTCTCTTGCCCAGGCTGGAGGGCACTAGTGCAATCTCAGCTCACTGTAACCTCCACCTCCTGGGTTCAAGCAATTCTCCTGCTTCAGCCTCCTGAGTAGCTGGGATTACAGGCAAGCACCACCATGCATGGCTAATATATTTTGTATTTTTAGTAGAGACGGGGTTTCACCATGTTGGTCAGGCTGGTCTGGAACTCCTGACCTCATGATCCGCCCACCTCAGCTCCCCCAAATTCTGAGAGTACAGGCATGAGCCACCACGCCCAGCCTTTTTGCCTTCTTTCTAAAGGAATTGATGGATAATCAAGTTTTAGTTCTACTAATACTGTTATTACTACTTATAGTTGTAGTCTTTTTGGTTGGGTGCTATTGAAACAAAGCCAGCTCAAATTAGCATGAGCAAACTAAAAGGGAATTGACTGGCTCCTAGGGCTCAGGAGAATATTTTATTAACTCACAGGATTCCAAGAAGAGTTTTAAGACTGTGGGTGGGCTGAGTGCTGCCTTGACTCTCCCAATCTCCTTTACTTCTGCTTGCCTTTGCTTTTTGGCCTCATTCTCTGCCATTATAGATGCAGTTCCACCATCTTGTCATCTTCAGGCCTACACCAGACCCACTGAGCAATACAAGTCAGTAAGGATAGCCTACTTTCCCCATGGTCCACATACAGATTCCTAGAAAGAACATGATGAGCTCTACTGAAGTCAAATATTTACTATTAGATAGGGGACTAAGATAGGCCAGACACTGGTCAAGGGGAAAGGCATGTTAGCAAAAGCAAGGAGATAGCAAGCTCGCAGGAAAGCTAAAAACAATAGCTTTCAACTTTCATTACAAATAATGAGAATTGGTATCTGTGTAACTCAAAGGTCATTCAAGGAGACCCATAAATGAGCAAATGTGTTTTGCTTGGTCTTTTAAGAGTTAAACTAGTTCTGTCATCACTTTAAAATCCTGACATTCCCTCCCATCCCCCAAAAATCTATTTTTTAAGTATTCTTCAAAAATAGAGACATCTGATTTCACTCCCAAACATTAACAAATACAGTAAGTTGAGGATTCCCATTTACATTGGACACACAATTCCCATTCATCCTGGTCTATTTCATTTATTTATGTCACTGGGTTAACCCCTGCAGGTATTTGAGAGTATGACCCTTGACTGGGGTAGCCCTTCACATTTACAAGCATTATTTCTTTTGCAACTGGAGCAGTATAGGAAAGGGGACATGGATAAATCCTGTTTTTGATTCTTTTTCCACAATGCAGAGGAAACCCTAGGAAGAAGGTGTAGGGGTACCAGGTTGACAGCAAACAACCCAAACAAGGGCACTTAGGGGACAATAAATTTGTGCAAAGAAAGGAATGTTTTCCTCATCTAGATGGGCATCAACTAAAGCATGCCTGTTCAAGTATGTTTGAGGTTCTGCATTCAGCTTGCCCAGTAGTTTCTGGTTCTTCTCCCTCTCATTGAGCTGGAGTATTAAAAGATTAAGAAGGATGGAATCTGACCAAGAATTGTCAAATTTGGACAATCAGATGAGCATCTATCAAGGCACACAATGTAAATAATACATAAATTGAAATTCACATTAAATACAAGAACTACATAGTGATAGGACTTGGTAGGATGGAACTCTTGACAAAATGCACTAATGGAATCATAAAGTTTCTTTAAAAAAGCATCAGAATGAAGTCTGGAGTCATATACTACAGCAGAGGCTGTCAGTTTTCTACTCTCATAAGTCTCATAGTAGAGGCTGCCAGTTTCTTATTCTTTCTTGCTATTTAAAACAAAATAAAACAAATCGAAATCTTAAATTTTAGCTGGGCACACTGTCACTTAGAATAAAAATATATATTTCCCACCTCCATTGCAGCACTGTAACTGAGTATTTGCCAATGATTATAAGTAAATGCATTATCTAGAACTCATAGAAAGCATGCATTATTTTCTTCCTCCATCCTACAGCTTGGAATGAAGATGTGATGGTAGGAAGCTAGGAGCCATTTTGTACCAGATAATCTTGAGAATAAATGCTGTAGGCCAAAGGAAGCTAGGAGCCATTTTGTACCAGATAATCTTGAGAATAAATGCTGTAGGCCAAAGATAGAAACCTTAGTCCCTGATGAAATGGTAAAATCATTAAACCTACCTCCAAGCATATATTGGAGAGAAATAAGCTTCTATTTTACTGAAGTCACTATTCAGAGAAATGTCTTTGTAGTAAAGAGCAAAATGCAATCCTTAACTGACAGACATTTGAGCTATCAGGAGATAATACTTACTTGGAATGCAGGCCTAGGAAAGGAGTTGAAAATGCAAATGTCTTCAAATGATAGGTAGATAATTAGAACAAATAAGTGGCATAAATAAAGAAGAGGAATTGGGCAGGCCAAAATGTGATCAGAAAACAGAGAGAACACTAATTGGCTCAACATAGACAATTAGAGCTCGATGATTAAGTATGTCTTTTCATATCAGACCCTCATTCTCAATAAACTGGTTCTTCTAAGTCACAAAAGTAGTCATATCATGTCCCTGCTTACTGCCAACTCCACTGCTCAGATTAAAGGTCAAGGTCCTCACCATGGCCTATAAGGCCAGTCTCCTTAAGGCCCTGCCTGTCCCTCTCATTCCTGCCTTCTTTCCCCACCTCCCCCACACTTTAGCTCTCTGTAGATGTGTAAGCCCACCTTGGTCACTCTGAAATGTCCTCCCTGTCTTTTGTCTTCAACCTTGTCTTCCCAATAGAAATCCCTGATCATCACTTTCCCAGAGAAATCCCAAGTCATCACCTTCAGTGTGAAGTCTCTTCTGAACACTATGGATGTTCACATAATGGAGATGTTGTTTTCAGGTGCAGAAATCAGAAAATGTTAGTTGCAGAGGTGCCATTTTAGATGAGCTTAAGTGATAAGTAACCATTTGAAAGTCTTAGGTAGAGGAAGGAAAAAAGTGTAAAAGACACACCATGAGCAAAGGCAGAGATGTGAGAAATGTGTTGTTCATTCAATGGGCAGCAAATGGTCCAGCTTGGTTATCACGCAGTATACACACTTAAGGCCATCTTGCTAGGGAGAGCTCTACATGCTTGACTAATGATGTAAAGTTTAAAACATTTAATAAGCTAAATGTTGCAGGGCCTTGTGCTAAATACAGTAGTGACAAAGTCAAAGGCATAAACTCTACCCTTAAGGAATTCAAGTCTACTAGGACAAACAGACATGTGATATGTCATTTCAATATGACTTTGGTAAATATTATGGTATTGATATGCACAGTATGCTCTAGGAGCTCAAGAGAATGGTACTGCTCTCAGTTACTAAATGTCTGCTACCCTAGGGACTCTAATGGACATTATTTCATTTAAGACTCAGACCAGCCCTTGAAGGAAGATATTTTTATCTCCAACTTAAATAATGAGAAAATTGAGATTCAGATAATTTAAGCAACATAGTCCTAGGTTGCACAGATAAATTAGTAGCATTCTTTCTACTACATCATGCTAAAAGGAGGTTACTTAACTTGGTGGGCAGTGAGGTATCATGGGAGGGTTTGAGCAGAAAAATGGCATCCTCTGAGCTATGCCTTAGGAGGATTAATATGGTAGCAATGTGAAGGAATAAAGGATGGCAGAGGCACCAATCAGAAGACTATTGTACGTTAAAACTTGAGGTGATGATGCTCTGAGAATTAGCTATTTTTTTTAAAAAAGTTCTAATTAGGCTTGCTGTGTGTGGCAGTCATTAGTGCTCTTCACCAAATAAATTCTCCAAATATTCTGTTTCTTCCTCTCTTGGGCATAGGGTAGGATTGCACCTCCTTGCCTCCTTAGATTTAGGTGTGGTCATGTTACTTCATTTGGCTAATGAAATGTCAGTAGGAATGACAGGTTTCACCACACTGCCTGTTTTCCCTTCTCCCATGGCAACAAAAAATGATCTACAGAGTATTGGTCCATTAGTCTGGGACCCAGAGTGAGAATGATGTAGAATAGATCTCCTTCTGAGCCATGATAGACAAGAAGCATTTGTGAAAAATAAAACTTGTTTATTTTAAGTCACCAGGATTTTGGACTTGTCTGTTACCATGGTATAACCTAGGTAACCCCAACAGATGTCATGTGTTCTCCTGAGACCTCGTCATTTCAAGCACTGTTGCTCAAACTTTAATGCACACCCTTATACTTAGAATTCTTGTTAAAATGTAGACTCTAGTTAAGAAGGTATGGGGTGAGACACAAGACACTATATTTTTAACAACTTCCCAAACCCAGGTGGTACAGATGCTACTGATTCACACTTTTGTATTGCAAGAGTCTAAAACTGCACTGTCTAGAATGATAGCAAACAGCCACATGTGGCTGTTTAAATTTAAATTCACTAAAATTGAATAAAATGAAAAATCCAGTTCCTCAGTTATACCAGCTCCAATTCATAAGCTCAAAAGCCACATGAGGCCAGTGGCTACTGTATTCAACAACAGAGACATAACACATTTTCATCATCACAAAAAGTTTTATTGAACAGTGCTACCATAGAGCAACATGCAGAAGCACAAAGTGACGATTGGTCCCAGCAGCTTGGGAGCTGAGAATGGTTGAGATTCAGGAAAGCAGAGCTGCTACTATCAAACAGAAACCCAATAGAGAGAGAGTTGAGTCCCAGGACACAAAGCTGAGATGGAATGAAATGTGACATTTGATCTGTGTACAAGACAAATTCTTGCCCTGCCTAATTATTTTTTTCCCCTGTGGATCATTTCAAGAGATCCCATTTCAGGGCAGGCACTTCCAGGGAGCCTCCTCTCTTTTTGCCCTGATGTTGTCTGTCCATTTTGGCTAATCTATTTACTTCCCCTAGAAAACACACGACACCAAGTATAACGCTTGTTTTTGATCTCCTTTCCCCAAGAAATCAATAGCACTCAGAGAGAGCGTGCCTGTAAGCCCAGTCAAAAGAGCTATAGAATTACACAGTGCAGTAGGCACGTGGCTGTGATTGGGTGATGGCTGTTGCCTGCTGCTAGTGATGTTCTATAACCTGGCACCCACTTGCTCCTCTCCCCTCCCCTTCACTGGCAGCTCAAACAGGAGAAAACCTCCCGGTTCATTTTATCCTTTCTTCCTCACCTCCACTCACTCTGAAAATAGTAGACCCCCTTTTTTAGATTTTGACTTGGACAGAGGTTAATAACCTGAGAATTCCATGGGCACAGGAGAACAGTATGCAAAAGTTTGATGTATGTTGCATGACCCCCAATGGGCCGCAAGACTAACAGAGAAGTGGGGAACAACTATAGCTTGCTCCATCCAGATTCTAGTAGCCCAGTGCATGAGTTGAGGAACAAAAACAACTAAAAAGGAACAAGGATATTAGCAGAAAGAGAGAAGAATAGACAGGAGTAAGGAACTGCTTAGGAGTGACTTGCTGAAAAAAATACTGACAACCACATGGAGTGGAAGACAATGCCAACAAAGATAACAACTCAGACCATATGCCTCATTAAGCATGAACTCACTTTTCACCCTTCCCCATGTTACTAAGGCTTTAGTCGCACTGTCAGAGAATAACCTAAAACTGGTTGAAATTAAGTTCCCCCGCTCAGCAGTAAAGAAGATTATAACAAACATTAAGTTAAAGTTGCATCCTTCTACACCATGGTAGACAGTGCAACTTCTTGAAGAGTCTATAACTTTTAGCAGATTCTCAAAGGACTCCTTGGAGGCTCTCTGACAAAGCACATGGTGCATCTGTGAGTATAGACTAGAGTTGGCCTTGTCCTTTCAAGGATCTTTCTCTTCCACTTTCTTGCTTCCTGCATAGACCAAGAGGCTTGACCTAACTGCCAAAACCCCACTGGTAATAGTGCTATGTTCAGGACTTGCAGAAATGTAGTACTTTAGTCCTTTTCCAACAATTTCACCTGAAGACCTCCAATTGCAGGAGAGAATGAATTTGAACCTACCCCCTTCTCTCCACTCCAGGGATCTGAGGCAGAGCTCAAAATGGTCATGATCTTTGAAGCACATCAAGTTCTTTGAAGTCTGTGCTACATTTTTAAGCATTCTGAGTTTTTACCCTATGATCCAGTCATGCTGTTCAGATATAAAAATTATGATTTTTATTATAGATCTTCAAGCATAGCTTGAGTATCCTTTATCCGAAATGCTTATAACTAGAAATGTTTTAGATTTCAATTTTTCCCCAGATTTCAGAATTTTCAATTTATACTTACCCAGTTAAGCATCCCAAATCTGAATATTCCAAGTCCGAAATGCCCTAAACAGCATTTGCTTTGATCGCCATGTTGGCACTCAAAATATTTCAAGTTTTGGAACATTTTGGATTTGGGATGCTCAACCTGTACAATCAATACACAGAAAGCCACATCATGCTTAATCTGTGAATTAATAATGTAGGTTCTTCTTATCACACATCACCCTGGACCCCCCAAAATTTGTAACTCTGTGTGAGAAGCATGGTAGACTTTGTTGGTTCTTTGGACATTTTGTGTGCGTCTACCATGCGCCTTGCCTTTGCCAGGTACTGATAATACAGAGATATAAAAAACCTGCCCTCAAGGAACTCACTGTCTAGAAGATATAGAGAAGTAAAGAGTCATAATTCTGTGTGTGGGTGTGCAATGGCAAAGGGAAGGACAGGCTGATAGAGAACAGTGTACAACAACAAGACCTATTGAAGGTGCACTCAGATAATGTAGACAAAGGTCTTTGCTTAATTATTCTTCTGAGAGGTGTGAGTCCCTTTAAGGAAGCAGAGTCCCTTTAAGGAAGCAGAGTCCCTTTAAGGAAGGAGAAAAGAACTTGGGTTTTCTTGAATATCTAAGGGCCCCCATTAAAGATGGCCCCACTACACTCATAAGCAGCTGATTTGCACATGGCCCTACCTTCTCTGCTGGATCGTGATGTGGTCCCAGCCAGTCAGTCATTTCCTTTGGGCTGTGATTATCACACACACACCCCCATAATATAAAGTAGGGTGGAGAAGGAAAGCCCAGGAGCAAGCAGAGACGTCTACAGCCACACATCTTTCCTCAGAGGGTGAATATAAATTCAATCTATTGGAAACACAAGATGGGCCCTTGAACAAGTCTCTGGTAAATTTAGGCTGAGCCAGTTAAAAAATCCATATCCCTCTAGTGCAGAGGTCAGCAAACTTTTTTCTGTAAAGGGCAAGACAATCAATAGCATAGGATTTGCCAGCCATACTGTCTCTGTTCCAAATATTCAACCCTGCAAGAAAGCGACCATAAGCAATACCCCCAACAAATGGGCATGATTGTGTTCCCACAAAACTTTATGAATAGGCATTGAAATTTGATTTCAACTAACTTTCACTCATGAAGAAATACCATTTTTCTTTTGATATTTTTCTGCAGCCATTTAAGTGTAATAACTGTTCTTGCCACACAAAAACAGACAGAGGTTTGTCCGCCCTGTTGTCTTAGCAAGGCTGCAGCTATTCAATCGCGTGATGCCACATTCTATAGAAGTCTACAAGGCCACGTGGCCATGATGACTGGAAACTCATTGAAAATAGGAAGATTTGTTGCATGTGCAAAATACTCCTTTTCATTCTGAACAATCTTTTCAATTTGTCGGATAGATGCTGCAGGAAGACTAGTGGTTGCCAGGACGTAAAGTTTTTAGTATTGTTATTGTTTGGGTCCAACAAATAAGAGAAGGAATGAAAGGATTTCAGCATAGCGGGGACAGGGCAAGAGCAGTGACCCCTCGCGATAACAATCGAGACAAGGTGCTGGGGCAGGCAGGGCCCCGCTCCTGCTCCCCCAGCACCTGCGTGAGCCGCCAACGGAGCGCGCAGAACTCCCTGGGCGCAGCCTCCCGCCTCGCCTTCCAGGATGAGCTCGATACAAAAGCAGCGCTGCGCTGCACGGGCTTTTGTATTCCTGTGAATAAGGCAAGCTTGCTGAGCCGCACACGCTGCAGATAACGCATCAATTCCAGGAAATGTTATCGCCAAACACTGCCTGCGTCATGAGCCATCCGTAAGGCCAGCTGCTCCGGAGTGGAATTTTCCAGCTGTTGGAGTTCTCGGCAGTGCCCAGTGCTGCTCAACTCTTTGGAGACCCAAATTGGATTTCTCTTTTTTTCCCCTAACTTTAGGGATCAACTTGGGTAGTAATTTAGGCATTTTCTTCAAGGACTTAGGAAGTGAACTGATTGTTGATGCAATTTCTGTACATTCTCTTCCCTGCCTCCTCCCCACATGCCTATTATCTCACACACATAACAGGCCTGAGCCATTTCAGTTCAATTCACTTAATATTTACTGACAGTCCCTTCTATGTGTTCTGTGCTGAGCTACTTCCTAGTTGCTGGGGACAGGGCATTAACCCAGAGAAAGCTGGTTTGGACTAGTTGTCCAGCAGGAAAAATTGACATTTAATTAGTAATGCAAGTATGATAAACATTACAGTGAAAGATAGATCAAATGCTATGAATAAAACTAGAAGAGGAATTTAACTTACTCCCAGATGTAGAGAAGTCCTTCCTAGGGAAGGGACCCAAAGTTGGTAGCTATGTGAAGAGGAAGAGAGAGATTTCCAGAAGAGGGAATAAAGTGTGTGAAGAACCCTGAGATAAGAGTGTGATTGGGCTGGCACAGTGGCTCACGCCTGTCATCCCAATATTTGGGAGGCCGAGGTGGGAAGACTGTTTAAAACCAGCAGTTAGAGACTACCCTGGGCAACACAGCAAGACCCCATCTCTACAAAAATATTTTTAAAATTAGTCGGGAGTGGTGGCACTACCTGTAGTCCCAGCTACTCGGGAGGCTGGGGTGGGAGGATCACTTTAGCCCAGGACTTCAAGGCTGCAGTGAGCTATGACCCTGCCACTGCACTCCAGCCTGGGCAACAGAGCAAGACTCTGTCTCCAAAAAATAAAATAAAATAAGAGTGTGGTGGCTTCACAGAAGGGAACTACCGTGCTCCAAAAAGTTGGAAGGAAGAGAGCAAGGGCTGGAACTCTCCTTGTTCACCTCAGCTCCTAGCACAGGGAAGGCCCTGTGTTCAGTGTTCAGTGACTCTGAGGAGGAATAGCCAGAGGTGACCTTTCCCTTTTTTCTACCTTCTGTATACAACTACCTTCTATAAGCAACTTACTGCAGGACCCCTTACATGGGGCTCCATTATTTGTCTATAGTCTATTTCCCCCTCCAAATCAGAAGGCTGATCCTATTTGTTTTGTATTCCTGGTGCCCAACAAATTTGAAAGGTTCAGTAGTCAAAGAAGATAAAAGACATAAAGAATGAAAAAAGGAAAGATAAGAGGAGGGGGAGAAAGGAAGAAGGAAGTCAAAACAAACTAGAAGGAAAGGACTTCGATGAATTAACACAATCATTATTGTGGTAGATTAATTTCTTCCCTTTGCAACCAGAAAGTTTACAAATATATGATAATCTGGACATGGAAAGAAGAGAAGCCAATCTATTCTCCACCCTGTGATTTTTATGTTTGTTTGTTGGTTGGTTGGTTGGTTTTATTTTTTTAAGTACCAGATTGTATTGCTGCACTAATGCTGCATGACAAACCACCTCCAAATTATTAACCTTTATTTCTTGCTCACAGGTCATCTGTCCACTGCAACACAGCTGGGCTCAGCTGAACTCTGGGACCCAGGCTTCAGTCTGAGGGTTGGATTCAGATTTTCTCCACATTTCCACATTCTCCTCACATCAAGCCAGTGCCCAGCACCTCCTTTGCTCATGGGAGCTCACAAGAGTGTAAGAGCCAAGCCAAATTGAGCAGATACATTTAAGGCCTGTTTTCACACACATTCTATTGGCTGACCAAATCAGTGAGACAAGAAAGTATCCTCTACTCCCATGGTTTCCAAAGTGTGGGCCCTGTGGCCAAAATTTTTCTCATAATTGTATTAAAGTGTATATTTGCTTACCCTCAGTCTCCCATGAGTATACAGTGGCATTTTGGTGTAGTATCAAAGAAGGATTTAAAATACTCTCTTTTTTTTTCCAACTACTTACCAGTGTGAGATCAGGTTTTCTTCATAAACTTAAGCAGAAAATAATATATCACAACAGACTGAATGTAGAGAGAGATCTTAGAATTCAGTTGATTTCTGTTAAGCTAAACACTAAGGAGATTTGAAAATATAAAACAGTGTTATTCTTCTCATTATTTTTTATTTTGAAAAATATTTTTATTTTTCTAAAAAAATTTACGTTAACATGTAATTATTATTTGTCAATGAATCTCAGTGAATGCATACTTTTAAATTTTTTCAGTTTTAATTTCTATTACATTTAGATTTGTATATAATACATTAATACACACATATATATTATATATATATATATAATTTTTAAAGAGTAAAAGATACCCTAAGGCCAAAATATTTGAGAACTGCTGCTGTGCCTTAGAGAAGGGGATTGAAGAGCAAATAGTTGCTAGATAATAACTCAATCAATAATAAAGATACAGTGCCAAGAGCTTTATGTATCTAACGATATGGGAACAACCTTATTCACTAAATATTTATGGAAGCTGGAAAAGCAAATCAGTCTTGTGGAGGTATTCAGAAGTTGAAGCTACTGTGTTTTGGGTGTGGTTTGTTACATAACAAAGCCAAATTGACCAGGGATCAGGGCCAGCAAAATCATAGACAGCCACTGCTCTGAGATCAGATCTACTTCCTTAACCTTACAATCCTTAATCAAACTGCGAAGATCGAAATATGCTCAGCCAGTTCACATTGACCTCCTTGGCCACTCACTAGATGCTATTCAGGGGGCCAGAAAGTTCTTGACTGGTACTTCAGTAACCAAGCTTCAAACTAGTAGGGTCTGGGAGATTTTTCAAGCGGAGTCTTCCTCTTAGAGTGTTTGTGGTTCCTCTGCTGGGCCCCCCTTATGGCCACTCCTATGAAGTAGGTAATTCCTTCCTTCCTCCTGTGGCTGCTGCCCCACAAACCCCTGGTTTTCAGGAGTCCACTCCACTCTGATTCTGCCTTTCAGAATCCTATCTTGGCCTGGCCAGGTGGTCCTCTTAGGTAGCAGTCAAAGGAGCTCCAGGATCATTCTCCTGTATGGCTCTATGTCTGAAACACTTATGTATAGGTATGCTTAAAAACTCTGGAAATAGAAACTGATATGAGTACAACAAGAGATCCCCTTCTCTCAGCCTTTCTTACCCTCTAGATCCATAATGTTCAATAGAAACAGAATGCAAGCCACAAATACAAGCAACAAATGCAAGCCACAAATGTGAGCTACATGGTTAGTTTTACATTTTCTAGTACCCACATTAAAAAAGTAAAAAACAAACAAGTAAAATTAATTTTAATGATGCATTTTTAACCCAAGATATCTAAAATTTATCATTTAAATGTGTAACCAATATAAAAATTAATATGAGATATTATACATTCTTTTTGATGCTTAAAACTGACCCCACCACCACCCCACACCAGGTCAACTACAGAAAGCACATATTGAATTTTTGAAGAAATCTGGTGGAAGTCCTCCCCATTTCCACTGGTACCATCTTTGTACCTTGGTTGCAGTCACATAACTCATTCTAGGTCTGTCTCACAGTTCACGCTGACATTTCAAATCTGTCTGCTTGCCTCAGTTAAAACTTCTAATCTATCATCCTGCAGAAAGAGAAATATAGAAGGGATACTGAGAACCAATGTTGATTTTTGAGGGTGGAAAATAGTGCATCTTATTTATGCTGAAGGGAAATAGCCAATAGAGAGGAGGGTTGATGAGTCAGGCCAGAAGTTTATTAATGGATGGAGCATGAGCCTGTAAAAGGCAAGAGAGGAGAGGACCAAGGGTACAGGTGAAGGGACTGGCCTTCAGCAGGAGAAAATGGAAGAGGTGAGATGTGACTTCCTTCCTCACAAAAGGGAGAGATTGAGGATGAGGTTTTCTAGGAAGATGAGGTGTACATTCATAAAGCTCCATTCTCTCTGTGATATTTATTATCAGAGAGAGAGGGAGAAGGTGGGTAAGAAGAGGACCTCAGGAAAGAAGTGTCAAGCTGAAAGAGCTGCCCTGGGAACAGGAGCAAACACTGATGAGAGATTAAAAAAAAAAAAAAAACATGCAGTGTGTGCCAAGCAGAGCCGAGTTCCCGGCTGAAGATGGAGACCAGGAGTGTGTTGGAGTCCCCATCTGTATCATGATGTGGCTTTTCTCCAAAGGGCTCTGCTGCCAGAATATAAGAGCAGAAAAAGCTGATGATTTGTTGAATGCCTGCAGAGCAAGTCAAGGAGTCAAAAGAGTAGCAGGTGCTAACAGACAGGGATCAAATTGATGACTCCTGGAATGTAGTGAAGTAGAGAGGGAGGTGGGATATGTAGAGCAGTACAAGGCAAGTCGAATCTTTCAGGAATATGAGCCAAGTCTCAGAGCCACTTCATCTCTTATTTACAGAAATCAATAAATCCACACATTATATGTTACTTTGTTTGTTACAGAGAATACAAATAACATTGTTTTTGACCCATCAAGGAGCTTACAGCCTAGCTGGGGAAACAAGATTAATGCATAAATCAATGCGTGTTGCACAAAAACGTACTTACATTTTATGGCAAAAATTTCAAGTATTTTAGAAACAAAATGTGAGCTAGGGCTTGGTAACTTGGAAAGTAGATACTTCTACCCTAATGCAGCATCCAGGACTGGCTGCCTGATTTCCTTCTCTGAAGAAAGAACTCTTACCCAGAATGATCACCAGATAGCAAGATCCTCACTGGCGGATAGGATAGGGTATTTGCCATTCTATCTTCAGTATCTGGCATAGACATGTAAGGAATTGTGTCTAAAGGTCTGAATGAGTTAATAAATGAATGAATCTCTAAGAACTGTGAAACCAAGAGAAGGAATCATGGGAGATTAGCTCAAAAGAGGAAGGGTTGCATGGGCAAGCTAAGTTGAGCCTGAGTAAACACCTGAGACTGCAGCTGTTTCACCACCTGCTTCCCAGTAGGAATGGGTAGGTTGGCTCCATTTAGAAGGCCAGGAGTGGAAAAGACAACAGAGTGGTTCCATGAAAAAGGTGGTTGAAGAGCAAGAAAACACAAACATGGGTGGGGCACGGTGGCTCCTGTCTGTAATCCCAGCTATTTGGGAGGCCAAGGTGAGGAGAGATGCTTAAGCCCAGGAGTTCAGGACCACCCTGTGCACTATGGTGAAAACCCCTCTCTGCAAAAAGTACAAAAATTAGCCAGGCATAGTGGTGCATGCCTATGATTCCAGCTACTCAGGAGGCTGAGGTGGGAGAATCGCTTCAGCCCTGGAGGTTGAGGCTGCAGTGAGCCATGATAGCACCACTGCACCAGCCTGGTGACAGAATGAGACTGTCTCAAAGAAAAAAAAAGAAAAAGAAAAAGAATGAATGTAGACCCCACTGTGTGCTTAGCCCTGTACTGAGTACTTGAGTACTCTGGCAATATACAGGAAACAAAAAGGTAGTTTCCAATTGTTTAGTTTATGATCTAGTTTAACAGATATGAGGTGCATAAACCTGTAAGGCTAGCAGAGAATATGCAAAACAAGATATGGTATGCTAGAGCTGACTATGTCTTTCACAGTTAGAATTACATGACAATTAAACTCTGTGTGTGTGTGTGTGTGTGCACTTAAACATCAGCTAAAGAAGATAATGGTTTGTTCTGAAGCTGATCTTAGCTGTATCTGCACAGTATATATCATTCGATCAATATAATCATTTCCATCATCAAAATCTCCTGAAGAGCTTTTTCAAAATCACAAGCAGGGACCCTCCATGGATTCTGATTCAGTAAGTCTGGTATAAGACAAAATAACCTCTTTGTTTTCATAATCTCCAAGGGTGATTCAGATGTTCATGTAATGGGGAGAACCAGTTATTTAAACAATTTGGATATGGGGAGATTAGCAATGAATAAGGAGAAAATGACTCTTTTATAGCCAGATGAACTGTTTCAATAGAGCCAGCGATCATGCAAATTATGAAATGAAACATCGAACAAAAAAAGTGAGCCTTGCTTTATGAAAATATACCCCTGAATGAAAATAGAGCTTTAAGGATTGTGTACATTGATAATCACTATGTAAAAGTAAAACGCATTGATAGAGATCCTAGAAAAATATTTAACTACTTTTTTATTTTATATTTTTTGTCTTCAAAAATATTAAGTCTACATCTAAGATTTTAACTATTGATATGGTTTGGCTGTGTTCCCACCCAAATCTCTTCTCGAATTGTAGCTTCCATAATCCCCATGTGTCCTGGGAGGGACATGCAAATTACCTGGTGGGAGGTAATTGAATCATGCGGGCAGGTTTTCCCATGCTGTTCTCGTGTTAGTGAATAAACCTCTTAAGATCTGATGGTTTTATAAAGGGCAGGTCCCCTGCACACGCTTTCTTAACTGCTGCCATGTAAGATGTGCCTTTGCTCCTCCTTTGCCTTCTGCCATGATTATGTGGCCTCCCCAGCCATGTGGAACTGTGAGTCCATTAAACTTCTTTTTCTTTATAAATTACCCAGTCTTGGGTATTTCTTTATAGCAGTATGGAAATGGACTAAGACTAATACAGTAAATCGGTACCAGGACTTGGTGCTCTGCGTCTCAGCGGTGGCTAAGAGGGGCCAATGTACAGCTCAGGCTGTTGCTTCAGAGGATGTAAGCCCCAAACCTTGGTGGTTTCCACATGGTGTTAGGCCTGAAGATGCAGAGAAGTCAAGAATTAAGGTTTGGGAACCTCTGCCTAGATTTCAGAGGATGTATGGAAATGCCTGGATGTGCAGGCAGAGGTGTGCTGCAGGGGCAGAGCCTTTATGGAGAACTTCTGCTAGGGCAGTGCAGAAGGGAAATGTGGGGTGGAAACCCTCACACAGAGTCCCTACTGGGACACTGCCTAGTGGAGCTGTGAGAAGAGGGCCATCATCCTCCAGACCCCAGAATAGTAGATCCATCGACAGTTTGCACTGTGCACCTGGAAAAGCCAAAGACACTCAATGCCAGCCCATGAAAGCAGCCAGGAGGGGGTCTGTACCTTGCAAAGCCATAGGGGCAGAGCTGCCTAAGACCATGGGAACCCAACTCTTGCATCAGTGTGGCCTGAAAGTGAGACATGGGGTCAAAGGAGATCATTTTGGAGCTTTAAGATTTAACTGCCTCGCTGGATTTGCACGGGGCCTGTAGCGCCTTTGTTTTGACCAATATCTCCCATTTGGAATCACTGTATTTACCCAATGACTGTACCTCGATTGTCTAGAAAGTAACTAACTTGCTTTTGATTTTATAGGTTCGTAAGTGGAAGGGACTTGCCTTGTCTCAGATCAGACTTTGAACTATGGACTTTTGAGTTAATGCTAAAATGAGTTAAGGCTTTGGGGAACTGTTGGAAGGGCATGATTGTGTTTTGAAATATGAGGACATAGGATTTTGGAGGGGCCATAGGGGAAAGATATGGTTTGGCTGTGTCCCCACCCAAATCTTATCTTGAATTGTAGCTCCCATAATCCCCAAGTGTCCTGGGAGGGACCCAGTGGGAGATAATTGAATCATAGGGATGGGATCTCCCACGCTATTCTTGTGCTAGTGAATAAGTCTCATGAGATCTGATGGTTTTATAAAGGCCAGTTCCCCCACACACACTCTCTTGCCTGCCACCAGGTAAGACATGCCTTTGCTCCTCGTTCATTTTCCACCATGATTGTGAGGCCTCCCCAACCATTTGGAACTGGGAGTTCATTAAACCTCTTTTTCTTTATTAATTACTCACTCTCAGGAATGAAAATAGGCTAATACAACTATATATGAGACTTTTTTAAAAAGTAAAATGTAACACTTTGTGTTATGCATTATAGTTTTTTTTTTCTTTTTTTTTCTTTTTTTTTTTTTTTTTTAACAGAGTCTGTCTGTCACCCAGGCTGGAGTGCAGTGGCATGATCTTGGCTCCTGGATTCAAGCCTCTGCCTCCTGAATTCAAGCAATTCTCCTGCCTCAGCCTCCCGAGTAGCTGGGATTCCAGGTGCACGCCACCATGCCTAGCTAATTTTTGTATTTTTAGTAGAGACAAGGTTTCACCATGTTGGCCAAGCTGGTCTCAAACTCCTTATCTCAACTGAACCACCTACCTCAGCCTCCCAAAGTGCTGGGAGTAGAGGCATGAGCCACCTCGCCCAGCTTTACATTTGTTTTAACAAAATGCTTATAAGATATTAAAAATAGTGAGTCTTTAAGATGTGCCTCAGTGATTTGATCATTATTTATTCATTGTGTTTTAGTGGGTGTGACTATTTCCTCCAGGGAGTATCTCCATCAAAAGGGCTAAGGCAAATGCCAGAAGCCTCTGCCACTTAAAATAAATGAAGTAGTGGGATATTTTGATCTAAAGAGATGCTTGATACAATTTTGCCACAATTTGAGTAGAAAGTTGCATTTGAAGCATTCAACGTGCGTTTCATTGAAATAAATGGGTTATGGTGATGATGGTTAAACAAATCACCACTCAGGGGACAGCTTTTTTTTATAGATAGAATAATGGCAGAAGGGGAAATGTCCGTGCAGATGTGCTCATTCCTGCTTAGGTAAGACTCAGTCACCAGGAGATAGGATTTAGCTCCTTTAACTATATTTACAAGCAAAACAGAGTCTCTCTTATTATCTGTATGCAGCAGGAAAAATATTATTATATTTTGGTATGAGAAGTATGAAGGTAGTGGAGTGATAAGAAAGTAGGAAAGAGGAAGTTAGGCCAAAGCTACCTTGTTCTCTAAAGCAAGAAATCAACTAAATCCACAAATGCACTAAAAAAAATAACAAAAGCTCTTTCAGGTACAAAGTACTTTCAAAAATATTTTTGTTGCCTTATTTAACTTTTGCTACACTCCTTAAGTTTAGATATTATTCAGATCCTCATTTTATACATGAAGAAATGGTTAATAAAACTTATGTTTATAGGTGCCGTACAGTTCCCAAAGTGATTTCACAGATACAATTTAATTTTTTAATTGTTTTATTAATATTTTTAGTTAATAAATCATAATTGTATACATTTATGGGGTATAATGTGATGTTTCCATATATGTAAACTATGCAGAATGATTAAATCAAGCTAATTAACACATCTATCACCTTGCTTATTTTTGTGATGAAATTCGAAATTTACTCTTATTTTGAAAAATTATTATTAACCATAGTCACATTGCTGTGTGACAGATCTCAAAACCTGTCCCTCTTTTCTTTCTGAAATTGTACCCTCCTACCAACTCCTTATTCCCTCCCACCCACTCACCCCCACAGCCCCCAGTAAGCATCATTCTACTCTCTACTTCTGCAAATTCAACTGTTCTAGATTCCATATATAAGTTAATTTTAAAATTGCTATCCACATTTAATATAGAAGGAAATTAATTCCAGAAATTTAAGTGAATTGCCAGAGATCTTATAATTGTCAGACCCATGGCTCAAACCTCTCTTCTGACTCTTGGATGGTTGTTCAGATCTGTTTTACCCAACCTGTGGGGACTCAGGCTGCGTCTGCACAAGGGATAGTCAGCGTCACCATTACAGACCCAAGTTGGATATTATATCTTATGTCCACCTAATAATATTCACCCCTTGAGAACTTAGGTACACTTGTGTTGTGTTCTACCACTTTCCTGGCTCAGGGGGAGATATTTTAAAAGTTCTGTAAGTCCCCCCTTGACTAGGGGCAAAGCTATACCTTCACACTACTAACACCTTGTAGGGGTCCCAGCATCTCATCTGCCCATCCAGGAGGGGTTACCAAGAATCTAAATCTAAGAGAAGGCATACCCACTCAATGGACTGGACAAGACTAAGACAGAGCCTTGGGATACAGATGACTCTTTAACAACAATAGGCTGAGCCCTATGGTTGATAGCTGGTCCTCACCAGGAAGCAGCCAGAGAACAACTTTTGCCCGGCTCAGGTTCCACGCAGCACCCTAACTCTGGTGGCTTCACAGCTTTTCTCTTGTAGCTCTCAAGCCTTTAGGATACCTTCCAGTCATCTCTTTCCCAGCCTGTGACACAGTTAATCTAGCTCTCAAAGAGGAAAACCTGGCTCCTGAAACATACATTGAAATTTTCTTATAACAGTAGGTCACCTAACCAAGCCACCCAATTGTAGACTTATCTCAACTTTTGTTCCTCATGACTCATATAAGGATGAAGCCTTTAGGGTATGAAAAAAAAAAAAAACAACTCCGATGGGTTTAGGATATGAGAAAGAAAGACACAGTTTGATACCTTAATAGACTATGCAACCATATTATTTTTGCATAATTCAGGTTGTTCCCAGCCTATACCTCTTGTCTCTCTAGTAACAATGGAAAATGCATCCTTACATCCTCTTGATATTTGTTACCATAGTGAGCATATAATGGGTTTGAAGCAAATACTAATTTTATTTGATTCAAGTGCAGCTGATTCCACAACCTTCCACAGTGGCAAAGACACCTAATTGTCAGATGGAACCCATCATCCCTTGAGACTCACTGTTGCCCACACACACTCTTGGGTAAAGCATTCATTTGCAAGCTGGCTAAACAATTTCATGATATCAGATATTAAAGCAGAATGTTTAAAGTCATGTTCTCCCAAGAAGAACGTACTCCATTATCCTCATTCCATTTCAGTCCAACAAGTTATTTAGTGCCAAATGGCAGACTTTCTCCTCTCCCTTTTCTCCTCAGCAGGTATTTCAAGACAAGGGGATAAAGTTTTCAGGAGGAATAGAAAGACTATCCAAAAGCATCTCTTCTCTCGTATTCTCTCTCCCTATCCTAAAGCTGCATTCGAGGAGGTAAATTGTAGGAACATGTTCTACAGAGCTGGTGGCATCTTCTGTTTGAGAGATGCTTCTGACTCTAAACAGATGATAGGGAAAGGCCCAGAGGTGAAGATAGAAAACCACAGAATATCTAAGGCAGCTCTCAGCACCCACCCCAGCACCAGACCCCAGACCTCTTGGCTGCCTGTGGCCCCCAGGACATGCTCTGCTGGCTGTCCTGCACTGGGGGATTTCTTCACAATCCCATTCACCATACAAAAGAGTGTACTCTCAGCTCTGGCCCCACTGGGCAGACAACCAGGGCTTACCTGGGCAGGACTTGGTAAGGACCAGAAGCAAATCATGATGCAGCTCCTGAAGCAGCTAAGCCACTCCCTAGACAGATCTTTTCTCAGAAACACAACCAAGCATAACTTCAGCTCTGAACATGTCATAGAGGTGCTGGCCATGACCTGGTCCCAGCCAGCAGGGTACCAGCTAGAGCCTAGATTGAGAAATACCCAGATGTGGACTCCTCTGGGCATCATTTTCTCCTTTTAGGTGAGAAGAAGTGTTCAGTTTCAACCTCCTACCTATATTCTCCCATGCCATTTTCCCTAATATGTTTCAAATTTCAGATTGTATAATAAACAGGAAACAACAAAACAAAAAAGTTAGACTATCACAGTAGTCTAACAAAGTGATGATGGTTTTCTGGACTAGGGAGTACTTGTGAAACAGATTTAAGATGTATTTTGGAAGTAGGGTTAACAGTTCTCACTGATAAATTGGTTCAGTAGGGCATGAAAAAAAAAGGAAAAAAATCAAAGATAAATCCTAGGTTTTAGTACCTGGGTATATTTCCTCTTTTATATTCATTTAGCCAATATTTAATGAGCACCTTTCATATGCAAGGTACTGTTCTGGACTCTGCAGAAAAGATCCTTGACCTCATGGAGTTTATAATCTAGCTGTAGCATATTGAAGGAAAAAAATAAAATACAACAGAGCAATAGCGTGTAGCATATGATACATACTAAGCACTGTGTTAAGTGTTTTTACATGTATTTGCTATTTTAATCCTCATACTACTATTATCTTCATTTTATGGACCAGGACCCTGAGGGTCAGAAAGGCTACATAACTTGCCCAAGTATTGTTAATGAACCACCACTTAATTGGTCTGGGAGGGGGTAAATTCTGTTTTGACAAAGCTAAGTTTAAGAAGTCTGTGAGATATCCAGATGGAGTTGTGAAATATCCAGATGGAGTTGTCTAGTAGGGACTTGGCTACGTACATCTGGAACTCAGAGAATGGATTAAAGTTTGAAATATAGATTGAAGCATCTTAAACATAGAGCCATAGGTTAACTGAAATCTCTTAGGAGAGAGAGAGTAGATGGAGACAACCAGAACAGGACAGTTCCTTTCAAAGAGACGCAACATCAAGAGAGCAGATAGAGGAAATGGGGACAGCAGAGAGGGCTAGCGTGGTAGAAAGAAAAGCCAGGAAAGAGAATTGTGGAATCCCAGAGAGAGAGAATGCAGATGCTTCCAGCCTTAAATGAAATCTTCCATTTCCAAGTGCTATATTAGGGTTGTCCAGAGAACCAGAACCCACAGGATGTATATATATAAGGAGAAAGAGATATATTTTAAAGAACTGGCTGATGTACTTATAGAGACTGGCAAGGCCAAAATCTGCAGGGTAGACCAGCAGACTGAAAACCCAGGAAGAGCCAATGCTGCAGTTCACTCTGAAGACCATCTGCTGCAGATTTCTCTCTTACGCAGGGGAGCTCAGTCTTTTGTTCTATTCAGGCCTTCAGCTGATTGGATGAAGCCCACCCACCTCATGGAAGACAATCTGCTTTACTCAAAGTCCACCAATTTAAATACAAATTTAAATCAAAATATAAATATTAAATATAAATATAAATCCAAAAACAGTCTCACAGAAACATCCAGCATAATGTTTGACTGCATATCCATGCACCATGGCCCAGCCAGTGGACACAAAAGACTAACCATAACAAATGCATAACAGTTACTTTAAACACTGGTACCCTGTATAGTAAGAGAATGCTTTTTTTCCTTCTAAACACAGATGCAGTCCTAGCTCTCAGAATTATACTAATTTTTCATAGAAAATGCACATGTCCTTGTCCATATCTAAGAGGCAAAAGTGAGGCCCTGGCAGATGGACATAAAGGGCCAGCCTTTTCTTACCTTGTGCTGAAGGAGTGTGCATTAGTCTGTTCTCATGCTGCTAATAAAGACATACCTGAGACTGGGTAATTTATAAAGGAAAGAGGTTTAATTGACTCACAGTTCAGCATGGCTGGGGAGGTCTCAGGAAACTTAACAATCATGGCAGAAAGGGACGCAAACATGTCCTTCTTCATATGGCAACAGCAAGGAGAAGTGCAGAGCGAAGTGAGGGAAAAGCCCCTTATAAATATCATATATTTATAAATGATATACCATCAGATATAAATGATATATGATATCATTTATAATGATATAAATAATATATGATGTGGTAAATGGTATATCATCAGATCTTGTGAGAACTTACTCACTGTCACAAGAACAACAAAGGGTTAGCTACCCTCATGATTCAATGACCTCCTACCAGGTCTCTTCTATGACAAGTGGGGATTATGAGAACTACAATTCAAGATGACATTTGAGTGGGGACACAGCCAAGCCATATCAGAGAGCCTGAAGAAAGGAGCTGGGCTCTGCTTGGCCTAGCATAGCCTGGACCATACTGTTTTGTGCCTTACACAAGAGGAGTTGGGGGAGCTCTTAACATACAAAACCTGACTTTAGAAAATGCAGTGACTCGTTTATTGTCTTGGGGGCCCATGTGGCCAGATTACATTCTTAAGAGAGGAGAAGGGGAGTCACCTGATCAGAATAGCTATTTCCATATCAATTATCCTTTTAAGGGAGAAATCCTGGAACAGGTAATGGGGCAATAGGTAGATGTGAAATGTGGGAGTAAGGGATTGTAAAGGGGGTGCTGCTGTCACTCCCTTTAGACTGAATTCTGGAGAATGAAGATGGTGTGTACACTCAGTGATAGAGGATGAAAGGGCCTCCAGCACGTGACTACACCAGATGAGGTAGAAGGGCTTCCAGCATGTGACTATGTCCAGGTAGATCACCCACGTGGTAAAGAATTCTAAGGTTAGGTTTAGGCCTGTGAGTGCCACCTCTAGTGGCAACATAACTTGTATTCTATTTCCAGACCTCCAAGCCTTCAGTCAGAAGTGGAGAAATGGATAAGATCTGTGCCATGCCCTAAAAAGAGTAGCTAAGGGAAGAGCAGTGTTTTGTCCCAGGAATGGTCACCAAGCACAGCAGTAATCTCTGAGGGATCACCGGTCACACAGGCAGCAATGCAGTGATTAAGCAATTTGGCCAGTATGAACCTGAGGCCCTTGCTGTGGATTACTCCTGAATAGAAGCCCCAAGAAACTGTAGCTAGACAGACATTTTAAATGGGATTAATCTGGAGGAAGATTATGCCATATGAAAATGAGCACTGCTAGGTTAGGAAACACAGAGGACTAGATGTCCAGAAAATGCCTCCCAAGACCAGAGACTCAAAATCCTGGATAAATATGGAAAATGTCTTTTGATAATGCATAGCTGAATCATCATAAGACAAAACAAAAAAATTCCTAAGGCTATAAAGGTCAAGAAAATGCAAAATCATTGAGATAGGAAGTATTTTTCCATAGGGAACATTTGATGTCCTCAAATCTGAGCATTCAACAACCACATGAGAGACACAGGGAAAAGGTACTAGAAGACCCAGAACATGAGCAGTTGGAAGAGAGACTCCACATAAGGCTTGGACCCTGAAATAGAAAACTCATATTCAGTTTTTTTGTGTGTATAAGCAGAGAGTGAGGATACCTCCTAGAACAACCACAGCTTCAGGTAGAAAGGAAATAAAGGAAAACTCCTAACCACAAACTTATAGGCATTTAGGGCCAGAACTCACACTCCTGTGTGACCTGAAAAAAAAATTCCAAACCAAAATATTCTGCCTGGATTTTTGTCTCACTAAAAGTCAGGCAGAAACAGACCCAAATCTTCTCTGGCAAACACATCTTAAACCCTAGATTCAGATGATTTCTATTGACAAAGTTCCAACGAATATGAACTGACATTAGAACCAGAAAACCATGAGGAAACAGTCATTGTGAGTGTGAACAATCAGTAGAAGCAACAGATGGCAGAATCAGACCTGCAAAAACAAAGACACTTGAATTATGGGACCAGAATATGAAATAAGTGTTTTAAGTAATAAAATAGGCTATCAAAAGTATGAAAAAGGATCAAAAGATTATTTAAAGAGATCAGGCTGATTTGAAGAAGACAGAAAAGTAGAACTGCCAGAATTGAAAAATATGGTCATTTTAAATAGAAATTCAGTGGGCATGTTAAACTGCAGTTTAGACACAACAGAAGACAGAAATAGTGAACTGAAAGATCAGAAGGAGTTACCAGAATGTAGCATAGAGAGAGGAGCTGAAAATCTGAAGACAAATAGAAAGATATTGAGAATAAAGTGACAAAGTTGAAAAATACCTAATTGGAGTTCCAGAAGAACAGGATGGAAAGAATGGGAGTAAAAAACATATTTGAAGAGATAATGACTCAGAATTTTTCTGATCTGGTCCCTAAGGTTCAAGTCCACTTTATCTATTAAGAAATAGTCCAGAAGTAAAAAACATGATCCCAGCATCTCGTTTTCCCTAGGTTGATGGGCAGTTAGAATGTGGAAAGGACAGAGACATCATTATTGAAGAAAAATATGGGAAGAAAATTCACAAGGCTAAGCCATATGCAGCATAATTAAATTCCCCTGGAAAGCAGGCCTCAAGACTCAGAAAATCTGTCCTCTGGTGCCAAGGGAGGAGCACAAGCAATAGCTCATATGAGAATGCTCTAGACAAGAGGTTAAATAATGCATTCTTTTGCACCCATGAGAATAACTGTCCAAGAACTGAATCAAATGGGAAACATAGTTTCCTCAAATTAATGCAGACAGGACTGTCACCATAGCATCCATCTTGATTTAGGGTAACTCAAACTCCTGTGAGAAAAAAAAGATCATAGAAAAATAGCATGTAGATTGGCACAAGTGAATTTCCAAGATACTTAAAATTTACTCCATTGATTGACAGTACTTTTAGAAATGTAACCCGTGCTGTGAAGTATCAGTTAGAACAACGTCCACAGCAAATCAAAGAAAACAACTCAGACTAGCTTGGACACGAAGGAAATGCATTGGCTTGATTGAAAGTTGGCTGAAGTGGACCCTAAATCCATGGGTCGGCCTAACCTTCAGGCTGAGGACAAGACGGTTACAGGACAAGATGGTTGAGGACAAGATGGGCTCTTATGTGCAACAATACTCAGGAGAAGAAAGGGATTACTTTCAAAAGGGTTTGTAGAAGTAACGACTTCCCTAAAAGCCCAATTAAGTCTCTACTTCATGTTAGCCAGATTGGGTCATTTGCTAATTTCTAGACCAATCATTGCCAAGAAAGTTGGAATCAACATTTGGCCATTAAATTCAGGCATCTGGCACAGGCAGGGCAGTAGATAAATGATTTTACCATTTATGGGGACATGGAAACACTGGAGGAAGAGTAGATGTGATGGAAGAATACAAGCACTATTTGAGAAATAATATTATGTTGAAGATAATTAGAAAAAGAAGATTTGAGGTAGGGAATGTAAAGAGTAGACAGTGAAAGTTACAGAAATAGCATAGAAAATGACAGAATAGCATAGAAATTTTACAATAAATCTTTCCAAAAGAACTAAAGGGAAAGAATCCTGGGATCTGGAGCTCCGTCTCTTTTCTGGTGGGCTGACTGCATTTGCTTTGGGAAAATGTGTTCATGGATAGACTGAGGGCTAAATGACCTAGGTATTGGGGAAGAGGTGGGAGAATACCTTCCCAGATATTTCTGGGAAATAATATATAAATCAAATAAGGTTTGATTTACAGATCAAATCTCAAACCAAAGCATATAAAACATCCACAATTACTTTATGTCTCCAGGACCATGGAGGGAACTGGGAAGTAGAAGCCAATATCTTTGAATCCTAAAATAAGAAAGGCATCAAACACATTTGGGTGGCAGATCAAAATTAGAGCATGTTAACTTTTAATATTTGGAGTATCTCCAAAAAGACAAAATGCATTTATAAGTATCTCTGGAAAAGGATAATGGTTAAAATTCTTTGACAGTTGGGGATGATGAAAAACTTCCAGAGGTGAAGAGTGGTGATGACTGCATAACAATGTAAATACATTTAATGCCATTAAATTGTACACTTAAAATGGTAAAATAATGTATTTTATATTATGTATATTTTATCACACATAAAAATTCTCTGACAGGTAAGAAATAACTAATAGTAATCCATTGCACACTATGTTTAACAACTTAACATATACACAATTGCATTGACAGTCTCTTTATATTGCAGCCTGGTTTTATTGCTTTATTTTGGAAAATGTAAAAAAATACAGACTTTTATCAGTTATAAATAATAGATAGCATTTGGGGAGTTTTAAACCAGGTGCCAGGTGTTTTGCTAAGTATTTTACATAAATCACCTCTTTAAAGTCTTTACAAAGCTCCATAGATTTATCCACTTTATCCCCCCTTTACTGATGGGGAGGCTAAGTTACAGAGAGGCTAACTACAGTTGGTAAGTGGTAAACTGGGATACAAACTAAGCCCCAGGCAATTCTATTTCCGGTTCTAACCATTGTATCAAATGAATTTCTTGCACCTGTAAATTTCTCAACTGTTCTACTCCTCTACTGCTTAGATCTTGAAGGTATCAGAACTGAATCTGATAAAGAAGCAATACACTTTTTGATGGAATGAAAGCAATTTTGATGTTAAAACAAAGAATATTTATCAATAGATTAATATTAGTCTGGCTAAAGAACTCTAGAGTGTGCCTCAATCATTGAACCTATCCTCGCCAACAAGGTGAGGACTTGAAGGTATTTACCAGTCACCTAAGTTAGAATCTTGGGAGTTATATGGGAGTGAAACAAGTCCGTCGACATTCACACCCAATTAGACTTTAAGTGCTGCCACATATTTCAACTATATTTCAAATACAACTCTTAAATATATTTCAAATACGACTCCTCCCGTCTATTCCTAGGACTCTCTCGTGTTCAGCTTGTTCTATGACAGCCTCTCAACTGAGCTCACTCCTGTCTCTCCTAGCCCCCTCAAACACGCCCATTACAATACTACCAAGATGATCTATTTGTTTAATGAATAAATGGGTAGATAAGCAGGTGATGAGAACCTGAGCTAGCACAGCAATAGTAGTGATACAGAAGGGATGGATTTGAGAAATATTTTGGAGTTTTAGACACCCTTAAGGGTCTGACTTTATCCTAAAAGCAGCAGACCATGAACAAAGAGATTAAAGTACAAAAGTGACATGATCATATTTGCATTTTAGAAAATATTTTTCCATTAGGAAACCTCACTGAAAAATAGGATATCTTTCCATTTGTTCAGCCCTGATTTCAAATACTGGCTCTGTGGCTTGCACACTGGATGGACTGCATGCTACTTAACCTCTCTATATCTCAATTTTCTCATCTATGAAATGGAAATAATAATAACATCCTTTCAGGGTTTCTAGGAAGGTTAAATGAGTTAATACATGTAAATCTCGTAGAATAGTGACTAAAACAAAGTAAGTGCTTAGCCATTTTTTCAGTCTACCAAAAAGATTTTCAGTTTTCTTCCTGTAAGTCCTGGCCTTCCTTATCAAATTTATTCTTAAATATTTTATAGATTTTGGTGCTATTAAAAGCAGTATATCGTCCCATATCCATGTCTAGTTGTTTATTACTGGACCAATGAAAACCAATTAATGTTATACTTTTATACTTTTATCTTATATTCATGCAAATTACTAAATTATCTTACTATATAAAATATTGTTAGGAGGCTTCCTAGAGGTTCCCTAGAGGGTTTTTTTTTTTTTTTTTTTTAGTTGTGGGGAGTTGCTTTTGTTTTTGTTTTGAGACAAGGTCTCACTCTGTCACCTTGGCTGAAGTGTAGTGGCATGATCATAGCTCACTACAGCCTTGAACTCCTGGACTCAAGCAATCCTCCGACCTCATCCTCCTGAGTAACTGAAGTATCAGCATGTGCCATCATATTGGATAGGGGTCTCACTATGTTGCCCAGGCTGGGCCTAGAACTCCTGGCCTCAAGTGATCCTCCCACGTTGACCTCCCAAAGTGCTGGGATTACAGGTGTGAACCACTAGGCCTAGATTTTTTTTTAATAAACAAACTAAACATCAACAGGGACAGCGTTGTCTTCTTTTTACCTATATTTAATTACCAATAACTATTTATTTCATTTTATTTTTATAGGATATTCTCTACAACTTTTAAGACAATATTCAGTAAGGATGATGAGGGCTCTCACTTCCAGCCATAAAAATAAATACTAAAAGATACCAGATTCACCATCATGCTTTTAAGAGGTATAATTAGACAAAATACCTAAAACAACTGCATCTAGTAAATAGACAATAAGCATTGCAGGATGAAGATCCTTGAGAGAAGTGAAATAGGTAAAGAAAGCCCTCTGATGAATTGAGACAAATCTCAAAAGCATTGTGCTATGTGAGTCAAGTCTGACACTACAGAGCACATGTGGCTGGCACATACTCCAGAACTGAATCTGGATGATACTCATGTATCATCTAATCTAATCCTCCAGCTACCTTGCAAGGAAGATGAGAAAACTGAGAGTCAGGGACATAAATAACATGTCTGAGGTCTCACAATAAATAAGTGCTGGAGCTGGAATTCACATGGTACACTGCTGGACTCCAATGCCCTCATTCTTTCCAGACAGCCCCCACTGACTGTCACAAAATGAAGAGCAGATCAGTGGTTACTTGAGGCCAGAGGTGAGAAAGTAGGGGTTGGTGGGAAAGGAACACAGAAATATTTGGGGGTGATAGAAATATTCTACATCTTGATTGTATGTTACACAGATATACATGTTTGTCAAAACACATCAATCTGTGCACTAAAATGGGTGCAATTTTTTCATGTGTATTGTTGCTCAATAAAGTTTCTTTAGAAACATGAGAAAGGTGAAAATAAGCATTCCTTTCCAGTATTTTTTCCCCTAGGAAGTTGTCCATGTTCTCTAGACTTTCGTGTGCTTGTTGTCACTGAGCTGTATCTTCCATCAGGCTCCCCGGGACAGATTCAGAGGTGGAGATTGGTATGAAGGAGGTCTACTGGGGAGTACCTGCAGGAATAGTGCCTGTAAGAAAGTATGGCAGTTATGATTGAGCAGAGGAAGCAATTGAACTGTGAAGCAACTGAGGCCTTGGCTATTCCACTGGAAGCTGTGGTCCTTCGGAGCCATCCCAAAATGAGACAAGAGGATAAGAATTTTATATTTCTCTGTCAACCCATTTTGAGATATGAGTTGTCCCCAGTACACATTGGACAACATATTATACATTGGATGGTAGCTTAGACAAGACAATCCCCTTGACCAAAAGCAATTCCTGGAGAGAGACACAGTTGTAAGCCATCAGCCACCAACACTTCCCACAAGGAGGAAACAAGTGTCCCAGTCCTAAAGGGGGTCTGGGTAGCACAACATGGCTCCCACTAGAGGTGTGTGTCATAGTCTCCTCAAGTTCTTTCATCTCTCTTTCATCTTTTTCTTTCTCTTTACTAATGGTTGATCTCCCTTTTTCCTTAACCACTCTCACAGTGGGTTTATCTATTTTTAGCAGACTTCTAAGCAATCAACTCTTGAATTGTTTTATTATTTGTTTTATTTTTGTAAGTGAGTTTTGCCTTGATTGATTTCTTCTCCTTGGTTTCTTTTTGTTTGATTTGTCATTTTAGTGATTTCTGAAAATGAGTAATAATTTTTCTTCATTAATGATGAAGACATAAGAGAGGTATTTAAGACCCTAAAATTTTCTCTGTGTACGTCTCTATGTCTCACGGAATTTGGTACTCAGTGTTTTTTATTCCATTGTTTTTGTAGCTTATAATTTCTCTCTTAAAATTCCTTTTTGTTCCATGGTTCTATCCAGTAGAATATTTCAGATTTCCCAGAAAGAAAAGATTATTTGTCGCCTTTTTATTATTTACTTTCAATTGTATTGAATTCTCATCAGAGAATATGCCTCCTAAAAGCACTACTTTTTTAATATTTTAAGATTTAATTTATGGTTCAGTAAGTGATTAAGTTTTATAAATGCTTGCTGAACAAATTCATTTATATATTATATACATATATATATAACCCTCATAAATTGTGTTTACATAATGTCTTGTTATTTTATTCAATGTGTGTAACCTTGGATTCCCCCATGTCAGACGCTGTCTCTCCTGCTTTCTGTTTGCATTTTCTCTTTCGCTTTTGTATCTCTTTGACCCACCTTAATTTTATATGCTACTTTCTCCCTTTTAAAACATATATAGGCATACAGCTCAGTTTTGTGTATTAACTCAATTTGAAAAACCTTTGTCTTTTAGAAGGAAAGACTCAAACTGCTCTGCTTATATTTTGTGGGATGATTTGATTTATTCTTTTCATAATGATTTATTCTTTTTGTAAAGTAGACATTGGCTGGAAAGGAACAAAGAAGTATTCGGGGTGATGAATATATTATATGTCTTTATTGTATGTTACACAGACGTACACATTTGTCAAAACTCACCAATCTGTGCACTTAAAATGGATGCAATTTTTTCACGTGTATTATTCCTCACTAAAGTTTCTTTAGCAACATGAGAATGGTGAAAATAAGCTTCCTTTGCAGTATTTTTTCCCATAGGAAGTTGCCCGTGTTCTCCAGATTTAGATTGATATTTTACATTGTTTTTCTAAATTTTCTTTTTTTGTTTGCTGATTTGATCAAATTGCCATTAATTTTATTTCCCCTTATTTCTTTGGAAGTTCTATTATATTGCATTTCATAGAGACCACCTTCTCTGTTCCTGTTCTCATAATCACAAAAATTCTCTATTCTTATGAGAAAACACAATACAGTTTCCTTCACCACAACATTCTATTCCGTCTCCTTGCTCCACCCTAATAAGATGAGAATATTTCTCCCTCTTTCTCCACTCCAGGATCTTAGCTTTGCTCAGATAATTTATCGCTCTTAGTTCTAGATCATTTTTTGACTTTTAAATCAGTATATACCTTCTCTTTTAAGACTTGTTTAGCACTTATACTGCACTTATGACTGAACAAAGGAAAATCCCTTTAATAATTAGCTGCAACCTACAGAGGCAGCATTTGCAAAACACAGAAAAATAGACAGAGCTGATAATCTATTTATACTGAAAAGTGGAAGATTCCAAGGCCAGTGTTGGAGACAGCAGGAATGAGAAAAACACTACTTTGAGGACAGAGGAGGGGGCAGTAGGAAGACGAACGGTTAAAGGGATGTAATACATCTCCATGGGATATCCTAAATCATGTCTAAGGTACAGGAAAGAGATTTGCTAGGTAACATCATAGTCCTGGGCTTTGAAATTGATTGTAGGTTACCCATTTTCATCTTTTAGTAGAAAAAGAGCTTTAGCTTTAACCTACGTAAGACTTCAATTATGCTCAGCCCATGGAAGAGAAGTGTCAGGAGTGCTTCCTGCTCTATATCACCCGGTTAAGAACTTGCCTTTTCATTGTCAAAAGAGGAGATCCTGAGAAGATTACAGACCACCAGCTGACTCTCCCTACTGTGAATAATCAAGAAGATTCCTTTGATTTCCATTTCACCAAGGACAGCAAAGAATAGCTATTCTGATATATAAAGGAAGGGCCCAGGTATGTATAGACCCAATAGTAACAGCAATAATTATTACCATTTATTGAACTCCTACCATGTGCCAGCAATCATGCATGTATCATCTAATCTAATCCTCCAGCTACCTTGCAAGGAAGGTGAGAAAACTGAGAGTCAGGGACATAAATAACATATCCAAGGCCTCAAAGTAAATAAGTGCTGGAGCTAGAATTCACATGGTACACTGCTGGACTCCAATGCCCTCATTCTTTCCAGACAGCCCCCACTGACTGTCACAAAATGAACAGCATAAACAAAACACCCCGCATAACTCAGATGTCATGGAAATGCATCCAAGATGTGGACATCAACAGCAACTTATTACACTTGACACACACTTAGGTTTTCTCCTGTCTGTTGGGAAATTTTCCATTCCAAAGGAACCAAATGTTGGAAGATGCACTGTTACTGTTACAAATCAAGGCACAGCCTCAGAAAGAAGTATTTTCCCAGGAGATCAAGGAAACCGTTACAGAAATCCTAAGAAATGGGGTGGAAAAAAAAGAGCAATGGGTAGGAAAGATCACTAGCGATGAGCCACCATGTTGTCTTGAGCTGGCTGTGTACAGGTCTCAGTGCGGTCAGAGTGATCCAGAGAATATTGTCCCCTTAGCTCAAGTCCTTAGACTATTGCTACATCACCTCAATACACACAGTGAAGTGCAGGGAACAAGTAGGACTTGACAGATATAGGTCTGACTCCAGCCTATATCCCTACAAACTGTTTCTTAACCCACCTGAACCTCGAGTTCTTCAACATACAAATATAGATCAAAAGACCACCTCATAAATGAAAAAGATACATAAAATAACATTTGTAAAAATACTCGGTGCATAGTTGGTGGCTGATAAATGGTAGTTACCCTGCCTTTTGGCACACAGTACTTTCAAGCACTACTTACAGTCAGTTCATTAGAAAGGGAGCCCTATAGTACTCTTGTGTTGGGAGAGGAAGACAGCCTAGGGGAAGACTCTATAGTTAACTATGGTTGGGGAAAAAACATAAGCTTTCTCCTCTTTTAAATTCAAATTGAACATTACTGTTTTAAAGGTTCTGAGAATTAACATTAAGATTTCCTAAATTCTTTGGTCAGTACAATGCTTTTATGGTTTTGTAACATCAAGTTACATCCAGAGAACACATTTGGAGAAATGCTGCTTTAAAAACAATATTCTTAAAGGAGATTTTCATTCTCTCATACAAATGGCACAAAGTGTCAGAAAGAAATTCATTCTTTCATTATATTTATATTACCTTTATCTGAGGCACCTAAAAATACCGAGATAAATTGCCAGCTATTGAGACAGGCAGGCAGATCTGATCTTCATATTACAGCATCACAACTGCCAGGAGACATGATTTGATCCAAGAAAGATTGAAAGCAACAATCAAAAGCCACAACAAAGCAGTGCAGAGCATTTCTTAAACTGAGAAAGACACTGAAATATAGATCACCCTCTCAAGAGACAGTGGCAGCCAAATCCTCTTGTTCTCAAAGCCCCAGTCTGCCACCCAGCTCTGTGCTCATGGGAGCCACAGAACGTGTGCAGGAAAGAACACAAGGACTTGAAAAACCAAACACTGGAATTCAGACTCTGGCACTGCCATTAACAAGATGTTTATTCTTTCCAGGTCTCAGTTTTCTTTGTTATAAAATGGAGCTAATATTATGCTGATTAGATATAAGCCTGTATGCAAAATTGTGTAATACAATTACATTTAACTGAAGCATTAGAAAAACAGATACTTATGCCAATTTAGAACTGCAAGAAACTTAAGATTATCTATCACAACCATCTAATTTTGCAGAGAGTGAAACTAAAGCCCGGAAAGTAAAGTGGTGTGTGTCCAAGGCCACACAGTTCATTAGTGACAGAGCTATGACTTAACCTTGGGTCTCCTGACTTTTCATCCAGAGGCCTTCCCACTGTTCCTCAAAGATCGGATTCATCTTCCCCTATGTTTAACATCAGATGGGCATAAAATTAAGCTGAAGATAGCCATGGATCTCATAAGTAAATATGAAACCCTGTTATCTAATATATTTGGATGGGGTGAAAAGGAAGTTCTGGTTAATCAAAAAGTCTGTCTCACGGAAATTAAAAAATTCTCTTCACTAAAAGGTCAGGGAGCCCTGGTATACACCACACATAGATTAATGATTTTCAAATCATGTGAAAGCAATACCGTCCACCTTTGAAACTAGGCTGGACGTAATTTCCTCCGTCTTTGATGACTTTGGATTTTCACATTGCCTCAAGGCAACCTTGCTGAATATCAATCAACATACCGAGAGCATAAACTTAGATCCCAACTCTAAGGTTATGTGGTGTGTGCAGGGCTGGTTAAGAGAGCTCTGGGTTAATGGAAATCGGGGTAGCAGAGGGGTGCTGTGTACAGATTTATGACAAGTTTCCAGGAACACAGTAATTTAGAAGATTTTGCACCTTTGCTTTTTTGTTATTTAAGACATATTATATCTTAATATTTTACTAATTTCAGAGAGTTAAAAGTCAGTACATGAAACAGAAACACAGTGTAGATCTTTCACAAAACCTCAAGACTTGAAATTATTGAAGAGAACCTGAAGCTCTCGTCAAGTATTCAAGAAAACATGGCCGGGCGCGGTGGCTCACACCTGTAATCCCAGCACTTTGGGAGGCCGAGGTGGGCGGATCACGAGGTCAGGAGATCAAGACCATCCTGGCTAACACGGTGAAACCCCATCTCTACTAAAAATACAAAAAATTAGCCGGGCACGATGGCAGGCGCCTGTAGTCCCATCTACTCGGGAGGCTGAGGCAGGTGAATGGCATGAACCCGGGAGGCGGAGCTTGCAGTGAGCCGAGATCGCACTACTGCACTCCAGCCTGGGTGAAAGAGCAAGACTCTGTCTCAAAAAAAAAAAAAGGAAAACATGAAGTCAGTAATTCCAAATTCATCCTTGAAAAGATAGAAAAGAAGAGACCCAACTGGTGAACTGACTGACTTCATCAGAACTGCAGTAGGAACTTAAACCCAAGACTCCCAACTCCCTGCCCAGAGTTCTTTGCTGCTATGGGATACAGAACCTCACATTTCATTTTTTTACTTTTTATTCACAAGGATGCTATCTGGAATTAAGGGTGGAAAGTTTGAGAGAATACCATATCTAGATTACAGCTGCCACAGAGAGCAAGGAGAAGTGTCTGCTCTAAAGAATGAAAATTTCTCCGTTAGTTACTAACCTGTCCCTGACTGGATCCAGTCCACCCACACATGCCCAGGAAGATCCGGTGGTGCATGGGACAGAGCCACAAGTTCCCTCCAACTGGTTTCCAAATGCCTGCTGCCATCCCACCCGGGTGACACACAATCTGATTTCACACTCAATAAACACAATACTGAATTTACTGTCTTCCTGTAAATCTGAATTGTTTCCTGAGTTTTCCCTCTCATTTGATAACAAAACCATCAGCCCCATTGTCCAAACTGGAAACTAGAATCCAATAATAACTCTTCCCTCTTCCAGGGACACTGATCTTCCATTCAAGATACCTTTTGATTTTCTTTAAAAAAAAAAATTAATCCCAACTACCACAGCCACAGTTCAGATTCTCAGCATCTCTCACAAAAGTTACTACAGCAGTAATTCTCCTAATATAGCTTTCAACAATCCCAACAACATACCCAACCCCCATCCACTTAAAACCCTTCATGACTCAAACCTATAATCCCAGCAGTTTGGGATGGGGCGAGAAGATCAACTTGAGGCCAGGAGTTTGCAACCAGCCTGGCCAACATGGTGAAACATGTTGCTAAAATGCAAAACATCTCCGCTAAAAATACAACAAAAATTAAGTAGGTGTGATGGTGCATGTCTGTAATCCCAGCTACTCGGAAGGCTGAGGCATGAGATTTGCTTGTGGGGCGGAGTTTGCAGTATTCCAAAATTATTGCACCACTGCACTCCAGCGTGGGCAACAGAGTGAGGCGACTCTTGTCAAAAAAAAACAAAAACAAACAAAAAAAAAAACCTTCAATATTTCTATTTCCATTCAGGATCAAATTTTCTTAACATGTTCTCCTTATCTTTCCACCCACCCCTACACACACACACACACACACACACACACACACAAACACACAATTGTCATACCCCAAGAATACCAAACTGCTTATGGTTTCACGCTACACGGTGCTATTTCTTATCTCAACTTTGATCATGGTAACTCCTCTACCCAGAATGCCTTTCTTTCCCCATCTTCCCCAGGTCATTTTACCTGAGTATCACCTCATCACCCTTCAGAACTCAAGAAGTTACCCCTTGCAGGAAGTCTTCCCTGACCTTCACATCCAACCCTTGGGATATATTAAATACCTCTCCTCTTTTCCTCCAGAGTACCCTGAATTAATTCTATCATTGCACCTACCACATCACTGTATTCATATCCACTTAGGTGTCATGAAGATGTCATAGCTGCAACAAGGACTCACACTCATAAAATTCTTTGGCACTTACAGATTGTCTTCTTAACATAGCCACATTCTATCCTCAGAACAATTCTAGGTAGATAGTTGGAGTCAGTGTTATCTCCATTTTATAGATAAGAAAACTGAGGCTTAGAGAAATTAAGTACACCGGAGTCCACAGACTAGTTCAACTGAAGGCTAAAACCCCACAATTCTGACTCTTGGTCCTCTATACCACGTTACCTTGAAATGTTTTTATTCCATATAGAAATCTGAATCAATTTTGCTTTGGATGATGATCTTGACGACATTGTCCTGAAGCGCAGGAGGGTCCTGCCCTGCTGTGCATTTGCTCCCCCACTCCCACTCTGCCATTCTAAGCCTGGCTGCTTTTCCTTCTTCTCAGAAGGACTGAACACAGCTCCCTCTAGGACCCAGGAACAAATGCTGCCATAAAACTGCTTGAGGAGTTGTCTGACCCTTTCTGTATTCATGGTTGCTGAGAAGCAAGCGAGCAAATTAGTATCCAAACAGTCTCCTTACATGGAAGGCATAATTCATACAACAGGTCAAATCCTATCCAACAAATGTCACTGAACAGAAATCCCTGAGTGATGAAGAGATTCTGAGGCCTCAACCATGGTCCATTTATTAAAATCAGCCTTGATGTGACAAAGTTCCAAACGCACGCTAGCTCACTTGTGCATACAGGCGTGTGTGCACATGCACACAAACACATCTTTATTATTTTGCGTTATTTTGCACTGTGTTCTTTCTAGATTTTTTTAATGTGTTAACTCATTAATCCCCATACATACCTATAAGACAGTCTTAATATCTTCATTTTTGGCTGAAAAGATTGAGACTTAGAAAGCCACAGTGACTCAAGTTTGCACGGCTGGCCTGTACACTTAGTGGCTATGAAGATGTGCTGAGTTAAACTACATAATCAAATCCTGGCTTTGACACTTGCTTGTTCTATAAAAGTTACTTGATATTTCTAGTCTAAGCTTTCCTCATCCATAAAATGGAGCTAATAATGATAACTTTCATCATCGTTTTCTTTTCTCTTTTTTTTTTTTTTTTTTTGAGACAGAGTTTCACAGTATTGCCCAGACTGGAGTGCAATGGTGCAATCTCAGCTCACTGCAACCTCTACCTCCCAGGTTCAAGCGATTCTCCTGCCTCAGCTTCCTGGGTAGCTGGGATTACAGGCACGCACCACCATGCCCAGCTAAATTTTTTTTGTATTTTAGTAGAGACGGGGTTTCACCATGTTGGCCAGGCTGGTCTCCAACTCCTGACCTCATGATCCACCCACCTCAGCCTCCCAAAGTGCTGGGATTACAAGCGTGAGCCACCGTGCCCAGCCTTTATCATCATTTTGTAGGGCCCCATCTCTGCTTTCAGTCAGGGGACAGAGAAAAGAATGTATGGAGAAGGCCCAAGAGTACTTATTCACGTTGACTGGAGGTGACTCACATTACTTGTGTTCCTCATCCATGAAGGGGAATAGTTGTACACCCACTCCCTCAAACAAGGGGGCTGAGAGATGGTGTCTAGCAGTGTGCCAAAGAAAGAGAAAACATCACACTAAATCCTGGTGGAATATTAAGCATTATTAGGCATTCCTGTTGTACCTTCTACATAGCTTTACCGTAAGAGCTAAATAAGATACTGCATGTAATGTGCCTAGCATATTGTAAGCATGCAACAAATGTTAATTAGAATAAATATTCTTGATAGAGCCAACAGAAGAACTCAAGATTTATGATGTTTTGTCTAGTGTTTCTTCCTTAACCCTTGCAGTGCATTACTTCTTTGAGCTTATTACACTGTACCTTGCCCTTCCTGACATAGTTAGTATGTCCTGACCAAATCTCATGTTGAATTGTAATCCCCAGTGTTGGAGGTGGAACCTAGCAGGAGGTAGTTGGCTCATGGGGGTGTATCCCTCACGGCTTGATGCCGTGTTCCCAATAGTAAGTGAATTGTCACAATCGTTCTAATCATTTAAGTGTGTGGCACCTCTCCTCCCACTCTCTCATTCCTGCTTTTGCCCTGTGAAGTGCCTTCTTCTGCTTCACTTTCTGCCATGAGTAAAAGCTTCCTGAGGCTTCCCCAGAAGCAGATGTCATTACTGTTTCCTGTACAGACTGCAGAACCATGAGTCAATTAAACCTCTTTTCCTATAAATTATGCATTCGGGTATTTCTTTTCTTTTCTTTTCTTTTCTTTTCTTTTTTTTTTTTTTGACACAGAGTCTCATTCTGTCACCCAGGCTGGAGTACAGTGGCAACACCTCGGCTGACTGTAACCTCCGCCTCCTGAGTTCAAGCGATTCTCCTGCCTCATCCTTCTGAGTAGCAGAGATTACAGGTGTGCACCACCACACCCGGCTAATTTTTGTATGTTTAGTAGAGACGGGGTTTCACCATATTAGTCAGGCTGGTCTCAAACTCCTGACCTCAGGTGATCTGCCCACCTTGGCCTCTCAAATTGCTGGGATTACAAGCGTGAGCCACTGCGCCTGGCCAGGTATTTCTTTATAATAACACAAGAACAAACTAATACACTTGCCTTCAGAGAAACTGACAAACCATAGGGGGATATTGAATAATAATCATTGTTGAAAATACACATAAAAGTCTATATCAATTGGAGTAAGAAACATACACTTATTCATTTAATTAACAGACACTTATAAATATCTACAATAAGCCAAATATCGTGTGTAGCTATAATAAAGAGGAATCAGTGTTTTATGTTAATATCGACCATTTTTTCAATTACAGAGTTGAAATAACATAGCTACCAGAATTCTTGGAGAAGATACACATCTCCTGATTGAAAGAGATATGGGAGTGGGCATGGGGGGTGTGGGGGCAGGGGTGGAATCTGAGAATCAGTGCTATCTGTAGATCATCTGCCCAATAGCCTGTCTGAAAACAAGTCTGAATATCAAACCTTTTGACCCAGCAAAACCAAAGCGTAAGAACAGTATGCAAGCCATGAACACCACATTCTCTAGATTCCTTAACAGAACAAGACCCATCAGGTAGCATACACTCTGTAATAGGTTAAAGTTCTAAATTATTGTGCAATCCTAAATAAAGTCTACATTTAAAATTTAATTGAAAGTTAACACAATTTTAAAATTTAATTGAAATTTTAACACAATTTTAAATTTAAATTAAAAATTTTAAATCACCATGTAACAAAATAGATAACCATGAAATCCTAAAAATAAATTTATAACTATTAAAATAATTTTATCTCTGAATCCCTTAATATCATATGTTGTCACTGTTATACATACAACTCTTTGAGAAATCTCTACGATGACTTTTATACATCATCTTACCTTTACCATTATAGAATCCTTGACTGTACATTTAAAATCTTGGTAAATCCAGTGATGGTTTGAGTGGCTTATGTGACATAGAAAATGCAGCCAGCCTTATTTTACTGCAGCTGATGTTGAGTGCATCTGATTTCTGCATAGGTCCTTGCGGTCTGTGTTTCCATCCACATCAAGGTATTTTTGCATCTGCTCGAAGTGGCCCTTGAGTTGACATTACTCATATGCTTCTTCACCCTTCTGCAGGAAACCTTGGTGGCTAAACCTGATCCTGTTACATGTAGGCTGGCCCAGCCACCCCACCATGAGTCTGTTCCCCTTGCATAGTGGCCCACTGTGTCCATCTAGGCACCTACCATTTGGAGATGCCTACTCTTATTTTCTGTGGTGGCCATGAGAATGCACTTCACAGATCACCCAGTTTAGGGAGTATAATTGACAAGGGTTCTAGCTGCTGAGCTCTTAAAGTCTCAGCAGAATTTGTGCCTAGGTATGCCATCCACAGGCTGCTCCCCAGTCAGTAGCTGAGTGTGGCTGGGATATTAAGACAGACTTGTTTCTAGGAGACACAAGATTCTTCCAAGGGTCGGCTTTGGCTCCAGGATTCCTTGGCGGCTTTGCCCAGGCTTTCTTCAACTCATGACAATCTGGGATGCTTCCATCCAACATTCTCCCCTTCTCTCTACATGAAGTCATACTTGCATAGCAGTCTGATTTTTGTCCCAGCCTTATTCGGTTCCCACATTATTTTCCCTCATACAGGTGTTTCTCCTAATAAAATCTCTGCATATAATATCCTGTGTTGATATCTGTTTCTCAAAGGACCTGAGCTAACACAGCTTACCTCCTCTTTCCTGGTTTGTGTAAAAGACCTTGTTCAGGGGTGAGTTTCTTATTTTGTAACTGGTTTATAGAATGAGCTAAGCTCTAAAAAAATCAAGTTTATTCTTTCTGTAACACTGCAGACCTGCAAACCTTCCCCCATGGAACCATTTTTCTCTCCCCGTGGTACCCCCACTGAGCTATTTTTCTCTCCCCTGCATATAATCTTGAATGGGTTTTATATAAGTTAGAATTTTTTTATTAGGATAAACAGAAACCCTAAAATTGAATGGCTTAAATGAGATGAAAGCTTATTTCTATCTTATATAAAACCACCCTTTGGGTGAAATGTCCAAGGCTGGTATTGCAATGTTATGTTCCTAAAGGACTGCCCACTGCTTCCCCTACCTAAAGTGTGACCCCATCATGCCCCAAAATGGCTGCAGGAGATCCAGCTTACAACATCCACATTCAAGGAGTAGGATGGAGAAAAAAGAAAGGAAAGGAATATTTAAAGAGACCTACCAGAAGTACGACGCAACACATCTGCCTATAGCTTTATGGTCCAGAAATTTAGCTATGTGAGGCTCAGCCATATCTAGCTTCAAAGAAGGCAGAATAAGGTTTTGGGTTTTGGGGGGTTTTTTGTTTTGTTTTTGTTTTTGTTTTTTAGGTAGGTTACAATGTGCTTAGATGAAAATCCAAGTCTGTCACAAAGTAGAAAAGAGAGAGTCAATATGCACCTGGCAATCTTTGCCACAGCTTCCACGGCTCTTCTAGTAGCTCAATTGTCCTCTGGTCACAGGCCAGTAATAAAAGGCTTTGTCTATTATAATATTAAAACTACAAATATCATTGAGTTAAAGCCTCTCTCACATGCCCACTGGAGAATAGGACAAAGTTAGCTTTTGTATTGCCTCATCTCTGCTCCTCTTGTCCACTCAGACTGTCAATGGCTCTCCAGAGTTGCAGCTGTACGAGGAAGAGAAAGAAAGTTCTAACTTTACTGGCACAGCTGTAAACCAGCATTGGGACTCTCTGTGTGTAGTAGACTCCAAATGCTGATTTGTCCTCTCATGGGTGTTTCGTGGGTCCTTCACAGATACCGAAGCTCTGCAGTATTCTCACCGTGAGTCCCTTAGTGTGGGTGTGTCAGAGACTGCCATGCCCCCCAGTATCCATTCTCACCATCTTCTTACATAGTAATGGTACTCAGATTGTTAGCTAAAATATTGTTTTTCCAGGAACGAGACCATATTTACCAGTTGACATTACTTTAGTGATAAACACACCATTAACAGTGGATTTCCACTTTGACATGTAAATAACTCAGAAGTCATCATTCCTGTCCTCACACACACACAAAAAAAAGTTGAACTGAAATCAACAACTTCTCTTAGATCAATCAGAGAACTGGGGTGACAAGCAAACCAATGACACAAAAACTGGAGAGACAGAAAAATACAGAGAATCACAGCTTACCAGGAGAAAAAGCTAATGGAGCCAGAAATGGGTAAGAAAATTTAAACTGCAATTGACAAACTGCTGGAAGCCAAGTGTGGACTAAACTTAGAGTTAACATCTCCTGGGGTCCTGACCTTAGGAAGGATCTTATGAGTTGCATCTACAGGAACCTCACCAAGTTCTCATGGTGAAGATCAGAGTAAATTCTTTTTGAGCTTCTAGCAGGTGGAAGGTGACATACTTTGACATAACTATGTCAAAGTATGCCCAAGGGAAAAGTAACTATTTTGAAATACACCCAGAGTTTTCTCTTCTTTACCCGCCATTAAGGAAAACTACTTTATCAGAGCCTAACTTATGTGGGAGAAGAAAAATATCCAGCTCCAGCCCCTCTCTAACCTTTCGATCTCACCTACATAAGAAAACCAAAAGAAAAAAAAAAAAAAAAGAAGCACTCCTAAAGGTCACAGCCAAGGGCACATGCCACTAAAAGACTGAGAGCAAATCACAGAGGTACAGAACACTTTCCTCTTCTCATGCTTCAGCACTGCACCAGCAAGTTCCCAGTACAGTAACAGAAGATTACAGCTAGAATTGTGAGGCTAACACACTATTTAAGAAGGTGTACCTAGGGAAACCCAAAGACAACCAGAGAGACAAAAAGGAAATTGAAGCCTCAAGCACCTACAGCTAGAGCAAACAATAAACAGAGCGAAATTATCAGCCAGATAAACATAAAACCTCACACTAAAATCTGATTTACCTCGGTTCCTATTACGCAATACATCATGTCCGGTTTTCAACCAAAATAAATACAAGCTATACTAAAAGGTAAGAAAAAAATGCAGTATAAAGATACAAAGCAAGCAACAACCAGACCCAGATAGGGCAGAGATTCTGGAATTATCAGAACACTTAAAATAACTACAATGAATATGCTAAGAGCCATAAAGGAAAAAGTAGACAAAATGCAAGAACAGGTGGGTAATGTGCTCCGAGAGAGGGAAACTCTAAGAAATAATTCAAAGGAAATGCTGGAAACCATGATCACCGTAACATTAATGAAGACTACATTTACCAGCTTCCTTTTTGGCTAAGTGTAACCATGCAGCTGGGTTCTGACCACAGCATGTGAGGATAATTTAAGTGTTCAATTTCCAGGTCGTGCTTTGAAGGGACATGCCTTCTGTGGTAGTCATTAGAGCTGCTCATGTGCATTCTGCTGGAGGACTGTACTTTCTGAGTTTTTGAAGTTACGTGTGGCCATATGATCCATTCTGGCCAACATGTAGAAGGCAAAATCATTTCATCACTAAGGCAACACTGCCCAGCTTTCCCTCTCCCACTACAGGTCCCAGAAAGCCTCCAGATGGTGAAGGTTCCTCAGCTGGTGTCCCTCAGTGAGAGTAACATGAAGCAGAACCCCCAGTGACGCATGACAAACATGGAACATGAGCAACACATGTCATCGGTATTTTGAAGATGATTAGTACTGTAGCACAATCTAGCCTATTCCAACTAATCCTCCCTCCTCTTATCTTCATCATCACCTGGCTGGAACTCAGACTTGATGGTGAGCTGTCTTGGGACCTGTGAACAACAGTGACATCCTGGTGGCTACAAGGCAACAAAATAGAAGGAGCTTGGTTCCCTGAAGAATTTTCAGAGCCACAATGCCAGCTCAAATATCTCTGTAAATGAGAAATAAACTTCTCCTTTGCTTAAACTAAAATCCATTTTATTGCCGGGCACAGTGGCTACACCAGTAATCCCAGCACTATGGGAGACAAAGCAGGTGGATCTCTTGAAGCCAGGAGTTTGAGACCAGCCTGGGCAACATGGAGAAACCTCATCTCTACAAATAATAATAATAATAATAATAATAATAATAATAATAATAAAATCTGTTTTGTTAAAACATATATATCCTACTTAATAAAATAAGCTATGCCTCCTCTGGATAGTTGTTCACTCTTCAAACAAAAAAGTTTGAAATGTATGATGTCATGGTAACAAAGAAGACTTTCAGAATTTCCTAGGGACTGAAGGAAACTTTTGTGTTTTACCAGGGCATTTACAAACAGATTTGAATGTACAATCACACTAACTTGTAGCCCTCGGGAAGTGCTGAATAAAAGCACTGAATGCTCTTGCCCACATGTGTGCAACCATGAGAGAAGTTTGATCCTTGCTCCAACCTAGCTTTTATTTAAAACACAATGTACTTAGAGATATGAGTTTAAAGAGTGAAATGACCAATATTGCAAATAAGGAGGAATTCAATGAAGTGGACAGTGAGGAACTCAGTGTTTATAATATAAACTGCCCCAGATGGAGTTAAAAAGGCACAATAGACACACCATATAAAGTCTCTGTCGAACTAGTGAGTGCGTAATCAGATATAACTATGATGCCTTAAATTAAGAAACAGCCCATTTCTCCAACTAAACCATGTCCCAAATAAAGTCACATAAATAGTACAAATTTCCAATGTCTTTGAGAAATTGTACACTTATGACACCATCTGCAAGACTACAAGTTTTCAAGAAGAGGAACTTTAATTCAAACTGAATTAAATGACAGAAAAAAAACAGGAATTAATTGGTTCATGTGACTGGAACACTAGATATGGCTTTAGGAAATGTGTGACCAAACAGCTAAACAATCAGAACTTGGTTTCTCTGTTTCCATTTTGGGACCCAACCACTTCTAGGTGTTGGCTTCAATCTCTGAGGCACCTACTGTCATCCGTCTCGCATATCAAGATGGCTGCCATAGAACTGTGTGTTTTCTTGTTTATCTCCAACAGGAATGAGCATGCCACCCAACTGCCAAACAGAAGTCTGGAGTTCTAGTTTGATTGGACTAGTTTAGGTCACGTGCCAGTCTCTGACCAGATTAGGTAAGGATTAAGTCACATGCTTCATATATTTTGGATGGAGTTAGTATCTTCTGAAACATAGGGAAGAGTTAGATATCTAAAGCACAGACTAGTAGTTCCTTTTTCTCACATACAGATAACTAGAATGCATTTCCAGGCTTCTCTTGCAGCTAAGTGTTGTAATGTGACTGAGTTCCGGCCAATGGCATGAAAGCCTTGCCTATGACAACCTCCCACATGGGATCCTTTCTGTATTTTTTCCATCTGCCAGCTAAAATTAAAGGACTCTGAAAATTTGGAAGAGGGCAGAGCCAAGACAGATGGAAGGAACAGGGCTCTCTGAATGAGTAAGTAGAATCCACCCTGCTGGGATCATGCATATTAGACTATCATATAAGAAATACTTTTTATTAGGCTTAGTTTGACCATTTATTCATTGTAGCGGTCAGCATTACTTTAATACAATCATACAAATAATGTTAGGGTGATGTTTCTAAGAGTAGGTAACATGGATGCGGGACAGCTCAGAATAAGCAATGTCCACTGCAGCAATGGTTTTTAAAATTTGGATTATCTTTAAATAAAATGGAAGTAGTTATTCTGCCAAAGACATCTCAGTCTACATATATTTATTTTCTGGAAGAGGAGCATTGTAATGACTTAGCCACAAACCAAATAAACAAGGCAGCAATTGCCTGTTGTGCTATAATAAGCCTTTGCAAACATGCTCTGCATTTGCACATGGCTTCCTTAATAAATGGATGCTATTTTCTTATGTTCACAAGCAGTTGCATCAAATAGGAGATGCAATTTAAATTTGATCTGCATCTCAGAGAACCACTCTCCAATACAACTAGCATTTTCTAAAATGAAAAATGTATTTTTCTAAAATCTCTTTTCATTTTAATGTGCAAACACAAGGCAGAGAGAGGAAAGCAAAAATCAAGAGGCATATAGAAGGCAATATAAAAGGAGTTGTGAATTAGTTCCAAAGCCAGGGAGAGAGGCCAAGGATAGTCACCGATTGAAGCCTGAAACAATTACCTTCTATCTGAAATGGAAGATGCTCAGAGTAAAGTGAGATTGGTACCAAAATCAAAGCATGAGCAAGTATTAAAAAAAGTTTAAAAAGAAGGTTAGAAATCGATATGCCAGATGCCAGACAAGTATGTATCCTGCCTGGAGAGCTTCTTCCTTTCTGCTGCATAAATTCTACTCCCCTTTCAGGGCTCTACTAAAATGTCACAGCCTTGTAGCAGCTTTTTTGACAATCCCTCCCCACTGCCGTGTAGGTTATTCTTCCTGATATTATTATCTTAATAATCTTCACTCTTCTTCCATAGCTCTTCTCATTATTGTAATTAGAGTTACCTGCATAATTATTCAGGGCCTGTCTTCTCATCTTGAGTGAAAGTTCCGTGGGGCTAAGGCAATGCTGCCTTGCTCAACTGTGTGTTTCCAGGGCCTAGCACAATCCTGGCATGCAGTATGGACTCATTAATTCCAATGACATTTTGGTGGGTGGTGGAGCTAGTCTCAAGCAATATTTTAAAAGGACCAAGTGTCTGAGTGCATCTTGGCCTTACATTTTCCTTTTGGTCGAGTTTGAAAAGGAAAGTACAAAACTAAAAACCAACAAAACCTTGTCTCTTAAATCATCCAAGAAATCATCTGTCTCTTAAAACACTTGGAAACGTGGAAATTTTTCTATGGACTCTTTTTCCTGGGGGAACAAATGCTATCATGTCATTCCATATGAACTGCTGTCTCTGAAACAATGAGAATTAAGCTGGTTTTGGTTGACCCCTTAATCCCACCACAGCACTCCCCTCAGCTTCCTCTCTGGAAAAGGTTTACAACTCAGCCTGTGAACTTCAGAGTCAATCTCTATTCAGTCATTTAAGCTTTATCATTTCCCTTTGACATAATGCCCAAATCCTTCCCCCTCTCTGTGGGACCCTCTAATTTTCTCATTTGTACAATTGTCTGAATGTGTACTCAAAAGGTTTCAAAAATGGAAGAGATAATATGAGTTAAGCAGCCTAGCTCCAGGTCTATGACAAAGTGGCAATGCTCCATTATTTTTCTTTCCTTTACGGTACTCCCTGTCCTAAAGTCCCATCTGCTCTTCAATCTTACTGCAGTCTCTAGACCTCTCTCCCACTTGCACTTTCTCCTTATTTAAATTCAAGCTTGCTCTCAGAGTAGAAAGAATCTGATCATCTAATTCAGACAAATGCCTCAATGATTGATGGGTTTTATTTTTTAGGCTAACATTGACTTCCATAGAATTTGTATAATCTCATTTAATACTCACAATACTCATATGAAATAGGCACTATGTATTATTCCCACATCTCTGATGAGAAACCTAAGGTTCACAGAGGTTAAATAACTTGCCTGATATCACATGGCTTGGAAATGGGCCTAGAATTCAAAGTCAGGTCCGTATAACCCTAATTCACACTCTTTCTATTGTATCACACTGCCTTTCCACCTTCTTCTCTTAATCTTCTCCCTCTATCCAAATAGTAAAAGGCTTAACTGGACAGTTGCTTGGTTAGATATCAAGTCTGTACCGAAACTACATTACCATATGTGACTGGAATGAAACAGTTAATTCACAAGGGCCCAAATATGTTATATTCACTGAGATATTGTAACAGACTCCTGAGCAGACAGATTTGACCTCAGCTAGTGCTATCCGGAGACATTTGTGGTGATAGACAGAAAACAGAGAGGAAAGAGGACATCTGAATAGCAAACAATCTTGCAGCCATCAGTCAACCTGAAAGGTATTCTTTATACTCAACTGAAATCACAACCACTTCAGAAGGCATGAAGAAGATATGAGAAGGCATTCTAGGCCATCTCTTAACTTTTAAAACTTAACTATGTAATAACAATTGGTTATAAAAATAGCAATGACCATTGAAATGCAGTTGCTATACTCAGCATAATCAAATTAGAAAACCTAGAAGAATTTACAACATTGCCTATAGACCAAGTGGATGAGACCTGTCTACATGGAAAATATTAGTTCAGACATAAGGAGGCTTCCAGACCAGAGGACTAGCATGAGACTCAGAGGGGACCAAATGGGTTAAGACTCAAAACCCAGGGATCCAAAGACAAGAAGAACCTTAGTAAGGCCAGAAGAAATACTAACCTCCTGGCCAAGGAGTCCAGCATACCATGGAATATGTTGGTATGAGTTTGGTATTTAAAACCAGATCCCAATACTCTTCTATATATCTGTGCATTACTGTGTGTATGCGTGTGTGATTTTATGCTTGAGATAGATAACCCTACTCAAATGTTGTTAAAGGTAGCCGTGCCAAGTCCAGGTGACAGTATCCTTCCTGGGAATTACTTCCTTGGTAGTCACACAGAAATCTTCCTTAAAAAATGATGTCTGAACAGAATCTGATCCAGTTCGGATGAACAAATGAATGTTCCTCCATCAAGTTTCCTCACCAACAGAGCCATTTTCCTGGCAGCCTACCTGCTCCTCATCCTCACTCAAGAAGTGTTTTCCAAGGGCCTATTCTATGCCAGGCCTGATTTTAGCACTGGAGATATCTGCCTTCCAGGGAATTATATGTAGAGGAGATCAGACATGGGCACAAAACCTTACACTAAAATGGCATGCGTCCCATGTCATTTTAGTCCCTAAAGTTGGTGTAGGATGAAGTGACAGCACCAAAGAGAAAGTGGTCAATTCTACTTGAAAGATGACGACTCTGGAAACATTTTTTAAAGACAGTAAAACATGAGCAAAATCTAGAAAGAGAAGTGAGTGTAACTCCCTTCTTGCAGAGAGAAAGCTGGAAATTTTTCAATACTAAGATCCAAATCAGTGGTGGTGGCCTCTTATCAGAATCTTGGGGCCTACATACAGAGCTCTGTGGTAAGCCAGCTCCCCGGAAACACATCCAGGAGCCCTTCTATCTATTAAGTATGACAGGTACCTGTTATCTGTAAGAAATTTTCGCCATTGAAAACCCCTTTCAAGTAAGTTTGGCACCAGGAATTGCTTGCTGCAGACTCAATTCTAAGTACACACACACACACACCCCACAAAAAAGAACACATAGTAATGAAAGATAACTAGCCAGAAAACACGAGCCAGCCAAACGGAAGCACCATGGTAGATACAGCAAATGCAGCAAGAAAGGGAAGTCTTCTGAGGTGAGCAAATGCATTAGGAAAAAGCAATAGTAATGGTAATAGCTAAAGTTAATTGAACACTTACCGTTTGTTAGCTATGCTGTGTCTTACAAGCACTTTATATGCATCAACTAATTTAATCTTCAATCTCATGTGTGAGGATTATCCCTAATTGACAGATGAGGAAACAAAGGCAGAAAGATGTTAAGCAACTTACCCAAGGCCACAGAGCCAATAAGTAGGTGATCTGGACAGGATTCCAGGCAACTTTGGTCCTGAAACATAAGTCACTGGATCTATATTGTGCACTGCCCTCCCTACAGGACCAGAAGTGTTGGAGGCAGAAGGATTGAGGGTCGTGATCAACTCGGTATACCACTGGAGGCTGTATGAGTGGGCAGCAAACTGTTTCTTTTGGGTGCAGAATGTTGGCAAACTGACAAACTGCGTCTGCCGCCTGGAAGGACTGCTGAGGACAGTCACGACCCAGTTGCAAGTGTTTCTTATGATTAGGCGTAATAATTGAAGCCTGTTAGTAATAACGAGAACCTGTGATCAATTAAGCAGCTGACCAATCGTTACCTCCTCCTCCCTGCTCTTGCTACCCAATAAATAAGAAGGGCTCTGGAAGCTCAGGGGCTGCCTTTGCTCACTAGAATCAGGGAGCTCTCCTCTTCTTCCCCACTTCCCTTCCTTTAAAATAGCTTCTTTTGTCTTAAGTTTTCATTTCTACATTCGTCCCCCTTCGTTCAGTCTCGTATTGATGGTTTAAAGTAGTAACAGTAGTAACTGTTGTAGTGAAGGTCTCAAGTAGCAACTGTGGCAAACCGCAACACAGAAGTAGGGGGCCTGCAGCTGATGTAAAGGCAGAAATGGCAATGTATTTCTTTGGGGTTAGATGTGCTTGCTCTGAAACCTGAAACTGGTGATGAAGACAATAGTTTCCCTAAAATTAGTGCAATAGCAATCCTTTCCATCTAACCAACTTAGAAAAAAAAAAAGAAAGAAAATGCATAGAACCTTGTAGAAATAGCTACCTCCCAATTATCACTTTCACAGCTCACAGGGCCCTGAATTTTCAATTTTATGTCTCTTCTGTGTATTTAAACTCATGATATTCATATTAATTCTTCCAAAATGACATTTTATCATAGAGAGTATCTCCATTTAACTTCCCTGTGTCAATATTAACGATGGCATTTGCGTGTTTATTAGATAAAAATTGGGTCCTGACAATCACGCCATCAATTCCAGGGCCCACAAGCTCATTCGTCAGGACTCCTCAATTGCTTTTCTAATTTCTTCTGTTGACATTGACCCTGTGTGAGGTTATTTATAAAAATCTTTATGAACATAATTTATGACTTAATTTTAACAAGTATTAGATAGATGTTCTCACTAAGTCCATGACCCAAAGTGGTAAAGATTCCTATCAGATAGCATCAAGATTCATTTAAATTTCTCATTTTGTGGTTCCTATTCTATTTTTCTAGTAGCACTAAGGGTCAAATATAAATGAAATGAGAAGTGTCTTCCACATTAATGGTTCTTTATTGATTTCCTTGGAGCAGAAATGTAGATTTTTCTAAACCGATTGGAATGTTGGAAAAACAAACCACCTAAAGGAAGACAAAGAATATTACATGTACCTATAACAGCCTCACCTTAAAAAGATGTTTTCCCAATGTATGCAATGAATATGTTATATGTTATAGTATTCATTCCTAAGTTTATATCTTTAAATGAAAAATATGTTCTAGGGATTTCAAACTGACCACTCACAAGCTGAATATTGTTTGGCCTATACAAAGCTTAAAATAAAAAAAGGTACAAAAGGCCTGAATTTTCAACTTCTTTTGAAAAGTCAAAAGAACCAGCAACACTGTGCCCATGTCTCCCTGTGACAATAATGGGCTGATGTCTTTTTTTTTTTTTTTTTTTTTTGAGATGGAGTCTCGCTCGGTGGCCCAGGCTGGAGTGCAGTGATGTGATCTCAGCTCACTGCAACCTCCACCTCCCAGGTTCAAGTGATTCTCCTACCCCAGCCTCCCTAGTAGCTGGGACTACAGGTGCATGCCACCACACCCAGCTAATTTTTGTACTTTTAGTAGTCTTCTTGAGATAGCGTGTGCATCCTCCAATTCTCATAGTTCCATTACTCCCTTTTGTGCTACAGGTGATCTCTTTACTCTCTCTTTGCTTCCTAAAGCTCTGTGTAGGCTTTTGGTTGAACTCTGCTCCTGTTTAACCACCTCATTTTACAGATAAGGAAACTGAGAACCAGAGAGATTAAGTATTATGTTCACACAGCTAGGATCCGGACTGAGACCCAAGTCTCCTATGCCATGCCACAGCACCAATTTTCTTCATGTAAATTTTGCTCTTAGCAATACAATGGAACACATGGATACAAAATTTTTAACATCTCATTTAGTGTGAAAACAGATAAATATTATTATGCCTCTGCTTTTCTCAAAGACAATTGTGTTAATAATAACAACGACCTGATTTCTTGATCCTAGCAGAATGCTTTACTACCTACAGATCTGTCACCAGAAAGAAACACTAGCTGTGAGGATTGCCCAGGATGATAAGATGTGATGCCACATTGCATTGACTTCTGTCTGAAGCCTGCAATAGTGATTCTACAATACTCTAAATACAAGTACTGATGAGCCCAGGAAACTGCTCTTAGAAAAGGCTGATGATAAAAAGACTAGAAACATCTCCTGTGGTAGACTGCCAAGATGGCCCCAGTGGTGTGCACTTTCTGGTATTCATGCCCTCGAGTAATTCTCCCCAAGTGAGTGAGGGCTGGACTTAGTGACTCACTTCTAATGAAGAGAATATGGCAGAAGCAATGATATGTCACTTTCAGAGATTAGATTATGAAAGACTGGCTTCTGTCTTGCAGTGTTCTTGCTTGCTCTTGGATTGCTTACCCTATGGGAAGCTCATGCCATGTTATGGAGCAACTCTGTGTAGAGGGCCATGTGGTGAAATATTGAGGCTTGCCAATAACCACATGAGTGTGTTGGAAGTAGAACCCCCTCTCATTCCATACTCCTTCTGAGACCACAATCTTGGTCAATGGCTTGATTACAGCCCACGAGAAATCTTGAGCCAGAAGCAACCAGATAAGCCATTCCCAGATTCCTGACCCACAGAAAATGTAGCACAACCAATAATTGCTTTTACAAAGTTTTAGAAAAATTTGTTACATAGCAAGAGCCAAATAGTACAGATTCCTTAAACACAGATGGAGATTAAAGATTCCGGAGTCCCCCAGGTGTGGTGAGCCACTTAAATTTTTACCACATACTGCAAATAATGTGTGTGTGTGTGTGTGTGTGTGTGTGTGTGTGTGTGTGTGTGTGTGTGTGTGTGTAAAGATGTATACATATACATATATTATCAGAAATGTGGAGTCACATACTAACTTAAAACACAGACCTACCCCATCTCTACTAAAAATACAAAAAATTAGCCAGTCGAGGTGGCGAGCACCTGTAGTCCCAGCTACGCAGGAGGCTGAGGCAGGAGAATGGCATGAACCCCGGGGGGCAGAGCCTGCAGTGAGCCGAGATCGCACCACTGCACTCCAGCCTGGGTGACAGCGAGATTCCGTCTAAAAACAAAAAAACAAAAAAAAACACAGACTTATAAGTAAAACAGAACAGTGTTCAAATTCTAGTTCTGCCATTTGTTGACTGGGTGACCTTGAAAAGATACTCAGCTTTGATTTCCTCATCTGAGAAAAATGGAGCTGCATTTCTTGTTGCATTGTATAAATGTCTCTACTTTTATACTTAATCATACTTTATTGTAGTTATTAGTAGGTGCAGTCCACTCTTTATTCAGATCAGTTCCACTGGGCTCAAACCAAACTAGCAGCCAGCAGGTTATCCTTGGGTTTTGAGACCCCAAGGCTTAATGGTGGGCTCTACCATCCACCCTAGACTAGGCTCACCTTCCCAAGGAAGCTTACTCAAAACCACAACCTACCCTAGGCATGGAGTCACGGCTGAGGCTCCTAGGAGTCTGGTAGCCAGGAGTATAAATATTCTATTATTGTTTTCTCAGACCTTCTACTTCCATAGCCTCCAGCATTTGTTTTCCAGCTCTCCTGCAAGAGCCCATGAGGTTATTTTACAGCCAGAATAAGTAATACAGAAAATAAGTTTTGTCTAACCTTAATTCCTACAGACTTTCTAAAAGATCTAATTTTTTCAGTGTTTATGGGCATTGGATTATCCTTCTGTAAAATGGTATTTATAGACACCTTTCTTATAAAAATGGTAAGTAGTATGTATCCAAATGCTATTTACTCTTCAGGGGAAATTATTAACTGAATCTTTATCATGAGGCTTTTATACTGTTCAAGATGAGTAGAGGAAAAGTGTCTGAATAAACTACTAATTTTTAGCTAAAGTTTGAGATGTTCAAACCATCATCCTACAGATTACAACTTTTCTCTGAATTTTCACAATTAACATCTTTGGCTTACTCACTCCCGAAAGGAAAAGGGAATTTTCACAGAGCAGCTTGCTCAGGATTATTTATGGATGTAAAAATTTGCCATCCAGGGTTGGTAATAGCTTTGTCCAAGAGTCCTGAGTGTTTGTGTGGGAAGCTGTGGTTGTCTTTCTGTGTCATCAACCCCAAAAGAGTATTTCTGAGCAATTATTCACAATTTGATTAAAATTCTTTAGAGGCTATTTAAACTTGCCTTTTTATTTAGCAAACCTTTATTGAACAGGCTCCTGTACCAGGCACCACAATAAGCATAAAGATGAATGAGACCACACACTTACCCTAAGGTGAATTATAATCTAGTGGCAGAGAGAGAGAGATTTAAACAAATAATACTAATACAATTCACTAAGAATAGACTCAGCACTCTAATGTACTGGGGGAGGACTAGTTATTGAAAGGAAGGAAATTCTTCCAGGGGAGACAGTGAAAGAATTCTAGAAAAAGAGAGAGTTTGAGTTAAGCCTTGAATGATGAGCAGGAAAATACTGATGGGTGGAGAAATGAAGAGGCTGATAAACCTCCTGATATAATCACAGAAACAAAGGCAAGAAGATGTGGAAGGAAAGGAGGTGCTTGAAGAACAGTGAATAGCCCCAAGAAGATAGAGTTTAAGGTGTATAAGATTACAGTGGGATAAGACGATGGAATGGAAGATAAGCCCAGAACAGGGAAAACATCCAGACATGAGGAAACAAGGTGTAAACTAGAGCAGTAGCAGTTAAAATGAAAAGAAAGTCAACAGATTTGAGAATGACAGCAGGCTGAGAAAAGAATTGTCACAACTGGGAAACTGATTGGACACAAATGTGCTATTTTACTTTGGTGCTTTTGTTTTTGTTTGAAACAAAATGTAAAATAAAGAAAAAGAAATAAAATATTTGAAAATCATGAGAACATCAAAAATAAGGGATATAGTAAGAGGGGTTTGTCATGGTTTGAATGTTTTCTCCCAAACTTATGTTGAAATTTAATTGCCATTGTTACAGTATTAAGAGGTAGGACCTTTAGGAGGTGGTTAGGTCATGAAGGCTCCACCCTCGTGAATGAATTAATACCGTTATTGTTAGTTATTGTAGGAGTGGGTTAGTTATTGTAGGAGTGGGCTCCTGATAAAAAGATAAATGTAGCCTCCATTTCTCTGTCTCCATGCTCACTTCCACTTTCCACTTCCCACTTCCACCATGAGATAACCCTCACCAGATGCCAGTGCCATGCTCTTGGACTTTGCAGTCTCTAGAACCATGAGTCAAATCTCTTTTCTTCATAAACTATCCAGTCTGTGGTATTCTATTATAGCAACAGAAAATGAGCTAAGATGAGGTTAATCTGAGGAATAGATAAAAAGGATGCTTGAGAAGTTTTCTATTTGAGGAGTTGGTGGGACAAATTGAGTTTAGGACAGTGGAAAGCTTGATGGCTGATGAAGGAATGGAAGGGAAGTAACTAAGTGGATTACTCAAAAAGCTAAATGCCACACAGTATAATTGAAGTTCTAATGTAAATATTTACAAGTCTTCAGGTGGTGTAGCATTGAGCTCAGCCTTGAAAATTCATTGCTTCTATATACAACAACAGGGATAGGCAATCTTTTTCCTCAAAGGTCATATATTACGCATTTTAAACTTGTGTCAGTCTCTGTTGTAACTGTTCAACTCTGCCATTGTAAAGCCACAGTGATAGACAATATAAATACAAACAAGCATGACTGTGTTCCAGTATTTCTAAACACAGGTGACCAGCCTACATGCAGTCATTTGCCAACCCCTGTAGCAGAATGTTTCATGATTCTACTTTATTCAAGATACATACATTTAACCCCTAACTTTTACTAATAATGTAAACCACAGAAAAAATAAGTAGCTACCAGTTATACTATAGTAGCATATAACACAAAAGTATGAATTAGATATTACTGTCTTCTTTTATAGGTGAAGAAGCTGGAGATCATAGAGATTAATTTGCCCAAGATCACTTGTAAATGATGCAGCTAGAGTTTGAAAGGCAAGATACGGCTTCCTCTTTGAGCAGTAGCCTGGACTAGATATTCTAAAAAGCCCTGCCACTGAAAATTATGTAGATACTAGATGAATTATGTAGATACTAGATTATGTAGATACTAGATGTATGTAGATACTAGATTATGTAGATACTAGATAAAATTATGTAGATACTATATGAATTATGATAAATATGGCTTAGAAGGCATTTCTGAGTATAAAAGAAAGCAAGATAAATCCACCAGAACCAAAAAATAGCCCTATGCTGTAAGTGAGTGGTAAGTAAATGCAGATGCTAAGACTTCTCTGCTGATGAGTGATAATGACAGAACCTAGGAAAACCACAACAGGTGGTCACACAGAGAAGAGACCATGACCCCTTGAAAATAAACCCTAGGTCTTTGCATGAAGCAGGACCTGTAATGGGGCTCTATCCTCAGTGAAAGTCCAGATTTAAAAAATACAGTATTCATCTACTCCCACAACAGTGAAAAAAAAATCTGTCTTTCTCTATCATAGCTTCAAGCAGTCTCTTATCATGAAGAAATCTCCCCTTTATCTCTGGCAATGCTCTGTGTTGAAATCTACTTAGTCTTCTATTGATATTGCTATACTCACTTTCTTACACTTACAGTGGTTCATGATCTATTTTTTTCAATCCTTTTACTTTAAACTCTACTTGAGTACTTATAAATTGATGATCACAAAGAGATACAGTTCAAAAAAAAACAGATGATATACTTAAATACTGTCCTCAGAGAAATTAAAGAAATACAAATGCAAAGAAATAAAAATACAAATCATTATGAAAAAGGGGCAATTAGAAAAATAGAAAGATATATATCAAATAATTTAAAAGGCAACCTATCGGTATATATTGCAAAAAGACAAAGAAATAGACACATCGTCTTAGTCACTTTTTGCTCTGTAACAAACAACTCGAAGTCTCAGTGGGTTACAACAAACATATTCTTACATATGTTACATGAGGGATGCAGGTGGTCATGAAGGGTTTGGATCAGGGAAGCTAAGCCCAGATTCCTGTTTCTAGAAAGTAGAAGATAAAAAAAAATAGAAACAAAAGAAATGAATTCAGGACACTCAATGTTAGACTAAAAAGAATTTGAGAAAGTAAGAACTTTCATGAAAAAAAAAATGTGAGGAAATGACAAAATACATCTTTAAAGAAGAAAATATATAGAGCTGAAAAAAGCAAAATTTCTAAATTGAAATGTTCCACTGAGTTTCCAGCAGAGTAAATGGCAAAATGAAATACTTCAAATCAGAAATGTAAAATTTCAGAACACTGCAGATAAAAAGAAATACCCTATAAGTTTTCTCCAAGAAAAAATAAAACATACCTATGAAGAAATGAGAATCCAACCAGTATCAAGTTTATCAGCAACATAGAAGACAAAAGAACTAATGCCTTCAAGGTTATGAAGGAAAATAATTTCAGTCTAGAATTCTATAAGAGGTCAAACTATCAGTCAAGGGTAAGGGCAAAATTAAGAGACTATAGTTTTTGTAAAAAAAAAACTGCTATAATTAATTTTTTTAAATGTTATAAGTGGATATATGTATATTTGATAGTCTTTTTAAAACAATATATTTAATAGTTTTATTTAAGCAGTAAGCACCAATAAGTGACAATAAAAACTAAATATATTCCATTTACTGTAAAATTCATAGGAACATATTTAACAAGAAAGACACAGGATCCATATAAATAATAAAATATTATTGAAGTACTTAAAACAAGATCTGAATATATTTAAAGACACACCATCTCTCCTGTGTGAAAATAGTTAATATAAAACCACAAGTATCTTAAAATTAATAGATAAATATAATGCAATCAACCTTGAGAGAAGATTGACCCAACCAGATATCAGAACATATCATAAAGCCACTTTAATCAAATGAGGATGACATTGGCATAGCAATAGAGAATAATCCCAGGATATAAGAACATTTAATATATGACAAACACAGTAGTTTCATTCAGGAAATAATATATCCTGTTTAATAAATTAAACTAGCAAAGCTGGCTAAGAAGATAGACAAAAATATTGCAAGAATATATATTCAGGAAACTACATAATCAAATTAGGAGCAGGGGGAAGCTTTAACCAAGATTGGAAAGCCAGAAGATATTTAAGAAGTAAAAAAAGACAACATTTGTCATATAAAGATGTTTTAAATTCAAATGTGACAAAAGATAAAATCACAGCCAGTTGACAAATGATTGTTTGAAAAATTTTGTAATTCAAATATAATATCTATTGTATACAAAGAGCTCTTATAAACTGACACAGAAAATTTAGTATAAAAACAGGCGAAGGACCTGAACAGATATTTTACTTAAAAGTAAATTTATATGTCTCCCCCAAATTTTTTTAAACACTTAAATTTGCTAGTAGCCAGGAAAATGGAGATTAAATTCACCTTATACAATCATCAAATGGACAAAAATTGAAAAGAACTATAATATCTATTGATATGGTTTGGCTCTGTGTCTCCACCCAAATCTCATCTCAAATTTTAATCCCCACATGTTGATGGAGGGAACTGGTGGGAGGTGACTGGATCACGGGGGTGGTTTTCCCCATGTTGTTCTTGTAATAGTGAGTGAGTTCTCACGAGATATGATGGTTTGAAACTGGCACTTCTCCCTTCGCTTTTTTTTTTTTTTTTTTACTTTATCTCAGTTACTTTATTTTTATCCACAAGTTACTTTTTTGGGGAAGACACTAGTCAGAAAGAAACTTAATTTTTAAAAAATGCTAGTTTTTTTTATTATTATACTTTAAGTTTTAGGGTACATGTGCACAATGTGCAGGATAGTTACATATGTATACATGTGCCATGCTGGTGTGCTGCACCCATTAACTCGTCATTTACCATTAGGTATATCTCCTAATGCTATCCCTCCCCCATCCCCCCACCCCACCACAGTCCCCAGAGTGTGATGTTCCCCTTCCTGTGTCCATGTGTTCTCATTGTTCAATTCCCACCTATGAGTGAGAACATGCGGTGTTTGGTTTTTTGTTCTGGCGATAGTTTACTGAGAATGATGATTTCCAATTTCATCCATGTCCCTACAAAGGACATGAACTCATCATTTTTTATGGCTGCATAGTATTCCATGGTGTATAGTGCCACATTTTCTTAATCCAGTCTATCATTGTTGGAAATTTGGCTTGGTTCTAAGTCTTTGCTATTGTGAATAGTGCAGCAATAAACATACGTGTGCATGTGTCTTTATAGCAGCATGATTTATAGTCCTTTGGGTATATACCCAGTAATGGGATGGCTGGGTCAAATGATATTTCTAGTTCTAGATCCCTGAGGAATCGCCACACTGACTTCCACAATGGTTGAACTAGTTTACAGTCCCACCAACAGTGTAAAAGTGTTCCTATTTCTCCACATCCTCTCCAGCACCTGTGGTTTCCTGACTTTTTAATGATTGCCATTCTAACTGGTGTTAGATGGTATCTCATTGTGGTTTTGATTTGCATTTCTCTGATGGCCAGTGATGGTGAGCATTTTTTCATGTGTTTTTTGGCTGCATAAATGTCTTCTTTTGAGAAGTGTCTGTTCATGCCCTTTGCCCACTTTTTGATGGGGTTGTTTGATTTTTTCTTGTAAATTTGTTTGAGTTCATTGTAGATTCTGGATATTAGGTCTTTGTCAGATGAGTAGGTTGTGAAAATTTTCTCCCATTTTGTAGGTTGCCTGTTCACTCTGATGGTAGTTTCTTTTGCTGTGCAGAAGCTCTTTAGTTTAATTGGATCCCATTTGTCAATTTTGGCTTTTGTTGCCATTGCTTTTGGTATTTTAGACATGAAGTCCTTGCCCATGCCTATGTCCTGAATGGTAATGCCTAGGTTTTCTTCTAGGGTTTTTATGGTTTTAGGTCTAATGATTAAGTCTTTAATCCATCTTGAATTAATTTTGTATAAGGTGTAAGGAAGGGATCCAGTTTCAGCTTTCTACATATGGCTAGCCAGTTTTCCCAGCACCATTTATTAAATAGGGAATCCCTTCCCATTGCTTGTTTTTCTCAGGTTTGTCAAAGATCAGATAGTTGTAGATATGTGGCGTTATTTCTGAGGGCTCTGTTCTGTTCCATTGATCTATATCTCTGTTTTGGTACCAGTACCATGTTGTTTTGGTTACTGTAGCCTTGTAGTATAGTTTGAAGTCAGGTAGTATGATGCCTCCAGCTTTGTTCTTTTGGCTTAGGATTGACTTGGTGATGCCGGCTCTTTTTTGGTTCCATATGAACTTTAAAGTAGTTTTTTCCAATTCTGTGAAGAAAGTCATTGGTAGCTTGATGGGGATGGCATTGAATCTATAAATTACCTTGGAGAGTATGGCCATTTTCATGATATTGATTCTTCCTACCCATGAGCATGGAATGTTCTTCCATTTCTTTGTATCCTCTTTTATTTCATCGAGCAGTGGTTTGTAGTTCTCCTTGAAGAGGTCCTTCACGTCCCTTGTAAGTTGGATTCCTAGGTATTTTATTCTCTTTGAAGCAATTGTGAATGGGAGTTCACTCATGATTTGGCTCTCTGTTTGTCTGTTATTGGTGTATAAGAATGCTTGTGATTTTTGTACATTGATTTTGTATCCTGAGACTTTGCTGAAGTTGCTTATCAGCTTGAGGAGATTTTGGGCTGAGACGATGGGGTTTTCTAGATATACAATCATGTCATCTGCAAACAGGGACAATTTGACTTCCTCTTTTCCTAATTGAATACCCTTTAATTCCTTCTCCTGCCTCATTGCCCTGGCCAGAACTTCCAACACTATGTTGAATAGGAGTGGTGAGAGAGGGCATTCCTGTCTTGTGCCAGTTTTCAAAGGGAATGCTTCCAGTTTTTGCCCATTCAGTATGATATTGGCTGTGGGTTTGTCATAGATAGCTCTTATTATTTTGAGATATGACCCATCAATATCTAATTTATTGAGAGTTTTCAACAACGAAGGGTTGTTGAATTTTGTCAAAGGCCTTTTCTGCATCTATTGAGATAATCATGTGGTTTTTGTCTTTGGTTCTGTTTATATGCTGGATTACATTTATTGATTTGCATATGTTGAACCAGCCTTGCATCCCAGGGATGAAGCCCACTTGATCATGGTGGATAAGCTTTTTGATGTGTTGCTGGATTCGGTTTGCCAGTATTTTATTGAGGATTCTTGCGTCAATGTTCATCAAGGATATTGGTCTAAAATTCTCTTTTTTGGTTGTGTCTCTGCCCGGCTTTGGTATCAGGATGATGCTGACCTCATAAAATGAGTTAGGGAGGATTCCCTCTTTTTCTATTGATTGGAATAGTTTCAGAAGGAATGGTATCAGTTCCTCCTTGTACCTCTGGTAGAATTTGGCTGTGAATCCATCTGGTCCTGGACTCTTTTTGGTTGGTAAGCAATTGATTACTGCCACAATTTCGGAGCCTGTTATTGGTCTATTCAGAGATTCAACTTCCTGGTTTAGTCTTGGGAGGGTGTATGTGTTGACGAATTTATCCATTTCTTCTAGATTTTCTAGTTTATTTGCATAGAGGTGTTTGTAGTATTCTCTGATGGTAGTTTGTATTTCTGTGGGATCGGTGGTGATATCCCCTTTATCATTTTTTATTGCGTCTGTTTGATTCTTCTCTCTTTTCTTCTTTATTAGTCTTGCTAGCAGTCTATCAATTTTGTTGATCCTTTCAAAAAACCAGCTCCTGGATTCATTAATTTTTTGAAGGGTTTTTTGTGTCTCTATTTCCTTCAGTTCTGCTCTGATTTTAGTTATTTCTTGCCTTCTGCTAGCTTTTGAATGTGTTTGCTCTTGCGTTTCCAGTTCTTTTAATTGTGATGTTAGGGTGTCAATTTTGGATCTTTCCTGCTTTCTCTTGTGGGCATTTAGTGCTATACATTTCCCTCTACACTGCTTTGAATGTGTCCCAGAGATTCTGGTATGTTGTGTCTTTGTTCTCGTTGGTTTCAAAGAACATCTTTATTTCTGCCTTCATTTCGTTATGTACCCAGTAGTCATTCAGGAGAAGGTTGTTCAGTTTCCACGTAGTTGAGTGGTTTTGAGTGAGTTTCTTAATCCTGAGTTCTAGTTTGATTGCACTGTGGTCTGAGAGAGAGTTTGTTATAATTTCTGTTCTTTTACATTTGCTGAGGAGAGCTTTACTTCTCTTTCATGCCACCTTCTGAAGGTGTTTGCTTTTCCTTTGCCTTGCACCATGATTGTAAGTTTCCTGAGGCCCCCTAAGTGATGTGGAACTGTGAGTCAACTAAAATTCTTTTCTTTGTAAGCTACCCAGTTTTGGGTAATTCTTTATAGCAGTGTGAAAATGGACTAATACAGAAAATTGGAACCAGGAGTTTGAGGCACTGCTATAAAGATACTTGAAAATGAGAAAGCAACTTTGAAATTGAGTAATGGGCAGAGGCTGGAACAGTTTGGAGGGCTCAGAAGAAGATGTGGGAGAGTTTGGAACTTCTTAGAGACCTGTTAATTGTTTTGACCAAAATGCTGATAGTGATATTGGCAAAGAAGTCTAGGCTGAAGTGGTTGCATATGGAGATGAAGAACTTATTGGGAATTGGAGCAAAGGTCACTCTTGCTATGCTTTAGCAAAGAGACTGGTGGCATTTTGCCCCTGTCCTAGAGCTCTGTAGAACTTTGAACTTGAGAGAGATGATTTAGGGTATCTGGAAGAAGAAATTTCTAACCAATAAAATATTCAAAGTGTGACCTGGATTTTTTTTCTTTTTCTTTTTTTAAGATGGAGTCGCGCTCTGTTGACTAGGCTGGAGTGCATTGGTGCAATCTTAGCTCACTGCAACTTCCGCCTCGTAAGTTCAAGTGACTCTCCTGCCTCATTCTCCTGAGTAACTGGGATTATAGACATCTGCCACCACGCCCAGCTAATTTTTGTATTTTTAGTAGAGACACAGTTTCACCATGTTGGCCAGGCTGGTCTCAAACTCCTGACCTCAAGTGATCTGCCCACCTCTGCCTTTCAAAGTGCTGAGATTACATGCATGCCTGGATATTTCTGAAAGCATACAGTCATATGCATTCATAAAGAGATGATTGGAAATTGGAATTTATGTTTAAAAAGGAAGCAGTGCATAAAAGTTCGGAAAATTTGCAGCCAAACCATGTGGTAGAAAAGAAAAACCCATTTTTGGGGGAGGAATTCAAGCCAGCTGCAGAAATTTGCATAAGTAATGAGGAGCCAAATGTTAATCACCAAGACAATGGGGAAAATGTCTCCAGAGCATTTTAGAGATCTTCAAGGCAGCCCCTCCCATCACAAGCCTGAAGGCCTAGGAGAGGAAAATGGCTTCATGGGCCAGGCCCAGGGCTCTGCTACTGTGTGCAGCCTCAGTAGCTGGTGCTCTGCAACTCAGCCACTCCAGCTCCAGCCATGGCTAAAGCGGGCCAACATACAGTTCGGGCCATGGCTTAAGAGGGTGTAAGCCCCAACTTTTGGCAGTTTCCACCTGGTGTTGGGCCTATGGGTGCACAGGAGATAAGAGTTGAGATTTTTGGAACCTCTATCTGGATTTCAGAAAATGTATGGTATACCTGGATGTCCAGGCAGAAGTCTACTGCAAGGGTGAAACCCTCATGGAGAACCTCTAGTAGGGCAATGCAGAGGGGAAATGTGGAGTTGGAGCACCCACACAAAGTCCCTACTGTGACACTGTCTAATGGAGCTGTGAGAAGAGGCCCACCACCCTCCAGACCTTAGAATAGTAGAGCCACTGACAGCTTGCACCATGCACCTGGAAAAGCCACAGGCACTCAACAGTCTACAAAAGCAGTCACAGGGGCTGTACCCTGCAGAATCACAGGAGTGGACCAGCCTAAGGTCATGGGAGCCCACCCCTTGCATCAGCAGGCCCTGGATGTCAGACATGGAGTCAAAGAAGGTTCATTTTGGAGTTTTAAGATTTAATGAGGGCCCTGCACTCATTAAATGAAACCTTGAATGGGGCCTGTGGCCCCTTGGTTTTGGACAATTTCTCCCACTTGGAACAGGAATATTTACCCAATGCCTGTACCCCCATTGTGTCTTGGAGGTAACTAATTTATTTTTTATTTTACAGGCTCAAAAGCAGAAGGGACTTGCCTTGTCTTAGATGAGACTTCGGATTTGGACTTTTGAGTTAATGCTGGAATGAGTTAAAACCTCGGGGGACTGTTAGAAAGTCATGATTGGTTTTGAAATGTGAAAAGGACATGAGATTTGGGAGGGCCGGGGCAGAATGATATGGTTTGGCTCTGTGTCCCCACACAAATCTCATCTTGAATTGTAATCTCCATGTCTCAAGGGAGGGATCTAGTGGGAGGTGATTGCATCATGGAGGCAGTTCCCCCCATGTTGTTCTCATGATGGTGAGTGGGTTTATATGAGATCTGATGGTTTAAAAGTGGCACTTCCCCCTTCACTCTCTGTGTCTCCAGCCACCTTGTGAAGAAGGTGCTTCTCCTTTGTCTTCCACTACGATTGTAAGTTTCCTGAGGCCTCCTTAGCCCTGTGGAACTATGAGTCAATTAAACCTCTTTCCTTTATAAATTACTCATTTTCAGGTAGATCTTTATAGCAGTGTGAAAACGGACTAATACACCTATTTTATGATAATATGGGGAAATTATACTTTATTAAATTGCTGGTGTAAATATGAAATGTCACAGTTCTTTTGAAAATAAGCTGAACAATATGTATTAAAATTAGTAATCTACATATTTTTGCCCAGAAACCCCACTCCTGGAATTGTCTTAGAGCCACAAATGTGTGATGATATGTGTAAAAGGTTGCTTCCTGCAATTTTGTTTGTGGTGGTAAAAACTGAAAGCAATGTAAACATCCATGGACAAGGGAATGGTTGAATAAATTATGGTACATTCTCATTATGGAATATTATGTAACAATCAAGAGGAATGAAATACAGCTATTTTAGTTGATTTGGAAATTTTTATGAAATAGTGTTGAGATCATATTGGTGTGTCTGGCATGAATTGTGTTCTGGAGAAAGAAATGAGGCTGGAGAAAAATGTTCCAGTCAGACCACGAGGGCTCCCTATGGCACACTAATGAGTTTGAAGACTCTACAAACCACAGGATAAAAATAATTAAATTAAAGGTAAAGTCTAAAAAATATCTCTTCTATCCCAATTAATCTAAAGCAACCTTGACTTCCTTATCTTACTTTCCCTTTTGTTCCTCATGCCTTCCTCACTTTCTTTTAGATTTTCTAAAAGTAGGACCTACTGTAGAAAAATAAATACATAAGAGATCATGGAAAAATGGTGTTTGTGGCCAAGTAATCATTGTACTGAGATCCCTAAAATAAAATGTGACCAAATCAGGCATATGTGCTCTAGAAGAAACTGTTTTCCAAATATGCTATGTTGTTCTTTTGGTACTTTGATTGTGGTGACAGGTCAGTGAAGCTATAATTGGTTTTAATTAGCCTTTCTACAGTTGTAATATTCTTTACCTACATGCAAACTGTCAAAAAAGGAAGGAAACGGAGGGAGGGAGAGAAGGAGAAATGTTGGTTCATTTTCCACCTTTATCGAAATGCCAAATAAATTGTTTTCAACCTGTCTTACAAGCAAATGCCCTACTTTCCAGTATAAATGAGGGGGAAATATGTCTCCGTGACAGCTCTTACAGGGAAATAGCTGATCCCTTCAGCAGCAGACAATGAACTCAATTCTGTCTTTTGTGCAATAATGTGTGGTTTCCAGGGCCTGAAGAGGAGAAAATCTCCTACATCCCCTCCCTAGCTTCTGGTAAAATTTTATCTGGGGGGCTGTCAGAAACTAAAGAAAATTCATACAGATAACCAAATGCATTTAAAATGCAAATGTTTTATATTAGTAGGCAGATACAGACTGTATCTATACATGTGTTATATATTCCATAAAGGAGTAGTAGGGCAATTTCTAACTGACTTTAAAATACTCATATACATGTTTCCATTTTATCCAAAACTTAATACTAGTTTTTTTCATCCAAGACTCTTCAGTCATCCTGAGTTATTTCAGGAACTCCAGTCTCTAAGAAGCCACCGTCTTTCTGAGCAGATTCTGAATCAGAACTTGCCTGGGAAGCTGACCTCTACAGTCCTTTGAATCACTGAGATTCCAGGATATTGCATTTTAAAAAATGATGAAACAGATCAATCAAGACTGGCCCTGGGACCAGTCTAGTGCAGGTCACACAGCCTCTGTTTTCCTTCTTCCCAAACCTATTCAGTGCATAATCATGGCTCACTCAGCCAAACTACAGATGGTAAACAGAGACACTCAAGGACAGTACAGTCCCCAAACCCCAAACTCCTTTGGTTTCTAGTAAAGATAAGCCAATACAACAGTTATGAATGCTTGGAGTTGGGAGCCATGACTATTTCCTCCTCCCTGCCCCTCGTCCTTAGAACCCCTAGCTGAGCATATTGCTTACTCAGACCCTCATCCTCAACACAACCAGTAGTCTTCAGGGACAAAAGGGACAGTAAGTCATTTATCCCAATGATCCTTTGGGAACTGAACATGAACCTCCCCTTATGAACCTCCATAACTATTAAATTGAGGCAGCTAATTCCACCTTTGGAAAAAACAATTATTCCAATGGTCTCCCTTTCCATAGAATGGAATGCTGTAACTCTATTCAATACTTACTGCAAAACTGTTCCCCATGTATTGCACATGAAGCTTGTCAATCTCTTGACCTCCTTAACTACTTCCATTGATTCCATTTACATCCCTTGAAATAGTACAGAATAAGATTAATCATTGTTTCACATTACAGCTTTTGTATATTACACATCTTTCCCAATACCCCACAAATATACACAAAGTCTCTCTTCTTAGCAAACACTGTCAATTTCCTGAAAAAATCCTCCGTATCAATGGCTTCAAATTGCTTCACTGTCCTTGATACTCTCCTGTAAATATCCTCAAGATTTTCCATGTTATTATTAATCTTTGGTATTCAAAACTGAATATAATACTCCAGAAATGGACTAAGCAGCCCAGGGTAGAATGGAAACATCTCCTTGTTTATTTTAAATTTTATGCTTCCAATATGACTACCAAAGATAATGTTTGCTTTGTAGAAACTACATAATATTATAGAGTTTGTGAGAATAATGATGTCTTGTATTCTTGAAAATTGCCAACAGAGTAGATTTTACGTGTTTTCACCACACACAAAAAAATGATAAGTATGTGAGGTGAGGCATATGTTAATTAGCTCATTTTAGCCATTCCACAATGTGTACATGTTTCAAAACAATAGGTTGTACAACAATAAATACATACAATATTTATTTGTCAGTTAAAAAACTGGCTGGACACAGTGGCTCTTGCCTGTTATCCCAGCACCTTCACAGGCTGAGGTGGGCAGATCACTTGAGGTCGGGAGCTTGAGACCAACATGGCCAACATAGTGAAACCCCATCTCTACTAAAAATACAAAAATTAGCTGGGCATGGTGGCATGTGCCTGTAATCCCAGCTATTCCATAGGCTGAGGCAGGAGAATCACTTGAACCCAGGAGGCAGAGGTTGCACTGAGCCAAGATGGCCACTGCCCTCCAGCCTGGGTGATAGAGAAAGACTCTGTCTCCAAAAAATAATAACAATAAAATAAAATACACGCAGGACTAGATTATGGCTCCAGACAGAACAACATGTAGAGGCTGGCACTGAAAATTTTAGCTCCAGATCAACTGCAAGAACAAACCAGCAATCCTGAGAGGACCCATAGACCTTCTGAAGGAAGCAGACTGCTCCTACAGGACCCAGGAGATACCCCAAATACTGTGAGTGCCCCAACTGTGGAATTGGGAAAGGGAGACCCTCCTCTCTCAAACACACACCCCCACTGGAGAAGATGAAGGTCCGTTTGCAGGAGAAGTTTCTGACTTTACCTGAAGCTGAGTCAAGTTAGAGAGCTGAGCCAAGTGAAATACAGCAGTAGAGAAAGCAGCAGAAAGGCCCTGAGTGCTCACTGGGTCACCAAGAAGCCCATTCCTGCCTGACACCACAGGGATCTCTTGGGAGGGTGGCCAGAGGAGCTAGGGTTAAAACTCCACAGGGAGAAGAAGGTTTCTAGCTGAACTTTGTAACAATCTGAATGGGTCAAGAAGCCTCCTGGCCAGAACTCGGGGGAGCGTGCAAATATGGGGTGCAGACATCACAGGCGGGGGAAGAACTAAAGCCCTTTTCTCTTGCAGTTGGGAGGCAGAAAGCCTCAGGCAAGTTTTCAAGCCCATCTGACCCTCCACCTGAAAACAGACTTGGGGATGTTGGAGGAGGGCAGTGGGAGTGAGGCTGGCTCTTCAGTTTCTGTGGGAGCTGGGTGAGGCCTGTGATTGCCGGCTTTCCCCCACTTCCTGGACAACCTGCATGACTCAGCAGAGGCAGCCATAATCCTCCTAGGTACACAACTCCAGTGACCTGGGAATCTCACCGCCATTCCCCACAGCAGCTGTAGCAAGACCTGCCCAAGGAGAGTCTGAGCTCAGACATGCCTAGCCCCACCCCCACCTGATAGTCCTTCCCTATCCACCCTGGTAGTGGAAGATAAAGGACATTTAATCTTGGGAATTCTAGGGTCCCACCCACCACCAGTCCCTCTCCACACTACTACAGCTGATGCTTTCTGGAAAGTGCCACCTCCTGGCAGGAGGCCAACCAGCACAAAAATAGAGCATTAAACCACCAAAGCTAAGGACCCTCATGGAGTCCGTTGCACCCTCTGCCACCTCCACTAGAACAGGCGCTGGTATCCATAGCTGAGATACTCATAGATGGTTCACATCACAGGACTCTGTGCAGACAAGCCCCAGTATCAGCCCAGAGCCAGGCAGACTCACTGGGTGGCTAGACCCAGAAGAGAGACCACAATCACTGCAGTTCAGCTCACAGGAAGCCACATCCATAGGAAAAGGGGGAGAGTACTACATCAAGGAAACACCCCGTGAGACAAAAAAATCTGAACAACAGCCATCAGCCCTAGACTGTCCCTCTGACAGAGGCTACCCAAATAAGAAGGAACCAGAAAACCAACCCTGGTAATATGACAAAACAAGGTTCTTCAACACCCTCAAAAGATCACACTAGTTCACCAGCAATGGATCCCAACCAAGAAGAAAAAGAATTCAGGAGGTTAGTTATTAAGCTAATCAGGGAGGGACCAGAAAAAGGCAAAGCCCAATGCAAGGAAATCCAAAATATGATACAGGAAGTGAAAGGAGAATTATTCAAGAAAGTAGATATCTTAAATTTAAAAAAATTAAAAATTCAGAAAACTTAGGACACACTTTTAGAAATGTGAAATGCTATAGAAAGTCTCAGTAATAGGTATGAACAAGTAGAAGAAAGAAGCTTTCAGAGCTTGAAGACAACATCTTCGAATTAACCCAATCCAACAAAGACAAAGAAAAAAGAATAAGAAAATATGAACAAAGCCTCCAAGAAGTCTGGGATTATGTTAAATGACCAAACCTAAGAATAATTGGTGTTCCTGAGGAAGAAGACAATTCTAAAAGCCTGGAAAACATACTTGGGAGAATAATTGAGGAAAACTTACCTGGCCTTGCTAGAGACCTAGACATGCAAATACAAGAAGCACAAAGACCACTTGGGAAATTCATCACAAAAAAGATCTTTGCCTAGGCACACTGTCATCAGGTTATCCAAAGTTAAGACAAAGGAAAGAATCTAAAGAGCTATGAGACAGAAGCACCAGGTAACCTATAAAGGAAAACCTATCAGATTAACAGCAGATTTCTCAGCAGAAGCCCTGCAAGCTAGAAGAGATTGGGGCCCTATCTTTGGCCTCCTCAAACAAAACAATAATCAGCCAAGAATTTTGTATCCAGTGAAACTAAGCATCATATACGAAGGAAAGATAGAGTCATTTTCAGACAAACAAATGCTGAGAGAATTTGCCATTACCAAGCCACCACTACAAGAACTGCTAAAGTGAGCTCTAAATCATGAAATAAATCCTGGAAACACATCAAAACAGAACTTCTTTAAAGCATAAATCACACAGGACCTATAAAACAAAAATACAAGTTAAAAAGCTAAAACAAAAACAAAAAAAAGGGTACACAGGCAACAAAGAGCATGATGAATGCAAGGGTACTTCACATTTTAATACTTACGTTGAATGCAAATGGCCAAAATGCTCCACTTAAAAGATACAAAACTGAAGAATGGGTAAGAACTCATCAACCGACTATCTGCTGCCTTCAGGAGACTCATCTAACACAGAAGGACTCACATAAACTTAAAGTAAAGGGGTGGAAAAAGGCATTTCATGCAAATGGACACCAAAAGCAAGCAGGGGTAGCTATTCTTATATCAGACAAAACAAACTTTAAAACCACAGTGGTTAAAAAAGACAAAGAGGGACATTATATAATGGTAAAAGGCCTTGTCCAACAGGAAAATATCACAATCATAAACACATATGCACCTAACACTGGAGCTCCCAAATTTATAAAACAATTACCACTAGACATAAGAAATTAGATAGACAGCAACACAATAATAGTAGAAGACTTCAATACTCCACTGACAGCACTAGACAGGTCATCAAGACAGAAAGTCAACAACAACAAAAAAAAACAATGGATTTAAACTATACCTTGGAGCAAATGGACTTAACAGATATACACAGAACATTTCATCCAACAGCCACATAATACACATTCTATTCAACAGCACATGGAACTTTCTCTGAGATAGACCATATGATAGGCCATAAAACGAGACTCAATAAATTTAAGAAAATTGAAATTAAATCAAGCACTCTCTCAGACCACAGTGTAATAAAACTGGAAATCAACTCCAAAAGGAACCTTCAAAACATGCAAATACATGGAAATTAAATAACCTGATCTTGAATGAGCATTGGATCAAAAATAAAATCAAGATGGAAATTAAAAATTCTTCTAACTGAATGACAATAATGACACAACCTATGAAAACATCTGGGATACAGCTAAGGCGGTGCTAAGAGGAAAGTTCATAGCCCTAAATGACTACATCGAAAAGTCTGAAAGAGCACAAACAGACAATCTAAGGTCCTCAAGGAACTAGAGAAACAAGAACAAACCAAATCCAAACCCAGCAGAAGAAAGGAAATAAGCAATGTAAGAGCAGAACTAAATGAAATTGAAAAAAAAAGTAAATGAAACAAAAAGCTGGTTCTTTCAAAAGATAAATAAAGTTAATAGACCATTAGCAAGATTAACCAAGAAGAAAAGAAAGATCCAAATAACCTCACTAAGAAACAAAATAGGAGATATTACAACTGACACCACTGAAAGCAAAAGATCATTGAAGGCTACTATGAACACCTTTATGCACACAAGCTAGAAAACCTAGAAGAGACGGATAAATTCCTGGAAAAATACAACCCTCCTAGCTTAAATCAGGAAGAATTAGATACCATGAACAGAGCAATAACAAGCAGTGAGATTGAAATGGTAATTTAAAAATTACCAACAAAAATTCCAGGACCAGATGTATTCACAGCAGAATTCTACCAGACATTCAAAGAAGAATTGGTACCAATCCTTTGACACTAATCCACAAGATAGGGAAAGAAGGAACCCTCCCTGATTCATTCTATGAAGCCAGCATCACCCTAACACCAAAACCAGGAAAGGACACAACCAAAAAAGAAAACTACAGACTGATACCCTTGATGAATATAGATGCTTAACAAAATATTAGCTAACCAAATCCAACAACATGTCAAAAAGATAATCCAGCGTGATCAGATGGATTTCATACCAGGGATTCAGGGATGGTTTAACATACACAAGTCAATAAATGTGATACACCACATAAACAAAATTAAAAATAAAAATCACATGATTATCTCAATAGATGCAGAAAAAACATTCAACAAAATCGAGCATCACTTTACGATTAAAACCCTCAGCAAAATCGTCATACAAGGGACATACCTTAACATAATAAAAGCCACCTATGACAAACCCACAGCCAACATAATACTGAATGGTGAAAAGTTGAAAGCATTCCCTCTGAGAACAGGAACAAGACAAGAATCTCTCCACTCCTCTTCAACATAGTATTAGAAGTCCTAGCCACAGCAATCAGACAAGAGAAAAAAATAAAGGGCCTCCAAATTGGTAAAGAGCAAAATGTCCCTGTTTGCTGACAATATGATCATTTGCCTTGAAAACCCTAAGAAGTCCTCCAGAAAGCTCCTAGAACTGATAAAATAATTCAGCGAAGTTTCCAGATACAAGATTAATGTACACAAATTAGTAGCTCTTCTATACACCAACAGTGACCAAGCAGAGAATCAAATCAAGAACTCAATCCCTTTCATAATAGCTGCAAAAATAAAATAAAATAAAATAAAATACATAGGAATATACATAACAAAGAAGTCGAAAGACCTCGACAAGGAAAACTACAAAACACTGGTGAAAGAAGTCATAGATAACACAAACAAATGGAAACACATCCCATGCTCATGGATGAATAGAATCAGTATTGTGAAAATGATCATACTGCCAAAAGCAGTCTACAAATTCAATGCAATCCCCATCAAAATACCACCACCATTCTTCACAGAGTTAGACAAAACAATTCTAAAATTCATTTGGAACCAAAAAAGAGCCTTCATAGCCAAAGCAAGACTAAGCCAAAAGAACGAATCTGGAGGCATCACACTACTTGATTTCAAACTATACTATAAGGCCATAGTCACCAAAACAGCCTAGTACTGATATAAAAATAGGCACATAGACCAATGGAGCAGAGTAGAGAACCCAGAAATAAACCCAAATACTTACAGCCAACTGATCTTTGACAAAGCAAACAAAAACATAAAGTGGGGAAAGGACACCCTTTTCAACAAATGGTGCTGGGGTAATTGGCTAGCCACATGTAGGAAAATGAAACTGGACCTCATCTCTCACCTGATACAAAAATCAACTCAAGATGGATTAAGGACTTAAATCTAAGACCTGAAACCGTAAAAATTCTAGAAGATAACATTGGAAAAACCCTTCTAGACATTGGCTTAGGCAAGGATTTCATGACCAAGAACCCAAAAGCAAATGCAATAAAAACAAAGATAAATAGCTGGGACTTAATTAAACTAAAGAGCTTTTGCACAGCAAAAGGAACAGTCAGCAGAGTAAACAGACAACACACAGAGTGTGCGAAAATCTTCACCATCTATATATCTGACAAAGAACTAATATCCAGAATCTACAATGAACTCAAACAAATTGGTAAGAAAAAAAAATCCCATTAAAAAGTGGGCTAAGGACATGAATAGACAATTCTCAAAAGAAGACATACAAATGGCCAACAAACACATGAAAAAATGCTCAACATCACTAATGATCAGGGAAATGCAAATCAAAACCACAATGCAATACCACCTTACTCCTGCAAGAATTGCCATAATCAAAAAATAAAAAAACAGTACATGTTGGCATGAATGTGGTGAACAGGGAAAACTTCTATGCTGCTGGTGGGAATGTAAACTAGTACAGCCACTATGGAAAACAGTGCAGAGAGTCCTTAAAGAACTAAAAGTAGAACTACCATTTGTTCCAGCAATCCCACTACTGGGTATCTACCTAAAGGAAAAGAAGTCATTATTCAAAAAAGATACTTGCACATGTATGTTTATAGCAGCACAATTCACAATTGCAAAATCGTGGAACCAACCCAAATGTCCATCAATCAACAAGTGGTTAAAATCTGTGGTATATATATACACACATATACACATATAAACATATACACACCATGGAATACTACTCAGCCATAAAGAGGAATGAATTAACAGCGTTTGCAGTGACCTGGATGAGACTGGAGATTATTATTCTAACTGAAGTAACTCAGGAATGGAAAACCAAACATCATATGTTCTCACTGTTATGTGGGAGCTAAGCTATGAGGGTGCAAAGGCATAAGAATGATATAATGGACTTTGAGGACTTAGGGGGAAGAATGGGAGGGGGTGAGGGATAAAAGACTACAAATATGGTGCAGTGTATACTGCTCGGGTGATGGGTGCACCAAAATCTCACAAAACACCACTAAAGAACTTACTCATGTAACCAAATACCACCTGTACCCCAATAACTAATGGAAAAATAAAAAAATAAAAACTAATTTAAAATATAAAACATTTTATATGTGCTAGGAAATTATATCTCCTTGATCCTAAACTGTGAAGATAAATTATGGAACTTAAATGTATGACCCAATTATCTTCTAGATGTGTCCCATCCTTCAAATCTATCCTCTCCAGGCCATACCCACAAGCAATAATCCCTTCTACCAACTGTCATCCAGGTTAACTTGTCTACATTAATACCGAATTCATAGTCTTTTAACAAGTAATTGTTTGCTGCAGACATTTTCAGTACATGACTTTTCTCTTTAGTATATTCCTCTTTCCCTTATCTCAACGAATGGCATCACCACCTATTTATTCAGTTTTCCAAATTATTAATCTGGGAGGAATCTTTGGCTCCTCATTTCTCATCACTCCTCCATTCTATCAGCCTAAGTCCTATTGAATCTTCCTCCTAAATATCTCTAGGATCAGTCCATTTGACTTCATCCCCATCGCCCGTAACTTTTTCAGACCAAAGCCATCTCTTTGCCAAATACTAAAACAGCCACTTTATCTCCCCTTCTCCACTTTGATCCCTGTAACTCAAATTTTATCATTTATCCCTTCTGCTTAAAACCCTTCCTCTGGCCTATAATTACCTAAGTCCTTAAACTGGCTAATAAGGCTCTTAATAATCTGGCCTTTGATTTCTTCTCCAACCTCAACCATCACCATTTGTGCACACCAGTATTCTCCACTCTGCAGTTTTCCTGCCTCAAGAATATATGCCCATGCTGTCTATATTACTTTGAACATTCTCTGTCCTCACCTCTTCAAGCAGCCCCCTCCTCCTGCTCAAACATCAGGGCTCTGCTTGTGTCTTTTTCTGTAAGAAGCCTTCATTCACTGCACTCTCAAAAATGGTTTAGGTGCCCTTCCCCCCGTGCTCCACCAGCAGGCCTGCCACATATTATGGTAACTGCTTTCCTACATTCACGCCATTGTCTTGCTTCCATCATCACATCTACTACTAATTCTGATTCTTCTTCTTTACTCTTATAAGGATGCCTGTGATTACAGTGGGGCTCTCCTGGATAATCCAGATAACCTCTCCATGTCAAGATCCTTAATCACTTCTGTAAAGCCCCTTTTACCATGTAATATCACATAGCCACAGCTTCTGGAGCTTAGAACATGGGCTTCTTTGGGGACAGAGGATCATTATTCAGTCTACTCAAGGTGAATGTTGGGAAGCAGAGTGGGTAGAGCATTCTAGGCTGAAAGAACAGCGCATGCAAAGTCTGAGATAAGAAGCACAGTGCACTCAGATCCTGAAAGAAGACAATGTGGGTAGAACCCAGACAGAAAAAAAAAGTTATGAGATGAAAAGAGAGACATAAAAATGTGCCAGATGGTATACAGGCTTGTTTCCATGTTGAGAACCTTGGTTCCAAACATAACAGCAATGAGAAGCCATTGGAGTCCATCATGCATTGGGAGTGTTATAATCAGATTTATATATTTTTAGAAGATCACTCTGGCTTCAGTGTAAAGAATGGACTGGAGATGCCAAGGGTGGGAGTGGAGGGAAATTTCATTTACATTTCTGGAAAATGTCAGAGAACATACTTTCATAATTCTAGACATCTCGTGTGAACTGCAGTATTATCAATAATACTATTACATGATAATCAAATTTCTTTACATATTTTATTGCTTACATTTCACAAATTCTTTCTCAATACTCATGCCACTCTGTGATAAAGAGAGTACAAACCCTCTCAGGCAAGTGAGATGACTAAAGATCAAAATGTTAACTATCTTACCAAAAGTGGTTCATGCAAATAGAGGCTGAGCCAAAACTAAACCAAGACTTCAATACTTTTGTACTTTGATTTACATTGCCTTTCTCCTAAAAATGAACCTTTTAGCAAACCCAGTTTTCATTATGCAAGTTTGATGAATTTATAAACTGGTTCTCTATTACTTTTCCATTTTCCAGGCAGGAAAGCAGAAGTTAATGAATTAATGAGTTTATCTCATCACAAGAGTTGACTATCACGACCATCCTTGTATCACTTTATAATATTTCTGTACAGCATTGGTCAACTTACATTCTATATTCACTGGTCAGAGGAAAAAAAATAATTTCTCAGATTTGTTGCCTAATTTGCAGTTAGGAGAATGATGACAGCTCTCTGTTTGTAAGATAGACAGCTTGAAAAAAAGTGTCTAAGCTTTTTGCCTTTTCTTTTCCCCAGCAGGCTCTTTGCTGCTCCCTGCTCAGCATAACAGACCATTAAACATGTTGAGTCTAATGTAATGACTCATGTAGCATGTTCGCTCTTTCCCATCACATTAATCACCAGTTGCTATAATATCCTGTTTGTTAAAACTAAGCAATAATGCAAATCCTCATAACAGCAACCCTCAATTAAAGAGAATTTGTTTTCCTTGCACCTCAGCACAAAGAGAAAGAATCAGATGACAGTGAAACAAGCTAATGGTCATTTTAAAGAAGCCAGAAAAAAATAAAATACTTTCAGTTGCTGACATGGGGCCAGGATACTGTGAATTAATTATGTGAGAAAACCAGGAAAGACAAAAACCCCAGATCCTGAATTTGTCATTAAAGATGTGTCCAGTTACCTACTAATTTAATTCACGAATTCATTCAATCACTCCAATCAGGTTAGAAGACAGATATTGAGCACATAGTGCAATGTCAAGACAAAAGACAAGAGCAGAGACAGTCTCCGCTGTCAAGGTGCTCCCACTGTGCTATAAAAAAAAAGCATTGCACTACTCAGGACACTGATTACAAAATGGCACAATTTCAACCCAAGCTGACACGAACAAAAAAGAGAAACCATCATGCCATTGAAAAGTTCAGTTGCTTTGGGCATTTCTGGATTCAGATATTCAAATATCCAACTGAATTCTGTCTCTCTCCATCATAAATTATGCTTTTTTCCATGTTGGTTTTTGTTTTTATGTTTTTTGGTGGCAAAATCACCTCCAACCACTCCATACTTATATTCCACCAGCCTGGCAACACCAGTGGAAAGGGAACATCCCTTTTCTAATAGTTTCAGCAAACGTACCAGGCTTGACTCATCAGGCTTGTTGTATGCATCCTTTTCTGAACCAATCACTGCTCAAGGACATGGTATTGCCAATGGACCAGTTATCTTGCCTGCCACCCCAGGCAGGGAGAGTGGTTTGCTTCACTTAAACTGTATGAACTGAGAGCATGAACCAAAAAAAAAAAAAAAAAAAATCAAAGTGCTCATCCCAAACAAAGGAGAAGTGCGAGCGGTAAAGAGTTACAGGTTACAGGACTGTGCATAAAATACAGGGAGGACATGGAGGAGAGGAGCTAAATCTATCTATGGGAGGGGAAATCAGAAAAGGCTTGTCATGCTTGAACTGGGTCATGAAAGGTTAGTAGGTGTTTGCTCCACAGACAAGGAGGTTTGCTTCCTGAGCAAAAGCAGTGAGCCATGAAACATTTTGACTTGTTTGGGGAAGTGTAGGATATTCTGCATCAGGCCACACTTTACCTCCTCATCTCTGCTGTCCCTGAATCTTCACAGATATGTCCACTTACAGCCTCTCTGGCCTCTCTACATGGAGGTCTCTGCCTGCTCCAGGTTCTAAGCTGACAGAGAAATGTGCATGCTCCTAGTACTAAAATCCATAGCCACAGGAAGGAGGGTGGGGCTCAGGGACTGCTTCTTGAGACACCTTCACTGCCAAATCCACAAGATGAGCTTTCTGTTCAGTCATTTCTTATTCTACACCCAACCACAGATATTTACTGAGACCTGCTACTATGGGGCAGACCACATTCTAGGCCTGGGGCTCATAAGGTTTCACAGAGGTTAATTTCTAGTTGGACAGGAGCAAACAAACACATAACAAATACATGCATAAGGTCATATCATAAAGTGCTGTTATAAGGATAGTAAAGCAGTTGGGTAATGGGATACAGATTGGGGAGGGGCAATTAGTAAAAGGAATGGCTACATCAGTGAATGTGGCTAGAGGGTGTCTAGGAGCCAATTTTGAAGTGAGACCTAAATGACATGAAGCCATGCACAAACCTTGGGAAGAGCATTATTTCAGGCAGAAAGCTAAAAGTGCAAAGGCCCTGGGGTCAAAGCAAGCTTTGGCATGTGTGAGAGCTGGAAAGTCTCTCTGTCATAACCCTGCAAAATCAGAGCTTCAGGCTGAACTCCAATCCATCATAAGGCCCCAAATTTTTGCCATCACACCTTCAAAAGTAGGATTCTTTCCTCAAGAGAAAAGGCTACCCTTTATTAAGCATCCTCTATATTCGAAGAACCAAGATTTTAAAAAATGTACTCACATTATGTTATTGAATCTCAGAACTCTGAAAGATAGATACTGTTCTATCTACCTTAGAGCAGTTGAGAAATGTGTTCAAAGTCATAGGGCTGAAGAGTGACTAGCCCAAGATTTACTTGGAGACCCCAAAGTTCATATCTTTCATCCTGCTTCATCTCTACTGGAATAAACTATCTACATGCCAAATCAATTGATGGAAAACATACTGCAAATTCTTCCCAAAGGCTAAATATAGAGATCGCTTACTCCTGAATCTTGGCTTATTGCAGTTGCTATCAGGAGAAAAGTATTCTAATAAAGGCTCAAATTATAGAAAAGTCTCCATATTCAAAATCTAATCATAGTAAAATTGCATGCAAATGGGTTCCTGAGACAATGATAGAGAATGCAACCAGCCCAGCCACAAAAGCACACTGTTCATTGGAGGCCCACATTGTTTTGTTTTGTTCTGTTTCCTAAGAAAATTGATAGTACAATTTATTGTCTCCTATTTTAATCCTGGAGAAATAGGCACAAAAAATGTGGTGATTACATGAACGTAATATAGTTATTTTTCAATCTTTGTCCTTTGTCAAAGCAAAGACTGAGAAATAAAAGGCTAGTCAAGGAGCTCATTGTTTGTTGTACAGCAGCATTTTAAATATGTTTTAAAGTGCATCTATCTCTGAAGATTACCCATGGAAAGTGGAGGTGGGGAACAGAGAATTCTGTAGTCTAAGTTTGGGAAATTATGCATCTACTTTTGAAGATTGATCATGACTCTGAGCATATTAATGGCTATGAGATGTCCTGCAATAAATAAATCTCTTTCGCTTTGCTAAATCTAGCATTGCTCAAAATGATTTAACTCTAGAACTCCCCTTTTGGTAACATATAGATATATTCCCTGAACCAGAATTCCTTAGAATCCACTTGGTAAAATATTGGTCTATACCAGTTTAGACAAATAATATTTGTCCTATCTCACTCTGGTGGATTATTTGCAATAGTAGCTCCAGTTTGTTCACACTCCACTGTATCCCTGCCCTTGGTAGCCAACCCTCCCTCTACCTCATCCTCCGACCCCACCCCAAACACACCAACTCTGAACTTTACCATGGAACTTGCATTGCCCGCTAGGACAACGCTAAACACAATGCAAGCAAAGACTTGAAAAGGCTTGCCCTGTCTTGATGTTCTTGGGGCTCCTGTTACCATCTCCACTTGAGGAAGCCAAAGCTAAACTTCTTCATGTGAAAGAAGCACCTCTTCATGTGCTTGTTCCATGTGAAAGCACATGAAGCAAAGACCAGCCATCCCATGATAGGTCTCTTCTAGACCAACCAGCCTCCAGCCAACCTGCTAACTGACCAGAGACACACGAGTGAGCTCCAGCTCAGACCAGCAAAAGAATTATCCAGCTGAGCCTGGCCCAAGTTGCCAGCCCACAGAATTGTGAACTAAAAAAAGAATTTTCATTTTAACCACTAAACCTTAGGGTGGTTTATTATTAGAAGCGAAAACTAACTGATATACTTACTACTAATAACAAAAGAGTTTTAGCCCTGTGCTCTGAAAAAAACTTTAGGAAAATAAAGACCTTTTGGCTTTTATAGATAATGCTTTTTTGGGCCACAATATTATCTCCTATAATATTTTAAAAATGAAATCCAAATGTTATCACAGATCTCTCTCTAATAGAGGTAAATGCACCTGAATCATAGATTTTTAATTAGTGACATCTGGTATTATCTCGAAAGCTCACAAAGGTGTTTACCTTGATCACACACTATCATCTCTTCATGGACTAATATACTTCTCTTTGTCAAAACAAATATGGGATCCAATTATCATGAACCAGGTAAGTGCATTACAATTTTTAAGTGGCTTCTAACCCTCATAGATGATTCTGATCCAGGGAACCTTAAAATTAATAAACTGTGAAAGGTGTATCTTTGGTCCTTGTTGGATGAAAATGAACATTAATACCCTGCTGATGAGTCATTAACACATCTCAACAGTAAGAAATAAAACAATACTGTTGCTTTCACTAGGAGAGACACAGTTAATTAAGTTGGTAGTGAGGGTCAGAATGCTGGAACCTGGGCTTATGAGGAACCACAAACCTGAGAAGTCTATTAAACAATAATATTTCCATCAGCTATAATAAAACTTTTAAAAAATGATAACCAAAATAGCAAAGTGGGAGTTTACAGGGTAAACAGGGGAAATAGCAGCTCAGAATGTCAGCCCAGACATGTCTGCCTTCCCAGTACACACTGTGAAAACATAATTCCCAACTCATTAGGGAGCAAAGGGATGAGTGGAGAGAAATGCTAATTATACATTAGCTCAGTTAGCTAAATTCAGATAGGGTAATATCACATGGACTGATGGAATAAGCCATAAAATTTTAAATTCCAGGCGGACTACTGCAAATGGCTTTTAAAGAAGCAAGCCGTTTCCTGTTCTCCAAAAACCACAAACTGGAAGATGGGAATTATCTATTTGAGCAGAAGGACAAAATTCACTCTAAAGAAGTTGATAACTGGTGGGTGAAATCTGCAGAAATTAAGGGTAAAGGCCATCTCCAAAAGAAATGTCTAGAAATGTCCTTATTATTATATACAATTAATGCTGAAGTCCGGATCAAATGAAAACTGGGAATTCAAGTGGGAGGAGACAAAAAGTTAACCATCAAGTATTCCTAGGCATTAAAGCAATCACTTTCCTTCTTTATAAATATAGCACACTTGATCCATTCTATTGTTGATGAACATGTGGGTGGTTTCTGTTTTGTGATATTACAAGCACTGCTGCTATGAGCTATTTCTTAGGTGTTTCCTGGCGCACAGGTGCAAGAGTTATTTTTAGGGCTGTTGTGCTCATTAAAATCACCCGTCGAATCTTTACTAGCTACTGATGCCCTGGCCCCATCACAGAGTAATTGAATAACTAATCAAAATATATGGGTAGAGGTAGAGATTGGTGGCAGGATGGGATGGGGGGTGGGATGTCAAGTATTTTTTTCCAACATCTAATTTTTAAATATTCAAGTTTCATCAATAGCTTTGATATGGTATGGCTCTGTGTCCCCATCCAAATCTCATCTTGAATTTCACTCCCATAATTCCCATGTGTTGCAGGAGGGACCCAGTGGGAGGTAACTGAATCATGGGGCCAGTTGCCCCCATACTGTTCTCGTGGTAGTGAATAAGTCTCATGAGATCTGATGGTTTGATAAGGGAAAACCTGTTTCACTTGGCTCTCATTCTCTTTCTTGCCACTGCCATGTGAGACATGCCTTTCACCTTCTGCCATGATTGTGAGGTCTCCCCGGCCACGTGGAACTGTAAGTCTAATAAACTTCTTTCTTTCTGTAAATTGCCCAGTCTCGGGTATGTCTTTATCAGCAGCATGAAAATGGACTAATATAAGTTTCAAAATGTATTTTATACCTCTTTTGTTTTATTTTCCAGTTGAAAATCACACCTTACATTTAATCGTCATGTCTCTGTGATTTCTCTACATCTAGAACAATTTCTCTGCCTTTTCTTTTCTCATGACATTGACTTTTTAAAGTCCATACCAGCTGTTTTAAAGAATATTCTATATTCTACATTGTTTCCTAATCATGTCATTTTTCTCAATTCTCTGTCCTTTGAGTTTCTTGTAAACTAGAGGTGAGTTATATAAGCTTGATCAAATTCAGGTTAAATATTTTTATTGAGAATGCTTTCTAGGTGATGCTAAGAACTCCTATGGCATCAGGTTGAGAGGTGAGGCCAGCTAGACTTCCTGGGTCGAGTGGGGACTTGGGGAACTTTCCTGTCTTACAAGAGGATTGTAAAATGCACAGATCAGCGCTCTGTAAAAGGCACCAATCAGCAGGATTCTAAAAGTAGCCAGTCGCGGGGTGGATTGAAAGAAGGGCACTCTGATAGGACAAAAACGGAACATGGGAGGGGACAATAAGGGAATAAAAGCTGGCCACCCAACCAGCAGCGGCAACCCACTCGGGTCCCCTTCCTTGCTGTGGAAGCTTTGTCCTTTTGCTCTTCACAATACACCTTGCTACATGGGTCTGTGCCATCTTTAAGAGCTGTGACAGTTACCGCGAAGGTCCGCGGCTCCATTCTTGAAGTCAGAGAGAGTCATGAACCCACCAGCAGGAACCAACTCCAGACACAAGGTGACCCATCATGTCAGAGTGCCCCACTATTAGTGGTGCTAAGGTTGGTCACTTGGTATGCTATATCTCTGCAAGGTAACTTTATTTTAATTGAAGTTAAGATCAATGGCCTCAGTAATCCCAAATAAATTTGAAAAGAAATGGTTCTCTAAAATTTTTCAAATTGTTCTCATTTAAGTGGGCAATATTGTGGCATTTAGAGTCATTCTGAAAAATATGAGAAAATGCAATGATCATCACATACTTTCCTTTCTCATTCAGTAGCCTAAATATGGTAATTGATCATAGCATTAGTATCTACTCCATTTCAGACCCATTAAATTTTAGCTCATTTAATCCTCATGGTAACCTCATGAGGTTATCATTATTCTTATTATTTTAAAGAGGGAGAACTGAGGATCAGAGATGTCAAGTCACAAGGTCAAACAATAAGTGAAAAGGCAGGATTGAAACTCAGGTTTATGTGATTCCAGTCTTTTTCCACTATCCAGAGGTGGCTTTTCCTTCAGACCAATATCTTTTTCTCTGTAGGCCTAAAACCATAAATGAGAGAAACCAATCCATCTGTCACTTCCTCTTCCTTGGAATCAAAGTCTCTGACCACTTTCATAACCCTTCTGAAACTCTTTCTCATCCAGGATTAAGCCACCCTGACTCCATACCAGTGAAATGAGTTTTTTGCAGAGCAGTATGCAACATTTCCTGAAGGAGCTACCTGAAACCCACAAAGGTTAAGTGCACTACCGGAAGTCACACAATGAAAGACAACAGTGCTTCACAAGTAGTGGAGTGCTTGTACTGAGCAATGCAGCTGTCATTGAAATCCAAATACAAAGGATACTGAAGAATTGGTACACACAAATGCAACAGAAAAAAATCAACCAGAGGAGTGTAACTTAAATTGAGTGATGCTTTGAAAAATAAGCTCAGAAAACAAAAATAAGCGTGGCTAAAATTGACTGGGCAATTTTGTACCAAGCGCTTCACCAGATAATCTTAAATCATCTCTGCAACAAACTTAGGAGTCATGTACTAAAGAAATCCCCATTTTACAGGTGGAAAAAAACAAAGGTCAGAGACCTGAGAAAACTAGCTGAGCTTGAATATAAATCCAAACTGCCTGATTCCAGATTCATGAGACTAACCATTATACAATATTTTCTTTTCTACACAAGTGTTAAGAGCAAAACTGAAGACAGATGCTCCATGCTAATCAAATCATCCAACATTGAAAGTCAGTACCATAGTAGTAAAAGTAGAAGATCTGGAGCCACCTACCTGGGTTCAAATCACAGCCTCTCCAGTGGAATGAGCTTGGGAAAGACTTTTAAACTTTCTGTAAAGTGTAGAGATAGTAATAGTTCCTACCTCATAGGGTTGTTAAATTAATATAGGCAAAGTGCTTGAAAGAACATCTTTTACTAAGTACTATGAAAGTATTAGCTACTATTAGTTTAAATTATTTCTGTCTATTTCCTTTATTGCCAATTCAGTTGATCCTATCCATTTCTTTATTACCTCAAACAGCAACCATATGCTCTAAACTGGTCTCCCATTTTTTTCTAGGTTCACTCTCATCTTTAAAAATAATTTTATTTATCTTACTTGCTTATTAAATCTTTCACCCACTTCTTATTTGATATCAGTTCATAATAATCTTTGTGGAACTCAGAAATTATTATCTGTTCTTGTTCATGAGGAAATCCTAATTCAGAGATACTAAATAATTTATCTAAGGTTGCTCAACTAATGAATAAAATAGCTGGACCAAGGACCCAAGTACACAGCTTCCCATCTGGTAGTTTTTTCCTAACAGCATGCTGTCTCATGCTTGCCAGATTCTAATCTTCCTAAAATACAGCACATATTATTGTCCCTTAGCATAAAACTCTTCAATGACTCCCTCTTGTTAAGTGAAATAAAATTCCTCACCTTAAAAATATGGCTAAAGCCTGGATTCCAGTTTTATCTCCTGTGGATACCTGTACTGCAAATTTAACACCATTTTTGCCCTCACACAGTCTCTTTCCACCCAAATACCTTCTCTCTCCTCCTTTATTATTGCCTGTTAAAAGTCATTTCCACTTGTCAAACCCATCTCTATTACCAACAACTTCATAAGGCTTTCCCTCAGTTCTCCCAGTTCAGGTGAAGTATCTTTTACCATCTTATTTTTATCACTTACTACATTCTAAGATGTTTGAGAGAAGGTCTCACAGCCTCTAAGAGCCTGCCTGGCACATAGCTTGTGCTCAACAAATAGTTGTTAAATTAAGTTGAATTTATGCCTAATCAAATTCAACACCAAAGTAAAGAGATAAGGCAGTAGCAATGCCCTGACTTCTGTATGCTTGAGAGATATGGAACAGTTCCAACTATCACCTCAGTTACGTCCCCAGAGTCTTTTGCATTTGCCTTTTATTTTGTGTCTGCTGCTACTCTAGTTCAGGCTCTGATCTATTCTCTCCCAGACAGTTGCAATGCTTTCCTAATTGGTTTGTCTACTTGCTATCTCTCCCCACTCCCATCTATCCTTCCCAAGCCTGCCAGATTAATCTTCCAATAATGCAATTCCAATCATTCAAGCAGGAACAATTTCATTAGTATCATGAAACATTAGTTAAGATCGCCTCCAGAACAGTCAATATGTCAGGAGCATTTGCCAGTGAAAAGGCTGTCAGTATCCTCCAGGTAGTCACTGTGGGATGTCTAAAATATCACTGAATGGCAAGTGAGAGTAGGCAGCTGTAAGCAAGGCAGACAGAAGGAAGGCTATAAAGACAGACCAAAGCACTACTTCAAGCAACCAGGCTTACTGGATTATTTTAGGAAAAAAAATACATTCTGCTAACCCAAGAGGCAGTCAGCAGCCAGGCCTCTGCTCAAAGTGGTCACAGATCATCTTGACAGCAGCAGTCATCATGAACTCTTGAACGTGATGGCACCAGCCCTCTGGCAGTGTCATAACTGACCCTCGTCATCCCCCAGGCTACTCCCCAAAGAAAGCCAAGTGATCACATCTCGGCTGCACAACTCAGGCAAGTGAAGAATGGAATGCAATGGAATAGGCTGCTCTTTAAAGTCAGACAGGTCTGAGTTTGAATCCTTGTTCTACCATTCTCTAACTATATGATTTTGAACAAGTTATTTAGCCTCAGTTTTGACATCTTTGAAATGGGGATACTAATATTCACATGATCAGGTTGTTTTAAGGATGGTGGGAGGTAACACATATAAAGTTCCTGACAAATATTTTATTAAATAAATACAAATGGGCCTAAAGGACAAAGAAAACAGGCAAGGCTTCCTTCTTGGGGCAGGCTTAAATGTGAGAAACCCTGAGTTTTGAGAAAAGAAGTCCATTCAATTCTGCATGCCTTCTAATTGTTTTAAGGTACTGCATCAATACTGCAAGAATGCATTCATTCAACAATCGTCAATTCATAGTCACTTTGGACCAGGCATAAATAACACATTGGTTTTATACAAAGTAAAATTTAGTCCCTCCCCAGAGTTACTCACAAGTTAAGTGGGGAAAAAAATATGAATGAAAGCAAATAATCATCTATTTCAAGCACGAACGCCTAGTAGTTTAGAGAAAAATCCATGGAAAAAGAACAAAAACAATTCCATATGTGGTGTGTCATGGAAAAGAGAGAGAAACTACCATGGAAAGCGAGACAAAAATAATATAGAAGCTGGCCATGGTGGCTTAAGCCTGTAATCCCAGCTACTCAAGAGACTGAAGCAAAAGGATTGCTTGAGCCCAGGAGTTCAAGACCACTCTGGCCAACATGGCAAGACCCTGTCTCAAAACAAAAAAATATATATACACGGAGTTCAGCTGAGGAAGGTGTTCAGAGCCAGAAGTCACCATAGAGTAAAGACCTGTGGAAGAGAACTGAACTTCCCAGTGAATATAAAAATAGGACTTCAGTCACCTGGATCTAAATTTCAAAGGGCAGAGGGAACTCCCCTGATGTAAGGATCTAAAAATATACAGAAAGAGGAATAGCACAAGCAAAGCACAAAACGAGGGTAATTCCACACATGCCAACATTGTGGTAATGGGAAAGCCAACCCCAGTGAGGCTGGGGAGTGGCAAGAGCATAAAAGACAAAGGGTATGTGGAGCCCTCAGCTTGACTGGCCTTTCCTGTAACTGGGATTCATTTATAAGGAGAAAAATTTCACCTTTTGTGGAATGCAAATTAGTTTAGTCACTGTGGGAGGCAGTTTGGAGATTTCTCAAAGAATTTGAAACAGACCTATTGTTTGACCCAGCAGTCCCATTACTGAGTATATACTCAAAGGAAGATAAACGGTTCTACCAAAAAAAACCCATACATTTGTATGTTCATTGCAGCACTATTCACAATAGCAAAGACATGGAATCAACCTAAGTGCCCATCAGTGGTGGACTGGATAAAGAAAATGTGGTATATATACACCATGAAATACTACACAACCATAAGAAAAATGAAATCATGTCCTTTGCCACAATATGGATGTGGCTTGAGGTCACTATCCTAAGTAAATTAATGCAGGAACAGAAAGCCAGATACCACATGTTCTCACTTGTAAGCGGGAGCTAAATATTGGGTTCACATGGGCATAAAGATGGGAACAATAGACACTAGGACCTACTAGAGGGGAGAGAGAAGAAAGCTGGCAAGGGTTGAAAAACTACCTATCGGGTACTATGCTCCCTATTTGGATGACAGGATCATTTGTACTGCAAATCTCAGCATCATGCAGTATACCCATGGAACAATCCTGCACGTGTACCCCGAATCTAAAATAAAAGTTGAAATTATAACAAAATAAAAAATAAAATGAAGAATTCTACCTCTTGGAGTCAGATCAGGCTCAGTCTGGGGTTCTGCTTATGCGATTTCATCTCTGTGCTCCTATGACAGTTCCTCTGTACTTCTACCACAAAATTATGACTCTCTACCTTGTATAGAGTTACTTGTGTGCATGCATCCTCTTTAAAAGCAGGGACCAAGGCTTTCTCATCTTTGTATTGCCAATGCCTAGCACAATGCACACAGTAGGTGCTATGCAAAAATGCATGCCATGCAAATGTTTACCCTCTTGGACTCAACTTCTAAAGACATAGTTGCAATTTAAATATCTTAATTCTCTATTTCAATTCAGAATCATAATTACAGTTTTCATTTATTAAGTTTTCACTATATGCCAGACACCTTACTGAATGCTTTAAGCATATATATTATTTCTCATTCATTTAGAATAAGAAAAAGTACCATTTTACAAAGCCTACAATAGCACCTAGCATAGAGGAATGACTCAAGAAATATTTACTGAATTAATATAGGAAGGAAAGGAGGAAAGATCAGAGGTTCAGAGGAGTGAAGGGACCTCCCCAAGGTCACTATACTTCTATAGTTTTTAGTGACAGGGAAGAAACTAATGCACCCTGATTCTCTGACAATCTATCATTCCTCACATTGTAATATAGCTGGGTTAGACATACTGATCTTAAAGGTTTCTGTCTGCTTGTGTTAGACCGAATCATGGCCCCCAAAGATTTCAATGTCTGAATCCCTAGAATCTGTGAACATGTTGTCTTACATAGTAAAAGGGACTTTGCAGATGGGATTAATTTAAGGATTTTGAGATGGGAGATTATCCTGGATTATCCAGGTAGGCCCAGTATAATCACAAATGTTCTTATAAGAGGAAGGCACAGTGAGATTTTATTACATTGGAGGAGTATCAGAATGATAGGGCACCAGGAAATTTCAACCAGGCATTGCTGGCTTTGAAGATAGAGGAAGGGGCTGCGACTCATGGAATACAGGCAACCCCTAGAAGCACAAAAGGGCAAGCAAACAGATTGTCTTGTAGAGCTTCCAGAAGGAATATGGTCCAATACTTTGAATTTAGCCCAGTAAAGCCTATTTTAGATTTCTGACCTCCAAAGCTGTTAGATAATACATTTTTGTTGTTTTAAGCCACTAAATTTGTGATAATTTTTTAATAGCAATAAGAAACAAACATGCTGCTTTTATGATCTTAAATAGTGGGTCATAAATGTCAATCAAGTGCTCTCTGAATCTTACTCTCTCCAGTGTTTTCTACCAGAAGCTTCTTGACTTGGGATTATAATTAAACATAATAATATGTAGTGTTTCATTCTCCAGGAATCTGGAGACTGTTCTTTGAGAAGGTATTCTGTTGCCTTCTAACTTCTATTGTTGCTACCATGAAACAGCTCTCATTCTAACAAGAGTTATTTGTAAGTAATCTGATTTTTCTCTCTGGTTACTTTTCAGATCTCTTTTTCCTCTGGTGTTCTACAATTGTATTATAAATGATTGGGTCTTATTTAACCTGATTAAGTTTTTTTTTTTATTTCCTGAACCTTAGTGTTCGTGCCATTCAAGTCTGTATCTGTCCTGTATGACCTCTTTCCAGTTGTCTCTACCTCAAGTTCCTATTAGATATATATTGTATGCTCTCATTTCTCCTTTTTAGTAATTGTTTCAGGAAAAAAAAAAAACAACTAAAAGTAACCTGGAAAAGCCCCTAAAAGTCTAGCAGATACTAAGTTCCTAAGCCTTGTCTCTAGACTAGAAGATAAAGGTATTCACTAACCCTAAGTCCCTGATAGGACAGCCAAGAATCTATAAATTTTTTGAGTATTTAGAGCTATGTTGTAGTTAAGTCAAAGAAAAAGCCCCTCCTAATATAGTTCTCTATAAATTTTTTAACAATAGGAACAGTCTTGAATCTATTTGTATTGTGCAATATTTTATACAGATAAAAGAACATATATAAAATATATGTTAAGACATAAAGAATAGTTTTCTTAAAAATCAGGGTACCCACTAATCCTGTTTAAGAAATAGAATGCTATCTATAGCTCTTAAGGCTACTATGTGCCCCTCTTCAATCAAATTTCTACAGAAATATTAATTCCTATAATAACCCACCCCAAAATAACAATTATTTCAATTCTATGTTTACAATTACCTTTCACAAAAGTGTGCATCCCCAAACAACATATTGTTTAGTTTTGCACTGTTTGAACTCCATATGAAATCATTGTTTGTATTCTTCAGCGTCTTTCTTGTCTTGCTCAACACTGTATTTGTGAACTTCATCCAGGTTCATGTGTGTGACTGTAGTTCATTTATTTTGACACTTTTTAGTATTTGATAATATGCATATCAAAATTTATGTATCCATTATCCTATGTTTAGACTCAAATGTTTACAGCTGTATTTTACAAATAATACTGTAATGTATATTTTTGTATATGTCTCCTGGAGAAGTGTAAGACTTTCTTGAGGGTTTCTAGTTGAATGGAATTGCTGAATTATAGGAAATTTGTTGTATTGGTTATCCGTTTCTATGTAACAATGTTACCACCAACTTAGCAACATAAAACCACACACATTTATTATCTCACTGTTTCTTGGGTCAGGAATCTGTATACAAGTGGGATCCTCACCTCCAGGGTCTTTCATAAGGCTGCAGACAAGGCATTGGCCAGAGTGGGTGTCTCACTGGACTGTTCCACTGAGGAAGAATCTGCTTCCAAACTCATGTGGTTTTTGATGGGATTCAATTTCTTGTGGGTTGTTGGACTGAAGGCCTCATTTTCTTGTAGACTGTCTGTTCTGAGTTCCTTGTCATATGGTCTTTAGCATAGGGCAACTCACAGCATGAGCATGGCAGCTTGCATCATCAAAGCCAGCAAGAAAGAGCATCTGTGAACAACTTGGAAGGCAGATTTTATGTAATCTATTCACAGAAGTGACGACCCATCACGTTTGCCATATTCTATTGGTTAGAAGCATGTCACAGGTCCTATCCACACTCCAGGGAAGGAAACTTACACAAGGGCATAAATACCAGGAGGAGGGATGCACTGGGAGCTGCCTTAGAGTCTACCTACCACTTTCAGCTTAAACCATACAATATCATCTCAAAGGGTTTTGCCAAGTAGTTTTTTCAGTGTATATTCCACCCACAGTAACTAAAAGCCTCATCGGCGATTTTTATTGCAACATATTTTGTTTATTGCTAACTTATAGGCATCAAGTATGTCTTCTAGTTGTAGTTTTCACTAATATTTTTCTGATTACTAGTGAGGTTTAATGTTTTTCCATAGGTTTAAGAGTTATTCTTGTTTCCTACTCATGAAATTAAACTTCAGGTCTCTTGCTCTTTTTTCTATTGTATTATTTGTGTTTATTTATTGATTTTTAGGAAAGTTTTGTTGTTGTTGTTGTTAATCTAGATTCTAATATCCTGACTATTTTATGTGTTGAAATTTTGTATATCAATTTGTAGCTTCTAGTTTCACTTCCTTCTTGTTTTCATAAGATTCCTTAAATCTTAATTTTTATATTTGAACTTATCAGTCTTTTACTGAATGTTTTTTGTGTTTTGTGTGTTGTGCAGGATAACTTTACTTATGCTAGAGCTATTAAGAGATTATCCTATAGCTTCTAAAAAGTTCTAAAATTTTTTTCTATAAATGTAAATCTTGAATCCACTTGGAACTGACTTTTTTGTTTTGGTTTTGGTGTTGGTTTTTATTTTGAGATGGAGTCTTGCTCTGTCGCCCAGGCTGGAGTGCAGTGGCACGATCTCAGCTCACTGCAACCTCCGCCTCCCGGGTTCAAGCGATTTTCCTGCCTCAGTCTCCTGAGTAGCTGAGATTACAGACGCACACCACCACACCCAGCTAATTTTTGTATGTTGGCCAGGCTGGTCTTGAATTCCTGACCTTGTGATCTGCCTATCTTGGCCTCCCAAAATGCTGGGATTACAGACGTGAACCACCGCACCAGCCGGAACTGACTTTTATGATGTAAAGAAGACATCAGGTTTTTCCCCTAAAAAATCATTTGTCCCACGAGTATTGATGGAGTAATCTATCTTTCCCCAGTAGATTTCAATGCTAACTCTGTCATATATCAAGTGCCCCATATGTATGGGTCTATTTCAAAACATGTTCTTATCTTTCACTGTGCTATTGCTCTAAATTTATACCAGTATACTACCATCTTATATATTCAAGCTTTGCAATAATTCTTCAGACCAAGTAGGGCAAGCACCCACTGCATCTCTGAAACCATTGTTCTTCTTCAGGATTGTCCTAACTATTTCTAAAAATGTTACTAGAAGCTTGTTGATTTTATGTCAGTAAAAGACTTTCCTGGGAATTTTTATTGATATTCCACTGAATTTCAGATTAATATGGAAAGAATAACATTAAAAGCAAGCCCTTACATAGTATTTACTATGTGTCAGGCCCTCTTTTAAGTATATTTATGTACAATCTTACATAATTAAACCAAGGCCCAGAGAGAGGTTACACAGATTATATATGAAATAATACTGAGATTACATAGCTAATAAGTAATAGGGCCAAAATTTAAATACAGGTGGTCTCACTCCAGTAACTCTATTCATAACCTTTTGTTGATACTGCCTCTGTGTCTGCTTTCTAGGACCTCTGTAGCAAAATGACACTCAGAACAACAGAAATTTATTTCCTTACAATTCTGTAGGCTAGAAGCCTGTATCAAGGTAGCAAATTTATCCACATTCCCCCTGAAACCTGTAGGATTGTGATCCTTCCCTGCCTCTTCCAGCTTCTGGTAGTCCCAGACATTCATTGGCTATAGCAACATAATTCCAATCTCTGCCTCCATCCTTACCTTATTTTCCCTTTATGCGTGCTCATTTCTGTGTCCAAATAATCCCTTTTTATAAGTTTATCAGTCATACTGAATTATGTTTCATCCCAAGGAACCTCATTTTTAATTTGGTTACCTTTGTAAAGACCCTATTTTTTTCTTAATAAGGTCACATTCTGAGGTACTGGGGGTTAAAACTTCAACATGTCCTTTTGAGGGAATATAATTCAATTAGTAAAACTGCCTCTAATTTATAGTTACATTTTTATGATACTGAGTATTTCTATCTATGAACATGGTATAGCTTTCCACTTACATATCTCCATTTAAATTCTTTAATCATTTTTACTAATTCCCTTCATAAAGTTTTCAGACACCTTTGTTATATGTATTTGGAAATAGCTTATGTATTAGTTTTCTATTGTTGCTGTAACAAATTACCACAAACTTAGTGGCTTATACCAACACAAACTTACCTTCTTACAGTACTAGAGGTTAGATATCCTAAAATCAGAGAATCAGTAAGGCTATGTTCTTTCTGGAGGCTCTAGGGGAAAATCTGCTTCCTTGCCTTTCCCAGGGGATTCTGTCTCTTGATTGTTTCATAGTGCTCACCTATAGATTTTTCTAAGATTATTTTATTTGTTGGAAGACTTTTAACTACCAACTCAATTTTTAATACTTACAGAACTATTCGTGTTTTCTATTTATTTCTCAGTCAACTGAGTAATTATATTTTTTATCACCAGCCTCTCCTTCAGTCAGTAGATTCCAGCTCTGGAAATTTGGCTCAGATCTGAAAACTGGGCAAAGGATAGTAATTTCATTGTGGTGGTTGCCCTCAGCTTCCTGACCATCTGTTATTGATTTCTTCTGATGGTTTTGAACCCTATTGGATACCCATCTAGGGACATCAATGTTATTAACCATCTCTATAACTCTCTGCAACTCAGTCCCCCTTGGGTGCCACTCTGACTTAGTCACTCATTACAACAGTCGTATCCACTTGGCTTCTGATGGTAAGGTAGTGTCATCTTACTTCTATTGTTTTGGGGTCTATATTCTTACTGCTACCAGTGAGTCTTGTTCTGTAGTAGCCTCTCATTCCAACACCCCTGGCCTATAGAGCAGAGTACCAGTGAAATTTGTAATGCTACTGGTGTCCGTTTCACCAATGCATACATGATGGTCTTGGTAAATGGACCGTATGCCATGCTTCCCCTTGGAACATAATCATCTTGCGAGTTATCCAGTCTTCACATAGTTTTCCAATCTGATTACTTCCCTGGGTCTTTTAATACCTTTTTCTGCTGTCTACCATGGATTTCTAATACTCTGAGTCACTGAGCATGCACAGAAGCCATTCTAGTAGCAAGTTCACACTATCTCCAGGAGTCCTTGCCAAGGTCCCAAATTTTGTATTTCAGGAGAGCATTCTAAAATCAATAAACTCTTCCTTATTCAATTTTATGTTCTGACCTCCATTATGCACCCTCAGAACACAGTTGCACCCTCAGAACACAGTCTCATATATTCCTTCCTGGCTTCTGCTAGTACATATTGGCTAGGTCTTGTGGCTCCTTAAGGGTATGGTCTTTTTCTTCCCTTATCAGGCCTAGTATATTCCCAGTTGGGTTATTCAGCAACTTAACCCTAGTTATAAGCCTAGTGACCAGGAGAAGTGAGAGAAGATTCTGAAGAGACACATGTTATCCTGGGAAAAGGGTCTACTGCATTGGCCTCAGGCAAGGGGATAAGGTGCTGGCTCTTAATTCATATAATAGCCTCCTTAGGCACACTCAGATGATTCCTAGATGAAGGTCTGGGAAAGGGAGGATGAATCTAGAGGCTCCCATTTCAAGTGTCAGGGTCTCTCTCATTCCCACCTTGAGGGCCTGCCATTGGTATAGTAGACTTGCTTTGGTTGTAAGTTTACTCTTTGGAGCTCAACTACTCTGATTAAGTCATAGGCATATTGCTCAGTTTTCTTTCCTCTCTCATTGCAAGAGATGTGATCCTTTTTACAGGCTGCAAAAGAGGCCTCTGACTTTCACATTTGGCTTTCAAAATAGCCTTTTATTCATTCTCAGTCTCTCAGTATCTTTTTTTAGAGCTTCAGTAAAGCATAAAAATAGCTATCCAATCCCATTGTCTTTTACTTACTATTTCCAACATGTTTGACAAATGTCTAATACTTCACACCAGCTAGTGCATTCCTTTCTAACAAAATATCCCAAATCATCACCAATGGAAGTTTTGACAACTGGACCACCACCTTTATCCAGGGGCTATCTGTGCTCCTCCTACCACCTGTGATGGGATCCTCATTGCCATCTGGGCTGTAAATAGTACAACTCCAAAATCCCATCTTAATACCAGCTTTCTTGACCTGCCAAAGTTTGAGTTATTCAAGAAGCTGATTCTGAGACAGAGTTTAATGTTTAGGATATTTGTTAGAAAGTACTATTGTGATTAACACCTGTGGAAGGGAGAAAGGGAAAGAAGAACTGTGCAAATAGAGAAACTGATTTGCAATATAAGCCAAAGAACTTCAGCTGACCCTATGTGGAGCTCTGAAAAGGAACTGACCCATCAAAATTTTCCCACATTAAACTAAAATGGCTGGCCTATATACCTCCATCTCAATCAGTCATTGGATATGCCCTAAGAAAGGGTGTGGCCTTAGCCAAGGTGGTTCTCTATAGCTGAGGGGGGACCTAAACAGGTTGACAGCTGAAGATGCCAAAGGTGGTACATTCAGCAGCTGGGGCAACAAAGTCTTCCTGAAAGAAAACTCTGGGCAGTGCAAGTCTATGTCCAGCAGAGTTGGTTCTTTGAAACGTGTAATAAAACTGACTCTCATCTGACATGTCTGACCCAAAAGTAAACAAGATAAATGAGACCAAAAAAAAGGTCAAAAATATTAGAAAAAAAAATAGGACAAAACTAAGGGAAAAAATTTCAAAAGTAGAATAGTACAAATAAATGTATGCCAACATACTGAAAATTATTACATAGCAAAAGTAACTCAGGAAAAGGTAGAAATATAGAATAAATCCCTACTTTTAAAAGAGTCAGTGAGTTCATATTTAAAACATCTACCCCTCAAAAATCATTATGCCCAAATTATGTTCTACCAAACTGTGAAATAATTCCAAAGTTAAATAAACTCAAAGGATAAGAAAAAAAAGAATATTCCCAAACACATTTGTAAATTTTTAAATAATGTATTATATTATATGATCCCAATTAAACAAATGTTAATTATATATCATTTCATAATATGTTTTACATATACTAATATAACCTAGTATTGATAGATACTAATATATATGTTTAAATATAATCCATACTATTTATAATTATTTTATACACATATTTATACACACAAATATAACATGAAATATAGAAACCAAATAGCCATAAGTTAACAATGGTTGTCTAAGAGTGCTGAAATGATGGGTCCTGTTATTTTACCTTCATGGTTTTCTATATGCTACTAATTTCTATAATGAATGTGAATTACTTTAATTGGGAAAATTTATTATTTCTAGTAAAACTATAATATATATCTCTACTCACAGATTTTTAATAGCAAATTCAATCAAAAGACTCATGAAAATTTTGCTTAACACATTTATTCCTTGAAACAGATGGTTTAATGGGCACATTATCCATTCATCTAGATTTTCTAAGTTCTACTGTCTATAACAGAAAAGCAAAATTCTTGGAGCATATAATCTCTGCCCTCCAACAAAGCATCAGAACAGGAGCCAGGAGACCTGGCTCCCAGTCCCAGTTCTGGTACCAACTAGCTGTGAGATTTTAGGCAAGTCACTTAAATTCTCTGATTTTCCATTTACCCACCTATAAAAGAGAGAACCTGGATTATAGTGTTCCAATGTCCTTTCCAACTCTAAAATCCTGTCATTTTCTAAATTCCTTCATTCAGTAAACCCACTGCCTAAATAGAGAATCTAAATAAATCTTTTTGAACAGAGTTGGGTTACTTGCTGTAAGTCATAGTTGACACATGTACACTTGTAATCACTCAATGTCATGATTTAATTTTAGGAAAACGATTTTCCTGAATATAAAAAAGAAAACCCAAGTATGCACAATTTAACAATGAGTGGCAAAATATATATATATACTCCCTACTAAATGCAAGACTCACATAAATATAATGAGAAAAATAATGAAGAAAATATTTATTACCTGCTTTTTAAAAATAGTGCAATATAGTAAATATTGATAAGTATACAAATGTCCATAATACAAGTTTCAAAGTACAAGGAAAAAAACATAGTATTCCCTTGACATTTAAGGATTTGCAGTTCAGTTTTAACTATTCACAAGCAAGTCTGAAAGCTTGTATGTCATAATTTGCCAAGATATTTTTGTTGGGGAATAATCCAGAACCTCTTTCACAGAATTACCTAAGCCAAACTGGCGTTCTGGAAGCTTGTTTTTAACAGATATCAGTTGCCAGTATAATGCAGCACATGCCATATCTTCAATAAGATTTAATGTTCAATAAAATATATTTATTTTATATGAAATATATTATTTATATGTATTTTAATAGCTCCCCATGTAATGAAAAGATTGTATTTTCAAATTATTTTTTTACATCAGTATGAATTTCCTGTTGCTTTTTATAGAATCTAATATTAAGCTGCCTGTTTCACAGTTGACATCTTTGAGAAAAAAAAGATTTATAGTATATTCACTTGTAATGTTGCATAGCTAATAATGATAATGGCTGACATTTATTGAGTGATTACTATGTTCCTAGCACATGTGAAAAAGTACAGGCTCTGGAGCCAAACTGCCTGGGTTTCAATCCCTTTTCCACCTCTTAGTAACTATATGTTATTTGCTTTTCCAAATCTTAACTGAGTCACCAAAAAATGGGAATTAAAATAACACCCATTTCATAGGGTTGTGATGAGAATTAAACAATCAAATGCAGGTAAAGGGATTAAAACAGTTCTTGGCATATTGAAACTGCTCAGTGGTAGTTATTACTATTGTTATTATTGCTATCACTAATCCCCACAACAATCACAGGGCACATTTACTATTATAGTTCTCGTATATTGGTAAGTAACTTGGGCATAGAGAAGTCAAGCATTGTTCTCAAGTGACAGGGATAGTCAATGGCAGAACTGGGTTTCAATATAGGCAGTGTAAGAAGCATAATCCTGATCATATATTTGTTATTAACTACAAATAATACAATTACAAATATTTATTAAGCATCAAACATGCTCCAGGTTTTGGTCTAGAGATTGGGTATACAATGGGAAACAAAATCACTGGGGTCTCTCTGTTGTACTGAAACTTATATTCTACCAGGGGGCAAGACAGGAGGAGATAGACAGAGGCATTAAACAAGCAAACAAATAAATGAGCATGATCATTTCAGATCATAATAGGTTATCAAAATAATGATACTAAAATAGGATAATGTGAAGGTGACAGGAGTGATTGAGGTGGGGACCAGAGAAGAATTTATGTAGGGTGGTGAGGGAAGACCTCTCTAAAAAGAACATTTGAACTGAGATCTGAGTGGTATGATGGACTCACCATGAGATGACCTAGAGAAAGAGCTCCTCAGGCAATGGGAAAACATGTGCAAAGCCTTTCAGGAAGGAACCAATTTGGATTTATAAGGAAACAAAAAGGAAGCCAATAAAGTTGGAGAATAATAAAGAAAGAAAGCAGTATGAGAGGAAGTCATGAGAGACTAGGTCATGAATTGTTGATTTAAATGAATGGATGGAGAAATGAATGAATAAATAAACAAAAAGAGCAGGCCAGGTGCAGTGGCTCACACCTGTAATCCCAGCACTTTGGGAGGCTAAGGCAGGTGGATCACCTGAGGTCAGGAGTTCGTGACCAGCCTGGCCAACATGGTGAAACCCCGTCTCTACTAAAAATACAAAAATTAGCCAGGGGTGGTGGTGGGCACTGGTAATCCCAGATACTTGGGTGTCTGAGGCAGGAGAATCACTTGAATCTAGGAGGCGGAGGTTGCAGTGAGCCAAAATCATGCCATTGCATGATCTCCTTTAGCTCTATGTCTCACATCCAGGTCACGCTGATGCAAGAGGTGGACTCTCATGTCTTTAAACAGCTCCACCCCTGTAGCTTTGCAGATTATAGTCCCACTCCTGGCTGCTTTCACAGGTTGGCATTGAGTGTCTGTGGCTTTTCCAGGCACATGGTACAATGGACAAGAGCAAAACTCTGTCAAAAAAAAAAAAAAAAAAAAGCCGAGAACCCTGCCCAAGGTAAGATTATGTATTTATCAAAATATGTATTGCATGCCTTCCAATGCCTGGCATAGTACCAGGTACTGAAAATACATTTTAAAAACTAAAATAAAAAGCAAACAAAAATCCCTGCCCCAATGGAACTTTACATTAGAGAGAAGCAGACAATAAATAAATGTATTAAGTAAAGAATATGGCAGCTTCCATGTGGTGTTGGGCCTGTGGGTAAACAGAAGTCAAGAATGAGGTTGGGGATCCTCCTCCTAGATTTCAGAGGATATATGGAAACGCCTAGATGTCCAGACAGAAGTTTGCTGCAGGGGTGGAGCCCTTATGGAGAACCTCTGCTACAGCAGCAGTGAAAGGGAAATGTGGGGTTGGAGCCCCCACACAGAGTCCCCATTGGGGCAATGCCTAGTGGATCTGTGAGAAGAGGGCCACCGTCTTCCAGAACCCAGAATGGTAGATCCACAAACAGCCTGCGCTCTGTGCCTGGAAAAGCCACAGACACTCAATGCCAACCTGTGAAAACAGCCAGCAGTGGGACTATAATCTGCAAAGCCACAGGAGTGGAGCTGTTTAAAGACATAAGAGTTCACCTCTTGCATCAGTGTGACCTGGATGTGAGACATAGAGCCAAAGGAGATCATTTTGGAACTTTAAAGTTTAATGACTGCCCTATGGATTTTTGACTTGCATGGGGGCCTGTAGCCCTTTTGTTTTGGCCAATTTATTCCATTTAGAATGAGTGTATTTACCCCATGCCTGTACCCACATTGTATCTAGGAAGTAACTAACTTGCTTTTGATTTTACAGGCTCACAGGCAGAAGGGACTTGCCTTATCTCAGATGGGACTTTGGACTTGGACTTTTGCTGGAATGAGTTAAGACTTTAGGGGGCTGATTATGTTTTGAAATATAAGGACGTGAGATTTGGGAGGGGCCGGGGGTGGAGTGATATGTTTTGGCTGTGCCCCTACCCAAATCTTATCTTGAATTGTTCCCATAATCCCCACATGTTGTGGGAGAAACCTCATGGGAGGTGATTAGATTATGGGGGCGATTCCCCCATGCTGTTCTCGTGATAGTGGGTGAGTTCTCATGAGATCTGATGATTTTAAAAGGAGCTTTTCCCCCTTTGCTCTGCACTTTTCTCTCCTGCTGCCATGTGAAGAAGAACATGTTTGCTTCCCCTTTTGCCATGATTGTCATTTTCGTGAGGCCTCCCCAACCGTGTGGAACTGTGAGTCAATTAAACTTCTTTTTCTTTATAAATTACCCAGTCTCAGGCAGTTCTTTATAGCAGCATGAGAATGGACTAAATACAATTGCCCATAGAAACTTTACTGCACATGGTGTCTGGTTTGGTGGAACTCTAAGCACAGTGCCTTTGGAGGACTTGGGGTGGGGAACTTGACCTGAGGTGTTTGTGGCAACTTAGAAACTATCTGGAGTGAAAGCACCAAGAGGACTTAATGGGCAAGAATGGCCATCCATGCAACAACCCAGTGAGCATCACCCTGGGCAAGAGCAACATCCTCTGGCAGGATCAGTCACAGCTCTGTGACCATTTCTGGCCACATTTCAGTCTCCTGTTTCTCTGTTTTTCCCAACCTCTGATCCCTAGCTCCTCTCCTGCTTCAGACCACAGCATCTTCCAGTGACCTCCAAGTCCTTAAACCTGGCTGCCTCTCAAGACCCTGCCTGTCAGGTGATGAGCTAAATGTTTCTCCCTCACCACTTTCTAGGACTAAGACTGCACACATTCTGGTTTTCCCTCTGCCCACTGGCCTCCAGCCAGACATAACAATATGAAAAAGTCTCTCAACTTTCAAACAACAGATCTAAAACTGAATTTCAGAACAAAGCTGGAATATCAACTCAGAGCTGACTGAACTACAAGGAAATTTCTCGAGGTGATAATCCCAGTTCCTACCTCCTTTCCCCCATGCCCCCTCCCCCCATATTACCTGGAAGCACAGCCAGGTTCTAGTGTGGCAGGCTGCCCATCTGCTCAATGCCTGAAACAGAAAATAAATCCTCTGTTCATATGGCTGACAAGCTGGATGACTAATTGCAAAAGAGACCAGTAATTTATTGGAATAGAAATTGAGGTCATTTAGGCAGGATTTAAATACTTTTTTCCTAGCCAATTTTTCTAATTGACTTTAAGAAATCTTGCTCTCTAAGAAGTTGGAAGTGCATCAATGTCCTAATCTGACTTCATTTCATTCTTTTAGTCAGGCTATCTGTTCTTCTACCATTTCTCCATACGTTAATTGAATATTGAATATTTGTGCTACACACTACACAGCATTTTTTGCACTTGTATTAATTTCTTTTCATGATATTCTACTTAAGAGGAAAAACAACTCAATCAAAAGACCAGGACTCAATGTCAAAAGGGACAAACTAAAATCTCAGTTTGTTCTTTTCCTTCTGTCCTTTCCTAACTAACTCTAACCTTAGCTCTCAGCTTAGAGACCTCTTGCTCCAGTGACCCTTTCCTGAACCAACCACAGAGCAGGAGTAGGTCCTCCTTATCTGGGCTTCCATTGTAGCCCATCTTTTATGTATCCCAGGACTGAATGCTTCTATACTAAATGTTTGTTTCTCTGCATTTCTTACTATATTCTTAGTGCTATGAGGGCCAAAACCTCATCATATTGACCAGGTATTCCCACATTCAAGAACAGAGTCTGGCAGTTAAGCACTTAATGTCCAAATGAATCAGTGTATGGAAGAAACAGATAAATGAGCACAGGGCAGGGACAGAGTAGGAATGAAATAAGAGGGTCCACGTTGGTGGACATAAGAGTATTAACATAATGGTGCACTGTGCCTGGCTTCTTGGCACGTGTTTGCTGTTGGCGGTATCAATTGTGGATGGACAGGTGAGACCTAAGGCTTCAGGATCAGGTTGGTAACTTTGCTGCCAATACTATGGGCATACTGTTTTTTTTTCTGCCCACTCTATCACTTCCCCATGCTCTACTATACACTGCCCTTTTTCTTGATCCTTAATTTCTTATGAGCAACTCTACTATTGTCCATTGAGGGCACAGTTGTTTCTCACTTCAAAGACACTGCAATACCCTGTCTCAGGATAATGTCTCTTTATAAACTTGGACTTTTTTGTATTGTATTTTACCAAATTCTGCACATACTTCTCTACTTAATATTATAAATATATATTTTTCTGGCCTGAATTTTAAAGCTAGTTTTTTAAATTTTAAAAATAAAATCTTAAATGCTGCTTAAATGTTATTGGATGTGGAATGTTTTACCTTCATGAAGGGGCTGCAGGGTCTTTTTCCCAGTATATATTTCAGCATGTCATGGATGCTCAAGTCTCTGGGAAAACCTAGAGTCTTGCTTATAGAATGTGGTCCAAACTAGGCAATTACTTGATGTCTCTCTCTTCCTAAAAATGTATGAAACCAAGAAAAGGGAATTATTATTTTTTTAACCATAGGTGAGTCTCTAACGAATGTGCACAGTAGATTTGAAAGATTAACCTGTATGAAAGTTCAAAACCAACTAATGGTAACTGATTAGATACTATATAAACGGCAGGGAGAAAAACAAATGCTTAAGGGTAGATTTTATGTAATTTATGTAGCTTTGATTATTTGTATTTTAGCTTTCTTTAAATAACTCACCAAGAACTGTTGAAAACACCCTCTCTTTCTCATAGAGAAAATATATTTCTTAGTTTGTGGAAGGACTTGCTAGCTCTCTAACATATTGTAGGTGACATTTTGTGTGACAGCAAAAATATGTGAAAATTGTATTATGTAAATGATATTTTATAAATTAACTGCAATTAAAAATGATAGTCTCTCAGATGTTATTTTACTTTTATAGGATAACATCAGTGACTATCATATTAGCAACTAAAAATGCAGCCAGGCATGGTTAATCCCAGCACTTTGGGAGGCCAGGGTGGGCAGATTGCTTGAGGCCAGGAGTTCGAGATCAGCCTGGGCAACATGGTAAAATCCCATCTCTACTAAAAATGCAAAAATTAGCTGGGCATGGTGGCATATGCCTGTAATCCCAGCTATTCAGGAGGCTGAGGCACAAGAATCGCTTGAACCAAGGAGGCAGAGGTTGCAGTGAGCTGAGATTGTGCCACTGCACTCCATCCTAGGTGACAGAGCAAGACTCTGTCTCAAACAAAACAAAACAAAACACACAAAAGAATTAAAATGCAATACTTTGGGCTGAGCAATGAGTTTAATTTATTTGGCCTTTGTTTATCTTTGAATAAACAGAGGCTAATGATGAGGTTAATTTTTTGGGCCTTTGTTTGTCTTTGTCTTTGAAACACAAAGACAACTGAGGCATAGCCCATGTGCTCAAAGAGCTTTCAAATCAAGTACAGGAGAGAAGAGAAATAACCAGACAGAACATGATCAGCCACATTAGGAAAGGCATCAGGTTGTAAGCAAGTTCAGAGCCCTGACAGACCCTTTATGTTTGGGAGCATATACGAAGTCTTCTTGGAGATGGTGGCCTTGAAACTAGGTCACAAAATATGAGTAGGACTTGGGAGAACTCTTCCAAGATGGCCAAATAGGAACAGGTCCAGTCTGCAGCTCCCAGCAAGACTGACGCAGAAGATGGGTGATTTCTGCATTTCCAACTGAGGTACCTGGTTCATCTCAATGGGACTGGTTGGACAGTTGGTGTGGCCCATGGAGGGCAAGCCAAAGCAGGGTGGGGCATCACCTCACCTGGGAAGCACAAGGAGCTGGGGGATTTCCCTTTCCTAGCCAAGGGAAGCCATGAGAGACTGTACCAGGAAGAAGGATACACTCCTGCCTCAATACTGCATTTTTCCCACATTCTTTACAACCTGCAGACCAGGAGATTCTCTCCTGTGCCTGGCTCAGTGCGTCCCACACCCACAGAGCCGAGCAAGCTAAGATCCATTGGCTTGAAATTCTTGCTGCTAGTGCAGCAGTCTGAGATTGACCTGGGACACTGGAGCTTGGAGCGGGGAGGGGTGTCCACCATTGCTGAGGCTTGAGTAGGTGGTTTTATGCTCACAGTGTAAACAAAGCTGCTGGAAAGCTTGAAATGGGCAGAGCCCACCGCACCCCAGCAAGGCCAACTGCCTCTCTAGATTCCACATCTGTGGGCAGGGCATATCTGAAAAAAAGGCAGCAGCCCAAGTCAAGGACTTATAGAGAAACCCTCGTCTCCCTGGGACAGAGCACTTAGGGGAAGGGGCAGCTCTGGGCACAACTTCTCCAGACATAAACATCCCTGCCTGTCAGCTCTGAAGAGAGCAGTGGTTCTCCCAGCATGGGAGAAAGACACCTCATACAGGAGAGCTATGGGTGGCATCTGGCAGGTGCCCCTCTGGAACGAAGCTTCCAGAGGAATGATCAGGCAGCAATACTTGCTGTTGTGCAGACTCTGATGGTGATACCCAGGCAAACAGGGCCTGGAGTGGACCTCCAGCAAAGTCCAACAGACCTGCAGCTGAGGGGCCTGAGTGTTAGAAGGAAAACTAACGAACAGAAAGGAATAGCATCAACATCAACAAAAAGGACATCCACATCAAAACCCCATTGGTAGGTCACCAACATTAAAGAACAAAGGTAGATAAAACCACAAAGACAGGGAGAAACCAGAGTAGAAAGGCTGAAAATTCCAAAAACCAGAACGCCTCTTCTCCTCCAAAGGATCACAACTCCTCGCCAGCAAGGGAACAAAACTGGATGGAGAATGAGTTTGATGAGTTGACAGAAGTAGGCTTCAGAAGGTGAGTAATAACAAACTTCTCTGAGCTAAAGGAGCATGTTCTAACCCATTGCAAGGAAGCTAAAAACCTTGAAAAAAAGTTAGACAAATGGCTAACTAGAATAACAAGTGTAGAGAAGAACATAAATGACCTGATGGAGCTGAAAAACAGCACGAGAACTTTGTGAAGCATACACAGGCTTCAATAGCCAATTTGATCAAGCGGAAGAAAGAATATCAGTGATTGAAGATCAAATTAATGAAATAAAGCGACAAGAGTTGAGAAAAAAGTGTGAAAAGAAATGAACAAAGCCTCCAAGAAATATGGGACTATATGAAAAGACCAAATCTACGTCTGATTGGTGTACCAGAAAGTGACAGGGAGAATCGAACCAAGTTAGAAAACACTCTTCAGGATATTATCCAGGAGAACTTCCCCAACCTAGCAAGGCAGGCCAACATTCAAATTTGGGAAATAACAGAGAATACCACAAAGATATTCCTCAAGAATAGCAACCCCAAGACCCATAATCATCAGACTCACCAAGGTTGAAATGAAGGAAAAAATGTTAAAGGCAGCCAGAAAGGTCAGGTTACCCAAAAAGGGAAGCCCATCAGACTAACAGCTGATCTCTCTGCAGAAACCGTACAAGCCAGAAGAGAGTGGGGTCCAATATTCAACATTCTTAAAGAAAAGAATTTTCAACCTAGAATTTCATATCCAGCCAAACTCAGCTTCATAAGTGAAGGAGGAATAAAATCCTTTACAGACAAGCAAATGCTGAGAGATTTTGTCACCACCAGGCCTGCCTTACAAGAACTCCTGAAGGAAGACCTAAACGTGGAAAGGAGCAACCAGTATCAGCCACTGCAAAAGCATGCCAAATTGTAAAGACCATCAACACTATGAAGAAACTGCATCAACTAACAGGAAAAATAACCAGCTAGCATCATAATGACAGGATAAAATTCATACATAACGATATTAACCTTAAATGTAAATGGGCTAAATGCCCCGATTAAAAGACACAGACTGGCAAATTGGATAAAGAGTCAAGACCCATCAGTGTGCTGTATTCAGGAGACCCATCTCACATGCAAAGACACACACAGGCTCAAAATAAAGGGATGGAGGGAGATCTACCAAGCAAATGGAACGCAAAAAAAAAAAAAAAAGCAGGGGTTGCAATCCTAGTCTCTGATAAAATAGACTTATAACCGACAAAAATCAAAAGAGATGAAGAAGGGCATTACATAATGGTAAAGGGATCAATTTAACAAGAAGAGCTAACTATCCTAACTATATATGCATCCAATACAGCAGCACCCAGATTCATAAAGCAAGTTCTTAGAGACCTACAAAGAGACTTAGACTCCCATACAATAATAATTGGAGACTTTAACATCCCATTGTCAATAGTAGACAGATCAAGACAGAAACTTAACAAGGATATCTGGGACTTGAACTCAGCTCTGGACCAAGCAGACCTAATAGACATCTACAGAACTCTCCACCCCAAATCAACAGAATGTAAGTTCTTCTCAGCACCACATGGCACTTATTCTAAAATTGACCACGTAATTGGAAGTAAAGCACTCCTCAGCAAATGTAAAAGAACAGAAATCACAACAAACTGTCTCTCAGACCACAGTGCAATCAAATTAGAACTCAGGATTAAGAAACTCACTCAAAACTGCACAACTACATGGAAACCGAACGACCTGCTCCTGAATGACTACTGGGTAAATAACGAAATGAAGGCAAAAATAAAGATGTTCTTTGAAACCAATGAGAACAAAGACACAACATACCAGAATCTCTGGGACACATTTAAAACAGTGCGTAGAGGGAAATTTATGCACTAAATGCCCAAAAGAGAAAGCAGGGAAGATCTAAAATTGACACCCTACCATCACAATTAAAAGAACAAGAGAAGCAAGAGCAAACAAATTCAAAAGCCAGCAGAAGACAAGAAATAACTAAGATCAGAGCAGAACTGAAGGAGATAGAGACACGAAAAACCCTTCAAAAAAATCAATGAATCCAGGAGCTGGTTTTTTGAAAAGACCAACAAAATAGATAGACTGCTAGCAAGACTAACAAACAAGAAAAGAGAGAAGAATCAAATAGACGCAATAAAAAATGGTAAAGGGGATACCACCACCGATCCCACAGAAATACAAACTACCATCAGAGGATACTATGAACACCTGTATACAAATAAACAAGAAAATCTAGAAAAAAATGGATAAATTCCTAGACACATACACCCTCCCAAGACTAAGCCAGGAAGAAGTTGAGTCTCTGAATAGGTCAATAACTGGTTCTGAAATTGAGGCATTAATTAAGAGCCTACCAACCAAAAAAAGTCCCGGACCAGATGGATTCAGAGCTGAATTCTACCAGAGGCACAGAGAGGAGCTGGTACCATTCCTTCTGAAACTATTCCAATTAATAGAAAAAGAAGGAATCCTCCCTAACTCACTTTATGAGGCCAGCATCATCCTGATACCAAAGTCTGGTAGAGACACACACAAAAAAAGATAATTTTAGCCCAGTATCCCTGATGAACATCGATGCGAAAATCCTCAATAAAATACTGGCAAACCAAATCCAGCAGCACATCAAAAAGCTTATCCACCACAATCAAGTCAGCTTCATCCCTGGGATGCAAGGCTGGTTCAACATATGCAAATCAATAAATGTAATTCATCACATAAACAGAACCAACAACAAAAACCACATGACTATCTCAATAGATGCAGAAAAGGCCTTCAACAAAATTCAACAGCCCTTCATGCTAAAAACTCTCAATACACTAGGTACTGATGGAACATATCTTAAAATAATAAAAGCTATTTATGACAAACCCACAGCCAATATCATACTGAAGGGGCAAAAACTAGAAGCATTCCCTTTGAAAACCAGCATAAGACAGGGATGGCCTCTCTCACCACTCCTATTCAACATAATATTGGAAGTTCGGGCCAAGGCAATCAGACAAGAGAAAGAGATAAAGGGTATTCAATTAGGAAAAGAGGAAGTCAAATTGTCTCTCTTTGCAGATGACATGACTGTATATTTAGAAAACCCCATCATCGCAGCCCAAAATCTCCTTAAGCTAATAAGTAACTTCAGCAATGTCTCAGGATACAAAATCAATGTGCAAAAATCACAAGCATTCCTATACACCAATAACAGAGAGCCAAATCATGAGTGAACTCCCATTCACAATTGCTACAAAGAGAATAAAGTACCTAGGAATCCACCTTACAAGGGATGTGAAGGACCTCTTCAAGGAGAACTACAAACCACTGCTCAATGAAATAAAAGAGGACACAAACAAGTGGAAGAACATTCCATGCTCATGGATAGGAAGAATCAATATCATGAAAATGGCCATACTGCCCAAAGTAATTTATAAATTCAATGCCATCCCCATCAAGCTACCACTGTTTTTCTTCACAGAATTGGAAAAAACTACTTTAAATTTCATATGGAACCAAAAAAGAGCCCACACAGCCAAGACAATCCTAAGCAAAAAGAACAAAGCTGGAGGCATCACGCTACCTGACTTCAAACTATACTACAAGGCTACAGTAACCAAAACAGCATGATACTGGTACCAAAACAGATATATAGACCAATGGAACAGAACAGAGTCCTCAGAAATAACGCCACACATCTACAACCATATGATCTTTGACAAACCTGACAAAAACAAGCAATGGGGAAGGGATTCCCTATTTAATAAATGGTGCTGGGAAAACTGGCTAGCCATATGTAGAAAGCTGAAACTGGATCCCTTCCTTACACTTTATACAAAAATTAAGATGGTTTGAAGACTTAAATGTAAGACCTAAAACCAAAAAAACCCTAGAAGAAAACCTAGGTAATACCATTCAGGACATAGGCATGGGCAAGGACTTCATCACTAAAACGCCAAAAGCAATGGCAACAAAAGCCAAAACAGACAGATGGGATCTAATTAAACTGAAGAGCATCTGCACAGCAAAAGAAACTACCATTAGAGTGAACAGGCAACCTACAGAGTGGGAGAAGGTTTTTGCAATCTATCCATCTGACAAAGGGCTAATATCCAGAATCTACAAAGAAAGTAAACAAATTTACAAAAAAACAAAAAAACAAAAAAGAACAACCCCATAAAAAAGTGGGCAAAGGATATGAACAGACACTTCTCAAAAGAAGACATTTATGCAGCCAACAGACATATGAAAAAATGCTCATCATCACTGGTCATTAAAGAAATGCAAATCAAAACCACAATGAGATACCATCTCATGCCAGTTAGAATGGCGATCATTAAAAAGTCAGGAAACGACAGATGCTGGAGAGTATGTGGAGAAATAGGAATGTTTTTACACTGTTGGTGGGAGTGGAAATTATTTCAGCCATTGTGGAAGACAGTGTGGTGATTCCTCAAGGATCTAGAACTAGAAATACCATTTGACCCAGCAATCCCATTACTGGGTATATGACCAAAGGATTATAAATCATGCTACTATAAAGACACATGTACATGTATGTTTATTGTGGCACTATTCACAATAGCAAAGACTTGGAACCAACCCAAATTCCATCAATACTAGACTGGATAAAGAAAATGTAGCACATATGCACCATGGAATACTATGCAGCCATAATAAAGGATGAGTTCATGTCCTTTGCAGGGACATGGATGAAGCTGGAAACCATCAATCTCAGCAAACTATCACAAGGACAGAAAACCAAACACCTCATGTCCTCACTTATAAGTGGGAGTGGAACAATAAAAACACATGGACACAGGGAGGAGAACATCACACACCAGGGTCTGTTGGGGGTGGGGGCCAGGGGGAGGGATAGCATTAAGAGAAATACCTAATGTAAATTACAAGTTGATGGGTGCAACAAACCAACATGGCACATGTAAACCTATGTAACAAACCTGCACGTTGTGTACATTTACCCCAGAACTTAAAGTATAATAATAAAAAAATTCACATTAAAAAAAATATATATATATATGAGTAGGACTTTACCAGGAGTAGAAGGACAGAAAGAAATGGGAAGACATTTCAGGAAGAGGAACTCATGTAACCAAAGCTGTGAAAAAGGACGTTTATGGGGTAGTGTTGAGGCATAGGAAATACACGAGTTGGTGGGAGTAAGAGCTACATAGGGGAGAAATGGGAGAAACATCCAAACACCTAGGTTATTTCCCAATCATGAAGAAATACAACAACACAGTTAAGAAATTGAAACTTTGGTCTGAGGGGTATAATCGCTAGAGGTACCTATGCAGAGAAATGGCAGGATTTGCTATGTTTCAGGAAGGCTCCTCTGGCAGTGTGTGCAGGATCTCCCATGGATTTGGGATAAAATCCCAAATTCTTGACATGGTCTATAAGCCCCTGCAACTTTTCTCATCTCCTTTCTCTCCATAGCATTGTCTCTCTGCAGGCACACGTGGGTTCTCTCAGACTGGCGGGGCACTAGGATGCTTCCTGCTCTCCCATGTCCCACCCCCACAGCCAGTTAATATCTTTTTCTTCCTTTACAACTTAGCTAAATGTCACATCCTCAGGGAAACTGTCCCTTACCACCAAGCATGTTGCTCCTTTTTCTCTGAATCTTATCACTTATCCCAATGGTGGAATTGGTGATTACCGTGTCCCTCTGCCTACTACAGGTAAGAAAATTGAGGCTCAAAGAGGTGTCTCCCACCCCATTATAAGACAAAAGAATGAGGAGAACAAACTAAGATACAGAGAACTATTTGCTCCAGAATAAATAAATATTCACAGTTTTTAGTTGGTGTTATGCAATGATTTTTTATTTGTAGTCCTTGGATTAGACAACGTCAATATGTCCTCTTCCATAATAACTAACCATTGTAAAGAGATGTATAAATTATATTTATAAATTTCATTGTATAGAGATTTATGATTAAAAGGCAGAGTGTCCCAGACTGAAGGACGTTCTACCTGTTCAAAGGCATGAGGATTAGAGGGCTGAGATAGTGTGGTGCACTCATGCAACAAAAAGAAATTCTATACAGTGAGAGCATAGGCTACAAGGGGAGGAGTCAAGGTTACATGGGTCAGGAGCCCCATAAGTTATTCTGGCAGATGTCCTCATTGCCCAACCAGATCATCTTGGCACCACTGTTCCAGTCCATGCTGATCACATTCTAATACCCACATCTGTGGCTCTGTACCTGAGAGTTTTCTTTCAGTCCTAAGAGAAGCAGGCTCAGAGCTCTAGGGAGTTCAGGCAGCAGGAGCATCCCTTGACTAATGATGAATGGGAGCTGGAGGATAAACAAATACCTCCAGCTTCCCTACCTTGCAGGTGAAATCGGTCTTACTGTCTCTTACACTGTCTCCCAGAACTCCCTGCCAAACTGAATCTCAGTCACCCACAGGTCAACAGAAGTGATTCTGAGCCCTTTATTAGTTTCTTTCCCTTCCCCATCTTACATCGCCACTCCTCTGCCAGTTCTTCCTGAGATCACTTCCCAAAAGAACTACTCACACTTAATCCCTGCTCAGGTTCTCCTTCTCAGGGAACCCAACCGAAAATGCTATGTGAAAGGATGTGGGCTTTATTGTGAGGACAATGGGAAGCCACTGACAAGTGTTTAGGGTTTTGGCTACAAACAACAGAAAGTAACTCCACCTATATAAACCAGAAAGTCAAACAATTTTTTGGAAAAATGCAAGGAAACTCATAGACACAAAGGACACATTAATACTCCAAGCCTCAGGAAAGGCAGGAGCCAGGGAGTCCTGAGGATTTCAGCGAGAAATATTTTAGGGCACTGCCAACAGAATAACTGGGCTCCAACTGTGTGTCACTCTTCTCAGGGACTCTGGTTTCCAGGAGAGAATAATAACTCATTGACCGATTTCCTTGGGTCATCTGCCCAATATTTTATTGGAAGTGGTCAGGACAACTTAATGAAGAAGATCACTTACAATGCTGAGGGGAATCTTCCAAAACAAAAAGTGGAGCCGGATGTGGTGGCACACACCTATACTCTCAGATACTCAGGAGGCTGAGGCAGGAGGATTGCTTGAGCTCAAGAGTTAGAGGCTGCAATGTTCACATCACTGCACTCCAGCCTGGACAACAGAGAGAAACCCCATCTCTGAGAAAAAAAAAAGAAAAGAAAAAGTGGGATATTGCAAACTATATTAAGAGGGTCTGGATGCTGGGAACGCAGAAACAAGTGGTAGTAATAGGATCGATTACATTTTACAAATATTATGCCAACATTTGAAATATTATACTGAAATATTACCTTCGCTGGTCATACTTCTATTTGGAACCAAATTGTACAAAGACTACAGTTTGTGACAATTTCCATGACCCAGAGAAGGTATGCTTAGTTCATTAGCAGCTCTTGCGTGTATCTAGTTTTTAAATTGACATATAATTTCAATACAGTAACATGCATAAATTTTATGTGTACAGTTCTGTGAGTTTTAACAAATGTACATATATGTAATCACCACTCTAATTAAGATATAGAACACTCCCATCACTTTCAAAAATTTCCCTCATGCCCCTTTCTAATTCATAACAACTCCTCCTACACTGCCACTCTCATTTCTAACACTATAGCTTAGTTTTGCCTGGTCTATAACTTCATACAAATTGAACTATATAGAAAATACTCTTTTGTGGTTGGCATCATCCACTCAGCATATTTTTGAGATTAATCAATGTGGCTGTATCAATAATTGTTTTCTTTTACTTACCCTAAAGTTTCTCATTATAGTAATACGATAATTTGTTTATTCACCTATTGATATACACTTGGATTTTTTCAAGTTTTGAACTATTATGAATGAAACTGCTGTAAACATTCTTATACAAGCCTTTTTTATATACATATATTTTCATTTCTTATTGAGTAAATATTTAGAAGAAGAATTAGTATGTCATGCATTGACTAGTTATTGAGAATAAGCTCAGGACAATATTAGAAACAGAAAGACAAGGTAAGAAATTTATATAGTAATCCAGGTGAGGTCTTGAGCTAAGGTAGTTCTATTAATCAGCTCAGGCTGCCATAACAAAATACTATAGATTGGGTGGCTTAACAATCTATAGTATTTATTTTCCCAAAGTTCTGGAGGCTGGAAGTCCAAGATCAGGGTGCCAGCAAGACTGAGTTCTAGTGAAGGCTCTCTTCCTGGCTTGCAGACGTCTGCCTTCTTGCTGTGTTCTCACAAGGAGAGAGATCTCCATAATCTCTTCTTCTTCTTAAAAGGGCACTAGTTCTATGGGATTAGGGCTCTATCCTCATGACCTCATTTAACCTTAAAGGCTCTATCTTTAATACTGTTATATAGGGGGTTAAGCTTCAACATATGAATTGGGTTGGGGGACACAACTCAATTCAAGCATTAGTAGGTAGCAAAAAGATGGAAGGGGGAAAGCAGAAAAGGGATATGGATAAAACTCAGACAAGTTTTAAAAGTAGATGTACATCTGAAAGGATTTGTTGATGGATTACCTGGTATAGCTGGTGAGCAGAGAGGAAACAATCAAAGTTTATGTTCAAGTTTGGGGCTGGGGCCACTATGCTAGGTAGAGGAGTTCTTTAAGAAGAAGGAAAGAAACTTTTAAAGAACCCAAATGCCCAAAACCACAACAGGGGCAAAGCTTCCTTCCTGGCTGTGACAATACCCCAGCAGTCACACAATTTGGTTCCCAGAGCTAGCTAATCATTTGGGACCCCTCAAAACCAATATTCTTTAAATATTCATCCAACAGTTATTTGGTAGAAGCAGGAAAAAAATTAATAAAATTATATTAAAATATAATTATATTTATATAACATAATAAAATTATAAAAAATAAATCGATTTACTAATTTATTGACACAGCCAAATTCAGTTATAGCCAGAAAAAAAATTGGGCAGAGGGAGCACAGATAAAACATTTCCCCACTTTTGTGTAATACTTGTTCTCTCTCCAGTTTTCTTTTATAAGTTGTTTGGAAGGGGAATATTTTTAAAAGTCTAAGGACACATATTTAAGGGCTTGAAATTTTGGTAATAACATATAACACAGACTCTTGCATTTCAGTTACAGAATTTTTGCTGGGTCTGTAGACTTTAAATCACTGCTATTGTACATGCATCCAAGAAGACAGATCACAGTACAAACACACACACACATACACAAATACACACATATGTACACACTGGAAGACCAGGTGTGCTGTCTATTTTGGCAAGAGAGAAAATACTGTATTTTGCTGATTTATTTCAGGTATGTGTGCCTCTTTTTTGATCGGCAACCCTGGAAACTCCCCACTTGCTGCTCCTCCACCCAGCCTTGCTCCTGCCCTCCTGCTGATCTCCCAGCCCGAGACAGAAGAGGCTCTCCAGGGCTGTGTTCTTCAGCTCAGGTTTGCTGATGCTGCAGCAATGCATGGGGCTCTTCAGACAGTGGCCAAGCAGGCACCTTAGGGGAGTGGCTACGCTGACCCCACTGGCAAATGAAATGATGACTTCACTTCAACCCTGAAGCTGTTATATAGAGAAAGCTTAGAGCCTGACTAGAGCCAGATAAACCTTGGCTTGAATCACCACACATTCTGTGCTGTTTGTGCAACCCTCAGCAAGTACATGATCCTTCTGAGCCTTAGATGTTCATGTGTAAACTAATGAAACCTTGCCTGAGGAAGGCATGTAGCCAGTTTCTCGCCTTGGGATAAAAAAATCTGTTCGTGGGTCCTATTTGGAGATCTGGCATCTGTGCTATTGGTAAGTAGCAACTCAAATTCTGTAAACAATGCCATCCCTGAATGACAATTTCACTTTTACTCCACTTCCTCTAGTCTCTGCTCATCTTAGTCTTAACAATTGGCATGTCAACTTACTAACTAAAACAGTTGGATATGTGACGATTTCAGAAACGTTTGCTTCCCCACCCAGATAAATATCTACTTCATGGGATCTTAAGGGAGAAAATGAAATGACATGTAATTCTCCTAAATTCTATATGATATACATTTTCTATTGTGGTAATAAAAACCATAACATAAAATTTGCCATCTTTACCATTTTTTAATGTACAGTTCAGTAGTGTTAAGTGTATTTACATTGTTGTGAAACAGATCTCTAGAACTTTTTCATTTTGTGAATCTGAAACTCTATATCCACTAAACAATAATTTCCTTTTTCCCCTCCCTTCTGCCCCTGGAAACCACCATTCTACTTTCTGTTTCTAAAAATTCAACTACTTTAGATATCTCAAATAAGTAGAATCATACAGTATTTGTCTTTCGTGACTAGCTTGTTTCACTTAGCACAATGTCCCTCAAGTTTTACTCTGTGCAATCACAGAGTGATTTTCTTCATTTTAAGGCTGCATAATATTCTATGCATGTATATACACCACATTCTGTTTATCTGTTCATACATTAAGAGTTGCTTCTTGGATAATACTCCAGCCTGTGCATAGTCTACAGGGTTTGACACAGCAACAGCTGCACTGGAGCACAGCCAGGGATACCCAACCCCCAAGTCTCAACACACTCCTCTACGTGACTTTGGCCTTTGTTGACTGTTGGACCTGAACAGAGAAGGGAAGTCTTGCCCATGAGATGGGGCCAGTCTGTTCTGAGCACCCGCTATCTGCTGGCCTCTTCCAAGGTCCCTGCCTGCCCACTCCTATTTGCAATGCATCCTGAGATGTCCAACTGGGGTGCTTCCTGATGGCCACTACCATAACTCCTTTGCTGGCAGACCCTGCCTAACCATCGGAGAACTTAAGCAGACAGGCCCCCACTGACATGCACCCACCCACAGCCGCCTCCCACTGCTTTGGTGTGTGTGCACAACCTCACCACCCTATTGCCACCAGTGCACACAGGCACAAACCTCACCATCACCAACCCCCACCACCAACATACACACTCACACCTTGCTGTGCCACCACTGCTACTGGTGCATACACATGCATGGACACAGCCATATTGCTGCCACCAGCTCAAGTGTGAATGCCACCATTTCTCCCTAACAGCATGCACACCCACCATTGTGCCACTGCCAGCACGCACACACTCCACTGAATCACTGTCATTGCCAGCACATGTACACACACAGACACCACCACATCATCATTGCCAGCACATGCACACAGACCCTGCAGCCCCACCATCCCTGGCACTCATACATATGTGCAGACCCTGCCACACCTCTGCTACTGGAGCATGCACACACATGTGGAACTCACTGCCACATGTGTGGCACATGCACCAACAAAGCACTTTTGCCAGCAACCCCCATTTAAGTGTTGTTGCCAGCCCACCAGGAACACCTTGGCTCCTCCAGCACAGCAGGTGCATAACCTCAAGGGGTCAGAGAATAAAGTTGTGGTCCTAATAACAGCCCTCCAAGGGCATGCAGCCCAGGGGTGCAGAGCTAAGCCTTGGCCCCCAGAAATCATCCAGAAATGAAGCCAGTAGACTAAACCCAGCTTATATGACAATCAAACTTCAAGGGCACCAAAGGATATAAAAGCAAAAAAAACACATCCAAAGGAGAGCAACTCCAAGATCTGGGCCCACACAGATGAGAAAGAGCTAACACAAGAACTCTGGCAACTCAAAAAGCCAGAGTGTTTTCTTACTTCCAGATGACTACCCTAGCCCCCCAACAATGGCTTTTAACCAGGCTGAAATAGTATACATAGAATTGAGAATCTGGAAATCAATGAAGATCTTCAAGATTTGGAAGAAAGTTAAAACCCAATCCAAAGAATCTAAGAAATCCAATAAAATGATTCAAAAGGTTAAAGGTGAAAGAGCCATTTTAAGAAAGAAGCAAACTGATATGATAGGGCTGAAAAACTCACTACAAGGATTTCATAATAAAATCTGAAGCATTAACAGCAGAGTAGATCAAGCTGAGGAAAGAATCTCAGAGCTTGAAGATTGGTTTCTCAAGTCAACTATGTCAGACAAAAATAAGAAAAAGAACAAAGAAGAATGAACAAAACCTTCCAGAAATATGGGATTATATATGAGATCAAATCTACCAGTCATTGGCGTACCTGAAAGAGAGTGAGAGACCAAGCAACTTGGAAAATATATTTGAGGATATTGTCCATGGAAATTTTCCCCAACCTTGCTAGAGAGATTGACATTCAAATTCAGGAAATTGATAGGACCCCTGTGAGATACTATACAAGATGACCATTCCCAAGATGCATACTCATCAGATTCTGCAAGGTCAATGTGAAAGAAAAAAAATTAAAGGCAGCTAGATAGAAGGGGTAGGTCATCTACAAAGGGAACCTCATCAGGCTAATAGCAGACCTTTCAGCAGAAACCCTACGAGCCAGAAGAGAGACTGGGGGCCTATATTCAGCATTCTTAAAGAAAAATTCCAACCAAGAATTTCATGTACAGCCAAACTAAGCTTCATGAACAATGGAGAAATAAAATTCTTTTCAGACAAGCAAATGCTAAGTGAATTCATTAACACCAGGTCTGCCTTACAAAAGGTCCTTCACAGAGTGCTAAATATGGAAAGGAAAGACCATTATTGGCCACGACAAAAACACACTTCAGTACGTAGATAATTGACACTATGAAACAAGAATACAATCAAATCTGCATAACAATCAGCTAACAACATGATGACAGGATCAAACTCACAAATATCAATATTGACCTTGAACATAAATGGGCTAAAGACCCCATTAAAAAGCATGGAGTAGAAAGTTGGATAAAGAAGCAAGACTCTACTGTATGCTGTCTTTAAAAGACCCATCTCACAAGCAATGACATTCATAGGCTCAGAGTAAAGGGATGGAGAAAAACCTACCAGCAAATGGAAAACACAAAAAAGCAGGAATTGCTATTCCAATTTCAGACAAAACAGACTTTAAACAAACTGATTGAAAAAGACAAAAAGAGGAGTACATAATGATAAAGGGTTCAATTCAACAAGAAGACTTGGCCATCCTGAATATATATACACCCAACACAAGAGCATCCAGATTCATCAAACAAGTTCTTAGAGACCTATGAAGAAACTTAGATAACCACATAATAATAGTGGGAGACTTCAACACTCTACTGACAGTATTAGACAGATCAAGGCAGAAAACCAACAAAGGTATTCGGGACCTAAACTTCACACTTACCAAAAGGAACTAACAGACATCTACAGAACACTCCACTCAACAGCAACATAATAGACATTCTTCTCATCTGCACATGACACATACTCCAAAATGGACCACACCCTCAGCCATAAAACAATTCTCAACAAATTCAAAAAAATAAAAGCCAAATCATACCAATCACACTCTCAGACCACAGCACAATAAAAATAAAAATCAATACTAAGAAAATTTCTCAAAACCATACAATTACATGGCAATTAAACTTCTCCTGAATGACTTGGTAAACAATGAAATTATGACAGAAATCAAGAAATTATTTGAAACTAGTGAAAGCAAAGATAACACATAACAGAATTCTACAACACAGCTAAAGCAGTGTTGAAAGTTTATAGTGCTAAAAGCCCGCATCAAAGTTAGAAAGATCTCAGATTAACAACTTAATATCACACCTAGAGGAACTTGAAAAACAAGAGCAAACCAATGCCAACACTAGCAGAAGCAAAGATAATAACCAAAATGAGACCTGAACTGAATGAAATTGAGATGTGAATAACCATACAAAAGATCAATAAAACCAAAAGTTGGTGCATTGAAAGAATATATAAGATCCACAGACCACTAGCTAGACTAATAAAGAAAAAAAGACACACATAGACACAATCAGAAATGACAAAGTGAAAATTAATAATGACCCCACAGAGAAACAAAAAGGCTCAGAGACTATTATGAACACTTCCATGCACACAAACTAGAAAACCTAGAAGAAATGGATAAATTCCTGGAAACATACAACCTCCCAATATTAAATCAGGAAGAAATTGAAACCTGAAAAACCAATAATAAGTGTCAACACTGAATCAGTAATAACAAAGAAAACCTACCAATCAGAAAAAGCACTGGACCACATGGATTCATAGCCAAATTCTACCAGTTGTATAAAAAGGAGCAGGTACCAAGCCTACTGAAACTATTCCAAAAAACTGAGGAGAGACATGTCTCTCTAACTCATCCTAGGAAGCCGGCATCATTCTGATACTGAAACTTGGCAAAGACAAAAAATAGGAAACGTCAGGCCAATATGCCTGAAGAACATAGATGCAAAAATCGTCAACAAAATACTAGCAAACCAAATCCAGCAGCACATCAAAAAGTTAATCCACCAAGATCAAGTACACTTTATTTCTGGGTTGCAAGGTTGGTTCAACATACACGAATCAATAAATGTGATTCATCACACAAAAAGAACTAAAAACAAAAACCACATGATCATATCAATAAATGCAGAAAACGCTTTCAATAAAATTCAACATCCTTTCATGTTAAAAACCTCAACAAACTAAACATTGAAGGAAAATACCTCAAAATAATAAGAGCCATCTATAACAAACTCACAGCCAACATCATACTGAATGGGCAAAAGCTAGAATTCCCCCTTGAGAACTGGAACCAGACAAGCATGCCCACTTTCACCACTTCTATTCAAAATAGTACTGAAAGTCCTAGTAAGAGCAATCAGGCAAAAGAAAGAAATAAAAGACATCTAAAAGAAAGAGGAAGTCAAACTACCTTGCTTTGTAGACAATATGATTTTATATCTAGATAACCCCATGGTCTATGCCAAAAAGCTCCTGGATCTGATAAACAACTTAAGCAAGGTTTGAGGATGCAAAATCAATGTACAAAAATTAGTAGCAATTCTATACACCAACAACATCCAAGCTTAGAGCCAAATCAAGAACACAATCCCATTCATCATAGCTACACAAAAAATACCTAGGAATACAGCTAACCAGGGAGTTGAAAGATCTCTACAACAAGAATTACAAAACACTGCTGAAGAAAATGAGAGATGACACAAACAAATAAAAAACAGTCCACTCTCATGGATAGGAAGAATCATATTGTTAAAATGGCTATACTGCCCAAAGCAATTTACAGATTCAGTGCTATTCCTATCAAACTACCAATGACTTTTTCACAGAATTAGAAAAACACGATTTTAAAATTCATATGGAACCAAAAACAAGAAAGAGCCTGAATAGCCAAAACAATCCTAAGCAAAAAGAACAAAGCCAGAGGCAACACACTACCCTATTTCAAAGTACACTCAAAGGCTACAGTAACCAAAACAGCATGATACTTGTACAAAAACAGACACATAGATCAATGGAACACAATAGAGAACCCAGAAATAAGTCTGAACATTTACAACCATTTGATCTTCAACAAAGCTAACAAAAAGAAGCAACCAGGAAAGGACTCCCTATTTAATAAATGATGATGGGATTACTGGCTAGTCACATGAAAAAGATTGAAACTGGACCCCTTCCTTACATCATATACAAAAATCAATTCAAGATGCATTAAACTCTTCAATGTAAAACCTAAAACTATAAAAAACAAACCTAGAAAAAGCTAGGAAATACCATTTTGGACATAGGTCTTAGCAAAAATTTCATGACGACTCCAAAAGCAATCGCAACAAAAACGAACATTGACAAATGGGATCTAATTAAATCGAAGAGCTCCTGCACAGCAAAGAAATTATCAACAGAATAAACAGACAACCTACAGAATGGGAGAAAATTTTTGCAAACCATGCATCTGACAATGGTCCGATATCCAGAAACTATAAGAAACTTAATAATACATTAATAAGCAAGAAACAACTTCATTTAAAAGTGGGCAAAGAACACAAGCAGATACTTCTCAAAAAAAGACATACATGCAGCCAGCAAGCATATGAAAAAATGCTCAACATCACTAGTCATTAGAAAAATGCAAATCACACAAGTCAGAATGGTTACTATTAAAAAGTCAAAAATAATAGATGCTAGTGAGAATGCAGATAAAAGGGAATGCTTATACACTGTTGGTTGGAATGTAAACTAGTTCAGTTCACTGTGGAAAGCAGTTTGTAAATTTCTCGAAGAACTTAAAACAAACTGCCATTTGACCCAGCAATGTTATTACTGGGTACATAACCAAAGGAATGTAAGTCTTTCTACCATAAAGACATACGCACTTGTATGTTCATTGCAGCACAATAACAAAAACATGGAACCAACCTAAATGCCCATTAACAATGGACTAGATATAGAAAATGTGGTACATATACACCATGAAATACTAAACAGCCATTAAAAAGCACAAAATTATGTCCTTTGCAGCAACATGGATGCAGCTGGAGGCCATTATGCTAAGTGAATTAACACATGAACAGAAAACCGAATAATGCATATTCTCACTTATAAGTGGGAGCTAAACACGGACACAAAGAAGGAAACAATAGACACTGGAGCCTACTTGATGGTGGAGAGTAGGAGGAGAGTGAGGATTGTACCTATTAGGTACTATGCTTATTACCTGAGTGACAAAATAATCTGTACCCCAAACCCCTGTGACATGCAATTTACTCATAACAAACCTGCATATGTACTCCTCAAACTTGAAACAAAAATTGGAAAGAAAAAATACATATATATGACAGAACTGAAAAAAAAGAGTTGCTTCCACTTCTTGGCTATTTTAAATAATGCTACAATGAACACGGGAATGCAGATATCTCTTAACATACTGATTTTATATCCTTTAGAGAGATACACAGAAGTGGGATTGCTGGATCATAAGGTAATTTAATTTTTTGAGGAAACTTCATACTATTTTCCCTAATGTTTGCACCATTTTGCAATCCTACCAACAGTCTACAATGGTTCCAATGTCTCCACATCTTCATTAACACTTTATATTTTCTGTTTTTTTACAGTAGTCAATTAGTGGCTGTGAGGTGATATCTTACTGGGGTGTGGTTTGTTTTTTGTGGTGTGTGTGTGTGTGTGTGTGTGTGTGTGTGTGTGTGTGTTTTACAGACAGGTCTTGCTCTGTCACCCAGGGTGGACTGCAGTGGTGTGATCACGGCTCACTGCAGCCTTGACCTCCTGGGATCAAGTCATCCTCCTATCTCAGCCATCCCAGTAGCTGGAACCACAGGCATGCACCACCACACCTGGCTAATTTCTTTAATTTTTTTGTAGAGACAGGGTCTCACTATGTTGCCTAGTTTTGATTTGCATTTCTCTGATGATTAGTGATGTCAAGCATCTTTTCATGTGCTTATTGGCCATTTGTATATTATCTTTGGAGAAATGTCCACTCAAGTCCTTTGTACATTTTTAAATTAGATTGTATATTTTGTTGTTGTTGTTATTGAGTTGTAGAAGTTCTTATATATGCCGGACATTAACCCCTCATTACATATATGATTTGTAAATATTTCCCCCATTTTGTAGGTTGCCTCTTTACTCTGTTATTGTATCCTTTGATGCACAAAAGTTTTAAGTTCAATGTAATTCCGTTTGTTTATTTTTGCTTTTGTTTCCTGTGCCTTTGTTGTCATAGTCAAGAAATTACTCGCAAGTCCAATATTGTGAAATTACTCCTACATTTTCTTCTAGGAGTTTCATAGTTTTAGAGCTTACATTTGGGTTTTTAATCCATTCTTTATTGAATTTTTGTAAATGGCATAAGATAAAGATTCAACATCATTCTTTCACATGTACGGCATGTAGGTATCCAGTTTTTCCAACATTACTTGTTGAAGAGACTGTGCTTTCCCCACTGAGTGCTCTCAGCACCCTCACTGAAGATTATTTTAATCTTATACATGAGGGTTTATTTCTGGGCTCTCTACTCCGTTCCATTGGATTATTTGTCTTTATGCCACTACCACACTTTCTTTACTATTGTGGCTTTGCAATGTTTTGAATTCACAGAGTGTGAGACCTTCAATTTCATCTTTTTTTCAAGATTGTTTTGGCTATTCAGGGTACATTGAAATTCCATAGAAATTTTACGATGACTTTTACTATTTCTGCAAAAATGTCATTGCGGTATTGATCAGGATTGCTTTGAATCTGTAGATTGCTTTGGGTAGTATGAACATCTTAACAGTATTAAGTCTCCCAGTCCATGAACACAAGATGTCTTCCAATTTAATTGTGTCTTCTTTCATTTCAAATTTCAGCAACATTTTGTCATTTTCAGTGTAAAAGCCTTTCACTTTGACATAAAATTTTTAAAGGATGTGCCACAAGTTCTGAAGATTATTTGAATAAAAAACAAAACTACAGCTAAAAGTAATATAAAAGAGGACAACAACACTGAAAGAAGATCAGTCTTTGCATAACATAAATAGTGGTATTTTACACTCATTTGTTCAAGAAACCTTTATTGGTCTCTTACTATAACCACATTTGCACAAAGCAGCAGGAATGCTGAGATTAACGAGACATGATGTTCACCGTCTGGAGAGAAAGACAGGGAAACCAGCGATGTCCTTATAATGACAGAGCCTTCACCAAGGTGGGTTCAGAGTTCTGTGCTGTGCAGAATAAAGGGTACCAGCTGGAGGGAGTGGAGTAAGGAGAAGCTTCCAGGAAGGGAGGACACCAGTGTGGAGACTTCAAACATAGGCAAAAACAAGGCAAAAAAGCACACTTCACGACGATTGCTAGTAACTGTTTTGTTTTGATAGAGTGAGAAGAATGTAAGTAGAATGAATTTATGAACTTTGTGCAAAAATCAGCATCATTAATTCAGAGTGCAATGCAGAGTCCATATGTCTATATATAAATACACTTTAACAATGGTAATAATTAAAATGCTTATTAAACACTTACTGTGTGTTAAGCACCATAGAAAGTATCTTACGTGCATTGCCTCATTTAACCCTCACCCCAATACCATGAGGTAAGTAATGTCATTAGTATCAATTTATAGAAGAGAAAACAAGGGCTTAAGAAGGTTAAGTAACTTGCTTAAGGTCATGCAGCTAATTACTAGTAGAGCTAGGATTCAAACCATCATTTAACAGCAAAGGTGCAGCTTCCCCTATAAGCAAATGTATACGTGAAAATATACAGGGATGACATGCATTTTTTAACTTATTTCACTGAGGCTGAAGAGATGTTTCTGAAAAATCTAAAACATAAGTGCTGAAAAGAAACCTGCAGATTACTCTCAGGCAGAATATATTTGATATATTTGATACTGAGAAAATTATTGATACTAGTTTAAGGTGTTACTATTAGAACCCTCCCTGGTTTCATCTCAGGCTTTTTCATAACTACCCAACAACATAACACAATTGCCTCTGGCACCCTGGACAAATCTGCAGAGGTTATGGAATAGGTGAAAATCTAGGAGCACTGACTTACTTCCTTAATTACTGAACAAAGTACAAGTGGTCACCAGGGAAAAATAAAATGCCTCTCTTTATTAACTAGACAAATACAATAGAAAAATTATGGTTTCTAAGCAATGCTTATCTTGCTGTTGTCACCCCTGAGCAAATTTATTCCTACTAGACAGGAATAGATAATTGTACTCAAGGTAAGATGATAATATTAACAAAAAGATAAATTAAAAATACCAAGAATTAAATATTGCCTATAAAATGGAGCTAAGACTAATTAGACATGGTAAACAATAAAAGGAATTCATATTGAGTTGTCCAACTGAAGCAGTGATTTTCTTCTATGTGATTCTGTTATAGAATGTATTGTTTTTATTTAATAAGCTTAGTCTATATGATCAGCATTACAACAATTTTGCTTCTCTGTGTGTTCCTTACTGTTTGACACAAGTCCTTGAAAAAAAATTATTATCTTAACTTTGTTTATACTCCAGTGATTATTGTTTGGCAATTTAGCCAAATTGGAGGGAGTAGGGGGAAGGAAGATGACACAGGATTTTTTCAGATTTAGCCAATTCTTATGAATCTTCTTTTGCCCCACACACCCCATCACCACCCATACATGCCATGCACCCAGTGTTTGAGAAATTGCAAAACCTAAAGAGATAATTAATTTCAAGATTTAAATTGGAATATTCCCAGTTTAAGAGAGCTCTCTTCTGTTTTCTCTTTCAATTCTTGTTGCCATTTATGTTCCATACTGAAATTTAGAGGCAGATGCACGTGACATCACAAAGACAGTCTGTTTTTGTTCTTTCTCATGCACGAAAGCTTCTTTCAGTTCCGAGGATGCAGGTAGAGCAGGCAATCAAAAAATTAACCCACTGGGGCCCACAGAAGTTTGCACTGCAGAGGGTAACCATGGGGCAAACACCTACATTAATGTAAAGTTTGGCCACACAAAAGCTACATTTTAAATGCTTGTATTAAGTACAATAATTTTTTTAAATATAGGAAATGAAAAACTTTCATAGGTATTAGATTCAGATACACAATGAAATTTCAGGAAATGTCAATAATTAGGATGTTGAGAAATAAGAAAAATAAATCTAGTTGTGAATAATTATTATATACATAAAGCCACATGTGCATGCACACACATGCACACTCAGATGCTTTGGAAAATGTTAATATTTTTGAGAAGCTTGTATCTAGGCTCCACACTTGGCAAAGACGTCTTTGACAAAATTCTTGCCTTTTTTTCTTAAAAGGGATGAAGGCCATTTAACCAACTTGCTAGACAGAATTTGTTGCTAATGAACACAGCTACGTTAAAGAATCAGGCAAAATGTTAAAATAGTATGTATCTGCTTTCAATGCATTTTAGTTCCAAATGGACTAAACACTGGTGTCAGCAAGTGAAGGGGAGATAAGGGACAGACCAAGAATACATCATGTGGAAAAAATTGCATTAGGCCAAGGGAACAATATTCCTCAAATACTGCTGAGGCTAGGATAATAAGAAATAAAATTTATACAAGGGGAGAGAGAAGCTGAGCCTAGGTCCTGCTAAATACTGCCCTGGCATTGTCAAGTTTTTAAGCATATATTTAAATATGAGAAATATATGAGTACATCTACTGAATTTATATATATATAATATATATCAGTATATATACTATTTAGTCAATATTTTCATATAATATATATATACTGAGAACCATGGGGGTTCTTTTTTTTCAGGAAAGATGAAAATTATCCTAGCACAGAAGAAAATAATCATATCCTCAGTACAATTCTAGGCTCAATTATATTCATTTTGTGTTCTTCATGCAAAATAGCAGAGGTACACTAGGGTAGAATTGCTGGAATTAACCTTCCATTCCTCCTTTGGTTTTTAAGAGGGCAAGATCAAAGACAAGGTCCCATAAAATCCATTAATATAAAAACAGAAATTGCTGGGGGCTGGGGAAGAACTCCAAAGAAAATTACCTCCTCCCTTTTAGTACAAAGCACTGTCAGAAAGAACTTCCCTTTATTTAGATCCTTTTTAATATACTACCTATAATTCAAGTGAGAAGATTGGTTGATTTATCCGGGGAGGGGAGGGGATTTTATATGGAGGAAAATTAAAAGGAAAGAAATCGAGTTTTAAATAGGCCTTGCTGAGCAGATAGATAAACCCACTCTGTGTATATGTATCACTTCCAAATGCTAGACCGACCCCAAGACCTGGCTGCATTTGCTGAGACCTATCATTGTGCTTATTTATTTCTGTGCATTATCCTGTAATGGCCCCACAGAGATGATCTTCTTTCAGCACCATCTGCTACTAGGAAAAACAAGAACGTACACTACACCTGTTACAAGCTTCTCTGCATTGTAAGCCTTTTCTCTAGACAAAACGGTAAATTGTGTAAGTAATAAACAGGAATCCACCAGCTGATAGAAATATACAGGTCCCGACGCTGGCACATTTTATTCAAGTTCCTAACTGGTATTGAAATTGTAATTTTACCATGTAAAGTAATCTATAGAACATGTCAGTGCTTAACACCAAAACACAAAACCAAAAAACTGGTTATCCAAAGATTGTCTTGGGACTTCACATTCTGTAGATGTAATTTCCTCCAGAAGTACTGTATGGCATAAATATTTATGATCAATAGTCTAAGAAATCACAAAACTTGCTTGACATCAGCTTTGGTAAAGTATATCTATATTAATTTAATAAATATTTATCGCATCCCTACTAGGGCCAGGCGCCACTCTAGGTACTGAGAAAAATGGGCTTGTTGCACCAGGACAGAGGAATCCTGTCGCCTTTCACTTGCTTCCAGCCCTTGCTTCCTCCAGCCCTTTGCATTCATCAGCTTCTCCCTGCAGAGGACAACCCAGAGGCAATGTTGACTGTAAGCCAGCTTTTTAAGAAGTCTTCAGAGACAAATCTTTTCTAAACACCCCCAAAGGCTACTCCTGCACATGTAGTTTCATATAAACTATGTTGGTGAAAAACTTCCTGTTCTAGGAAAAAAATTACCTTGTGCTAAACATGTTGCAATTTTTCTTAGTCTAGTATTTAATCACAGGCTATTGTCTTTACTTAATTAGCAATGAATCACCCACAAAAATATTTACTGACATCAGTTGTAGCCCCAGAATTTTAGTCAATGCTTATAAAAACGACAAAAAGTGTTACTGATATGATTTGGCTCTGTCTCCCCACCCAAATCTCATCTTGAATTTTAATCCCCACATGTTGAGGGAGGGACCTGGTGGGAGGTGATCGGATCATGGGGGCAGTTCCCCCATGCTGTTCTCGTGATAGTGAGTGAGTTCTCATGAGATCTGATAGTTTAAATGTGTGGCACTTTCTCCATCCCTCTCTCTCCTGCCGTCACGTAAAACGTACCTTGCCTCCCTTTCACCTTCCACCACAACTGTAATTTCCTGAGGCCTCCCCAGCCATGCAAAACTGTGAATCAATTAAACCTCTTTTCTTTAGAAATTACCCAGTCTCAGGTAGTTCTTCGTAGCAGTGGGAAAATGAAATAATACAGTTACTATTTCATATTGGAAGCAACTAAAATTTTTGGAGACCTACTCTATTCCAGGCACTATCAGATCCATCTCATCAGAGTTCTTCATGGATTCCTAATCTTTTTGGGACAACATAATTCACCTGAAGCAGTTAGATAGTAACTGCCATCTCAGGTGGTATGTTATTGACTGTGAATCTCATGTGAACAAAAACAAGGGAGAAAATAGAGTGGGCCAATCAAAGCAGGGTTTACTAGTGGGATTTGATCTAAGCTTTAAAGGAGGGAAAGAATCTCTAAGGAGACAGAGGATGGAAAGATATTCCAAAAAGAGATGATTACAGCTACCAGAAAAAATGATATGGATAAATCAGTAAAAATCTATTAGCAGGGGTAGGAAAAATCACCTACTCTATTGAATTTGGGTCAACAGCATTGTGTGAGTGCATGTGTGGGTATGAGTGTGTGTACACATGTGTCATAATTTAAGGCATGTACATGTGTTAAATGTGTGTAAAACAAAAAGCAGAGAAAGTCAGAGACTATTTGATTCATTCAAAAATACCTCCATATGTAATTGCTTTTGAGGAATAATAACATCTCAAATTGCCATACCATGCTTATATACATTATAAAGAAATATCAGTAAAATTCCTAGCCCACAATTAGAATTATATCTTATAAAATGAGTATCTCCCATTTGAATAGTCAGCCTTAGGAACAAATGAGTCTTGTCTATTAATTAAATGTGTTAATCTTTCACATTCAGATTTCAATAGAAGAACTTTGGAGAGAAGACCAGAATGCTCTCATACCAATAAATCTAAATTTATAGCCACCTCACAGGAAACAGATCCAGGCATTGTTATGGACCACCCAATAAAGACATTTGCTGAATGCATGGCCACGATCAAAAAAGTGCATAAATTATGCTGTATTAAGAAGTAAATAGGGAATAGAAAAAAATGCCATAAGGCTGTAACATAAACCAGTGGGGCATCCTCATTTTTCTGTGTAACAGATTCTGCTCACTCGACCACCAAAGACAAATACCTAGGGAGGTGGCAGGACATGCAAAGTTCCTATTGCATGTCCTGTCACCAACTGCAATGACTGAAGTCCCTTCTCCAATCATCAAGAAAAGGCTGAGGTACCCTGTTTTGTACTTCTGTGTGTTTTTGTTTTGCTTTGCTTTGCTTTATTGCTGACTAGCGGAAGAGATCGTTAATCTCTGGGAATAGAAGCTTCTAAAGGTCAAGGCCCTTATCTGCCTTGTTGCCTGCTATATCCCCCAGTGCCTAAAACAGAATCTAGCACATAGATGCTCAGAATGCATTTATTCAATGTAAATGATAAATCTATGTATTCACTTAGTAGCGTTTGATACATGTGAACACTAATCATTATACAAAACAAAAATGTATGCTTGTTGAGAAGGGAAAAAAATTGAAAACAACTATTTTTTGGAGTGTCTCCAAATTCTTTTGAGACAGACTTATTCAGAAAAGAGGGAAGGAGAAGATGGTTAGATGGCCCCCAGCTTTCCAAATGAATCAGGTTGTATGTAGCTTTCTGGAAGCTTACAGGAAAAAAGAAAATAAAATATCTGCTCTGTATCAGACATCCAGTAATAAGTTATTTCAGAAAGTTGTCAGTTATTTCAGAAAGTTGGAGATCTCAGAGAACTTTCAAGGTGGGCACTGGTATAAGACATGAGAATTCAGGGATGGTTCAGGAAAAGCGGAGAGAAGCCCTGGAGGCCTCCAAAATTTCCCAGGGGGAAGGACTTAGGGGCAGCATACTTAGGTGAGACTACAAAAATATGGCTCGAATTTGTGTAAGAGTTCAGTTTTTTTGTTAAATCATGTGTTGATTTGGAATGGGGTCGCAGATAGAGGTTATGGGGAAGCGGCTTACAGCTGCCCTCCCTACCCCAAGTATCCCTTGGTTCTGCTCTTCAAAAGCAGACTTTTGATGACCATGAAAAGCAAATCTTCTGTGAGGCAAAACATGGCCACAGACATGTGGCATCTGAGAGAAGTTCAACACAATTCCAAGTCTAAGGGGCATTTTCGAACCCAGTCACTCTCCGGTATCACCATTGGCTAAACCAGTCACCCTCTGTGATAGACTGAATGTTTGTGTATCCCCAAAATTCACATGCTGAAATCCTCCACCCCAAAGTGATGGTGCTAGGAGTTGGGGCCTTTGGAGGTGATTAGGTCATGTGGGCAGAGCCCTCATGAATGGGATGGGTGCCATTATAAAGGAGGCCTGAAGGAGCTGCCTGGCCCCTGCCCTCAATGTGAGGAAGCAGTGAGAAAACGACCTTCTAGGAATAAAGAAGCAGAGCCTGACCAGACATCAAATTTGCTCATGCCTTGCTCTAGGACAACACAGCCTTGAGAATGGTGACCAATTCAGGTTTGTTGGTTAAGTCACTCGTCTGTGGTATTTTCATTATAGCAGCCAATCATGGCTGCCACGTGCTGAGCACCAGGAGACTAGCGTTTCCCTGCCTGGGTGACAACAGTGGTGGCTGAGCTTGGCTCTGATTGGCTGTTTGAGAAGGACTTCTCCAATCAGACGTAACGTGTCCCCACCCTGACGAGAAACACACCCACCCTCAGTCCCTCAACTGCAGAGGGGCCTGCTGGAAAGACAGAAACAAAGGCTGCTGCAGCTGGCTTGAGAGATCTTTAGGCATTGGCCTAACTTGACTTTTCATCAGCTTGCTTGTCTGTCTCTTTCCTAATCCCATTTGGCCTTTTGTCTTGGATAAAAGAGCATTGATAAAATAGGGGAAACCAGCACTGTTTGAGGCTCTTCTACTTGTGAGCATTTTACATAATCATTAAAACAACTCTATAAAGAGATATCCTATTTTTATAATTGGGGACCAGAAACATTACGCAGTTTGCCCAGTTACAAACTTGGATGTCACAAAACTGAACTCAAACACTGTTCACGTGCGCTCAAAGCTGGGGTTCCTCCAAGGACAGGCTGTGCTTACAGGCTTTGTCAGCCAGGAACTCTAGCATCTGTATTCAATGGGGTCCCAAACAGACAGGACACTTAACTATAGGAGGGAGGATTTGAAAACTGTTTATTTACCAAAGGGACAGTTCATAAAAGTGTGGGTGTATAGGAACTATAGGGATAGTGCAACAACATGAAACTAACTGCAGCAACAATTATTTATCATCCCTAGGCCAAAAGAGATCAAGGGAGGGGGTGGTCACCCAAACCTTCAGAAGAAGGAGATCACCCCCTCCTGAGAAGTAGTGACCTTCAGCCCAAGGCACAAGGCTAAAGTATTCTAACCTTACTCTCCTCTCTCCCTTCTATCTCCTGTCAGGGACCCATTAGGCAGACCAACTAGAAGCCAGGAGTCAGGGTAGCTCTGTTGATGTAGTCCATAGAAGTCAGCCTCCAGGGGCACAGAACTGGGAAAAGAGAATGGAGAGGGGGTCAGGAGAAGCCAATGGAAGATATACAGCATTGCCCTGGGTTTTTGGTTTTGTTTTTTTAAAGACAAAATTGGGAAAAACACCTTTGCCTTCTTCCTGGTTTTGCCTAAGACAAACCCAATTCCTGAAGGTTACCAGATATGCTGGTTTCCAAGCTCCCTGGAGGGCCATCTAGGTGTCAATGGCGCACAGGACCTGCTCCATGTAGCAGGCATGTTTGTAGCACATGTAAGGATAGGCTCCAGTCCAAGACCACAGTGGTCCGTGTGGCCACCAGGTCACAATCACACAGGATGAGGAAGTGAAAGGAAGAGGAGAGAAAAGCACATGAGGGTGTGGATGCTGCCCAATCACGGTTCCCACTTCCACACTTCCATGCATGCTCAGCCTCCACTCCGGGGCGGATGGTCCAGCCCAGGAAATAGCAATCTCAAACAAACATGAAAGATGATGATTCTAAGCAAGAAAGAAAATAGCCCTGGGGCTGACACTCGGAAATGTCAAGATAGATTCAAATTGTTAACCTTTTTACTTCTGCATTTTAAAGAAAGTGTTTCTGTCAAGCCATTTAAATGCTGTCTACCTGCCTCCCTGAAAATGTACTCTAAAAATTCATTATGTCTCTGTTTGAAAAAAAAAAAAAGCTTTTTCTCTTGTGATCTCAAATGTGTAGCCCTTTTCCAAGAGCCTCTCGTTCTTTCCCTCTAGGAATGACAAAGAAAGACTGCACAGTTGGCCGTCTTTTACACCTTTGTTATCTTATTCTTTTGTTCATCTCTCTTTACCCACGAAGAGTTTTATCAAATGCCTACTAGATATGACAACAAAAATCATGTTGTGCTTTACAAAATTCTCATATTTCATTTTGGCTGATATTTACAACAAATTTTACAAAGTCAGTTTGGCAAATATTCCTATCTCCCTTTTATAGGCAGGGAAACAGAGCACTGAAAAGACTGCACTTCTTGTCTATGGTGACATGGCACAATACAGCCCACTCTGCCTCCCAGGCTGTCCATGACCCAGCTGGAGCTGTCTCTCCAGCCCCATCTTACACCATTCATTCCTCACCCACTGAGCTCCAGTCTCTGCTTGCATTTCTTCACGGCACTGGTTATCATCTGATATCACCTAATGCCTTTGTTTGTTTCTTGTTTATTATCTTTCTCATCCCCTAAAGTATTAGCTCCACAAAAGCAGAGCTTCTCTCTCAGCTTGCTTCTGTATCCCAGGACCTAGAATATATACTTTTCAAAATTTCAAATTGCAAGTTTATGTAATTTTTTTTAAAAAAAATACCTATTTATCCTCTATCCTGTAAGATACGTGAGAGAAGGAACCATGACTGTCTAGCTTACTGCTACGCAACACATATTAGGCACTTAGTACATATTTTATTAAAGGAAGGAAGGAAAGGAGGAAAGCAAAAAGAAGAGGGAAGGGAAGGAAAGAAGCAATGAAGAAGGCAAAGAAAAATGAGCTCATTTATTTTGGCCTTAATATGGGCCAGGCATTCTGCCATGCCATTTATATTCTTTTCTCATTTTGTCCCCAATTACCTGCAAATACAGATGCTTCTTGACTTGTGATGTGGTTACATCCCCATAAACTCACTGTTAAGTCGAAAATATTTTAAGTGGAAAATGGGTGTTATGTAGACATGAAGGGATTCAAAAACACAAAAGACAATATCACAAAAAACACTGGTATCGCAGACATGGTAGAGTGTCAGTTATTTATGCTCGTGATCACCTAGCTGACTGGGAGTTGAAGCTCACTCCCACTGCCCTGTGTCATGAGAGGATATTATACCCCATATTGCTAACTGAGCAAAAGGTCAAGATTCACAATTCAAAGTATAGTTTCTACTGAATTCATCTCAATTTCGCACCATAGTAAAGTGGAGAAATCTCACGACAAACCCTAAGTTGGGGGCCGTCTGTAGACATGTTATCTCTAGTTTTGCAGGAAACGAAGGCAAGAGGAGATTAAATAACTTGAGCAATTCTCAAAGGAACCAAGTATAGAGCAATGTCTCCACGCCCCAGGCCATACTCTCTGCAACCACATCACACTACATCGAAGCACACTTACGCTTCAGACTCCTATGGAGGAGGAGCAGGGAGAGGAAGCTACAGGAGGATGGCTTTAGTTCAATGTAAGAAAGAATCTTTTCTTGGTACGTGCTGTTCTGGGCTAGAAGAAGCTGCTTTAAGAAGGAACAAACAGGCTGCCAGGTAGAGAATGGTGAGCTGGCAGGCGAGGGAGGGACCCTCACAAGGCAGGTGGTCAAATGGGAAGATAAGCAGATCAGAAAAATCGGTACCCCACGAATGGAGTGAACAAATGCATATACATTATGAGGGTAATGGAGACAGTTTTTCACCATCAGAGAAGGGAGCTACAGAAAGAGGGGAAGCTGGAATGAATCCTATGGTTTTGGGCACACCTGGCACATGTCTTTTAAATTATAAATACCATTCTCCACTAAAGAAACCAGGATTCTTTGTACTACTGACATAGTTCAGTAAGTGTGAAATTATTTCTAAATAAAGAGTAAAGAAAAAAAGGTAGCAAATTTCATTTTTAGTGGATACAGACGCATAGGCCAGCCCAGTGTTTCTCAAACTTTAAAGTGCCTACAGATCTCACCTGGGCATCTGGTTAAAATGCAGATTCTGATTCTGTGGGTCTGGGGCCAGCCAAAGTTCCTGTGTTTCTAACAAGGTTTCAGGTGAAGCTGATGCTGCCAGCCCACACACCAAACTAAAAAAGTGAACTAGACACATGAAAACTAAGAACAATCTAATGAGCATTTAGGAAACACCTCATACTGTCAGGCATTGTACTAGGTGTTTAATGTGCATAGTCTCTAATCCTCATCTACATTTGATGAATGTGGCCCAGAAGGTAATGAGAATGAAAATAACTTGCCCAAAGCCAAAATGACAAGAGGAACAGCAGGCATTGGGCGTGGGAGTCAGATAGATTTTGGTTATAATTCCGGATCAATTACTTACTTTACAGAACCCCGGCAAGTTATTTAATCTTTCTGTGCTTTATTTTTCTCCTATTGGATTGCTAGTGAGGAATAAATGAGATAGTGACTATTTATGACTCAATGAAATGCCTAAACTATATAGCTAATGTAGTGAGTGGAGCTCACGCTTCGAAGGCTGTGCCCTTTCGCTGCACTGTGTAATGCATAGTGCATTCCAGTAGATAATCTTTGAGATCTCTCCCTCCCAAGCAGGAGTTTCTGTCATCCCAGAATGGAAATGTTTTATAGGCTTCTCCAAAAGAGAAGCCCAGAGAAAAATTATGTACGCACGTTGGCCAAGATTGAAGAAAAAGAGAAAAACCATCAGCCAAGATACACTGACCAGAATCAGGCAGACTGGTGCCGGTGGTGGTGAGGAGACCATCCTAGTTACAGCAAAGGGATCATGTAGCTGAACGAAACCAGCAACGCATGTGCAAGGGTAGGTGTGAGACAGCCAGTTGCTAGAATTCTTCAAAGGCAAATCTGAGGAGTGTAACTTGCTTTCTTCTGTAGGTGGCCCAGACAGTCTTGTTGCAAGACAAATCTCTGCTTATTGAGCAAATCCTCTTAAACTGTCTGAACATCAACAGACTGCAGCTTTGAAATCCATATTACAAATCGTAACACTCACTTGGAGTATCTTTGATGACTGAATTAATCTGCGAACCGAAATTTTTTTGTACACACAATGTGATGTTGCTAACATAAGGACTTATCACCGAACAAGAAATAACCACTTAATTAAACACACCTGGCCCACTTTAGTTGCTCAACTTCTGGTGTCTTCAACTTCATGGGTTTTAATTACCCTCTTGCCCGTCTCACAGTGGAATTCATTTTCTTTTGAAGCATCCACATTCATTCCTGCATCCATCAGAATGGACTTATTTATTGTCTGCAGAGATAGATATGTGCATCCTCTATTGCTCTTTGGGTCAAACACTTCCCATCCTGCTTATATTTCTCCAAGATTATTTAATTTCTACATTCCAACTCTTCACTTTGGAAAGTCTTACTATCACTCACTCAGATTTAAATTTCTGCGTCCTTTATGCATCACATCTCCCCACCTGCTCTCCTTGGATGTAAATTGGCTGAATGTCGAGAGAAAAATCATTCTTTGTTGCTCTGGTTCATCCTTCAGTGAACATACCCCAAGAACACTTGCTCCTAAACTATTTCTGTTTGCCAAGCAGCAGCCAGCCAGCAACCCACCCACCCACCTGATGGTTGGAGAAAGATGACAGAAGGGAGAAGAAAAGAAACTGGGGGAGGGGGCGGGGGGAGAAGAGAGAGAATCCACTGACCAATATCCTGGCCCTCTTCCAACCTGGGTAATTAGAGTCTGCCGCTATTTCGAACATTTTTCCCATTTGCAGTGTTTGTGCATGTGTGTGTGTATTGGGTAGGGGGAAGGGAACTCCATGAAAAAATTATTTTTTTCTGTTTTTTCTCAATCATGGCCCATTAGAAACAACCTTAAAATCATAAATATAATCCTGGGGAGAGAATCAAATGTCTCTGGGTTCCACCTCAAAAGAGCTCAGAGATAAGTAAACATGCAGTTTCCAAAGGTCTCAGACAGCTTTGGCAATCTCACAAAGCACCCTCCAAAAGCAGAAAGAAGGAAAGTTAAAATCAACACCCCCCCATTTTCTGGAACAATGTTAGAAGACAAGGAAGAGGGCTTGCTCCCTGCTGATGGCTCCTGCTTGACTCATCCACGTTTTGTCCTTGGCCTGTCCCTGCCTTGCTCTTCCAAACACCATCTCTCCAGGTGACATCCGGGGCACAGATGGGACTTGGGAGGATGGAAACATAAATTCTTGTAGCACAGCCAGCTCCCTCTTTTAGACAGATTGGGCTTTAGCCATTTGATAAACTAGAGGATTTAATTCAAGAGGGAGCAGCGAATTAAGTCTTAATACACAGCCAAGCAGTTTAAAACAATTTCCTTATCCAGTTTTTTTGCAAGACATCCACTATGTACACCTAATAGCAGAAAAGCACCAGCAGGTACCTTCAGGGGCTGGAGGGAGAGGCTTAAATAGTCCACCTCAAGCTTAATATTTTAATCATGAGTGTCACCTTGAAATTTGAAGAAAACTTTTTACTATACATACATGTACCTATAAAGTATGTGCTTAAAAAGTTTAGATTACTTAACCAGGTGATAAAAATTGATTGCTCATTTCTTTTATTGCCTTTATTCTTTCCTCTCCATGCTTTGTAGTGCATTTCTGGAAGCCCAAGAGGTACTAATGTCCCTGTTGGAGAAAGCCATCCCTGCCCCATGTCAGGCTATTTCATGACCCTGTGCCCCTTTTACATGTGAAGAGATAAAATTCTGGGAAAATGAATGAGGTTTATCTTCCCCTTAATCTTCAGGTTGCCCTGTAGATTCAAAAGCTTTGCTAAGAGGGCAAATAAGAGCCCTCCTAGCAATAAGAGCTAAGAGCCAGGAATGAGGCTCTGAATGGAGTTTTTAAAATTCAGAGCTGGGGAAATCGTTTTGAAAGCTGAAGTTTCCTATGTTAAAGTCAGACTTTTAGAGAGAGAAAGTGGAGTTTGAACCCTAAAAAGCTAATGGCTTGGGAGACTCGGAGAAGAAAATTTATAACATCAACTACAAAATAGAGTATATAGTAAAGTGTATTTCACAATCCTTTCTTTCTTTTTTTTCTCAATAAAAAGCTATTAAATTTCAAAAAGCTAGTAAAGGAAAGAAGTCAAAGGAATAAGACTTAATTTTAGGTAGTGGCTGTCTAAAGGACCCTTCTGCCCATATCTAGCCAGATCAAGAAAAACTAGTAAAACCTCCATGTAGGCTAGGTGTTTCCTGAGGAGAGGCAATCTGTAAGTTCCTTCCAGATGAAGCCCCCTTCCTGATCCCTCGCATGCTCCAACATCAAGTAGCCACAGACAAGTTGAAGAGCCATGTTTAGGCAAAGAAAGCTTGAGCAACTCCAATTCTCCTCAAGCCCTCAAGACTCAAGAATAGCATGCGACAGAGATGTCACAATAACACAATCAGACATGTTCCATGTTGATAAGTGTGTCTGGTGATGTGTCCCTCCCCATGCACTTGCATGAATGTTGCTGATAAATGACAAAATGCACACAGAGGAATGGATACAGCCCAGGTAAAGGAGAAGGGGCAGGAAGCAGAGACTATCACAGTCTTGAATGATCAAGTATTAAAATTAGTGACATTTTTAAAAGCAAGTTAAGGTTGAAGTAAATCAAGGATTCAATTAAGTCGGTCAATAATACTACGTGTGGATCACCTGAGGTCAGGAGTTCGAGACCAGCCTGGCCAACATGGTGAAACCCCATCTCTACTGAAAATACAAAAATTAGCTGGGCTTGGTGGTGTTCGCCTGTAATCCCAGCTACTCAGGAGGCTGAGGCAGGAGAATTGCTTAAATCCAGGAGGTGGAGGTTGCAGTGAGCAGAGATCGTGCCATTCCACTCCAGCCTGGGTGACAGAGCAAGTCTCCATCTCAAAAAATATTAATAATAATACCACAGTTGAACACTGTAGAACTTTTTACCCATGCCTAAAGTCTGACATCATTAAAGCCTCAAATATAATCCAAATGTGCATCTTCAGTGCCCTGTTAAAATATCAGAGGACATTTTCACTCTGCCATTGGAAAGACTGTATTGTATTAAATAAAATATTCTGAAACATTTCAACTTATCTTCATAGATGACCAGTTGTTATATTGGGTAACATTTATCTGTACAAATATCTCCACTTCTTCTTAGAAGTTTTCTATGTTAATAAATACCTGTTTGTCCAATAACCTTTCAGTAAACATCTATTGTAAGCTAAGTACTATGTTAGGAATATTGGCGTGAACCCCGGGGGGCGGAGCCTGCAGTGAGCTGAGATCGCGCCACTGCACTCCAGCCTGGGCAACAGTGAGACTCCGTCTCAAAAAAAAAAAAAAAAAAAAGAATATTGGTTCAGTGCCTAACACAGGGCTTTTATATAGTAGACATTTGATATTTATTGAACAATACATAAAAGATGGATAAAATACATCCTTGAGAAATTCGAGAGTTCTCAAGAATGTGTCAGTTGACCTATAAAGGTCGTCCAGTAGGCAAAAAGGATGCAAAATGGCCTGCAAGGAACTAGGAACTAGGACTCAGAAGCACAGGGCACTGTAGCTACTTTAGCCACAGATACTTCCTGGAAAGAGATTGATAAGGAATGTACAAGACAGTAGCATCAGACACCGTCACAGAAATGAGAATGACTGAGCGTGAGAAGTAGAGGTGCCTTCCAACAATGCCTGACCATACCTGAGCCCTCCAGAACTGAGACCTCTCCTGAGAGAATAGGACAAGAAGTGGGGTGAAGGAATCTTTAATTGAGTGAATTTTATCCCAAAGGGACTAAGGGAAATGTGACTGAATATATGTAGGTTTGGTAAGATTGCAATTTCTGCTCTTAGGAAAACAGGGAGGTTTTAAAATTAAGCTCAGTTCAGTTGTAGAGAAACAAAGAAAATTTCATATTTGTACTTTTCACCATAAAATTACCCATAATAGACAGATGAGAGAACTAGGGCTTTCTTGGTACTCACAGTTGGAATGTAACGGAGCACGTTTCCAACCCCAGGCTGCGTGGCTCCGGAATGACTGTTCTTTCCACTGCACAGTGCAGTCCCTGTAAAAGACTCTGTCTCAGCTTGTCAGAGGATTTTTTTTTAATTTGTTATTTACATTTCCAAATATTTTTACAAAAACAGTGTTTTTCTGGTGTGTAAACTTCATAATGGCTAGTATTAAACTGTTTTTCCAGTTGACGGCATCATGTAATTATCCAAACTCAACAGATCGCTGGGGATCTGAAAGTTTTCTCTTAGCTCAACAGGTGTGTATGTAACAGAGGAGATTTGTGACCACCAGTCCTCTATGCTAGGTGATTTACTTCTGCAGTCTGATTCCTCTCTTATTAAATTGTGGTCTGCAAACCTGCACCATCAGCAGCCCCTGGGGGCTTGCTGGAAATGCAAACTCTCCGGACACACCTTGGTCAACTAAATCAAAATCTGCATTTGCACAAGATTTCCTGGTGATTTGCATGCACGTTATAATTTGAGAAGCTCTGTTCTACTTGACTCTAAGGATTGCTTCAGGTATTTACAGGATTACAGTCAGCCCTTCATATCTTGGGTTCCACATCCATAGATTTAACCAACCGCAAATGGAAAAAATTCCACAAAGTTCCAAATCAAAATGAATTTGCCATGCAGTGATGTGATGGCATTGTATTAGGTATTGTAAGTAATCTAAAGATAATTTAAAGTATATGGGATGATGTTCATAGGTTATAGGCAAATACTACACCATTTTATATAAGGCACTTGAGTATCCATGGATTTTGATATCTGCAGGGGTCCTAGAACCAATCCTCCTCAGATACTGAGGGATGACTGTACTTGCAACCACAATTTTGAAAGAAAAAACCACGTACCCAAACTCATTATTATATATTTTACAATGTACTTTGCATTTCTTAGAACTCTTCAGATTGAAAGTGACAACTCCAACCTGCTTAAACTAAAAAGAGACATGAATGTGAAGGCTCAGGTTACCAAGGGAAGAATAAGAACACAGGCTTCTTAGATTAATAGAACCAGATAAAATGCCACCAGCCTCTCATCCTTGTTATTTTCAGCTTGTCTGCTTCATTCTCTCTGGGAAGGTACCTCCTCAAAGCCAAGTACATGGCTATGAATAAATCTCAACCCTCCACTCATCTGCGGGTTTTGTCATCCAAGTGGATTCGAAACTTTTTCTCAAGCTCCAGCCCAGAAAACATCTATGAAAATTCTCTATTTAGCTAGCTTAGTTCAACTGTCCATCTGGGATCATCAACTGTGCTGAAGAGCCTAGAGTTTGGAAGTGAGGGGGTGAGGGACTTTCATAAGAAGAAGATGGCAGCTTTATTAAAACTACACAGTTGGTGTGGAGTTAAGCACATTTCTCAGATGAAAGGGCAAGGCAGTGCTGTAAGAAGGAGGAGGAAGTGCCAGGTAGGCAACCCAACAGCGTCTACTATATGCCAGGTTCCTTTCATGCCTCTCATTTTTTTGCTGTATTTCTTGAATATATATTTCTTTATTGAATATATATTCTCAAGTTCATGAACAATATACAACTTTAGGTCAAGGTCAAAAAATGTGGGCATAATAACAAAACACAATAAAATTTTTAAAAAATGATGTTTCTCAAAGTTGATTCTTTAACACATGATAATATTCCTAATAGAAAGGAGCAATGAACTGGAGAGACACATGCATCCTCGTTACCAAAAACATAATGGGCATCAGTTATGTGTGTTTCGTTTAACCAGTGGGATTAGCAAACAAATGCTCTCCTGCTTTTATTGACACTTCTTTCTCAGATTCAAAATTTACTTATTAAACTGATAGCACAAGTTCCCTCACTAACCCACTCTAGGCCAATAAACCTCTTTGTTAGTCCTCAAATACACCAAACTTTTTCCCAGGTCATTGCAATTGCTGTTCTTGCTAACTGGAATGATGTCCCTCTAGAACATCCCTTGGCTCACTCCTTCTCTTCATTCAAGCCTCTGCTTAAAGTCACCACCTTGACCATGCTACCCAAAGCAACTGCACCCACATACATGGACACACACACACCAGACCGTACTACTCTGACCTCTGCTAGTATTTTTCATAGCACTTATCACTACTTGGCATAACATATTTATCCATTTTCTTATCTGTGTCTTGTCTGCTTCCCCCAGAGTGTAAGCACCACTAGGGCAAGGACTTTTACTATCTTTCGCCTCTGTATTCCTCACAATAGAACAGTCCCTGACACCTAGTCATCGCCTGCTAAATTTTTGTCTAGTGAAAAAAACAAGATAGGATGTGTGAAGCCATAATAACGGAAGAGTGGTCAGCACAGTTGTCACACTTTCTGAGGATGGTGGAGGGAGATGGAGTGTAGGGTAAGATAGAAAGACGTTAAAACCAAAAAAGAAATGAGAGTCTGTCCAGGAGTTTAGCAAATAACGGTGATAATCTCCAGGAGAATGGAAAACAGTCAAGCAGCCCCCAAAAGGAGACATGGGGCTGGAAAGTTAGAGATCTGGTGCTAGTCTCTGCAACATCTTTGCTAATTGTACCAGATTTCTCTTGCCAAATTTTCAGTAGACATAGGAAGCTGTCTCATTGATCATCATCTACAGCCACACAGATAGAAGATACAAAAGGCACATTTTACTCATGCTCAGAAGTGGCCTGCTATTAAATTAAAAGAAAGCTCTGTGCTCGCCTCTTCCCCAAACTTAATTAGACACTCCTGAAGCCATGATCAGGAAGCACATAAAACAGAGAGTTGGAAAATCCAGATTCAAACTCCAGCTCTTCACTCCATTTGCTTCATGACTCCGGGCAAATCAGCAGCCCTCCACCCCTGCATCAATGTCTTCATCCTCTCAGGCAGATGCTCACTGCTCCTTGGCCGATTAGTGTCATTACATGTTTGTCACCCATACTATTAAGAGACTGAATATATAAACTGGCTATAAACAGACAATAGCCAGACCATCTATAGATATAGAGCCCTGACCCATAATCTCAGCAGCCACCAGTCCAAGAGATGAACCACAATCTCTGTAGCAATTTGCCCATACTATCCAGGATTTGATAAATAATTAATGGCTTTCCTAATTTTTGTCCCCACTTACAATTTAGGCCCACCAAAGAAAGCCAATATTGTTCCCTTAACCAATATTAGAGATATTATTATCCCTTAACCCTCTTCTAGATAGCCCACTTCCAGAGTCCCTGTGATGAACTCCGATCAGGACGTAGCTGAAACCTTCTTTATTCACACCAAAGCTTTCTCACTCCTCTAACTGCCTTTGAGATCTGCCAAACATGAGCAATGGTAGCTGACTCCCTTGCTATAGCAAGCTCTGGATAAATAACCTTTGTTTAGTCTCATTAGGGTGGCTTTTGTTTATGCATGAAGGAAGTTAAGCTGCAGCAGCAAACAGAATGCCAGGCACAGAATAGGTGCTCCATAAACATTCAGTGGAATTGAGCTGATCAGAATCTACAACAGACTGATAATAATAACTACCTCACACACACACAGTGTGGCTGTAAGGATTAAATTAGATCATCCAAGTAAAAACATTTTGAAAACTATAATGTGCTATGGAGTCATAAGGTATTATTAAGTTAAAAACAATGTACAATCAAAACCACATAGAAGAGTATGAGTATAATGCTGCTTTTCTGTGGATTCTTAATGATGAGAGACTCTTCGAATTATTTCCAGCCTTTTGGTTATGTGAATTAAATAGCCAAGCAGGAAGAAATTCTTTCAAAATAGGCTGTTAACTGTCCAAAGTCTTACTGGAAAAAATTCTGGAACTCCTAACCCTCTCTTCTTGCTTTCATCCGATTCAAACTGTACCTTCTCAATTCTCTTTCCTCCTCTGGCTAAAATCACATATCTTTGAACTTGCCTGCTTATGCCAGAGCAAAAAACATAAAAGATTGAAGAAAGCAAGTAGTCAGGATTCATCTTTGGTGTCCCCTGCCTGAGAGGCATTTTTTCCTAGCCTTTTGATTTCCTGTACCCTGGATTGAGCTCGTCTAAGCTATTTGATGCTTCCCTCCCTCATTTTCTGACTTACCTGAACTCAAATAGCCCCCTGCCTGTAGCCTGCCTGGCCCTACTGCCTCTATCTAGTCCTGTTAACCTGTGCTCACCCTCAATATTCTGCTTCCTACCTGCTTAACTATCATGCCTCATCTAGTCTCCAAACTCCAAACTTCCAATGACTGGGACTTTATTGTTAAGGTGGATTGGATCCTCAAGCAAAGCAAAGGACTGAGACTAACTTGCTGGCTGCCCAGAGACAAAGTCTTCCTTGGTCGCATTTTCTGGTTGAGGTCATCAGAGACCGGGATCTGTTCCTAAGTTGTGCAGGTCAAGAAATTCAGCAGTCAGTCTCTCAAATGACGATCAGCCATTTAAGGATAGCTTCGACCAAACTCACAAGAAAGTAATAAATAACCTGGAATGGCTGCCATTTATTTATTGAACAAGACACTGTGCTAAGAGCTTTGTGGACATGAACTACATGAACTCCTTTAGTTCTCACTACAACCAGAGGAAGTAAATGCAAGTGAGCCCCCATCTTAGGTAAGGCTGCTTGGGTTCACAGAGATTATGTAATTTGCCTGTGGTTACACATTTGGTGAGTTCATTTTGAATGTTGATCTGACTCCAAAATTCTTGCTCAGACACCATGTTAGATGTCTTCATTTTCAGTAAGAATATAATTGTTAGTCAGCCAGATCTTGGGATAGCATAAGCAGTGAATTTTATACCTATAGGAAAACTTCTGCACAATTGCTTATGTATTTCCCATGGTTGGTTTTATTTTCTTTTTACTAGCTCCTGTTGACACAGTTTTGGATAATGACATGTAAGAAGAAGTCTGCTTAGAATTTTTTTTGGAAATGTTTTCTCTCCCAAATATTAATGCCATACAATTTTCAATTTCAATTTTCCTATAAATATTAAATTCAGTCTTTATGCCAGCCCATTTGGCTACATGAAAAGCCAAATTGTCATTTTTAGAGTTGACAAGAAGCTTAGAAAGGAAGCAAAAAGAGTGAATTGGGTGACATATATGTCCAAATAACTGTGAGCTACTTGAGGGAAAGAAATTGAACTTTTATCTAGCATTGTGTCTGGTACATTGATGCTCAATAAATACTGGCCAAATAAATAATGGCACTTTCTGTAGTTATTTAATGTACCTATTTCCATCATAAGAATATGTATTGTGTGGAAGACACTGATAATTACTATGTCAGCCAAAGTTCCATCAGGAAACTAAGAGCATACATGTACGTTAGGATGAGTTGAGGGAAATTTAATAAGGGGAATATTAATATTTACAAAAGTGTGGGGAAGATGTAGGAAAATTGCATAATCCTCAGGCTGTCGCCACCTCATAAGCCTCAAGAGACAAGGGAAGGAATGACTGCTGGAACCCAGGAAAAAGGTTTATATAAAGGGCCATCTTGAGAAAATGCATGATCATTGTTTGAGGGCACAGCCACCCCTGGGTAACCTTGCATGGAAAGAGCTGAGGAAGAAATATACCCTGACCTCTCTCCCTTTATTCCCTCCAGTCTCCTGCCTGTAAGCCAAAGGTCTGGGAGCACAATAATGCAATCCATAAAGATCAGCTTCCACAAGCAGAAAGAATGGAGAAGGTTGGAAAATGGATCAACGGGGACAAAATTTCTGCACAACTGCTTATCTATTTCCCATGGTTGTTTTTATTTTCTTTTTAATAGCTCCTGCTGACACAGTTTTGGACAACGACATGTAAGAAGTCTGCTTAGAATTTTTGGAAATGGGCCGGGTGCAGTGGCTCATGCCTGTAATCCCAGGACTTCGGGAGGCCAAGGCGGGTGGATCACCTGAGGTCAGGGGTTCGAGACCAGCCTGACCAACATGGTGAAACTCTGTCTCTACTAAAAATACAAAATTAGCCAGGCATAGTGGCGCACGCCTGTAATCCCAGCTACTCAGGAGACTGAGGCAGGAGAATCATTTGAAGCTGGGAGGTGGAGGTTGCATTGAGCCAAGATCGCATCATTGCACTTCAGCCTGGGCAACAAGAGCAAAACTCCATCGCAAAAAAAAAAAAAAAAAAAAAGAATTTTTGGAAATGTTTTCTCTTCCAAATATAAATGCCATTTCTTCTTTCTTGTACTTCATTTATTCTTCTTCCTACCTGAATACACAGAAGCTAGAGGAATAACAGCCATCTTGTTACCATGAGGCAAACTGAGGATGACAGCCAACGACAGCAAAGCAGAAACATGGAAGGTGGCTGGATCTCTGGTAGTAGCAGCCCCATATGGTCTATCACCAGACTTCCATGTGAGAAAAATGATCCTCCACTGGGTTAAGTCATGGGAGTCAGCATTGTATTTTATGCAGCCATACTTAATCCTTAATTGATGTATCTTCCAAGCACCAGAAAGGAGATAGCCAAGTTAGGTCCTCTTCCCTGGACAGTGTTGGCCATACACACCCAAGTGTTGCCACTCTAAATGAATTATGCATGCATTCATGTATCAATGTATATATTTATGTACTTCCTTGCTGAGAACTGCTCTTTCATCCTCACACTTTTTGGCATTCTATTGTTAAAGCTATCATCAAGTTTTGGTAACCCGAGAGTTATTCTCCCTCCTTAGAGTGAGTTACAGGGCTCTTTTCTCATCTGTTGTGTTCTGATTTCATGGACCAAACTCTTAGAGTTCCAGAAATGACTTTCTGTCACTGTCTGCCATTAACAGGTCTAGGGCTGAAAAGCAGAATAAATAATAATAAATGACAAAATAAATGACTAATATTTGATAAACATTTACTGTGTGCCAGATGGTATGGCTTATTTCATTCTTCTAATCTCATTTTATAAATCAGAAAACTGAGGCTTAGAGAGATTACATTTCTTGGCCAAGGCCACCCAGTTAGCAAGAGTAACAGCCAGTATTCCAGCCTTGGTGGTCTAACTTCAGAACCTGTATTCTTGCATGACAATGTAGTCGGCTGGTTAAGCGTGTGTTCTCTGAAGTCAGACTGCCTAAATTCTAAACCCAGCACTGCTGTTTAGCAGCTACACAAACATGGACAAGGTGATTAACTTCTTTATGTGTTGGTTTCCACACCTATAAAATGGGGATAATAATTGTCTTAGTCAATTTTATGCTCCTGTAACAGATAACAACAGAATGAGTAATTTATAAAGAACAGAAGTTAATCTTTTTAAAAAGAAAAATTCTCATAATTTTATTATATTTAATTTCGTTTTAATGTATTGTTTATTGTGAAGAGGTTATATAGATATATAGTAAAAAGTTTTAAAACCACAAAATGGAATGCAGTCAAAAGTAAGTCTTCCTTTCTCTGCTGTGTGCAGCTTCCTAATCTTTCTCCCTAAGACTACCTCTAATGCCAGTTTATTATAGGTATGTCCAGAAAGATTCTGTGAATTTATAAACATAAATGTATGCACATTCTTTTTTTCCTCTATCACACAAATTGTGGCATACTATATATAGTATTTTATGTGCTTATTTTTTTTCTTTTGTACCTTTTATTTATTTATTTATTTTGATACATAATAGATACATATTTTTCTGGGTATGTGTGATAATTTAATATATTTGTATAATCAAATCAGGGTAATTAGGCTATCCATCACCTTAAATATTTATCATTTCTTTATGCTATAAATACTTGAACTATTCTCTTCTAGCTATTTTGAAATATGCAATAGATTAATGTTAAGTATAGCCACCCTACTGATCTATTGAACACCAGGTCTTATTTCTTCCATCTAACTGTATATCTGTACCCATTGATCAATATCTCTTTATCCCTCTCTCCCCCATACCGTTCCCAGGCTCTGGCAACCGCCAATCTACTCTTTATCTTTATGAGATTCACTTTTTCAGCTCCCACATACAAGTGAGAACATATGATATTTGTCTTTCTGTGCTTGGCTTATTTCATTTAACATAATGACCTCCAGTTCCATCCATGTTAGTGCAAATGACAGGATTTCATCATTTTATATCTAAAAAAACTTTCATTATGTATGTATATTACATTTTCTTTATCCAGTCTGCCATTGATGGGCACTTAGGTTGACTCCATATTTTGGCTATTGTGAATAGTGCCACAGTAAACATGGGAGTGCAGATATCCCCTTGATATATTGATTTCCTTTCTTTTGGATATATCCCCAGCAGTGGAATTGCTGGATCATACAATAGTTCTACTTTTAGTTTTTAAAGCAACCTCCACGCCGTTCTCCATAGTGTCTGTACTAATTTACATTCCCACCAATAGTGTATGAGGGTTGCTTTTTCTCCACATCCTTACCAGCATCCATTATTCCCTGTCTTTTTTATAAAAGCCATTCTAAGTGGGGCGAGATGATATCTCATTGTGGTTTTGATTTAAATTTCCCAGATGACTAGTGATGCTGAGCATTTTTTCATATATCTGTTGCCCATTTGTATGTCTTTCAAGAAATGTCTATCCAGATCTTTTCAAACCATAGCAATAATGATGCATTTTATTAGCATTAAATGAGTCAATGCACAAATAGTGTTTAACTCAGCATCTGGCATAAAATGGCTACTTGGTAAATGTTAGCTCTTATTATTCCACCACAGAAGTTATATGTTGGCTCTGCTCAGACATATAAAAATAAAGATAAAAGAGGTGGAAGAGATGGCATCTTTTCAGAGCCTAAGTGAAATGACAAAAGCACAGGCCTCTGAGACCTAGGCAAGTCATTTACCATCTCTGACCCTCTCTTTTCATATCTCTAAAATGAGAACAAAAATCTGTGCCTACTTCACAGTGTTTTATGAGTATCAAATGAAGTAACCTATGGAAAGAATTCATAAACTGTAAAGCACTGTATAAATCTGTCATTTGATTTTTTTCTCATCCACTTCTCCCAAGAGTTCTGGGCAATGGCCAGAAGCAATGTCTCCTCTGCATACAATATGTTACAGTCACTTTTAATAAAGTTTTAGAGCAGTTTTTCAAACCTTTCATAGAACTCTTTAAATTAGAGTGACCTACACTCAACTGTTGGGCTCAAAACATGTCCCAGCTATGATGTCAAGATCTTAACATTTCATGGGTTCTTCATTCATGGAATGCCCCTTTTAATGTTTAAGCTTGAAAAGTCATAGTTTCCAATGCAGATGCTTCAACCTATGACTAATTTATTCATTCAGTTTATTGAATGCTTTTTATAGATTAGGCCCTTACTTGTCACTGGAGATACAACAGTAAATCAGAAAGTGCTATCTTATAGACTCACTGCCTTCATGAATATAGACATGAAGACATATAATTACAATACAGTTTGCCCAGAAGTGAAATTCTACCTAAGGGAATGAAGTCTTCAAGATAATATAAAAGTCGAGTCTTGAAGAAAGACATGCAGGGGAGGATAGGAAAAGGGGCAGGCAGTTCTTTAAGTCCACCTGTACTGCAATGGCACCAAGTATATTCTGTTAGAGGAAGTTTCAGTCCCTTCTTTAGCCACGTGCCTCATTCATCTGGTCTTTCTGTTGCAGAGAAAGGCACAGAGAGAAAGATGAGGAGCTGGGATTTGAAGAGGTAAAGACAAACTTTTTACCTAATTGCCTCAAGCTCATCAAAGGAGTATAGGCCAGGTTCCCACACCCTACTATTTTCTTTAGAAATCTTAGTGTCTTCCTGAAGGATTCTGAAAAATCTTCAGTTTTTCAGGTTTTCTCCTCCCATCTCACTCCCCAGGGTAGTATTTGGATGTTTGTGGGCGGTTGCTATGGTCAGAATGTTTGTGTTCTTCCAAAATTTGTAGTCGTTGTAGTCATCAATGTGTTGATGTTGGGAAGTGGAGTCTTTGGAAGGTGACTAGGTCACAATGGTGGAACCTTCATAAATGAGATTTAGAGCCCTTTAAAAAGCTGTCCTACAGAGCTGCCTTGTTTCTTTCATCATGCGAAGACACAGCTAGAGTGCTCCATCTATGAGTCAGAAAGCAAGCCCTTACCAGACACCAAATCTGCTGGTACTTTGATTTTGGATTCCAGAACTGTGAGAAATAAAGTTCTGTTGTTCATAAGCTACCCAGTTCACGGATTTTGTTATAGCAGCCCAAACACACTAAGATAGCAAAGGGAGGAATTTAAATAAACTAGTCAGAATATTTTTTACCACTTTTTTAAAAAGTTTTAAAAATTACTTTTGGTGACTTTAATAAATATTAAAGTAAATAAATCAGTGTGTATTTTGCAAGAAGCTGCTACATTTTTTTAAACTCTTTAAAAGTCTTTAAAATTCATTGCACTGATGGTCAGATATTTGCTATTAAAATTATAAAGATGACATTCTAAGGTGAAAATATATCTTCAGAAACAAGTGTTTTTTTCTTGGGTATTCTTGGTCTTTCCAGCTTTGGGAAGAGTTCTTTCAGGAGGGGACTTTATCTGAAGAGTGATAAAGAAACAAGAGATTCAGTCAATCCAATGACTTTTAGTGATCTTCACTAAGCTGGTTCTGGGTGCCCCCAGAATACAAAGGTGAGCTGGACACAGACCCTGTGCTGGAGGAGATCACGGACCAGAACTGTGAGCAATTTATGATTTCTGACCCATCTTGCCACCTAAAAACAATCTTGAATTCTCCATTCCTGGTAAACTCCAAAGCCAGGTTTACCAGCCACTAACTCTGGGTCACAAATAAAAGTGCCAAATCTGAGATCACAGAAAACTCACTTTGATCTATTCATCCCATTGTACCTGAATCTGAAGGTTTCAGCAGCAAACAAAAGACATTTTATGATGGAGGCCTTTTTCCTAATGGTTAGACTTTAATACCCAAGTGTCCTCTGTACCACTTGCTAGCACGCCCCTTGATTATTCCAGAGTCTTAGATCACTGGTCTTCCTGTCTATCAACCCAGCTCCCTCTGACCTAATGTAATCAATGCTCTTCATATAACATAAAGTTTATTCCCCTAAGTGTTATTCCATCTTTGAAATTATATTTTTTTAATTATACTTTAATTTTGGGGGTACATGTGCACAATGTGCAGGTTTGTTACATATGCATACATGTGCCGTGTTGATGTTGCTGCATCCATCAACTCATGATTTACATTAGGTATTTCTCCTAATGCTATCCCTCCCCCAGCCCCCCAGCCCCGGACAGGCCCCGGTGTGTGATGTTCCCCTCCCTGTGACCATGTGTTCTCATTGTTCCACTCCCACTTATGAGTGAGGACATGCGGCGTTTGGTTTTCTTATCTTTTAAAATTCAGCTTTATTGCTCATCTCTGTCTGTATCCACCAAACACAAAATAAAGTAGATATCTGGAAATTCTCCATTTATTTGATCTTTGCAGATAACAAAATCAGGTCTTTTGATCCAGGGAACCAACTCTGCAGCATCAGCTTTCCCATTTGACCTTGTGATTGAAATTTATTAAATAATCACCAAATCTTCACTACATAATGGGACTGATTATATGAGTGAGCGATTTCACTTGAGGCAAAGAAGGATTTTATTACATATCATTTACATTTTTTAAATTCAGCACTTTGAGGACTATCACTCACATTTGGAAAAAATATTATTTGCCTGGCACATGGGAAATGCTCAATATATATTTGTGAAAAATGAATGAATAAGTGAATAATTGAATGAAGGTTTGTATTTTTAAAGGCTAATGTGCAAAATCACTGTGAAAGTGGGCATATAGTTTAAAAAAAAACTTGGAGCAAGAGAATGGCATCGTCAGATTGGTATTTTAAAAGAGCATGCTTATTTTATTTAACCATTACTAGTTTCCTAGGTGCAATATATAATAGTCTACAATTTAGTAAATAGGTCAAAGAAAGACCAATTCAGATTCAACCCATCAGAAAATTCTCCTGTTTCTAAACTCAACCTAAGAAATGAGAAAATCGGCACTTCTATTAGCCTCTGAATATTCCACATATATTTGTTTTTTCCTTCCAGGAAGAATATACAGTTCTACTGGAATATTAAACAAAAAGTAGGGCAAGATCTCTATTCTCAGAAAATAGAGATCTTGCCCTACTTTTTATTTAATTTTCCAGTATGATGGGTGCTAACTCAGTACCTCCAAGGTTAGTTATTTATCACATTGACCTCTGTAGCCTACAAACACCTCTCTGCTATACCCACACTTTCTCCATCTCCAAAACTTGCTCATTCATTGAATAAATATAGCATCCTAGGGCTTGAGTGAGCATCTGGCAATTCAATGGCCCCTGACTTCGAAGTATTTACTGTCTAAGACAATGGTTCTCAAACATTAGTGAGCAACTACCCCACCCGAAGAGCTGAAGTGCAGCTGAGAATTTGTATTTCTAACATGGGTCCAGGTAATGTAGGTTCTGGTCGCTGGGACCATATTTTGAGAACCACTAGTCTAGTGGATTCCTGAGAATTCTTGAAAGAAACTGGCAAAGTAGAGGAGGAAGCCAAGAGCCTTGTTGCAAAGCACCCATAATCCTTACACTAATATCTCAAAAAATAACTCAAAAAATGCTCCACCTTACTGAACATTTTTTGTAACAAAAATGTTTTGTAACAACTCTTACTGAAAGCTTGAAAATCTTCCCCTTGTCAGAAATTCTAATTCTTAAATAGGGAATCCTTTCCCCATTGCTTGTTTTTCTCAGGTTTGTCAAAGATCAGATAGTTGTAGATATGCAGCGTTATTTCTGAGGGCTCTGTTCTGTTCCATTGATCTATATCTCTGTTTTGGTACCAGTACCATGCTGTTTTGGTTACTGTAGCCTTGTAGTATAGTTTGAAGTCAGGTAGTGTGATGCCTCCAGCTTTGTTCTTTTGGCTTAGGATTGACTTGGCAATGCGGGCTCTTTTTTGGTTCCATATGAACTTTAAAGTAGTTTTTTCCAATTCTGTGAAGAAAGTCATTGGTAGCTTTATGGGGATGGCATTGAATCTGTAAATTACCTTGGGCAGTATGGCCATTTTCACGATATTGATTCTTCCTACCCATGAGCATGGAATGTTCTTCCATTTGTTTGTATCCTCTTTTATTTCCTTGAGCAGTGGTTTGTAGTTCTCCTTGAAGAGGTCCTTCACATCCCTTGTAAGTTGGATTCCTAGGTATTTTATTCCTTTGAAGCAATTGTGAATGGGAGTTCACTCATGATTTGGCTCTCTGTTTGTCTGTTGTTGGTGTATAAGAATGCTTGTGATTTTTGTACATTGATTTTGTATCCTGAGACTTTGCTGAAGTTGCTTATCAGCTTAAGGAGATTTTGGGCTGAGACAATGGGGTTTTCTAGATATACAATCATGTCGTCTGCGAACAGGGACAATTTGACTTCCTCTTTTCCTAATTGAATACCCTTTATTTCCTTCTCCTGCCTCATTGCCCTGGCCAGAACTTCCAACACTATGTTGAATAGTAGTGGTGAGAGAGGGCATCCCTGTCTTGTGCCAGTTTTCAAAGGGAATGCTTCCAGTTTTTACCCATTCAGTATGATATTGGCTGTGGGTTTGTCATAGATAGCTCTTATTATTTTGAAATATGTCCCATCAATACCTAATTTATTGAGAGTTTTTAGCATGAAGGGTTGTTGAATTTTGTCAAAGGCTTTTTCTGCATCTATTGAGATAATCATGTGGTTTTTGTCTTTGGCTCTGTTTATATGCTTGATTACATTTATTGATTTGCGTATATTGAACCAGCCTCCATGGTGCTGGGAAAACTGGCTAGCCATATGTAGAAAGCTGAAACTGGATCCCTTCCTTACACCTTATACAAAAATCAATTCAAGATGGATTAAAGACTTAAATGTTAGACCTAAAACCATAAAAACCCTAGAGGAAAACCTAGGCATTACCATTCAGGACATAGGCATGGGCAAGGACTTCATGTCCAAAACACCAAAAGCAATGGCAACAAAAGACAAAATTGACAAATGGGATCTAATTAAACTAAAGAGCTTCTGCACAGCAAAAGAAACTACCATCAGAGTGAACAGGCAACCTACAAAATCGGAGAAAATTTTCGCAACCTACTCATCTGACAAAGGGCTAATATCCAGAATCTACAATGAACTCAAACAAATTTACAAGAAAAAATCAAACAACCCCATCAAAAAGTGGGCAAAGGACATGAACAGACACTTCTCAAAAGAAGACATTTATACAGCCAAAAAACACATGAAGAAATGCTCATCATCACTGGCCATCAGAGAAATGCAAATCAAAACCACAATGAGATACCATCTCACACCAGTTAGAATGGCGATCATTAAAAAGTCAGGAAACAACAGGTGCTGGAGAGGATGTGGAGAAATAGGAACACTTTTACCCTGTTGGTGGGACTGTAAACTAGTTCAACCATTGTGGAAGTCAGTGTGGTGATTCCTCAGGGATCTAGAACTAGAAATACCATTTGACCCAGCCATCCCATTACTGGGTATATACCCAAAGGACTATAAATCATGCTGCTATAAAGACACATGCACACGTATGTTTATTGCGGCATTATTCACAATAGCAAAGACTTGGAACCAACCCAAATGTCCAACAATGACAGACTGGATTAAGAAAATGTGGCACATATACACCATGGAATACTATGCAGCCATAAAAAATGATGAGTTCATGTCCTTTGTAGGGACATGGATGAAATTGGAAATCATCATTCTCAGTAAACTATCGCAAGAACAAAAAACCAAACACCGCATATTCTCACTCATAGGTGGGAATTGAACAATGAGATCACATGGACACAGGAAGGGGAATATCACACTCTGGGGACTGTTGTGGGGTTGGGGGAGGGGGGAGGGATAGCACTGGGAGATGTACCTGATGCTAGATGACGAGTTGGTGGGTGCGGCGCACCAGCGTGGCACATGTATACATATGTAACTAACCTGCACAATGTGCACATGTACCCTAAAACTTAAAGTATAATTAAAAAAAAAAAAGAAATTCTAATTCTTTTTTTTAAAAACTTCTTAATGGAGATAGAGGAGAAGTTCTGAATCAGAACTATAAAAACTATCTTATATTTGAGTATTTTTCTGTTTATTTATAAATGACTTGCCAAATGTACTAAATATGGTTTTCCCCAGCCTTTTGCAAAATTAGAGACTTTTGTGAAAATATGTCTTAACATAATCAGAAGTGTCATTTTCCATAAAAATATTTTTATAAATTTACACTCAGGTTTTTGTAAACTTTTAATCTGTTCAGTTAATAATGATTCAAAAAATACATAACTGCCCTCTCCCTGTAAATAATGCAAATAATATAAACAAGGTGAAGCCCTTTTTGAGTCCCAATTCCCCACCTCTTCCCCTCCCTGACCTGGAGTTAAGCACTTAGTCTGATGTGTATCATTTCAGCGTTTTTTCTGTTCAATTTCACCTTGTGTATACATAGAAATGTACGACTTGTTTTTATTTTTAACATCAATGCTATTGTAGTTGGTATGGTTTAGCTGGGTTCCCGCCCAAATCTCATTTCAATTGTAGTTCCCATAATCCCCATGTGTCATGGGAGGGACCAAGTGGGAAGTGATTGGATCATAGGGGTGGTTTTCTCCATGTTGTTCTCATGATAGTGAGTGAGTTCTCACAAGATCTGATGGTTTTATAAGCCTCTGCCATTTCCAGTGCTGGCACTTCTCTCTCCTGCCACCATGTAAAGAAGAATATGTTTGCTTCCCCTTCTGCCATGATTTTGTTAAGTTTCCTGAGGCCTCCCCAGCCATGTGGAACTGTGAGTCAATTAAACCTCTTTCCTTTATAAATTACCAGCCTCAGGTATGTCCTTATAGAAGCATGAGAATGGAGTAATACAGTAATATCTGTATTATTCTGCAACTGGCCTTTGCCCCTTAAAGTGTTATGGTGCAGGTATTCTTACGAAGCCATTTAGGTAGACCTACTTCACTAATTCTAATGCCTGCATAGTATTCCATATTATGGAAATGCCATCATTTGTCATAATTACCCCTTTTTTTAAACAGCCATTTAGGTTGTTTCTAATCTTTTACTATTGCTAACAATGGCCAATTCTTGGGTTTGCCCTGTTTTGAAAAGATTCAAGCATGATATTGCTAAGTCTAAGGGTATAGCATGTACATTAAAATCTTACATTTAAAAATGGCATTGCCAAACAGCCCTTTCAAAGGGCTACACCAATTTTCACTCCAAAAACAGTGTTAAAATTAATCCTTTTCCCCATACCGTCACCCACGCTGTTTATAATAGAACTTTCCAAATTTGCATGTTGTAGATGTTCAAAAACATCTTATAAAAATGATCCTTCAATCCCAATGCATCTTCTGAATTTGCATTCTATTAAATCTCCGCCTGCTAGAGTATATAAATTGTTTTCATTTGAACTGATTTTATTTTCCATTTTCTCCCTAAAGAAATTCTTCTAAGTAATAGAGATTCCAGTCTCTTCAGAGTTTCTCTGAGTTCACCTACATCCTTTTAAGAAGGCATGAACTCCAAAAAGAAATACATCAAAATATTAATGGTAATTGCTTTCTGGGTGATAGGTGATTTTTTTATTATCCTTGCTGTTGTTTCCAAGTTTTCTCTAATAGCTAATATTTGTAGAGTGCTTTCTATTTTCCAGACACTGTTCTAAGCAGTCTCCAAGCTTTATTTCATTTTATCTTCAAAACGAGCAGATGAGGCAAGTCCCACCATTTTTCCTATAATATACACAAGACTAAGAGAGGTGAAATATCTTTCCCCAAATCCCATAGCTATGAAGGATTTGAGCACAGGCAGGCTGATTCTACAACTAACTACTGTACCATACTACCACCTATGAACATGTACTTTTTTTATAATTTGATTAAATAAAATAATATTTAAATATCAACTGAAAGCAACATTATGTATAATAACCAAAGATCAATAGCATTGCGACCTGTGAGCTTACTCCTCCCAGGGGGAGGCTTACCTTCTTAGCCACACCAAGACTTTTCCCAGCGTCACCCCTGCCCAAAGATTTAAAGATACAAGCTTCAACAAGATCTAGATTTTACAGTCTTTTAATCCTCCTATAATTCATTCTATAATTCATTTTTATCAGCTTTTCTTTGTCTCCTGTGAAGACATCTTGTTGCATAAAACACACACAGTAATTTAATTGTTGGCTTCTGTGTGTAATATACTTAGCCAGTTTCTGCTTATTTTTTGAAGATCCTCAAATCCCACTCTTTAGCTGATAGTTTATCTTTTTTAATATCAATTGGAATTGCCGCAACACCCAACACTGACACACAGTTTCCAGAGCAAAGCTCCGTGGTCAGACTCCCAAGCTCCTTAGTAGTGGTGGCAATGACTGAGAATCACCATCAAAGAACATCAACAGATTGCATTACAATCTGTCAATCGTTCTCTAGAGAGAGGAACTGGCAACTCGTTATATTAAAGAACCACAATCAAGCATCTGGAATATGGCAGTGCATGTCGGTTTTCTGTGAACTGATGAGTTTCAGCAATTTAGAATCCTGCACTTTTTGACATAATATTATCCACAGCATCTCTAATACAAATGTACAATCCATGTGAATCACAATTGTCATTCAAGCCACACCTTAGTGAATGTCCTCTCTGTTTCAGAGATTTAGCTTTAGAGTTACATATAGACTTATTCTGATGAGACAATTGTGTATTTTTTAAATTCTAATTAACAAAAAATCTTCCCTCTTCATTTGCCTCCTGCCAGTAGGAAAATTAAGACAGCTTCTTAATAAGACATTTGTGTCAATTCCTATCCTGTTAAGTAATAACCTCCTTATTTTTTTTTCACATAGGGAGGGTCAACAACTAGAGCAGATAGGCTGAAAAAGCCTAAAATCATCATTGTCCTGGCTACAGTTATTGAGCACTCATCATGTGTCCAGCACTGTGGCTCTATTTCACGAGCATTATTTCATTGAATCTCCCCAAGTGTCCTGTGGTGCCAGGATTACTATTATTCCCATGTTACAAAGAAGGAAAGTGACCTTTAGAGATTATATAGTTTGCACAAAGTCATATAGCTAGTAAGTAGCAGAGCTGGGATTATCTATCAGTTAGCTTTGCTGCATAACAAGCTACTCCAAAATGTAGTGGTTTAAGAAAGTAACCATTTATTTAACTCACAAATCCTTAGGTCAGCAATTTGGTCTGGACTCAATTGATCTCACCTGGGCCTCACCCATGTGCCCGCAGTCAGCTATTGGCTAGTTGGGATACCTGGATTCTCATCCACGTGGCTTCCCATTTTGCAGAAACCTAGCTTGGACTCATTCATATGGTAGTTGCAGGGTTCCACTCACAGCTAGAGAGGGCAAGTCTCAATGTGCTCACACTTTTTGATCCTCCGTACTAATCATAATCTCAAAAGACACAATCCCAAATGTTGAAATCCCAAATGATCAAAGTCCCTAAAATTTAAATCCCTAAAGTCTGAAATATCTAGCATCTTAAAATTCTGAAAATCACAAGTAGTGCATTTTTTATTGTATATGTGATAGTTGCATCATGTTACCTTCATCATGTTAGGTGGAACTATTACCTTGTTGTTATCTTATTGGGAATTTAGTAAAGTTAAGGAGATACATATATGTGCCAAGTTGATAAGGGGTAGACTTGTGAACTTAATTCTAAATGTCAACTTGACTGGATTAAGAAATACCTAGAAACCTGGTCAAGCCTTATTTGAGGTGTGTCTGCAGAGTGTTTCCAGAAGAGATAACTGTGTGAGTCTAAGTGGACTACGGGAGAAAATCTGCCCTCAATATTGGTGGGTGTATTAATCTGTTCTCATGCTACTAATAAAGACATACCCAAGACTGGGTAATTTATGAAGAAAAAGAGGTTCAATTGACTCACAGTTCTATATGGCTGGGGATGCCTCACAATCAAGACAGAAGGCAAAGGAGGAGCAAAGTCATGTCTTCCATGGAAACAGGCAAAAAGAAAGAATGAGAACCAAATGAAAGGGGTTTCCCCTTGTAAAACCGTCAGATCTCATGAGACTTATTCACTACCATGAGAACAGTATGGGGAAAACCGCCACCATGATTCAATTATCTCCCTCCAGGTCCTTCCCACAACACATGGGAATTATAGGAGCTACAATTAAAGATGAGATTTGGGTGGGGACACAGCCAAACCATATCAGTGGGCAACATCCAATTGACCAGGGGCCCAGAGAGAACACACACAGAAAGAAAATCCGTCTCCCTCTGAGCGCTGGGACAGACTTTTCTTCAGCTCTTTTTGATCTCAACAAAAGACAGGTCGTTCATCATGGTATTTCAGATGACCACAGTTATATAAGCTATTCCTTTATGACTATGGTTCATCTACCCATAACTGTTATACTCCTGGCACTGTCAGTGTACCTGAGTCTTTATGCTTACAAAAATATGTAGGTTATTATTACCTGTTTTATCATTTAAAGTGGCCTATGAAGTGTTCTGTCATGTTTTCTTATGTTTCTCAAGTAAGTCCCCTTTTATAAATGAAAATAAATGTCTTTTAAATAATTTCTAAATTGTTTCCCAGAATTTTATTTTTGATGTTATGGCATTCGGGATTAGGTCTTTCAGGATTACAGCCCAAGCCCCTTAATGGTCTGCTTGCATGACATTTGCTACTCTCCCATTAGCCAAACCCAGTCCCCAAACCAGCCCAGATTTAAGCTCACAGTAGAGAGAGCCTTTACCTCATGAGAGGCTATTTTGCAGCCTACTACAAATTTCAACCCACATTCTGCTGATGCCAAAGCCCTCTACTCTGTGCCAGGGCTGGATCTGCTTGCCCTGAGATCTTTCTCACCTTCTACCTGCTCTGCTTTGTGTTAGAGGGGCCTTGACTCCTGCAGGCTCAGTTTCCCAGGTGCCCATGGAAAGCCAGTGAAAGGTAGTGGAAAAAGATTATAAGACAGGAAGAAAGAGAAGTAGGACAGGCCTCACTTTCCCACTCTGCCTTAGGCTGAATCTCCAGTAGCCAGTGAAACTCCTCAGATCCTCAAGTCCCCTCAGCACAGGCCTGGCATTGTTTCCACCTGCACCTCCTCCATGTGTCCCTTCTGCCTAAGGCAGTGACGGCTTCCAGCCATTGCTAATTGTGAGGTTGCTACATCATTCTTTGACTTCCCAGCTCCTCCTTTAAAACTCACACAACCAACCCTCCGCATTAAATTGCCTCTGTTTTAAATATTTAATGTTTTCCATTTTCCTGGATGAACACTGAGTGCTATATACTCCCCTGTTCTTTGAGTCTACTAGGTTGGAACCACTATGTAATTTCCTTCCTACAATCCAAGCACTATAGAAGCAACCATATTCATCCACTCAGAAAACCTTTATGGAAGAACTACTGTGCCCAAACCCTGGGCTAGATACTGTGGTTGGAAAATTGAATAATACTTTATAAAACAAACCCAAAGAAGACAGGTTGTTATACAAATAACAAGCATATAGTAAGGTTCTCTAATGAAGATATGAATAGAGCTTAGTGGAAAATCAGCCAAATTTGATAAGTCAGTGCAAAATTCCAGAGTCAGAGGGACTGAATTGATGCCTTGCGCCCTTATTATCAATAAAGTAATTTACTTATATTCAGCTACCTCCTTGATACAATAGGAATAATGGGAACAACTTCATAAGATTACTGTAAAGATTAAAAGCAATAATACCTACGTTGGAGTTTAGACAGTGCAGGTCTGGCCCATAATAAATGTTTAATAAGTGCTAGGTATTACTTTTATGGAAATGCAAGGGAAAGAACATCCATTTACTTTGAGGGTCACAGAAGCTTTCCCAAAAGAGAAGACCTTTCCAAGGACTCTTGAAAGAAGAATAAGAAGTCACCTGGAGAATTAAAGACATTTAAGCAGAGAAACATGGCTTCTTTGCTCAAGAAGTTTTCACGCTCACTTGGATGAACTTAAAATAATTTAATTTAATTCAATTAACATTTATCTTCCCCCTGCCAGCCTGATATTCTAAGGTTTAGAAAGCCCCAGGAACCCTGAAAGTATAGTTAATTTCCTAGAGTGACTACCGCTATATCTTATTGTCATCTAAATTGGAACAGATTTGGGGTTATTTAAATCGGTGGTTCAAAAATAAAGCAGAAATAGACTGATGAGCATTTTTAAAACAGATTTTCTTAAAATACAACCTGCACTTTTCATCTACTCACCAAAAATATTATTCTGATGGTCTGTCATGTGTCCAGCACCACTGCAGGCACCATGGTTTCAGCAGTGAGGAAGACAACCATGTCCCTCCCTACACGGAACGTGTGTTTTACTTGGGAGAAACAAACAAAAACAAGTCATCAAATAAGTAAACAAGATCAGTACAAATGACGATTAAGTGATGCTATGCAAATAAAATAATAAAATGTGATATAGAATAACTGGGGAGCCACTTTCAGTACAGTGATCAAGAAAGTACTCCGTGAGAAAAATGGAGTTTGAGCTGATTATCAATCTGATTCAGGAAAGTCTGGAATAGTACCTGAGTGTATGAAAGTTCCAGAAGTTGCCCCAACTGAGCTTGATAAACACTCAGGTTTTAAAATCACTAGTTTAAATGATAAAACAATAATTTTTATGGTTCAAGTTAGAAGGCTTTGACTTCACACCACTGCCTGTACAAAAAAAGCCTAAATTTCTCAGCATGGTATTTATGACTGACTCCCCATGATCTGGCCTCAACTCATCTCAATTCCTCTGGGCTGCTCTTCTAATATCCTAAGTTCGAATTAAATAACATGAACTTTACCAGCCAGGGTAGAATGCTCTTCCTGCTATACCCATTACCATCCTCACCATCAACTCCACTGTCACCTGACTTCTAACAGTCATAATTTTATCCAACTTTCCCACCCCAGTTGACACACCACTTGTCCTAAAGAACTCTCTCCAAATCCCCATCTGAAAATGACTCATGATCCTTCTGGACACCCACAGCACTTTGTTTCCACAATCCCAGAATAGCAATATCTCACTGTAACTTTGGTTACAGCTATTGACACAGAGATTTATATGCCCTGTGATGCTGTAAGCTCCTTGAAGGCAAACACTAGCCTCTCCATCTTTGTCCAACCTGCAAGGCTTAGTACACTGTTTGGCGCATATTAGGGGTGCCAGCTATTAAGCCATTGTTTCTCACCTCCAAACCTGTGATGCTATAGTCACTACATGACGCTGGAATCAAGACTACGCAACCCACTTCTGCTCTGGGGCACACTAGAGGGAGAATACAAGGCCTGAAGAGGAGGAAAGGAATTGCTCATTTTTGTTTGCTTCCTGTTGACATCCTGTCTCTTCTCCATTCCTAGGTGAACAGCACCTTAAAAAAGCTTCTTTCCCAGCAGTTCTTTCCTAGAACAGCAGCTGAATGCAGTTCGGGTTTTTTTTCCAACAGGTAGAACCAGCCTCACCCTGCCACCTTGGTGAGACTAGTACCAGGAAATTAGTGCACCTCCACTAAAGTCTGAGTTTCAATCGGTTTCAAAATTCCCTATATTTCTTTCCAATCAACTTTATTAAGTAATAATTTACATAAAATAAAATGTAACCATTTTAATAGTTTTGTTTTCACCTATACTAATGTAATCTTCATTCCAATAAAAATACAGGTCATTTTTATCACCCAAAAAGTACTTTTGTGCTCTTTTACAATCAATACCCCACTTCACAGATGGTCTCAGAAAACAAATGATGTATGTTCTGTCACCATTGTCTAATTTTGCCTTTTTTTTTTTTTTACAATTTCGTATATTGAAATCATGAAGTATGTATCTTTCTGTGTCTGGCTTCATTTGTTGAATATAATGTATTGTAACTGCTCAATGGGTTCACCTTGCCCGCTGCCTAGACAGAACCAATTTATGAAGACAAGGGAATTCCAATAGAGAAAGAATAATTCACGCAGAGGCGGCTGTGCAGGAGACCAGAGTTTCATTATTACTCAAATCAGTCTCTGAGTATTCGGGGAGCAGAGTTTTTAAGGACAATTTGGTGGGTGGGAGAGAGCCAGTGATCCAGGAGTGCTGATTGGTCAGAGATTAAATCATAGGGAGTTGAAGCTGTCTTCTTGTGCTGAGTCAGTTCCTGGGTGGGGGCCACAAGATTAGATGAGCCAGTTAATCAATCTGGGTGGTGCCAACTGATCCATTAAGTGCAGAGTCTGCAAAATATTTCAGTCACTGATCTTAGGAGCAGTTTAGGGAGGGTCAGAATCTTGTAGCCTCCAGCTGCCTGACTCTTAAACCATAATTTCTAACCTTGTGGCTAGTATTAGTCCTGCAAAGGCAATCTAGTCCCTAGACAAGAAGGAGGTCTGCTTTGGGAAAGGGCTGTTATTGTCTTTGTTTTAAATTATAAACTAAGTTTCTCCCAAAGTAAGTTTAGCCTACACCCAAGGATGAACAAGAATAGCTTAGAGGTTAGAAGCAAGATGGAGTTGGTTAGGTCAGATCTCTTTCACTGTCTCAGTCATAATTTTGCAAATGTGGTCTCAGTCTTAAAGTTTCATCCACATGGTGGCAAGAATCAGTAATGTTTTTCTTGTTGCCAATAATACTTCTTCGCATAGATGTACTATAGTTTATTTATCTAGTCACCTGTTGTTGAACATATGGCTGTTCCCAGTTTGGGGCTATTATGAATGAAACTACTATGCCATTCATGTAAAAGTCTTTGAATGGACATATTTTTATTTCTCTTGGGTGAATATCTAGTAATGAGATTGGTGAGTAATATGGTGGTTGTATATCTAGCTTTACTGTCAAACTGCTTTTGAAAGTGATTGTAATATATTCCCATCAGCAGTGCATGTAAGTTCTAGTTCCATTTTAAAGTTTTGTTTTCACATATACTAAAGTAATCATCATTCCAATTAAAATACAGATCATTTTCATCATCTCAAAAAGTACCTTTGTGCTCCTGCACACGCTCACCAGCATTTGGTGTGGTCAATCTTTTAATGTTCATCTTTCCAGGGGTGTGTAGGGGTATCTCATTGTGGTTGAATTGCATTTTCTAGTAACTAATAATTGTTAGCATTTTTTCAATGTTTATTAGTCAGATATCTTCTTTGTAAAGTACCTGTTTAAATATTTTGTTTGTCCACTTATTAAGTAATTTGTCTTCTGCTATTGATGTACAAGAGTTCTTTATAGATTCTAAGAGCAACTTCTTTATCAGATTTATATACTGTCATATTTTCTCAGAGTTCATGCTCAACTGACTGAATTGTGTTCCTCAAAGTTCAAACGTTAAAGCCCTAACCCCCAGTGTAATAGAATTTGGAAATAGGGCCTTTGAGAGATAATTAGGTTTGGATGCACTCAGGAGGTGAAGCCCTCATGATGGGATTAGTGCCCTTATGAGAAGAGGAAGAGATACCAGAGCTGTCTCTCTGCTAAGTTGAGGACATAGTAAGAAGGCTGCCATCTGAAAGCCAGAAAGACAGCTCTAACCAGAAACCAACCAAGCTGTAACTCTGATCAAACTTCCAACCTTCAAAACTGTGAGAAATAAGTTACTTAAGCCACCTCACCAATGGGATTTTGTTATGGCAGCCCAAGCCAACGAATACACCAGAGCTTCCCATTTTATTTCCTGTGTCTTCCAAGAACAGAAGGTTTTAATTTTGTTGAATTCCAAATTATCAGTTTTTCTTTTCTGATGCATGATTATTGTGCTTGACCTAAGTACTCTTTGCCTACTCTAAGTCACGAAGACTTACTTCCGTGTTTTATTCTAGAAGTTTTAACATTTTGGCTTTCATATTTAGGTTTGTCTATTCACCAATAACAGAGTTTCAGAACATAAGATGCAAAAATTGATGGAACTGAAGGTAGAAAAAAAGAAATTAATTTTAATGAGATATTTCAATACCCCTTTCTCCATAATCGGTAGAACAAATAAGCAGAAAATCAGTAAGAACGCAGAAGATTTGAACAACACTTTCAACCAACTTGATCTAATTGATATTTGTAGTATGGTCCACACAGCAACCTCAGAGTAAACTCTTTTTCAAATGTACACAGAACGTTTGCTAGGAGTTATCATATTCTGGGCATTTAAAAAATTTAATGAATTTAAAGGTAAGTTATCTGGCCAGAGTGGAATTTTATTAGAACCCAGTAGTATAAACATCTCTGGAAAACACAAAAATATTTGAATTGTAAATACAAATTTCTAATAACACACAGGTCAAAAAAGAAATCAAAAGAAAAGTTAGAAAGTGTTTTTAATTGAAATAAATGAAAATGAAAACACAACACGTAAAAATTTGTGGGATGCCATTAAAGCAGTACTTAGTGGGACATTTATGGCACTAAATGCTACATTAAAAAGAAGGAAGTTCTCAAATATATAAACTTTAATTCTTCATTAAGAGGTTAGAAAAAGAAGAACAAATTAAACTCAAATTAAGTAGAAAGGAAGAATAACAAAAATTGGAGTGGAAATCAATGACATAGGAAAAAAAATAGAGACAATCAATTACACCAAAATGTTGTTCTTTGAGAAAATGAAAATAATTGATAAAATTCTAGCCTGACCAATATCAACTTACAATATCAGGAATGAGAGAAGTGAAATTACCACAGATTCTACAGATATTAAAAAATAAGAAAGGAATTTTGTGACTAATTATGTGCCAATAAATTCAAATTACATCAGTACTATTCAGCAATACAAGGGAATGAACTATTGATACATGCTACAACATAGACTACTCACAAAATAATTATGATGTATGAAAGAAGACAGAAAACATACACTTATATCACATTGTTCCATTTTTCTTAAGTTTTAGGAAATGCAAACAGTGATCTACAATAACAAAAGTAGATCAGTGGTTGCCTGAGGATGAGACAGGTGTTGGGTAGAAGGAAAAGAGAAATTACAAAGAGGCACAAAGAAACTGTTGGAGATAACAGAGATGGTCATGATCTTGATTATAGTAATGATTTTGTACATGTATGCATACGTCAAAACATCAAATTTTACACACTAAATATGCACAGTTCACTATAAATCAATTCTACGTCAATAAGATTGTTTATAAAATAAATAACTGAATGAGGTCTGTCTCCCGACTCAACATTGACTGTTACAACAGAAACAAAGGGAAGGAAGGAAGGAAGGAAAGAAGGAAGGAAGGAAGGAGGGAGGGAGGGAAAAAACATAGCAAACATATGAAATAAACCTAAGTATCCATCAAAGTATGACTGAATAAAGCAAATGTGGTGTTTATAGGCAATGGAAAACTATTTAGCCATAAAAAAGATTAAAATCGTGTTTTGCAGCAACATGAATAAAACTGGAGGCCATTATCTTAAGTGAAACAACTCAGAAACAAAGTCAAATACCACATATTCTTACTTATATGCAGGAACTAAATAATGTGTACATGTGGACATAGAGTGTGAAATGATAGACACTGGAAACTCAGAGGGTAAGGAGGTTTAAGGGAGGAGGGTCATGAGAAATTTTAATAGATACAGTGTGCATTATTCAGGTGATGAATATACCAAAAGCCAGGACTTCACCACTATACAATATATGTAGGTGCCAGAATTACACTTGTACTCCCTTAAATTTATACAAATTTAAAAAGAAAAAGGAAAAAAACATGTGCCTGGAATTAAATGGAAAGTAAAATGAAATGAACAGAATGAAGCAAAATGAAAAAGTTGCATTTATTTCAAAGATCCCCCACAGAAGGACAGCCTATTCAACATGTGGTACTGAAAAAATTAGATAGCCATATACCAAAGAATGAAACTGGACTCCTATCTGTCATCATATACAAAAAATAACTCAAGGTGGGTGAAGTACTTAAATGTAATACCTGAAACTATAAAAAATCCTGGAAGAAAACCTAGAAAAATTCTTCACGACATAGGCCTAGGAAAAGAATTTATGATAGAGGCCTCAAAAGCAAATGCAACAAAAACAAAAATAGATAAATGGGACTTAATTAAACTAAAAAGCTTCTGTACAGAAAAAGAAATAAAAGAGTAAACCAATAATCTACAGAATGAGAAAAAATATTTGCAAAATATGCATCTGACAAAGAATATCCAGACTCTACAAAGAACTTAAATAACTCAACAAGAAAAAACAATGTCATTAAAAAGTGGGCAAAGGATGTAAACAGACATATCTCAAAAGAAGATACACAAGCAGCCAACAAACATATGAAAAAATGCTCAACATCACTAATCATCAGAGAAATACAAATTAAAACTACAATGAGATAGCATCTCACACCAATCAGAGGGCTATTATTAAAAAGTCAAACAACAGATGTAGACAAGAATGCAGAGAAAAGGGAATGCTTATAAACTGTTGGTAAGAATGTAAACTAGAGCAAACTGTGGAAATCAGATTTCTCAAAGTACTAAAAATAGAACTATAATTTGACATAGCAACCCCACCACTGGGTATCCACCCAAAGGAAAAGAAGTCATTATATTAAAGAGACACCTGCACTCATGTTTATTGCAGCACTATCCACAATAGCAAAGTCATGAAATCAATCTAAGTGTCTATCAACGGATGATTGGGTAAAGAAAATGTGGTACATATATATCATGGAATAATATGCAGCCCTAAAAAAGAATAAGATTATGTCTTTTGCAGCAACATGGATGGAGCTGGAGGCCATTATCCTAAATGACTCCTGGCCCCAAGTGAGGTGTTGAAAGATCACTTAAGGCCAGAAGTTCAAGACCAGCCTACACAACATAGCAAGACTCTGTCTCTAACAAAATTTAATTAATTAATTACAATTTAATTAATTAATTAAAATAAATCAAATACTACATGTTCTCACTTGTAAGTAGGAGCTTAACAATGGGTACACATGAACATACAGAGAGAAATAATAGACACTGGGGACTCCAAAATGGGAAGTGAGTGTTGAAAACTACCTAGTGGGTACAATATTTACTGTTTGGATGATGTGTGCACTAGAAGCACAAACCCCACCACTACACAATATATCCCTATAACAAACATGCACATGTACCCCCTGAATGTATAAAAAAAAATTTAAAGACCCCCCCAACCAAGACCTCTCCAAATAAACCAGAAAATTATTAGGGACCTTATCATTGCAATATATGAGGAGATAACATCTTCAGGATGCTTTAGTATTTGGTGAAACAGGATTCACAATTACTATACAGTAATATGTTTTGCTAAACTTTTCCTCAGACCTTTTGTTCAAGGGAAGTACTTCTGAAGGAAGAAAAGACTTTCTGTAATTCTTCCCTATGTATTTTATAAGTATGGTGATGTCTTCATTTTCCTATTTTAAGTAGTTAATTGACTAGTTCAGTTGAAGGAGGGGGCAGTTCACTGACTGGCTTGTAGGCTCAGCATCACAAGATCTTCAAATCCGACCTGGAAGATTTCTACAGCATTTCTTATCCCTCATAAGATGGGAGTAGCTGGTCTATCAAGATCTACCCCTTAGCTCCACTAAGGAGTTTTAGTACTAGAGAAAAGCACTCATGCAATATATACGTGTGCCCTTCCGGGAAATTAAGGGAGCCTGCTAATTGACCATAATATCCAGACTTCCCTTCTCTCTTTTAATATTGCATCCCCACAACACAGTTTTGCATGACATGTAGTCCACTAATTGTCTAATCCATTTTCCAAGACTCCATTGCAGCTAAATATGGCAATGTGGCTATGTTCTCACTAGTGGAATGTAAACAGCAGTTTTGCATGAAGCTTTTATATCACTTCATTAAATGGGAATCACTTTTCCTCTACTTCTCTGCTTTCCTCTTCCTATAGACTAGAACATAAATGTGGTCATAGAACACCACTGTCAAAAATGCAGACAACACCCTAGTCAATAGCAGGACAACATGATCAAAGGACCCAGACTGGATTCCCAGCTGACCCTCGTGAGGCAGAGTGATCTTCCTGTCTTGGACTACTGCCTCCCTTTGAACCATTAATTAAGAGAAATAAACCTCTCTTCCATGAGCCTCTGTAGTTAGGAGTCTCCTTATTATAGTAGCTTGGCCTCTTCTCAGATAATTGGGGAGCCTTACCCTAACTGAATTTGGTATTTTTCTTGGAACGAACCAGATGTGGGATGAGTTATGAATAAAAGGCATGGGAATATGAGAATACTAAAGTTGAAAAGCCTTTTTGGGCCGGGCACAGTGGCTCACACCTGTAATCCCAATACTTTGGGAGGCCGAGGCGGGTGGATCACCTGAGGTCAGGAGTTCGAGACCAGCTTGGCCAACATAGTGAAACCCTGTCTCTACCAAAAATACAAAAATTAGCCGGGCATGGTGGCATGCACTTGTAATCCCAGCTACTCGGGAAGCTGAGATGGGAGAATTGCTTGAACTTGGGAGGTGGTGGTTGCAGTGAGCTGAGATTGTGCCACTGCACTCCAGCCTGGGTGAGAGAGCAAAACTCCATCTCAAAAAGAAAAAAAAAAAAAAAAAAGCCTTTTTGATGGGAGGAAATTCCTTCTAGAGGCAAAAACAAAATGAAAGAAAAAGAAGAGATTTAAGGATGATAGAGGCAGAGGACTTGGCTGAAGAAGGAGAAATGGGAGAAAAGAGTGTCTTCTCAGTATTGAGCCCCTGGACGTAAATTAAGAGGAATTCGAAAAATACCTAGCTAGGAGCGTTTCACTTTTCTACGATAATTTAAAGCCAATAATGTATTTTTGGCAGTGCCCAAGTTCTCCAATCATACAGGGCAAACGTGTTGGTGAAGTGAAATAGTATCTCTATCCATTAAGCAAAGGCTGTTTATTGTTCAAATATTACAAATAATTTTGAGTTCCACATCTTTTAATAAAGTACATTTTCCTCTAATTGTCCAACCATGTAGCAATAATTGAGAGTCAGTTAGAGTCAGTTAATTATTTATCTTGTTTCTCATTTATCCCTATCTAGCCTTTATGGCATAGTTCAGGAAAGGTGCTATTTCATGACTCTGGTCTTTGTAAAATGAAAATAATCACTCCTACATTGAAATATTGTCATCTAGAACTGAAATATGTGTGATGAGGACACCCCTAGGAGACTAACATGCAAATGTGGCATTTCACAGGCTTCACCCTACCACTGAAATGCAATCCTAAATTCCAACAAGTCCTTTTCAAGAGAGCTTTGCTGACATCATTCCCCTTCATCCATATCACCTATTTCTAGCCATAACCCCCATCAGGTAATTATGGTTATGATTGTGCTGTGCTATATCAGCAGCATACAATAAAAGGGATTTTTAAAAATTTATCTCATGGCTACAGTGTAGATTGATTTACCCTGGACTCAACTGAGCCACTCAACTGCTCTCACCTGGTCTCATTAACACATCTGAAGGCGGACAGGGACGCAGCAGATCCCGGTGAGAGGTGACAGCGTGCTGGCAGTCCTCACAGCCCTCGCTCGCTCTGGGCGCCTCCTCTGCCTGGGCTCGCACTTTGGTGGCACTTGAGAAGCCCTTCAGCCCACCGCTGCACTGTGGGAGCCCCTTTCTGGGCTGGCCAAGGCCGGAGCCCACTCACTCAGCTTGCAGGTAGGTGTGGAGGGAGAGGCGCGAGCGGGAACCGGGGCTGCGGGCTGCGCTTGCGAGCCAGCTGGAGTTCCGGGTGGGCGTGGGCTTGGCGGGCCCCGCACTCGGAGCAGCCGGCCGGCCCTGCCGGCCCCGGGCAATGAGGGAGTTAGCACCCGGGCCAGCGGCTGCGGAGGGTGTACTGGGTCCCCCAGCAGTGCCAGCCCACCGGCGCTGCGCTCGATTTCTCGCCGGGCCTTAGCTGCCTTCCAGCGGGGCAGGCCTCGGGACTGCAGCCCGCCATGCCTGAGCCTTCCCCCGCCTGGGTGGGTTCCTGTGCAGCCCGAGACTCCCTGACGAGCGCCGCCCCCTGCTCCACGGCACCCAGTCCCATAGGCCACACAAGGGCTGAGGAGTGCGGGGGCACGGCGCGGGACTGGCAGGCAGCTCCACCTGCAGCCCCGGTGCGGGATCCACTGGGTGAAGCCAGCTGGGCTGCTGAGTCTGGTGGGGCCTTGGAGAATATGTCTAGCTCAGGGATTGTAAATACACCAATCGGCAGTCTGTATCTAGCTCAGGGTTTGTAAACACACCAATCAGCACCCTGTGTCTAGCTTAGAGTTTGTGAGTGCACCAATCGACACTCTGTATCTAGCTGCTCTGGTGGGGCCTTGGAGAACCTTTGTGTCCATACTCCATATCTAACTAATCTGATGGGGACAAGGAGAACCTTTGTATCTAGCTCAGGGATTGTAAACGCACCAATCAGTGCCCTGTCAAAACAGGCCACTCGGCTCTACGAATCAGCAGGATGTGGGTGGGGCCAGATAAGAGAATAAAAGCAGGCTGCCCGAGCCAGCTGCGGCAACCCACTCAGGTCCCCTTTCACGCTGTGGGAGCTTTGTTCTTTCACTCTTTGCAATAAATCTTGCTGCTGCTCACTCTCTGGGTCCACACTGCTTTTATGAGCTGTAACACTCACCGCAAAAGTCTGCAGCTTCACTCCTGAAGCCAGCGAGAGCATGAGCCCACCGGGAGAAACAACAACTCCAGACGCCCCGCCTTAGGAGCTGTAACACTCACCGCGAAGGTCTGCAGCTTCACTCCTGAGCCAGTGAGACCATGAACCCACCAGAAAGAAGAAACTCCGAACACATCAGAACATCAGAAGGAACAAACTCCAGAGGCGCCACCTTAAGAGCTGTAACACTCACCGCGAGAGTCCGCGGCTTCATTCTTGAAGTCAGTGAGACCAAGAACCCACCAATTCCGGACACACCGGCCTGGGTTCAACCATAGAAACTCTTCTCTGCTCCATGTGGTTGTCATCCTTCTCCTAGTAAATGCAGGCAGCCTTTCATGTTTTGTGATCATAGCAGAGACAAAATAGAGCAAGCTTGCTCACGTCATTAGTACAAAAATTCCACTGGCAAAAGCAAGTCATGTGACTAAACCCAAAATAAAGGGGCAGAGAAACATACTCTGCCTCTTTAATGGAATAAACGGAAAAGTTACATGGCAATGGGCATGGATAAATAGAGAAATGAAAATTCAGGCATTAATGTATTCTGCCAAAATCCACTCTAGGGGTACACACCTGTATGAGTCTGTTTTCATGCTGCTGATAAATACATACCCAAGACTGGACAGTCTACAGAGAAAAAGAGGTTTAATTGACTCACAGTTCCACATGGCTGGGGAGGCCTTACAATCATAGTGGAAAGCAAAAGGCATGTCTTACATGGCATGAGACGAGAGAATGAGAGCCAAGCGAAAGGGGAAACTGCTTATAAAAACCACAGATCTCGTGAGACTTATTCACTATCATGAGAACAGCACAAGAAAGACCTACCCCCATGATTCAATTACCTCCCACTGGGTCCCTCCCATGACACAAGGGAATTGTGGGAGTTAGAATTCAAGATGATTTGGGTGGGGACACAGCCAAACCATATCAACACCCATGCTCATTGGTATGTGTACCCACTTCTATTCTCCTTTGTCTCCTGCTCCTGTCTATAACCTCTCCTTAAGCTGTCCTTCCTGGCCAGGTGCAGTGGCTCCCACCTGTAATCCCAGGACTTTGGGAGGCCAAAGCAGGTGGATCACCTGAGGTCAGGAGTTCAAGACCAGCCTGACCAAGATGATGAAACCCTGTCTCTGCTAAAAATACAAAAATTATCTGGGTGCGGTGGTGGGTGCCTGTAATCCCAGCTACTCAGGAGGCTGAGACAGGAGAATCGCTTGAACCTGGGAGGCAGAGGTTCCAGTGAGCTGAGATCATGCCACTGCACTCTAGCCTGGGCAACAGAGCAAGACTCCATCTCAAAAAAGAAAGAAAGAAGATGTCCTTCCTAAACGTCTCCTGATCTGAATGTAATTGTAGCTACATGGGTGTAGTAAAAGTATAGACTAGAAGTTAGCCAGCAAAATCATATTCTGGATATGTCACCAACCAACTCTGTAACCAATAAGAGCTTTGGAAATAATCTCTTCAAGTTTTCCTGATTCTCAATTCTGTGTTTATTCTGCCTTCCCTTCATTCCCTCTCAACTTCATACATTACCTTCATTTCAAACATTACCTTCATTTCTTTGTTCAGCAAACATTGGCTGGATGCCTTTTGTGTATCAGGTGCTATTCCAGGAACTGGGAATTCAGAGAAATATGATGATAAATTTTAGTCTTCCAGGAACCACAATCTAGTGTACAAAACAGACAACTAAAGAAACAATGCCAGTATAGTATTTTATAAAGGTCTGACAGTGAACCAAAGAAGCCTAAAGGAAGAGCAGGTAAACCAAATGGCCTGCTTGCTATTGTTATTCTACATATTGGTAACAGATACTAGATGATTTGTCCAATTGATACAAAAATTTCAAACAGTAAGCCACCTTGGTTATCTCCAGGACTGGACTGACCTAACTTCTATCCCAAAAAGACAACAAGGGTAATGACCATGTTTTAATTAGAAAAAGGCAGAACTTCAGCTCACCATTCCTGCTTAAAATTCATGGATGAGGACTTGGTCACATGACCATACTGCAAGGGAGGCTAGGAAATGAGTTATCCAGCTGGTTTCCTATGTGTCTAGATAAGTCTGGAGGCAGACACCCAATACTAAAAAGGAGAAGAAATGGAGAACAAATATTGGGGACAATTAGTAGCTGCTGTCACAAGAAGCTACCCTTAAATTCCCTTGCACCCAGGTTTCTTCTATCTTGTGGCCCTGCGATTGTCCTCATGTGACTTCCATCTCTTCATCCAATATGGCTGAACAGTGCCCTGCCATCATTGCCACATTCCTGCCAATAGGAAATGGAAAAGGTGAAATGGCAAACCCTTTTCCTTTATAGACATGCCCTAGAAGTTGCAAATATCACCTTCTCATACATCCTATTCATCATATCCTAGCTATAAGAGAGGTGAGAAAAGGTAATCTATATAATTGACTGGTCAGGTGCTCAATGATAAAACTTCTACTATATGGAAAAAAGTGAAGAGATATTGGAAGAGAATTCCATTTTCACCAAGGATCCAAAATGAAGATAAGCCATTCTTGGATGTCTGGGGAAAAACTTGAGTGGGCTAAATATGCTTTGTTTTCACTTAGAAGTCAAAAGCAAATGGTTAAGCATCATCATGCATGTGCAGTCTGTGTAAGTGTGTGCACATAGGTCCAAAAACTGTCACAAAAGACTGGACATAGACTAATCCACTCCTTTTTGGGTGCAAGAGATTCCTAAAATTGCCTGCCTAACCCACCTCCTTACTTCTTCTAGGGGAGGAAAGATTTCTGCTGGAAGGAAAGTTAAGTTAATCTTCCTATTAAAATGCTGAGTGGGCATTAGAAGGGAGGAAAGCATAAGAAAGCTAATCAGACTGGACATAAAGGAGGAAGCTTTTAGAGAAGTGAATGAGTTGAATGAGCCTGTGGAGGTGAGAGAACAGTATAGAGCAGGAAAAGGGATTCTAGTAAATGTTGCAAAAACTGTATTATTTGTTTTTCTATTGCTGCATCACAGAGTACCCCAAACGTAGAGACTTCAAACAACACAAATTTATTATCTCACAGTTTTCTTGGGTCAGGAGTCCAGGCACACCTTAGCTGGATCTTCTGTCCAGCCTCTCGCAAGCCTGGAATCAAGGTGCCTCTTGTGCTACAGCTCCCCTTTGGAGCATTGGGCTCTCTTCCAAGTTCTTTCAAGGTGTTCACTGAATTCAGTTGTTGACTGGATTCCCTTTGTGGTTGCAGGACTGGAAAAGTCCCCATTTTCTTGCTAGCTCTTAGAGGCTGGAGAGCACTCTCAATTCTTTGCCTCATGTCTCATCATCACATCACATTAGTACTTCTTCTAAAGACTTGTCTGATTAGATCAGATTCATCCAGGATAATCCCCCCTTTTGAGTAACTCAGAGTTAATTAGTAACCCAATCATGTGAATGATATTGCATCATAGTCATAGGCTCCAGAGACTATATAAAATATGTGAACCACAGGATGGGAATCTTGGCAGTCATCTTAAAATACTGTACTGTTCATTGCCCTGTAAGTTTGAATCCTTTTAATAATTTTTAGAAGTGACAATAAATAATGGAATTCTCTTTAACTTAAATATTTTTGTTGAATTGTGTTTCGTAAGAAAACCAAACACTGGGACTCTCGGTTTATTTGAGAGAGAGAGATTTCATAGACACAGGTCTTAAACCATGGAAAAGGCCTGATTAGCTTGTGATAAGCTCTTTGCATTTCTAATGGTCTAGTTGCAAGTATTGTCATATGAGACTCCTTAATTATATCCTTTCAAATGAATACAGTCAATCAGGGAAAAAAATCAATATTTGTATTTAGAAAATGACAGCACACTTTTTACATATGTTATGTAAATTGTCTATGTTGAGCCACTTCCCAACAAGAAGAAAGGATACCTGCCCTTATGAGAGGAAATATTTTATTTTTATATCACCACTTACTATACAACACTGGGTGATGTCTAAGTGTATTTCTGCTTAAAAGGTTTCTTAAAATAGTAATTGAAAACTAACCCTAAGAAAAGTTTGAAAGAGTCCATTTTAAAACAAAATATTTCCACTTGAATTTCCCTGATAATTAATGATGTTGAGCTTTTTAAAATATCTATTATCCATTTGTATATCTTCTTTTACGAAATGTCTGTTAAGGTCCTTTGCCCATTTCTTAATTGAGTTACTTTGTTTTCCTGCTATTGAGTTGTATGAGTTCCTTATATACTTTGCATACTAAGCTTTTATCAAATGTATGTTTTCCAAATATTTTCTCCCATTCGTAAATTGTCTCTTTATGCTTTTGATTGTTTTCATTACTATACACAAGCTTTTTAGTTTGGTGTAATCCCATTTGTCTATTTTTGCTTCTGTTGACTGTCCTTTTGGGTCATATTCAAAAAGTCATTGTCCAGACCAGTGTCAAGAAGATTCTTCCCTGTTTTCTTGTAGTAGTTTTACAGTTTCAGGTTTAAGTTTTTAATCCAGTTTGAACAGATTATTGTTTATGTTGTGAAATAAGGGTAAAATTTCATTCTTCCACATGTGGACATCCAGCTTTCCTAACACCATTTACTGGAGAGATCGTCCTTTCCCCATTATGTGTTCTTGGCACTTTTGTCAAAGACTAATTTACCATAAATGCATGAATTTATTCTGGACTTACTATTCTTTTCCATTCTGCTATATGTCTGTTTTTATGCTAGTATCATGCTGTTTTGACTACTATAGCTTTACAGTATATTTTAAAATCAGATGGTGTGATGTCTTCAGTTTTGTTCTTTTTGTTTAAGATTGCCTTGATTATTTAGGGTCCTTTGTGGTTCCATATGAATTTTAGGGGTTTTTTTTCTGTTTTTCTGAAAAAATGTCACTGGATTTTTGATAAGGATTGCATTGAATCAGTAGATCACATTGGGTAACATGGCATTTTTACAATATTAATTCTTCTAGTCCATGAACACAGGGTATCTTTCCATTTATTTGTGCCATCTGAAATTTCTTTCATCAATATTGTATATTATTCAGTGTGCAAGTGTTTTACTTCCTTGGTTAAATACTTTATTCCTAAGTATTTTTATGCTATTATAAGTGGGATTGTTTTCTTGTTCATTGTTTGTGTATAAAAATGTTATTAATTTTGTGTATTAATTTTGTGTGCTCATTCTGTATCCTGCAACTTTACTGAATTTGTTTATTGGTTCTAATAGTTTTATTGTTTGTAGTCTTTAGGATTTCATAAGATCATGTCATCTGCAGAGACAATTTAACTTCTTCTTTCCCAATTTGGATGCCTTTTTTTCTTTTTCTTGCCTAAAATTGCTCTGACTAGGACTTCTAATACTATACTGAATGGAAATGGTGAGAGCGAGCATCCCTAGCTTGTTCCTGATCTCAGAGGAAAAGTTTTCAGCTTTTCACCATTTAGTATGATATGATCTGTGGGCTCGTCATATGTGGCCTTCATTATATTAAGGTTACATTTATTTATACTTTATTATATTGAAGGAATTGCATTCCTTCATTTTTATATGCCCATATATATATGTGTGTGTATATATTTCCTCATTCCTATATATCTGTATATGGCTGTATACAGTCATGTGCTGCATAATGACGTTTTAGTCAATGATAGACCACATATAAGACAGCAGTCCCATAAGATTATAATACCATATTTTTATTTTTTTCACTGCTTTGTTTTTATTATTTTCTTTGCACGTAACTGAAGTATCAAGAGTTTTAATACAACATGAACCGTATTCTGTAAATTATAGTATATTTTATTTTAATATATTTATTAATTTTTTTGATGACAGACTCTTGCTCTGTAGCCCAGGCCACAGTGCAGTGGTGTGATCACGGCTTATGGCAGCCTTGACCTCCTGGGCCCAGATATTCCTCCTGCCTCATTCTCCTGAGTTTAGATGGGACCACAGGTGTGCACCACCATGTCCAAAATATTTATTTATTTATTTATTTATTTAATTTATTTATTTTGTAGAGAGAAGTTCTCCCTATGTTTCCCAGTATGGTCTTGAACTGCTGGGCTCAAGCAATCTTTTTGCCTTGGTCTCACAAAGTGGTGTGATTAAAGATGTTTCTGTGTGTGTGTGTGTGTGTGTTTGTGTGTGTGTGTCTATTGTAAATGGGACGCATGGTTGATTTGGCTCTCAGCTTGGATGTTGTTGGTGTATAAAAATGCTACTGATTTTTTTACATTGATTTTGTACCTTGAAATTTTACTCAAGTCATTTATCCATTCCAGAAACTTGTTGGGTGAGTCTGCAGTTTTTCTAGGCATGGGATCATATCATCCACGAAGAGAGACAGTTTGACTTCTCTTTCTATTTGGATGCTTTTTATTTCTTTCCGTTACCTGAGTGCTCTCACTAGGACTTCCAATATTATGTTTAATAGGAATAGTGAGAGTGGGGATCCTTGTTTGTTCCAGTTCTCAAGGAGAATGCTTCCAGTTTTCACCCATTTAGTATGCAATTGGCTGTGGATATATCATCAAAATAATGAATAATTCTTAATATTTTGAGGTATGTTCCTTTGATTCATAGCTTCTTATGGGTTTTTATCATAAAGGGAGGTTGGATTTTCTCAAAGAACTTTTCTGCATCTGTTGAGATGACCATGTGGCTTTTGTTTTTAGTTCTATTTATGTGGTGAATTACATTTTATGGATTCGTGTATGTTGAACCAACCTTACTTCCCAGGAATGAAGCCTACTTGATTACAGTGAACTAACTTTTTGATATGTTGTTGAATTTGGTTTGCTAGCATTTTTGTAGAGGGCTTTTGCATCTATGTTCATCAGGGACATTGGCTGTACTTTTCTTTTTTTAATATGCGTTTGCCAAGTTCTGGTATCAGAGTGATGCTGGCTTCATAGGATGAGTTAGGGAGGAGGTCCTCCTCCTCAGATTTTTGGAATAGTTTCCCTAGAATTGATACCAGATCTCCTTTACAGGTCTCATAGAATTTGGCTGTGAATCCATCTGGTCTTGGGCTTTTTCTTTAGTTGGTAGGTTTTTTATTGCTAACTCAATCTCACAACTCAAAATCGTTCTGTTCAGTGTTTCACTTTCTTCCTGATTCAATCTTGGGAGATTGTGTGTTTCCAAGAATTTAACCATTTCCTCTAGATTTTCTAGTTTCTGTGTGTAGAGTATTAATATTAGTCTGGGGATCTTTTGTATTTCCATGGGATCAGTTGTAACGTCACCTTTTTCATTTCTGATTGTGTTTATCTGGATCTTTTATCCTTTGTTAATCTGGGTAGCAGTCTATAAGTCTTATTTATCTTTTCAAAAAACAAACTTTTAGTTTTGTTGATTTGTTGGTATGGATTTTGGGGTCTCAATTTTGTTCAATTCTACTCAGATTTTAGTTACTTCTTTTCTTCTGCCAGCTTTGTGGTTAGTTTGTTCTTGTTTTCCTAGTTCCTCTAGGTGTGATGTTAGATCATTAATTTCAGCTCTTTCTCACTTTCTGAGGTAGGCATTTAACATTATCAACTTTCCTCTTAATACTGCTTTTGCTGCATCCCAGAGATCTTGGTATGTTGTGTGTGTGTGTGTGTGTGTGTGTGTGTGTGTATTTGTGTGTGGTTTTGACACATTTTACTTCATTTAATATTCACAATAATATTTGAGCATTTACTTTGCTTTCTCCTTTTTCATAGGGAGGGAAGCTAACATTCAGAAGTAGGTGACGTTACCAAGACTGCACAGCCCATGAGGAGCACACTCAAGAAGGAAATAATCCTAGAATTTTTAACTTTACTGGTCTTACATTTCTCCATTACACCACAATGATTTTTAAATCATTTATTGATCCATTCAGCAAATATTTTTTCAATGTGTTATGTTTCAAGAATTGTCATAAGCTCTGTGTAATACAGTGATCAACAGATAGCAGTAGCTTTGTCTTCATGGAGCTATTTGTCTGAGGTATTGAAAACTCAGCCTTAAAATTGTTCTTGTCTGTTAAATGTGTCCTCATTCATATAAATATAACTAATTCCCTCTTCTGTCCACCCATTATGCTTAGTACTTTGAGAGACATAACACACTGTATCATGGTTTACTGCATCCCAGACAATACGCCGAGCAAGGTGCCTTCCAACTGCAGAGTTCACTTCCAAGTGGCCTGGAAATGCCTGCAAAACTAATGAGACACACATCTGTCCTAAAGCCAGAGGATACAGAGGAAAAGAAGGGAAGGAACATGCAAACCTGAGTTGATTGTCTCTTTAAAGGAATAAAGAAAGGCCATGACATACTAAATCAATGAGATTGCTAAACAGGAAACTCAAGCAATACACAACAGAAGCCTAGGAGTTTGAAACACATTTAGCTTCCAGAAGGAAATTAAGTCGTTGAAAGTCACCATTATCTCCTTTCTTGCGGCAACAACTTTTATTTCATCAAATTATATCTTCAGTAAATATTTTTAACACATTATTTTGCTGGTTTATTGTCGCTGGAGTTTCACATTTTTCTCTCTCCCCAAGATCTTCTCCTGGGGGTAATATATGAAAGCAATTGTTGCCTATGAGACCCTGAGTGACGTTAATTTAAATTCTTATAAATTATCTTGTTCCTGTGACTCTGAGTTGTGTTCGCTCTGAAAATTCTGTGTGATCCCACATCAGTTATCACAGTTATCAGTTAAGAAAATCTTTGTCACCCAAAATAAGTAACACAATATGGTATAACACAACACAACATAATATAACCTAAGATCATATAAAGAGTTTCAGAAAGAAAATAAATGCTCACAGATGTCACTGTTTCTAAAACTAAAAGAAATCTGTGGTGATTTGTCCTTGGGGGAGGACTGACTTTTGGTTGATTGAATTCATTGTTCAAATAGGAAGTTATTAATAACTGGGTAAATATTTCTCACTTAACTAGTTTGGAGACCTCTGGAAAATTACTTATTCTTGCAGATTCAGTTCTGTCACCTGTAGAATGAAGATGATAATACCTTGTAGACCTATAGTGGAGGTTAAATGAACAATGCATAAAAAGTATGTACGCCAGCCATGGTGTCTCACACCTGTAATCCCAGCACTTTGGGAGGCTGAGGAGGGTGGATCTTTTGAGGTCAGGGGTTCGAGACCAGCCTGGCCAACATGGTGAAACCCCATCTCTACTAAAAATACCAGTGGTGGCAGGTGCCTGTAGTACCAACTACTTGGGAGATTGAGGCAGGAGAATCGCTTAAGCACAGCAGGTGGAGGTTGCAGTGAGCCGAGATTGCGCCACTGCACTCCAGCCTGGGTGACACAGTGAGAGTCTGTCTCAAAAACAAAACAAAACAAAAAGAAAAGTATGTAGTTCAGTACCTGACACAAGTAATCTCTGAATAAATGTTAGCTATGTTTCATAATGTATACATGTTAACTATATGTTCCTTTCTGTGTGTAGCGACTATACTCTTGAAAAAGACTATGAGATATAAAATTAGAAAAAAAAAATCCACCAAAGTTCTTTCTACGAAACAATAGTATTTCCAGCTATTGGAGAAAAATATTACAAATAATCCTGCTCAAATCATTTATTAGATTCTTGCTTGACTAACGGGGCCACTTCTGAATTTTGCATTTAGAATAGTCACTAAATTTTTCCTTACAGAACTCAGCAATATTCCATTCTCCATAGGTACATGTTTTCAAACGCTATTATCTATAATTTTCTTTTTCTGTCTTCATGGAAGAATTCTCATTGATTATGGCAACTAACTGGGCCCTCTCTTTATTTCTCAGTATTTACTTCTTTAGCAAAATATTCTTACTTTGCTTACAAAATTATTCTTCCTAATTTCAGCAAGAGTTTGGAAAACTATTACCATTCTTCTTGCTTTAACAAAGGCCAGCCATCCAGCCTGACCCCCTGCTTGTCATTTCATTGGCCCATTGTTTCAAAGAGCCCCTTCTTTTCTGTACTATATAGAACTAGGGCATGAGTGTTTGATAAACAAGGCAAAAGAAAAACATTTAAAAGCAGATGAAAATAATGGAGCTTCTGTTAAGTAAATTAATGTCACAAATTTTATGTAAACATATTTTTCTTAGGGATTCTTCCAGGTACATACCAGAAACAAAATTTTGTCAAGTATTTCTTAATCTCTAACTTTATGCCAGTCACTCAACTGAGTGCTAAAGACACAGCCATAAACAAAACAAACATGGTCTCTGACCTCACAGAATTTGGAGTCTAGATGAGCAGGAAAGACAACTGTCAAACAGATAAGCATACTAAAGTCTGACAACAGGGTTAGGGTAAGTGCCAGGGGCTATTAGAGTGAGGCAGAGAAGGCCATCTACATGACAAATATGACACTTCCTTCCACAACGTAAGGCAGTGCTACACAAAGTGTGGGCCATGGACTAGTGCCCATCTGCAAACTGTTAGTGGTCGATGACAAGAATACGTGTGGAAATTGAGAATTTAAGTGTTTAGCAACTTACAGAATTTTGGTGAAGTAACTTTAGGTTTGTTAAATTTAATAATTTCTAAAATGGAATTTGTATTTTGCATGCTTTTCATTCATTTTTTAAATATAGTACATTTTTAATTCTGTTTTATAAAATATTGGCCTGTGATGAATTGTAAATAGAAATAGCAGCTCTTCACCACAGATGGCTTAAGAAGCACTGCCCAGCAGGGACTACGTTTTCCATTCTCCCCTTGCATCTAGGTGAGGCCCTGAGACCCGTCCTCCAGAAGGGTGTGTGGATGAGAAGGATGTTACCACCTCTTGGGCCAGTGTGGGTGTGGGGTAATGTGCCTTTGCACATTTTCTTTGTTCATCAGCTAGACACAGATGATGCCAAAGCGTAAGGGAGCAGTAGTGCAATAAAGTGCGAGGAGTCTGGTTCCTCCTTCATCATGGGTAGGAAAGCTGCCCACTGACCAAAAACATTGAAAGTATTGTGGGTATTATGGGTTGAAGTGTGTCCCCAAAAAGATATGTTGAAGTCATAACTCCTAGTACCTCAAAAAGTGACCTTATTTGGAAAGAGGTCTTTAGAAAGGTAATCAACTTAAAATGAGGTCATTAGAGTGGGCCTTAATCCCATAGTATTGATGTCCTTTATAAAGAGGAGAAATTTGGACACACGGGCAGACACAGACAGAGGGAAGATAATGTGAAGACACAGGGAGAACAGGGCCATGGAACTGGAGTGATGAGGCTACAAGCCAAGGATTACAGGTAAGTACCAGAAGCTGGAAAAGCCCAGGAAGGATTCTCCCCTAGAACCATCAGAGAGAACATGGCCTTTCTGTCACCTTGATTTCAGACTTCCAGCTTCCAGAAGTGTAAGACAATATGTGTTTGTGTTATTTTAAGCCACCTAGTTTTGGTACTTTGTTACATTAGTCCTAAGAACCTAAAACAGTAAGGAAGAAATAAACTTTGTGTAAAACTACTGAAATTTGGAAGTTTATTTGTTGCAACAGTTAGCACCACCCTGACTAATGTAGAGAACATATTGTAAGCAAGTCCAGTATAGACTACACGGCCGAGGACAGCATCTCTACGGCAGAGGCACTTCACAGAGATCTGAGAAATGGGGAGGAATCAGCTAGCACAAGCAGGCAGGGATGCTGGAGCAGAGGAAAAGGTTGATCACAGCAGAAAAGCTTTTCAGGCAGAGGCAGCAGCATGTAAGACAGCACTGAGACAGGAGATAATGTGGTGCAACCTTTTCCAGGAACTAGGAAAAGTCCTGCGTATCTGAAGCACAGAGAGCAAGAATGTAGGCAGAAGTAGGTAGGAAGGTAGGTGGAAGTAGGTGGACAGTGACCAGAGATTATAGGCAATTAGAGGGGGTGTTCATCAAGGCACCAGGGAGAAGTGCAGGGTCTACAGACAGTCACTGAAAAGGGGAATCATTTGTGTGTTTGCTTTGCACACAAAAAAAGTCAGGATTGATCAAGCCCTCCCCATGCTCAGGTCTAGAAGGGCCCATGAGAGAGAAGAGAGATGTTGCTGAGAACACTGAGCCACACAACAGCAGCCTGGAGCAGCCAGTGTTTTTAAAAGGACATTGAGGAAAAGCAACAAAAACTGTGGTTACAGACTGAACATCCAAAATTGGAGAAGCAGAGACTGAGAATTGTCCAAATAGTTCTTGACCTCATATGCCAAGTGCACTGAAGCAGTTTTTCCATGACCAACTCGTGGGGGGCCGGGCGTGGATCAATAGACATTGAAGAAAGAGAGAATCCACATCAGCCCAGAGCTGCCCTTTCCCTTGCAAGGCAAAACTAAGGGTTACACTACCTCTTAGTGGAGGGAGATAGAGAGTTAATATCTAGTTATTATTTATAATGAACTTCAAATTAAGTTATATATGTAGTGAATAAACCGTACATAGTTTTCACTTGCTAATGTGGATTCAGCTATTCTCAGCTAAGCCTTCAATTATCTTCATAACGTTTCCAGTTAAAGAAGCTCCTCATAGCGTTAATTAAAACAACAATAATAGTAATAATAATATCCAAATGCTGTTGACACTGTTAACAGTTGTATTCAACATTGTGTAACCCAGAGGGGGTAAAACAGATAAGTCATCCTTCCCAAGACCCTTGTGAAGATGCTCTAAAGTGTATTCCTGTCTGGATGAGCTACATGCTATGATATGTCTTTATAGTCATCTTCAGCATATTTTCCACTTTGGACTTTTTAATGGCTTCGTGGGTATGTCTGTTGTGTGTATGTTATTTTTTACATTTTTGCCGCCAATGAGTTAAGTTTTTAAAACCAATATCCCAAAGGCCAACCCTGATGTAAAGGAATGAGTCATTATTTTCATGCTAGAGAATGAAGTTTGGTTTCCCCCTCACTGTTGGCATAACACTTTCCCCCACACTCCTACCTCATAATGTGCACACCAAAAATGTTGATCTCACAAATGAGAGACATTTGCTATAATAAGTGAAACAAACAGAAGAGGTTATTGTGTTTTGAAATTTAGGAATCTGGAACTTTTAAATTCTGCCTCGGAAAATCAGCCAAGGCTGAAGCAAGCTGTGCATTTGAATTTGTTGGATGAGGACCACCTGTTCTTGGTGAACTCCAACTGATGAATCTGCCCCCTCCAAACTTCCTCTATTGTGTCTTTGTCACATACATACACTCTGAGCACTTCACAGATGTTTGTGGAAGAAAGGGAGGGAGGGAGGAAGGAAGAGAGGAAGGAAGGAAGGAAGGAAGGAAGGAAGGAAGGAAGGAAGGAAGAAGGAAGGAAGGAAAGAAAGAAAGAAGGAAAGATGGAAAGATGGCAGGAAGGCAGGCAGGAAGGAGAGTGGGCAAGGAAAAGGAGGCAATGGAAAAGAAAAAGATATGTTTATGTCTAAGTGTGCATGCTGAGCTAGAATACTGTGGTTGAATACTCTGTTTCTATCTGAGGGCAGGAGATCACTTTGAAGCATCAAGGCTGTGATTGCAGAGAAGGTAGTCAACAGAAAAGGCAAAACTTTTCTTTCCTTTTAATGGCATACCCCAAATGTCCAAAAACACAATGATCTCTGAATTTTACTTGGACTTGGACGCTAAGTACTAAAAGTGGCTTGCAGTTCTTGTACTCATCCATTTCCTAGAGCCTTTTGTCCCAGGTTTTCCTCCACCTGAGTAGTATTTCCCCAAATCTTCACCCAACTGCCTCCTTTTTGCAATTCAGAATTCAGATCAAATGTAATCCCCTGATGAGAACTTCCCTGACTGCCCACTAGTAAAATAAATAGCCCTTCTGTTTGCTTCTCATTAGAACACCTATTACTAGCTAATATTTTTGTTTATCATTCGTCTACCACTGGCAGAAGGAAAGCATCAGTGAGAACAGTGATTTTGCTCCTGAGGTCTTGTTTTCTGCCCTATCCTCAGTGCCTGGATAAACGCTGAGAAAGAAGGCTTCAGTAAAGGCTTATTGAATTAACAACTTCATATTAAAAGGTAAATGAAACTCTCTGTAGTCTAGGACATAGATTCCCCCCATCTTTTCTAAACTGATTTCAGATCCACTTTGGAATCAAAAATTAGTATTTGTAATATATTGATTTCTAAATGATCAGGCTTCTCATTGTCCCACAGATCACTTATCCCTGTTACATTTCTAAAAGGCTAAACAGTGCCTTTAATATAATAATTTAAATTATTGATAGAACTTTACTGATTCTTTACATAAGTAAAAGATGTGTGTATATTTTTCTTTAAAAAAAAAATATATATATATATATGGGCCGGGCAAGGTGGCTCATTCCTGTAATACCAGCACTTTGGGAGGCCAAGGCAGGTGGATCACGTGAGGTCAGGAGTTCAAGACCAGCTTGGCCAACATGGTGACACCCCGTCTCTACTAAAAATACAAAAAGCAGCTGGGCGTGGTGGCAGGTGTCTGTAGTCCCAGCTACTCAGGAAGCTGAGGCACAAGAATCACTTGAACCTGGGAGGCGGAGGTTGCAGTGAGCCGAGATCGTGCCACTGCGCTTCCAGCCTGGGAGACAGAGCGAGGCTCCTCAAAAAAATAAAAAATGTTTAACAATTTTAAGACTTCAAAACAGAATTTTGAAAATTCAGGTAGGTTTTTCAGCCTAATTCAATCAATAGAAGTATTTCAGCACATATAGACAAAAAAAAATTTGTTTACCAAATAGATGAATGCTTTATTGGGTAAGAAGTTCTGTGTATTATAAACTTAAAGCTGAAAATTCTCAGAAATTCATGAATTATACAGATTTATGCAACTATTTTTCCTATCATTCAATAGTTTCCATAGCGACTTTGGCATTAAATTGTGTATGTGCTACCTTGAAGACACAAAGCATAATTCCCTCTCATCTATTTAAAGTGAAGTACTATGTTATTTCTCAGCGTTATGTTCTGGTCTATTTAGGAAAAAATATAAACTGCCATCCTACACGATGCTGTTGTGTTAGTTTCATGCTGCTCAACTTGATATAGTTTTGAATTTTCTTTTCTGTTAAAATTTTCAAGTTGTTAAAATGAATTTTGCAAGATGATAAAATTAAGGCATATTTATTTCTGGTGGGAAGGGAATTAGTAAAGAATTAATCAAGAATATGAGGACACATTTGAAAACTGTACTCTAAAGATTATAATGAAGTAGAAAAGCCAGGCCACTGCTAAAACAAGGTAGCTTCTGGAGACCAAGTAATATTCTGTTTGTTGAGCTGAGTGCTTGTTACATAGCTGTGATCAGTTTGTGAAATTCATACAGCAGTACACATAGGGTGTGTGCACTTTTCTGAATGTGTGCTATGTTTAAATTTTTTTAAATGTTAAAGTCAGTCCACCCCAAAAGCCATTATATTGTATCCAAGAGGGCAGTCAAACCTTTTCTGCAAACAGCCAGATAGTAAACATTTTAAGCTTTTTGAGGCACACATGGTCTCTATTGGGGCTTTTTTTCATTGTTTTTCTATTATTTTTTACAAAAAAAATGTAAAAGCAATTCTTAACTTGAAGTCTATAGAAAAACAGGACATGGATAGCATTTGAAGTCAAGAGAACTTGAGATCTCCAAGGGAGTGAAGATAGAGAGAAGAATATCACAGACTAAGCCAGGCCTGAGGCCTCAAACAGTAAATTACACTAATGATACTTATTAATATGATGAATTATGTTAAGAGAGTTTCTAATATTGAGAATTTTTTCATTTCTGACATGGTCATGATGTATTATTCCTTAATGTGCTGGAAGTTTTCTTTGTGAATGCTTTATTTAAGATTTTTCATCTTTATTTGTAAAGCGAGACTATTATCATTTTTATAAAATTTTTCTTAAGCTTTGTTATCAAGGTTGTACTTACATCACAAAAATTGATGTGGGAGTTTTCCTTCTTTCTCAGCACTCTAGAATAGATTAAATAGCAATAGAATCATCTGCATGTTAAAGTTTTTGTAATAGTCTCCTGTAAATCTGTCAAGGCCTGGTGCTTTTCTGGGGAAGTTGAAGTGGGTGGGTAAATTTTTTTCATAATAATTTATAGTGGGGTTACTCTGTGCCATAGTTCTCAGAACTCACATACATTAACTCACTTAATCTTTACAACAGGCTAAGGAGTTAAGGATTATTGTCACCATCACTGTCAGTCATCATCACTGTCATCACCATCATCATCTCCATTTTACGTCTGAGGAAACTGAACCACAAAAAGGTAAGTCAGGGGAAAAGAACCACTGCATATTTCATCAGCTGGAATTTAAAATAGGGAATGAATTACATAGGTATTGAAAAGATGAAAGAACAAGAAGGGAGCAGTGAGGTACAGCAAGAGATAACTGCAGAATGCTGGTACCATCCCTAGAAATGAAGCTGCAAAGGGAAACAGAGTTGAGTTATAAGAACCTAGGACCTTAGAAGAGGAGGCTAGAAGAGTGGAGGCTCATACCTCAGGGGAAAAACAAAGCTATTTCCAAGGATTCCATTGGAAGCAGAAGAGTAGAACTAACCACCCCTACTGGGGCAGTGTAGCTGCAGGGATAACAGACATAAACAGCAACAAACTGCAAGAAAGTTCCTTCCCTGTGCTCCTGCCTCCCAACCTCCTTCAGTGCTCCCTATTGACAGAAGAAAGCAGGCAAAGGAACCTATGAACTGCAGTTTGAACCTGGGAACCGGCCCCAGCCCCAGCACAACGGAGAAAAATTTAGAAGGTTGGACTTGGAGCTCAGGGACAGTAAATATGGGAAAGCTGAGTTTCTCCATTTCTTTATTTTATTCCTATGGAAAGGGGATTTTCAGGCCTGTTGGCAGGGGTGGAGGGCCTGCAGGGGGAGGGAGAGCATCAAGATAAATAGCTAATGCCTGTGGGGCTTAATACCTAGATGATGTGTTGATGGGTGCAGCAAACCACCATGGCACACATTTACCTATGCAGCAAACCTGCACGTCCTGCACACGTATCATAGAACTTAAAATTAAATTAAATTTAAAAAAAAAAAAAAGAAAGAAAGAAAGGGGATTTTCTTTCTCCCCTAGGTCATATGTCTAAACAATATTTTCTTAGGAAACTATTTTATTCAAGCTTTAAAATTTACTTTCATAGAGTTATACAAAATATACCTCATGTTTTAGGGTCTTCTTTTTGTTTTCTTTTTTTGTGTCATTTATCTTGTATATTTGTGCTTTCTTCCTTTTTTCTTAATTAGATTAGTAATTTATTTGTTCAATCAATTATTTTTCAAATCACCAGATTTTTATTTTATTTATTCGTTAGATTCTCTAACTTTCATTCTGCTTTTATCGTCACTAATCCTTTCCTTTGACTTTTTAAAATTTATTTTATTATTTTTTATAGCCCACTATAAATTATTATGAAAAAGATTTACCCACCCACTTCAACTTCCCAAAAAAAGCACCAGGCCTTGACAGATTTACAGGGGACTATTACAAAAACTTTAACATGCAGATGCTTCTATTACTATTTAATCTATTCTAGAGTGCTGAGAAAGAAGGAAAACTCTGACATCAATTTTTGTGATGTGAGTACAACCTTTCCTTTCATATTTTTACTGTTTCTTTTACTTGCTATAAGTATTTAAGGCTATAAATTTTCTTCTGAGCATGGATTATCTCATGGATTCTGATATGTGGTGTTTTTTGACAACTTTTTTCAAGAAATTCTGCATTTCCTGCTAAATTTTTCTTTTTCATCAAGAGTCCTTTAATACAGCTTTAAAAATTATTTCAAGGTGGAAAAGCTTTTTCATTTTGTGCTTTTGTTATTAATTACTATATAACTGTATTGTGCTAATGTTATCTGATTTTTTTCTTCTTTTTGGAATTGTGGCCTAATATATATAGTCAATTTTATGATGGTTTCAAAGAAATTCAAAAGGAAGATATTCTCTATTATCAAGGTACAGAGTTTGATGCACATCCCAACAGAGGTACCTTATTAATTACATGTTGTGGGTTATCTATATACTTAGTTTTAACTTCTTGATCTTACACATCTTTCATAGAAAAATAAAGCTTTCTATTACTAATGTGTTTTGTCTATTTTCTATTAATCGCATCTATTCCCTTCTTCATGAAATTGTGCTAGCTGGTACATAGAAAATGATTTTAATTGCATCTTCATTCTGAATTTTATTCTTCAACATTATATAACTGTATTCCTCAGAGTTCTCCAGAGAAATAGCATCAATTAGATATACATACAGGGAAAGAGATTTATTGCAAGAGACTGGCTCATAAGACTATGAAAAGGTAGAGAAGTCCCACAATCTGCTGCCTGCAAGCTGGAAGCCCAGGTGTTGTAATTGCAATCTAAGCACAAAGGCCTGAGGACCAGGGGCGCCAGTGGTATAAGGCCTAGTCTTAGTCCAGTTTCAGAACCAGGAGCACCAGTGTCAAAGGGCAGATAAATATGGACAGCCCAGCTGAAGAAGAGAGTGCAAATTCACTCTTCAGACCCTCAGTGGGTTAGACGATGCCAATCCACATGGCGAGGGCAATCTTCTTGACTCAGTCTACTGATTACAATGCTGATCTCTTCTGGAAACACCCTCACAGGTACATCTGGAAACAGTTTTTTACCAGCTATCTGGGCCCAGTCAAGTTGACATACAAAATTAACCATCACGATAACTGTTATATTTTCATAGTAAATTGAATGATTTTTTTTTTCTCATTTAATGTCTTTGGGTCTAAATTTTTTGATATATATTTCAGATTCCTGCTTACTGTTTTTAGTTTTCACTTGCTTGTATACATTTGCTTATGCTTTTATTTTTAACATTTCTGAACTAATTTAAGTATGTCTTTCGGATTCAGCAAAGAATTGGGTTTTGTTTAGTGATCCAAAATGAACATCTGTTTTTCTTTTAATTACATTTACAATTATTGATTTACTATAATTGATTTTTTATTTTAGTTCTATCATGTTACAAGTAGAAGGATGGATAGATAGACAGAAACTCTCTATGTGGCCTCTTACTTTCTTTTTATAGTAATTCTTCTGATATTTCAGAAGGTTTGTATTTTGTTTCAATGGTTACCCTCGGTCAGTGTTGGGGTCTCCAATACCACCCCCAGTTTCAATGACACATGAGAAAAACTCAAAGGACACAGCATATAGTTGTACTCACAGCTGAATTTATTATAGTGAAAGGATACGTACAAAATCAGCAAAGAAAAAAGACACATGAGGCAAAGTCTAGAGAAAAGCAAGTACAGCCATACAAGATTCTTCTCCCAATGGAGTTAAATAGGACACACTTCACTCCTCCAGCAGCAAGTTGTAACGGCATGTGTGAAATGTTGTCTACCAGAAAAGCTAACTCACTAAAGCCTCTATGCCCAAGAGCCCAAGATTTTTTTTTTTTTTTTTTTTTTTTTTGAGGCGGAGTCTCACTCTGTCGCCCAGGCTGGAGTGCAGTGGTGCTATCTCAGCTCACTGCAAGCTCCGCCTCCCGGGTTCATGTCATTCTCCTACCTCAGCCTCCCGAGTAGCTGGGACTACAGGCGCCCGCCACCACGCCCAGCTAATTTTTTTTTTGTATTTTTATTAGAGACGGGGTTTCACCGTGTTAGCCAGGATGGTCTCAATCTCCTGACCTTGTGATCCGCCCGCCTTGGCCTCCCAAAGTGCTGGGATTACAGGCGTGAGCCACCGCGCCCCGCCGAGCCCAAGATTTTTGCAGGGGCAGGTCACACAGGCACTTTCTGCCTAGCACATACCAAAGCTTCAGACTTTTGAAAGGAAAGCAGTTGTTCAGTACAAATCATAATGTTTGCACAAACAGTTTAGACACCGTAAGCCTTTTTATTAGCTCTGAACGGTGGGAATGCTTCCCAAATTCAAGTTCCCAGATGCAGTCCAAGGACCAACCTTTCTAGCAGGACTTTTAAAGGATAGTAGTCTCAGACCTCTTCTCAGCCATTTTTATAGCTATATTTTTACATTGTCAGAGCTCATGCTATTAACGTGTCACTTTCACACCCTTGTTTCACCTACGATTTTGTCTTAGAACCATAGTTAAATGTGTTTAATGCTTATTTGTTTTGCTGGAGTTTCCTTTATCATCCCTTAATAGAGCAGAGTTTATCCTCCAGCAGATTCTTTTAAGAAGGGATTATATGAACAATCGGCCCTCAGTTTTTACATGTTCAAACTGTATACTTGAAAGACAACGTATTAGTCATGGTTCTCCAGAAAAACAGACCAATAAGATACATGTATATATAAAAGGGAGTTTATTAGGGAGAATTGGCTCACATGATCACAAGGCAAAGTTCCATGATAAGCCTGCAAGCTGGAGAAGAGAGAAGCCTCAAAACCAGGGAAGCCAAAAGCGACAGTGCAGCCTTTAGTCTGTGGCCAAAGGTCCAAGAGCCCCAGCAAGCTGCTGGCATGAGTCCCAGAGTCGAAAGGTCAAAGAACCTGGAGTCTGATGTCCAAGGGCAGGAGGACCTGAAGCAAGCAGCCAGCATGGGAAGAAGAGGGCCAGAAGACTCAGCAGGCAAGGTTATCCCGCCTTCTTCCGCCTGCTTTTTCTAGCTACGCTGGCTGGAAGGCGAGTGGATGGTGCCCACCCACAGAGGAAGGTGGGTCTTCCTCTCCGAGTCCACCAACTCAAACGTCAATCTCCTCTGCAACAACCTCACAGACACACCCAGAAACAATACTTCACTAGCCATTTAGGCATCCTTCCATCCAGTCAAGTTGACCCCTAATATTAACCATCACAGACAGCTAGACTGAATATAAAATTCTTGAGTCACACTTACTTCCTTGAATAACTTCTAGGTGTTGCTCCACTGTCACCTGAAATTCAATGTTGCAGTGGAGAAGTCTGACTGCCTGATTGTCTTTCACTTATAGATGACACAATTATTTGTCTCATGTAGATCCTTTATCTTTATAGCCTATTCTGCTGTATCTTGGCATTGACCACTCTGGGTCACATTTCCATGGAATTTAGTGCACTCTTTCAACACATTACTTCAGATTTTCTTCTCTTTTTTTTTTCAGGAGACTTTTTATAATTATATTTTATATAATTGTTACATTATTTTCGGTGTTTTCCTTCAGAAACTCCAATTCTGCATATGGTAGATCTCCTTTGTCTTTATTCTCTCTCTTTTCTCTCTAATTATTGTTTCTATTTATACTTCATTGTTTTTCTTACTTATTTTTCCTGTGACTTTTACTGTGCTTCGTAAGATGTCTCTTCTCTCTCCTGCTCCTTAAAACTTAGTATTAACATCTACATAATTTCTTTCTCATTCCTTCTTGAAATATAGCACTCTCTGATTCAACTATTTGGACAGTCTGGCTCAAACCTTCTGTTGACTGCTCAATTTCTCCCTGATTTATTTGATTTCTGCTTCATGGTATTCCTTCACAGCTGCAATTTCTACATTAATTTTGTTAATTCCCATTGAAATTTTGGATTGTAAAATTTTTATCTGCTTTAGGGTGACATTTTAATGAGTTTTCTTATTACATTTTGGGTGATCTTTTGCACACTTTTTAAACTATTTTTGTCTATATTTTTACTCCATTTTTTCATGTTTAAATGAGTTGGAATTTCTTGGGCCAGCTATTAATAAGAGAGCCAGTAGATCATTCTCTAGGATTCTTTGTTCAACAGCTCTCCCCGATATTGTTAAAATAGTAGTAGGCTATTTATTTATAATACAACCCACATCTCCTTTGTCTCTTAGCACCTAACCTGATTCAGAAGAGCTTCTACTCCCAGCTATAATTTCCCTTGGTCCTCTTCTTGTCACTTTATTAAGGGGTATACCTCCTGCCTTTGAAAGTGTTCACCTTTTTCTGGAACATGGAATTTTCTTTTTTTTTATTTTTGGATGAAATAAAGTTTATATCTTTATTTTTATTTTTATTTTTTTTTAATTATACTTTAAGTTTTAGGGTACATGTGCACATTCTGCAGGTTAGTTACATATGTATACATGTGCCATGCTGGTGCGCTGCACCCACTAACTCGTCATCTAGCATTAGGTATATCTCCCAATGCTATCCCTCCCCCCTCCCCCCACCCCACAACAGTCCCCAGAGTGTGATATTCCCCTTCCTGTGTCCATGTGATCTCATTGTTCAATTCCCACCTATGAGTGAGAATATGCGGTGTTTGGTTTTTTGTTCTTGCGATAGTTTACTGAGAATAATGATTTCCAATTTCATCCATGTCCCTACAAAGGACATGAACTCATCATTTTTTATGGCTGCATAGTATTCCATGATGTATATGTGCCACATTTTCTTAATCCAGTCTATCATTGTTGGACATTTGGGTTGGTTCCAAGTCTTTGCTATTGTGAATAATGCCGCAATAAACATACGTGTGCATGTGTCTTTATAGCAGCATGATTTATAGTCCTTTGGGTATATACCCAGTAATGGGATGGCTGGGTCAAATGGTATTTTCAGTTCTAGATCCTTGAGGAATCACCACACTGACTTCCACAATGGTTGAACTAGTTTACAGTCCCACCAACAGTGTAAAAGTGTTCCTATTTCTCCACATCCTCTCCAGCACCTGTGGTTTCCTGACTTTTTAATGATTGCCATTCTAACTGGTGTGAGATGGTATCTCATTGTGGTTTTGATTTGCATTTCTCTGATGGCCAGTGATGATGAGCATTTCTTCATGTGTTTTTTGGCTGTATAAATGTCTTCTTTTGAGAAGTGTCTGTTCATGTCCTTTGCCCACTTTTTGATGGGGTTGTTTGATTTTTTCTTGTAAATTTGTTTGAGTTCATTGTAGATTCTGGATATTAGGTCTTTGTCAGATGAGTAGGTTGTGAAAATTTTCTCCCATTTTGTAGGTTGCCTGTTCACTCTGATGGTAGTTTCTTTTGCTGTGCAGAAGCTCTTTAGTTTAATTAGATCCCATTTGTCATTTTTGGCTTTTGTTGCCATTGCTTTTGGTGTTTTAGACATGAAGTCCTTGCCCATGCCTATGTCCTGAATGGTAATGCCTAGGTTTTCTTCTAGGGTTTTTATGGTTTTAGGTCTAACGTTTAAGTCTTTAATCCATCTTGAATTGATTTTTGTAAAAGGTGTAAGGAAGGGATCCAGTTTCAGCTTTCTACATATGGCTAGCCAGTTTTCCCAGCACCATTTATTAAATAGGGAATCCTTTCCCCATTGCTTGTTTTTCTCAGGTTTGTCAAAGATCAGATAGTTGTAGGTATGCGGCGTTATTTCTGAGGGCTCTGTTCTGTTCCATTGATCTATATGTCTGTTTTGGTACCAGTACCATGCTGTTTTGGTGACTGTAGCCTTGTAGTATAGTTTGAAGTCAGGTAGTGTGATGCCTCCAGCTTTGTTCTTTTGGCTTAGGATTGACTTGGCGATGCGGGCTCTTTTCTGGTTCCATATGAACTTTAAAGTAGTTTTTTCCAATTCTGTGAAGAAAGGCATTGGTAGCTTGATGGGGATGGCATTGAATCTGGAACATGGAATTTTCTAAAACAACTCGGTCACCTCTTGATTTTGCCTGATTGCTTTCTGCAACTTTTTACCCACCTTCCTTAGCAATTGCACCCTGTTGTGTATCAGTCCAATTCACAGCAAAATCCAGAGAGGGGCCCGCTCCTTCTGGGAGTAAATATTTTAGTATTTCCTTCTGATTTCTAAGCTCTGCCACTGATAGGCCCCTTCCTGCCTTCCATTCTTCATCTCACCTTCAGCCCCTAAAAGCCCCATCATTTCCATGAAGTTAATGCTGATTTAATTTGCTTGGGCTACAATAATACAAAACTTAGAGTTTGTAGATTCTCTCTGTTTCCTAGCATTGATGAGAATCTAATGTGAGGACAATTTTTTCTATTCTTCGTGTATGTGATTTCCAAGAAAAGAAGTGGGAATATTTGGACCTAAGCTACCACTATGCACTATGCTCCTATAATATTCACTTGAATGATTAATTTATTTCTGCTAAAATTGTGGGTGCAGGAAGAATTGCCAATCCTACTGATAATAAAACTGCTGGTCATAAAGTAAATCTATGCCCTGCATTTATGCTTGTAAAATTTCCAAAGTATTTTAATGATTTCTCTAGGATGTCTTCTATTTCTAATGTATTTCTTAATGACCTCTGATCTGAAGTGTTGACTCGGTAAATATTTTTTATCTGAGCAATGTATAGTGGAATCATAATATCATCTTTCATAAGGATAATGCATGGTACTAAAAGCCCAGCTAATAGTGCAATTCCCCCATTTAATTATCTCCTCTGGCATAATATAACTACCTACTCTCAATTATTATACTCATCATAATTAAGTCATAGAGACACTCTGTCTCTGGATATGTGAATAGTACAATTTGGACAAAGGACAGAGAGTCAGAGTACAACTTGGAATGACTTTCTCACTGTTTACCAAAGATATTACTGTTACAAAAAGTGTTCCACTTCATACAGATTATTTTTCCTGCAATAGCTAAGGCAGTTTTTGAGGAAAGTATTTCAGACCAGTGTCTACAAATGGTTTAAAAAACTATCAAAGGAGGTAATATAAACCTGGATTTGAATCCCAGTATCTCTGCTTATCATCTCCTATGACTTCTCAAAGCTTCATTTTCTTCAAATGTATACAACCCATATGTCCACCTTTATTACCCTGTGCACACGGTGATGTCACTCTTTTAATGTCCAAATTTGTGCATCTCAAATTCCATCCTGTGAATCTCAGTCCATACTCCTTCTAGACACTCCTTGGATTACAAGTGCTGCTTTCTCTGTCCATAGCAATAGTCCCACTGCCAAAGAATATCATCAGCCCATGAAAAGGACCTCTTCCCTCATGCTGATTATCCATATGGTATAGACATTAAACCCATGCATGCTGGGAAATTCCAACCAAACTTTCAATAATTGTCTTCATTGCTGCCTCCTATAACAGTTCCTCAAGGAGTGGGATTAAGAGAAATTTTGGCTAGCATCAATGATGTGTTGAGTCCAGAACCAGCCCTCCCCTTTCCAATCACTCCAGTCATAAGCAGACTTTTCTCTTAACTCACAAGACACATCCCTATTGTAATTATTATTGCTATCATTATGGTTAGTTCATCATAAGCATGTTATAAACATTTATTGGATATATGGATGAATGGGTAGATGATTAGAGAGCAGCTTCCCCCTAAAGGTATGAAAATTACATGAAGAAATACATGGAAAGTGACTGGCACAAAGTACTATGTGACCTAAAAATATATATATATATATTAGCTCCCTGTCATTTCTGATGGCAAACATTCAGTCTAATAAAATCTTTAATTTAATGCATATTTTAAAACATGGTTTTAAAAGCAGCAAACATCTACTTTTGAAAGAAAAGAGTTAATCCCCTCAATGTTAGTAGTCACAGATGTAAATGAAATCAGCAATTAAATTTTCTTTCACTACCAACATCCTTGAAGCCATTCCTTCCAATCACATAAAACACTACTCAGACAATGAATCCATAGACCTTGCTTCCTCAACCTAAACTACTGCAATGAAACATTTTTAGTGCTTTTGATAGAGGCCTTGTTTTCATGCTACAGCTTGGGAAAAAATGAGAAAATAAGGCAAGGCAGCAACATAGCCAGGGGAAAACAGAAAGCAGAAATTATCTGAAAAATTTATTTTCCCCTTTTATGTAAGTGACAGTGCACAAGATCTTTGCCACATTAATTTTCATAGCTTTTAGAATCATTATGAATTTCATCCATATTTCCATAGACATTTATTATACTTCTTTGAAAACAATTTCTTTAATAAACCATTTGTTTCATATTATTATCACAGATACAGCCCTTGACTCTGACTCTGAACTAATGTGAATCATTTTATAACCACTTTACTCCCAGGTTTTCCAATGTAAACAATGATCTTCAAGGTTTTCTCATACTCTTCACAGTCTCCACAGATCTGTAACAGCAATGACACCTTGTAGAAATAAAATATATATTTATAGAATTAATGAAATTTGATACCACCTATATATTATTTCAGTTAATGGAGCCACATAACTATTGCTGAATAAGTTACAGAGCCTGTGATTGTTCTCTCCTAAGTGGAACTTACAATAATCACTGTTAAATAAAGAGCACTCTAGAATTGGGAGTTATCATGGAGGTACAAAATTTGGGGAAACCACAATTTTTTTAAATTAGAAAGAGTAGTCTTGAATAAAGGAAAAAAAAAGAAAAGAATTTAACACACCTGCATTTCCTTCCCCATAAGGTCTATGTAAATATCAATGCAGCAAGTCCCTTCATTAGACTGTTTATGCATAAGAAGTAGCCACATAACCCTGATATGCACGTCAAGTTAGTTACTAATTGTCTTTTCAGGTCCGTAGAAGCCAGACCACTCTCTCGAGGTAGTGGATAAGGACTTGTCTGCAGGAAATGCATCATTCCTCTCAATCATCCCATTAGATTAGTCCTGAGCCAGAAAACAGAGTTGGAAGACAGGAGAAAGGCAAGACTTGTTCCTCTCCCTAGAGCTAAAACCAACTGGACAAAGACTCTGAGCTCCAGGGAGGCATGGAATGCATTGGGTACTACACCTCTAAGCCACATAAAACCACACTAAGACCAAGTGGCTCTATGAAGACGGAGTTTTGTGGCAGTAACAGCAGGAGCCACATATACAAGGAATGATGTTCTGGGGTTACCAAGTCCTCTGACTTCAAAAGCGTGGGAGGGGCTGAATTCTGGCTGCATTCATGAATGACAAAAACAACCAGAAATGACCAATGAGACACCAGTAAGCCCAAGGATTATGAGGCAAATCAATAGAGAGACTGTAAGGCAAGACTGACTGCATGCTCTGCTAACTTATGGGTCTGTGGGAATTCAGAATTGTTACATTTTTTATCTCCAGGTAGATAGTGTAAAAAAAAGTTACATTTTAGAATATCAGTCATTTGTATCCCATCCTGAACACAGTATCAGTTATTCTTGAAAAGAAGAATTAAATGGAACCTCAAAAGTTATGCTTGAAGTCTCATATTAAAGAATTCCATGTCATGGGAAATGTTGAGAGAGTGGAACCGTGGTGTAAATTCTACAGGTACAAAACGTAGAAAGCAAAATTATTTTAATTTTTAAAAATTTAAGGGTAAACATTTTTAAATTCAAGATCTTGGAGTATCCTTATATGTATTTATATAAGGACCCTGCTACTTTCACTGACTGGAAATACAGCATTTCAAAAATAAAATTTTCATAAAGTCATAGCATCTAAGAGTTGGAAGGAACTTCTGAGGATATCAGGGCCAACTTCCCCTCATAACAATTCAGATTCCCCCCTAAACATCCCAAACCACAAGAACACAACAAAATGTGTCCTTGGATAGTACTGATGATCTGTGTAGAATGAATCCATCTTCTAAAATTGCCTGCTAAACACATCTATTCTCAAGCAAGACAGGCTATCACTTTGGAATTAATAGGAGCACCACCTAGTTATAACTCAAACTTATTACAAGAACTAATGAATAGACTCCTTTACCAGTTACTTCCTAGCAAAGAAAAAATATTAAACATGTGCCTAGAAGTCAAATTCATCCTAAAGAAGATAAAATAATACTTCTGCTCTGTGTGGGGGTATGTTGCCATGGGAGAAACCATACATGTGGTGGCAGAGGGCAAAGGCGATATCTCTGATCCTTCCTCTCAATTTTGCTGTAAACCTAAAACTTCTCTTAAAATATAAAGCCTTTTTTTAAAAAAAACAATAACATTTCCAAGACAAAAAAAATTAAAAAGTAAAGCTTCTGAATCTGAAGGCTTAGGAACTAGCATTTGTTTGTGGGAGTAGGGCACAGCCTCCATTCGAATTCAGAATGAACTTTTGAGTATAATCTTGGTGGATACACACAACAAAGTTATTTTCCTAGCTCCTACAGCTCAACTTTTTTTCATGAACTATAGAATATTTTAAAATCTACAATAAACACATCTAATGTGGTGGTATGGCATTATGTTAATTTGGTTATAAATCTTACGAGAAAATCCTATGCGAAAATAAGAAGTGGGAGGGGGTTGGTCATGAATACTTTGGTTTGTCTTGTTCTCTGCACTGTAGGGTAATGTCTCAATAAGGATTTGAAATTTTTGAAAGGAGCTTTTAAGTACTTACATAGTGCTAGCCCTATTTCACTTACAGAAAGGGGCACACAAGACATGCAGATGGCTTTTAATTATGCACTGCTCCTGTTTACACCATTTGGGACTGGCTCATGGGTCTTTCTCCTCTGTCAGAAAGGACCAATTCACAGCATTTGGATCTTCAATGGCTTGCATTTAAGGCACTGCAATTCTTTAAGCTGCCGATATATTGTTAGGGCAATGCTAGAAAATGGAAATTTCTCTGCTGCATGGGATGTATTAGAAGGTGTTACTAGAATTGTCTTAGATAAAGCGATGTTATCTAGGCTGGTTCCTGTAACATTGTCCTGCACTGTCTAATTAGAAAACTTTTTTTTTTCTAATGAGGATTGTTCTATGAGGATTGTTCCCAATGGCATTCTGAAATTTAAGATGTTTGGTATAGCTTCCAAAGCAAAATATACATTTTTGAAGGGACAGAGGTTTTCAAAATTTCCATAACAAGTGAGATACATTTTGAGTGTTTTGACAAGACTGCCATCACAGATATTACTAGCACTCTATTCAACACATAGAATTGTTTTTTAGCCACATAAAAGTACTGAAAAAATAAATGCTAAATCCCTTAAGAAAAACGTGCTCAGCAATTTTAAGGAGTTAACAAGATAGAGTTCCTTGGGGAAAATATGACAATCCTCTTTTTGTGGCAATTATTTGCCTTTGTAGTAAAGCCCTGCATTATCTTTTAGTCACCAACTAAAAAATAAGAAATGAAGATGTGGTGAGCTACCAAATGCAAAATATTTAATAAAATATATGTAAGAAATATATTTAAATAATAAAGCTTAGCATTTGTCAGAAAAGAAAGTGGGGAGAAAGGAGGAAAAATTACTCAGGGTTCTAAGTTCAGCCACCAAGACGTCTTACTACAGGTCATGGGAAGAAGTTAACTCATAAAAAAAATCAGAGAAAAGGAAGATTTGAACTCATCTTCCAGCTTTTACAGAGCATATTGAAGCCAAAGATCTGGAAGTATGTGGAAAAGATTTATGTAGTATAAAGAATTACATGAATTATATTATTAGAAAAATGTAAAGGGGCTCTCTATTGGAATTATTATAGCTGCTTAGCTAGTCAGTTTTCTCAGCTATTAACCCTCCAAAATGAATGTGAATATTTTACTCTCCTTAGAGCTCTATCGCATCTATGTATAGTATCATCACTGAAAAACTCAGTGGAGCTGAGACTTACTCTTTTTTGAGAATCTCAGACTTTGACATCAGGAGGATGGATCCTATTTTTGGAGGTCATAAAAATCTGAGTGAAATCACCAAAGTAATTTGGCTTAACTTATCTGCATAAGCTACTTCCTAAAAATGTGATTCTCTATCTTTCTTTATATCTTTACATTAAATATATTTAAAACAAGTTGTTTTTGTTTCCCTAGCAAGCATACCTCATGCTCTACAGATCTAACAGTTATTAAACTATTCTACATTATTTGGTATAATTTGTATTTACTTATGTTTTAACCTCTGCCATAGTTGAGCAACATCATACAAATATGGCCATCTTAAGGCTTCATAAGTCAGTCCAAATCCTTACTCATTTAAAACAGATTGATAGTTGCCAATAACTCTTTTATCTTCTAATCTTGATTGGCCTATATGTTAGGCCAATAACATATAGGCCTAACCTAGATCAGCACTGCTAAGGTAATTTCTCATCTCAAAAAAAAAAAAAAACAGATTTTTTGCTGCAGCCCAGAAGTTAGCCCTTTGGAGTTGCCTATTGTACTATGTCCGAATTAAAGTTGTAAAAACCCATGGAAACCCATAGAAAGTTAATGCCATATAGAAGTATTCTTCAATATGATATTAAATAGAAGAATTTTTAAACACATACAATGTGAATATTGATTTGGCTGCTTTGACAATAACCATAGTTTAGCAAGATGGAAGCTTTGTTTTTCCCCTTCTGTAAGAGTAGCTGTGCAGTTTGGCAGGTAGGCAGCTCTGCTCCACAGGTAATCCAAAGAGATCCAGGTTATTTCTATCTAGTTGCTCCATCATTTGTAGGGTATGTTCTTCTACATGATTAAGGCTGACTCACTATCACTATATCTGCATTTTGGCCCAAAGAAAGGATGAAAAGAAAGTGGCAAGTAAAGCTGCTTCCTTTTAGGGATGTGAACTATAAGTTTACATACCACTTCTTCTCCTATTTCACCTGTCAGACCTTGGTCATGCCAAGCTACCAGGGGAGGCTCAGAAATGTCTCCAGCTGGGCTACTACATGCTTACCTTAAACTGGAAAGTGGAAAGTTTTGATGCTAAAAGGAAGAAGAGAATGGATGGGCTTGGATGAAAATTTAGGAGACAAGAGTGGAGCACCCTTTCAACAAATGCCACATTGTCAATGTTCTTGATAGCACAGAGGATGAAAATCTAAGCAAAAACACAGATATTGACAACTGGGATTCAAAAAATGACATAGTAAAGTTAGACTCTGAATGTGAAGAGGTTTTAGGACTACTTTACCCAATGTATTTTTCTTATGTTTTCTTTCTTATATATGTTCCAAAGTCATATGTGATAGAAGTCTGTATCAAAAGGGTCTCACTCTGTCACCCAGGCTGGAGTGCAGTGGCATGATCACGGCTCACTTCAGTCTCAACCTCCCAGGTTAAAGCAATCCTCCCACCTCAGCCTCCTGAGTAGCTGGCACTACAGGCATTTGCTGTGATGTCCAGCTAAGTTTTGTAGAGACAGGGTTTTGTCACATTGCCCAGGCTGATCTCAAACTCCTGGGCTCAAGCAATCCACCCACCTCAGCATTCCAAAGTGCTGGAATTACAGGCATGAGCCACCAGCCACCACGCCCAGCCTAAAGAGAAGTTTTTAAATGAGTATAATTTTTTAAATAAAAAACAGAGCAATATGTCATACTTAAATTTACAGCACTTCTTCTCTATTAGTGGTAAGCAAAACAATGCAAATTATATTCAATGGTCTCAGATTTGATGATGTACAGTAAAATGTTATTAATTATTTAACATTGATAAGTTTTTTGCATAGCTAGAATTAAAATTGGTCTTTATTTCATTCTTTAAACTTCTACCTATTGCTCGTTTTTCTGCAATAAACAAAATTAGATGCATAATATAAATTTTAAATATTCCAGTGGGATAGTGCAATATGCTAGGAAATCTAAATAAAATATCTAAAAGGATGGCCTGAGTACATTAGTCCAAAGATTAAAGAGCCAGGCCAAGCAAAACGGTAGTGTGACTCAGTCCTAAAGAGGGAAGTAGGGGATTATTTGCAGGGGCAGACTCGTACATGTTCTCAGCTCTATAATGAGTTGATCATCCTTTCCATTTAAAAACTAAATATGACTAAAGAATATGTTTCCCTGGTTAGTTAAGAATTGGTGAATGAATGTATCAAGCAAATTAATTACTACATTTGCTAGTTTATCTGGGAACTGTAAGCCAAGGCAGTCCCTTTCTCTGCACCCCAATTTATTTCAAAATTAGCAATGCATTATTTGAATAGATGTATTTCTATAATTAGAAGCTTTGCTCTCTGAGCTTCTTGTATCTACTGGTTGTCTTAATCTGGATAACAGCTCAGCTCATTTAACACATATTTTTAAAATCCTAAAATTCACCCAAATATTCAATTTTATCCTTTTTATTTTACTATTATATCATCTCTTGACTTATTTTTATCTCACTGTCTTTGGCTCCTCTCTAGGTAGTGATAATCATATTAGAAGAATTTTAATTCCAACCAATTCCAGATTAATATATTATTCTACAACAAATAAATTGTTCCATTCAGAAACAGAACTAGCTACTCAATTTTTCCCTATTATTTTTTCAAAATAATTTGTATATATATGTAATAGTTGTACATATTGATGGGGTACATATGACATTTTGATGCAAGCATGTAGTATGTAATGATCAAATCTGGATAATGGGGATATCCATCACTTCAAACATTTGTCATTTCTTTGTGCTGTGAACATTCCAAATCTACTCTTTCAGTTATTATAAAATATATTTTTAAATAAAATAGGAATATATTACAGAATAATTTAATATCTATTATCACACAGCAATATTACCTGATTCTTACTGGGAAACAAGCAGGTTGTCAAGTGCTATTTCCAGTTTCGTGTCCACTCATGCAACTTCATAGGAATCAAGAGAACCTAGCAGGGACATACAGGCTTGAAAGCAGCCACTTTGGCAGATCCATTAAGGATTAATGTGACCAGAAGGACCCTTGTGACCAGAATAAGAGATCAAACAATCTTGTCTGATCTCCTACCCAAACATAGGGCAACCCAGAGTTTGAACTCAAGTGAGACTAATCACAGAGGTAAAGTGTATTTTCCCAGGAGCTCTACTGCATTAGGCCAAATTGTATGATCTGAGGGTCAAAAGCAAGCTGGTTATCAGTGCAAATGGACTAGGCAAAATGGGAGAAACAGGTAAGAGCCCACAGCTGGAAATCAGGGAAATAAGAGAATGATGTGTGTGCTCAAGCTGGACAGTGAAAGGCAAAGCATGAAAGAATTTCTTGAAATACAGAAGTACAATTTTAGCCACAATTTTATAGAAAATTGCCATATTTACACATGAACAAAAAAGACACTATTAAGGTCAGTATCTGGGCATATGTGGTTTAATCTGCACATTGTCCCTTCCATTGAATGGCTCCTTCCCCCGTGGTGTCCTTCTCTCCTTTAGTTACAGATGTAAGCACATGATCCACTTGGCCAATCAAGGTTCTTCATCCCTCCATTCACAGTGAGGGATCCACAGGATGGGCAAATAACTCAAACAAGACTGGAAATCCTCTGTTATATTTAATAAAGGAACAGTGAGATCAATAGTGTCTGCCATGAACTGCAGTAACTGTGAAAGTCTGGAGCTGCCATGGCATGGAAGAAGCTGACAATGAAGCCAACACAGAGAAAAGTGCAGTCAAGCTACAGAGTGAGGAGCAGTTTCTAGTAACATCCTGTGAGCCCCTGGACATAGTCTGAAGGACAACTCAACCCTCAACTTTTCAGTTAAATGAGCCAATTAGTTTTATGCATATATAGAAAGTATATATATGTACATATATATGCATCTATACCCTTATTTTTAAAACAAATGAGAGCATACTCTGTACACTGTTCTGCCTATTGACTTTCTCACTTAATATATCTTTTAGAATTAGCACATATAGATCTACCTTATTAGAACATATAGATCTATTTTATTCTTTAATGGTTGCATAAAATTTCATTGTGTAAATGTTATGTACTATATTGCACCAGTTCCTTGTTGATCAGCATTTAGATTATTTTCAATCATTTGCTACATCAAACTAAAAAAATGACTACGCTTAGTTGTATGTCTTTGTACTGTATACAAGTATATCTCTAGGCTTTTAGGAAACAACTGACACATTGATTCTAGAATTTATATGGAAATTTGAAGGACCTAGAACAGTCAAAACAATTTTGAAGAACAACAATGGATTATTCACATTATCTGATTTCAAGACTTTCTATAAAGTTACAATAATCAAGAGTGTAGTGTAAGAATGAATAGATGAATGTAACATAATATAGAGTTCAGAAATAAACCTGTACATTTAGTGTTAATTAGTTTTCAACCAAGATACCCAAATATCAATGGGGAAAGGAAAGTTTAAAATAGATTGAGCTGAAACAACCAGAAAAAAACTATGAAAACATGAGCCTCAATCTCTACCTCACATCATACACAAAAATTAATTAGCAATATGCGATAAACCTAAATGTGTAAGTCAAAACTGTAACTCTTCCATAAGAAAATTTAGAACATCTTTACAACTTTAGGCAAAAGTTTTAAGTAGATGTGTGAATGGTCAATAAGCACATGTAAAGGTGCTCAGCAGAGAAATGCTTTGAAACTGCTATTAGATACTACTTCACACATAGGAAAATAGCTTTTAAAAAAAAAAACCCCTGACAACACCAAATGTTCACAGAGAAATGAAGCAACATATATTAAACAATACTGGTGAAAGTATAAAATGGTTCAATCACTTTGTAAAACTGTTTAGCAGTTTATTATAACACTAAACATATACTCACTCCATGACCTAGCAATTGTACTCCTAAGTATTTATCTTCCCCCAAGAGAAGTGAAAAAATATGACCACAAAATGTCTTGTACAAGAATGTTCATAACAGCTTTATTCATGACAGTCAAAAACAACAAAAAGTGTATCAGCAATGGAAAAAACCAATTATAATATATTCAAAAATCGAATGTTTTTTCTATTAGCAACTACTCAGCAATAAAGGAACAGAGGATATGGGAATCAAAAGTAGAGGAATAACTACTGATATAACAATGACATAAAAAGGTTCTCAGAAATAGTATCTTCAATGAAAGAAGCCAGACACAAAGAAGCCCACACTGTATTATTTCATTTTTGTGAAGTCCAGGAATAAGGAAAACTAATCTATAGTGAGAGGAATCTGAACAGTGTAGTCCATGGAGGTGAAGATTGACTGGAATAGGGCAAAAGGAAACTTTCTAGGAGGATGGAGATATTCTTGATTGGGAGCTTGCTAACATGGGTGTCTACATTTCTCAAAACTCATCAAATTCTCCATTTAATATATTCTCCTGTGTGTAAATTTTAATAAAATAAAATAAATTTCAATAAAATAATACTTTTACTATAGTTTTAATGAAGTTTAGAGAGTAAATGAAAATAATAAATCCAAACCACCTCTTTACCTGGAGGTCAGGTTTTTGCTAACTTTTTACCATTGTAAGTAATGCTGCTGTGACTAGCCATTGGGGCAAATAATTGTATAGATTATTGGTTAAATTCCCAAAAGTAGAATTTTATTTATTAAAGATTTCACTTAGTTTAAGACTTTTGAGACATATTGCAAAACTTTCTTCCCAAAATAATAATCCAATATATAATTTCACCTACAATGTATGAAAATACTCATTTCCCCCACTTAGCCAACATTAGGTATTGTCATTTTATAAACATTTAAGAATAATATAAATACTAAACAGCAATAATAACAGTAATTTCTAAAACTCACACAATTATTATACCCTAGGCACTGTTCTAAGTAACCTACCTGTATTAACACCCATTTAACACACAAAACAACCTGATAACATGGGTACTCTAATGACCCCCAGTTCACAGATGAGGAAACTGAAACAAAGATCAAGGTATTTGCCCAAAGTTACCCAGTTAGTAAATTTTAGAGGTAGGTCTTCAAACTCAGAAATTCTAGCTCTACAGTTTGTGTTCTTATCCACTATTGGTGCTGTTTCTCTTATTATTTTAACATATTGAATGATTGGATTATTGCTGTGGGTGTGGTTTAGCTTTCTCTCATGCTATTGACCTTTTCTTTTGTAAATTGCCTTTTTGTGTTCTTTGCCCATTTTTCTTCTTGTCATTTAAAAAAATTGATTGGTAAAAATATCTCATAAATTAAGGATATTAATTGATATAATTTGGATATTTTTCCCCCTAAATCTCATGTTGAAATGTGATTCCCAGTGTTGGAGGTGGGGACTAGTGGGAGGTGATTGGATCACGGGGGCAAATTTCTTATGAATGGTTAGCACCATCCCCTTAGTGCTGTCCTCATGATAGTGAGTTCTCACAAGCTCTGTCTGTTTGAAAGTGTTTGGTATCTTTCGCTTTGCCCTCTCTTCTGCTCCTGCTCTCGCCATGTGAGGTGCCTGCTCCCACTTTGCCTTCTGCCATGAGTAAAAGCTCCCTGAGGCTTCCCCAGAAACGAAGCAGACGCCAGCCCCATGCCTGGACAGCAAAACCAGGAGCCAATTAAACCTCTTTTCTTTATGAATTACCCAGTCGCAGGGATTTCTGAACACTTTAACCTTTTATCAATCTTATCTATTGAAATAATCTCTGAGTATTTTTTATCACCTGATATTTCATACTTTTTCACTTTATTTTAAAACTTTTCAAAATGTGTAATTTTTCCTTGTTAAGTACTGACTATGAGGTTTTTACATATCAAGAAAACATTAATGTGTGCTATAAACACTTTGTCTCTAACAACAACTTTAGAATTCTAAAGTGAATGTAAAATTTTAGATAAATAAATTTCGCATAGGAGTATTTGGATTCTAGCAAGAATAGAATAAACTCTATAATGGTAAGCATCTTCCTAATTGCTCTTAATCTGATATGTCAAATTCATTTATAAACCATATCACTTATATTTAAGTACAGAGGAGAAATGACAATATATATTCTCCCTCTCAGGAACAGAAGCATCATCCACCTATTTTGCAAGCAAAGGGTCTAGGTGTTATCCTTGACTCCTCTCTTTCCTTATATTCAATATCCAATCTATCCATCAAGTCCTCCAAAACGTATCTCTAATATGTTCATTTTTCTACTGTTCCATCACTACCCTTCTAATCCAAGCCCCCATTATCTCCCACCACAAGTACCAGTATAGTCCCCTGGTGTCACTGCCCGTGCACTCTGGCTTCCCTAACTTCCATTCTCCACTCAGCAGCCAGGATGATCCTTTTGTAAGGCATGTAGCATGGCCTCATTCCCCTGTTTAAAACTTCTGATGGCTTTCTATCACAGTTAAATAAAAGCCTACCCCTTTCCTAGCTCACAAAGTCCTGCAATCTGCCCTTGCCTTTCCTTTCCACCCTCACCTTGGGCTACTCTCTGCCTCACACACTATACTCCAACCACAAAAATCTTGCTTAAGCTCCTCCAACACAACAAAGTTCATGAGCACCTTAGGTGCTTAGCATAGCTGTCTCTTAAGTTAGCGTGCAGTCTTTGCATAGTTTGTAAGTTACTTCTCAGGGAAGCCTTCCCATGGCCTCCCAGTCACTCCACATCATGTCACCCGTTCAATTATCTGCACACTGCTCCTCACTCTTGGATGTTTTTGTTTGTGTTCACTTGTTTACTTGCATATTTTTGTCTGCCCTCACTAAAAGGTAAGCTCCATGTCTTTAGACCTTGTCTTTCTTGTTAACAATGTATTTCCAACACCAATAACAGTGCCTGCGGGTGTCAGGTCCTCATAAATATTTAGGAAAAGAAAGAATTATGAGGTATCTGGAAATTATCTAGTACTAATAAATAAAAAGAAAATGAAGCTTTGTATTCAATATACAAAAGGTAACCTTTAAAAAATGAAAACTGCACCAAAATAGACTGTCTCATCTCTAAGAGCAGTATTTAAAAAGAGATTATACAAGCACCTGTTAATGAAAGATCAGGATCTTACTTTCAGGCAGTATGGTCAACCTCCAATCTTTCTCCTTCTTTTATATTCCTTGTATTTGCTGCTGTGAACCCTGACCATTTTTCAATTCCTATCCTCCACGCTTTTTATCCAAAATATTGGATTGCCATATAAAGACTGACTGTATTCAAGGTGTGCCACATGGTGACTTGATAGACATACACATTGGGTAATGATTACCACAATCAAATTAATTAACACGTTCTTCAGCACCCATGCTGGATATCAGATGCCCTGCTCTCCTTGCTCTTATTACCATGGCAGCCAACTGCCCTCTATCTTTGCCTTAGTCTTTGAACTTGAGCCTTCAAAGATCAGGTTTGGCTTTCCTGTGTCCTTGGAATCATTTTTGTTCTTTAGGGATTAAACACAGAAGCCACCTTGGAGAATAGCTACAGACAGCAAGTCATATAACTTCTTTATTACCACTCACAGACCACTGCCTCGTGTGCTAATGATCCATAGTTATCAGGTTCTGTTCCCTCTCTGGAATTCCAGTCACAATGGAAAAATGTTTTCCGTATGTTTATTCATATGACAGACCCTTAACATCCATGAGGAATGTTTAAGAATGTCACTGCAACATATAATTTCTCCCAGAAAAATGGAGTCAAGTATAACCAGGAAATTTCCACTGACCCCCTTCCAATGTATAAAGATTTATTATTATTATTATTATTATTATACTTTAAGTTCTAGGGTACATGTGCACAACATGCAGGTTTGTTACGTATGTATACATGTGCCATGTTGGTGTGCTGCACCCGTTAACTCGTCATTTACATTAGGTGTATCTCCTAATGCTATCCCTCCCCCCTCCCCCGACCCCACGACACGCCCTGGTGTGTGATGTTCCCCACCCTGTGTCCAAGTGTTCTCATTGTTCAATTCCCACCTATGGTGAGAACATGCGGTGTTTGGTTTTCCGTCCTTGCGATAGTTTACTGAGAATGATGGTTTCCAGCTTCATCCATGTCCCTACAAAGGACATGAACTCGTCATTTTTCATGGCTGCATAGTATTCCATGGTGTATATGTGCCACATTTTCTTAATCCAGTCTATCATTGTTGGACATTTGGGTTGGTTCCAAATCTTTGCTATTGTGAATAGTGCTGCAATAAACATCCGTGTGCATGTGTCTTTATAGCATGATTTATAATCCTTTGGGTATATACCCAGTAATGGGATGGCTGGGTCAAATGGTATTTCTAGTTCTAGATCCTTGAGGAATCCCCACACTGCCTTCAACAGTGGTTGAACTAGTTTACAGTCCCACCAGCAGTGTAAAAGTGTTCCTATTTCTCCACATCCTCTCCAGCCAATGTATAAAAATTGTATAGGGACAGAAATAAATAAACTACAAGGTTATTAACATGGATTCTGTGGCCAAAATAAGTTCTACGTAATATGCACCATGGCAAAGCCCTACGTTTAATGCATTTCCAGGGTGACTCAGAAATATCCGAAAATGGAAATATTAAAACCACTAATGTGAAGGTTTTCTCTCCTTGGCACCTTATTCAAAGATGCATTTTTATGCCTCCGAGACATGCTTTTTAGATTATCAAATAGAGCCACATGTAACTATAACAAGATTATAAACCATTTACTTGACGACTATACATGCTTGCTCTTTTAAATCTAATAATTCAGTGCTTCAAGGAGATTTATAGTGTACCAACAATTCACTCAGAACAGGTTTCAAAGTGTGTGGTCCTCCAACACAGCATTTGCCTTCATACCTGTTGTGGAGGACAAAGACGTAGATATTTCTAGTCCTCCTCATAACAATTATATATGGTCTGTTGCAGGGAAGGAAGTCTTATGTCAGTTCTGCCAAAAAGGGGCCTCTACAAGTATTTTCATGTCCTTGGTCACATTTTTCAAATATGAAGAACTTACATGTTCATATAAACATTTTAGTCGATTTTTGTTTCTGAAAGCACTGTAGATTCACATATCACCAAGTGCATATGGAGTGATTTATTTATGTAAGTTTGCCATTAAATTTACACCTTTCTGCATTTGAAAAGTGAAGTATTTTTAAGAGTAGGCAGCTTGTCTACATTAATATACACAACTCCATTACATCAAAGGTCATTTATTTCAAATGTATGAGTAAATACCCAAAGCCCCTTCATTCCGATCAGGAAAACAAGGATATACTTTGATATAAATTAAGGGAGACTGTCCAGTCTGAGCATTAATCCAGGGGATGAGTGGCTAGAAAAATCCACCCGGATTGAGGTGTTTCATTAACTTACTGGTATTCTCAACTGGAGCACATAAGTTTTTTAGAAAACACATAATGGGAATAGCACATATACATACTAAATAATTTTTGCTGAACGATTATTTAAGATACTTGTCGTGTACATATGAAGCACCTGTGTCTTCTGTTTTGATCGCCAGTTCTTCTTCCCACCAGGAGCTGGTCCACAAACTTCCTCTGGGCATGGCGGTCGGTGTCTGACTGCTGCTCTCTCTAGCCTGTGTTCCCTTCCTTGTGACTCCTCCTGTGTGGATTGCAGGGCACCCACACACTCCCACTGCATTTACTTCAAGCCCTTTTATAGTATTACTCAGACTTTCTTCCTCCTGGACTAGCTCTTAGAAGCTCACCGTCCCCTTCTCCTGTAATTGCTGATCCTTGAACACATTTCCCTTCTGCATTTAGTAGGCATTGCACTTCACTGCCACTGCCCCTTTTAGGTTGAAAGTACTTTGCCTGCCAGTGAACTTCCTCTGGAACATCCTTTGTCTATTCAGTCTGAATGTCTTTAAATAATAGGGAGAGGTTACTTTATTGTGGTATTTCACCACCAATCAGAATAACATTATGAGGGAAGGAGATGTTTCAGAACAATGTTAATGGCTACCCTCCTAACCCATGGCGTCACCAACTGCTGGCTTTATTATCTCAGCATTTGCTAAGGCAAGGGCTCAGCTGAAAGGTCTCAGATGTGCCAGAAAAGTGACTCTTACATGGCATTATGTTGGTGTCACACAGCTGAGGAGAACGGTTAAGAGAGATCTACGGAACATTTCAACCACCCCTACCATATTGGCTCCTCATGGGTATGTTTCCACTGAAATGCCCTCCCCTTTAGATTACTCCATCAGACCTTATCCATCTTCAAGGTCCAATAAGTCTTAAGGACTTCCTGCGTAGCTCTCACCAGCCAGGCCAGAGGCTCCTTAGGAAATACACCTTTGTGGCTACACCCAGCACCTTGGGGTACCTCCTGCTTTATGTTCCCATTCCACCAGCTCTGTTTTGGTGTCTCTGATTCCCACCACATAACTGATTCTCCCTTTGCCCAGACTCATTAAATTCATGCTTGGGTAGTTCTATGTTTGGCTGTTCATACCAACTTCAGCCCTGGACTTCTTCGCATACGTCCCCAGGCTCCATGTCCTCAGGCTCTGCTTTTAGGAAACCTGACTGAGTCCCTCATAGTCAAGCTTAATTTTATTTCATGTAAATAAGAAGGAAACATGGAAAAACTAAAACACATGCTTGGTGAGGACATGTTTGTCCCAACACTGATCTTTTTTATTTTCTTTTTATTTTTAGTTGACAGATAATAATTGTACATATTTATGGGATACAGGGTGATATTTTGATATGTGTATAAAATATATAATTATCAAATTGGGGTAACTAGCATATCTATCACCTCAAACATTTGTCACTTCTTTGTGTTGTGAACACTCAGAATCTTCTAGTTCTCTAATGTATGTTGATAATATACAAACAATTATTGTTAACTATATTCACCCTACAGTGCTATAGGATACCAGAATACATTCCTCCTATCTAGCTATAATTTTTTATTTGTTAACCAACCTCTCCCCATCCTCCCCTGCTCCCACCCTTCTCAGCCTCTAATGCCTACAGTTCTACTCTCTACTTCCATGAGCTAAATAAATAAATACATAAAATAAAAAATATTTTCAGTTCTCACGTATCAGTGAGAACATGCAATATTTATCCTTCTGTCAACATTAGCCTTTTAACATAGGTTGATCAACCTAAGTTTCCATCATCTGCTGTCATTAAAGACAAATACCACCCGACTTTCTCCTCATTCAATGGCAATTCAGGTTCACAACTTTGAGTCTACCTAGCTGCAAATATTTCATTCTGAATCCTTAGATTTCCATCCCCCTGCCCTTTAAGCTGGCACCCATGATATACTTCTTGGGATAAGTGCTTTGGATTTCTCAGACAAGACTTGCTTTGACTCATGCCTTTAGTTCTCAAAGTCCTTCAGGATGGATCCTTCTACCTTGACCTTATCTTTATCTGAGGCAGAGGAAGGGGCTCTGAGTAATTTTTTTTTATTTTTTTCTTTCAATTATCTTTATTATGATAGCTCGTGCAATGTGAGAGTTTTGAATTACTGAACTAAGCCCAGCTTCTTTAAAAAGAAAGCAAAGGCTAGAGAGAGGCAAAATCCTGTGGACTTTTTATAGGGCCATTCCAGAAAGGAACTCAAAACCATTCATGGCTACATATTTCCTATAACATAGCACACAAAATTTACTTCCATTTAAAAACACATAAAACATGTCTCAAAGGAATAAGAATTATGTGCAAATTATATAGCCTGAAATAAAGATATTGATTTATCTAGCTTCCCACTACAGGCAGAATATCTGCAACTTAAAAATCTTATTTTTCACCAACTCTCATCAACTCCCCTAATTTTCTTACACTTTTAATTATATATATATATATATATATATATATATATATATATATATATACACATATAGTTATGTTACTTTCCAGTGAGTACAGAGGTCACCACTTGAAATTCAGCCAACAATTCTAACAACTTTGAACTTACATCTCATTAAAAAAAATTACCAATGCTGTATGCTAGTTCCCTAGGTAACCAAGACTCCACTTCAAAAATGGACTGGATAGTCAAAAGAAAGCATAACACAGATACGCTAACCAAACAAAAAGCAATTTTGCTTCAATTGCTAAAATAGATTTGACCAAGTGTTTTTACGTAGTGGCAGATGGTAGCTGCATTAATATTTATGTTGGACATGGTAAGAGGGGCTTGGAGGAAAAGGACTTTAGATTGGAGATTCATCTTTGGAAATAGGTAAAAATCGACTTAGTGTAGAATGAACACAGGCTCCCAAATCTGAGTTCGAATTAATCCTCTGCCACTCAGTTGTCTTATCTTGGCCAAGTCCCATGTTCTCTGAACCTCAATGTACCCACGAATTAGAAGTGAATTACAAGACTGTAAAGGGAATAAAATGAGAAAATGCTTGTGCATCATAATTAGAGCTACCATTTCCCATGTGCTCGCTCTGGGCAAGGTATGCAGAACAACACGATGAGGACCTCCACTTGACAGACAAAGTAAGAAGGATTCTGAGAGTTTAACTAACTTGACCATGGCCTCATGGCTAATAAGAAGCACACGTGAAATTCAAACCTAGGACTATCAGACCCCAAAGTCCAGGTACTGGACCTCTCCATGTAGGACAGTCCCTGAACCACAGTAGGCACTCAGTAATGCTTTTTCTTATTAACTAATATTGTAAATGCAAGGGGAACCTCAACTGCTTCCAAGCCGCACAACCCTAGTAGAGCCATTCATATCAGAGTCTATCTGAGTGGTACACCCCAAGAAGTCATGTTTCCTCTTTGTACATGGTGTCCCCCAGCACTATTTTTTTGTGGGTCTCTGTATTCAAGAAGGAAGGGATGGAAATAAATTCAAAAGAGGATTTCTATTTCTAAGGAACCTATGGTATTTTGCCTGCCCCGACCCCACCCCCCAGCATCTTCTGAACAGCTTTTGTGTGTTTCAGGAATGCTCCAAATTATATCTCTCACCTCTCCAAGATAGAATTCAAAACTCCTTTTTCTAGTCCCCCTTGCATAGGCAGTTTGAGGATAAGCACATATAAGCATGTGACATGAATTAATACAATCAGACTCTATTTGATCTCTATATTTTAACTATCAAACATCTATATTTCACTTCAGAAGAGAGAAATGTGGAGCACTACACCACCTCTCCCATGTTTGCTTATCTAATTCCCAAATTTTAAATTTTCACTTTTGCCATTGCTTTGTAACACAGTCTTCTTCCAGACCAGTTCTCCAGGCCTCACTTTCTACCACTAACTAGCCTAACAGTGTTTTCTAAATACTCTCTCCTTCCTAAAATAACTCTTGTGCCAGCTGTCCAGAGAGTGATATTTTTCAGTCTCTACTCATGTGATGTATTTCGCATAAGTGGACCGCGCATAGAACATGCTCAATACATGTTTGTTCCCTTATTGCCTTCCTTGAAGACCTCATGTCCTCAGTCATAGGCCATTCAGAAACAGAGACTGGGCCTTATGCCCAGTGTTGCACATCAGCAGGTCCATGTTTGTTGATAGTGATGATGACTTGGTGGTCATGGCTGTAGGGACCCAAAAACACAATGATAAGCCATTGATTTAAAAAGGTGCCCATAACCACCCATGCCTAAAAGCTGCATTTCATTTTACAAGTGTTCCTATAGACAAGAAAAATGGAGATTAAACGAACAACTTTTGTTAATCCTCTTTTCCCTTTAAAAGCACTTTGATTTTTAATGTCATCCTTCAAATATCAGAGTCTACCTTCTATCTTGAACTATTTTCCTTAGTTCAATTATCTCTTTTGTTTCATTAAAACCCCCAACTGGGTATTCACAAAGGCTCTGGCCAATGTAAATGAATTCCTATGGGCTCAGTGTAATCATCTGGTAATAGTGCAGTAGTGAGAATATGAACTACCTTGAGTATCAGGAGTTGCCCAGGCTCAACCTAGTTGTAACCATTATTTATATAGATGCACCCTTCAGCAGAGCCTTAACTCCTTCTACTCTGTCAGAGGCCTTAATGACTTAATAATTCTTAAAGCATGTAACATCATGAACCCAGATTACCAATCTCTCACCCTCATAAAACCTCTCCAAGTCAGCCAGCTTGGCCTCCTTGGTAACCTATAAAAACTAGCTGATCTCTCCCATCTGTGTGTGGGCATTTGCCTCTGCAGAATCCACCCAACCATCCCTTCTTTTGAATGTCAGCAAAACTCCCCTTTTTCTGTCATTCTCCCAGCTCTGGCACTTATTAATAGAATGACCTTACGTAATTACTAAACATTAATTTCTTTATCTGAAATATGCAATATGAGAGCAACAGAACCTACTTCAGAGTTGTTCTCAGGGTTAAATGAGATAAGACATGTAAAGTACCTGGCACAGTGCCTGATACACACAAAGCTCAATACAAACAGGTTTCCTTCCCTTTCCCTTCCCCTTTCCCTTCCCCTTCCCCTTCTTCTTCTCCTCCAGCCTGTAATTGTCTTGCCTTTCCCTTAACTACTCTAACATACAATCTTATTTCTTCTTCCACTTTTCCAGGTTCTTGTACGCTCTTTTATTTAATTCATTCATTCAATTATTTTAATAATCATTGAATTTGTCAAAAACTGTTCTATAAAGTTGGAATATATGTGCAAAATATACTCAGAGCCTGTCCTAACAAATGCATAGTGTATTAGGGGCAGAAGTATTTGAAATTAAACATGATGACACCACAATGTACTCTCTTCTTAAGCAAGTAATATATAAAAGACAGAATGACAAATACTGCTAGAGAATATCAATAGAAGTTTCAACAAAAAGATATTTAAGTTGGATATTAAATAATTAGTAGGACTTCATGATGAGAATGTGGCAAAAAAATAAAGTAACAAGGAGAGGGAGGAAATTTTGTCTTAAAGAAACAACTCACCACAGAAAAAAAATCTGTAGGCATATAGAGGCTTGTTGCATTTTTAACTATGATTATCAAGACCATATTTTTAAGCAAAAAGCAAGACACACAAATACAAAGAAAATTTAAGAAATGGTAGCAAAATATTTAGAAAATCTAGAATGTGTAGCTGTGATTTCCGGAAAGGCAAAATAAATAAACAAAAATCTAATTATCAAAAAATAAAGAATGGTTAAATAACTACTGACTAACCAAATCAAGGTGTTAAATAGACTTTCATAATGGCAATAATAAAGAAAATGTAAGACATTGCATATTTTAAAAATAGTATAAAATTGATGATTCTGATTATAATATGTGAACAAAGACTTTAAAGGAATATATATAATAAAATGGCTGGTGTGTTCATGGTGATTTTTTAATCAAAATTGTTTTAAATGTTTTATCATAAGTTGCTATTTTTATAAAAAGGAATAAGGTTTAAATTCAGGAAATTCTTTTATGTTTACAAAATTATTTTAAATTGCTTTTCAGCTAAATTTATAACAACATTCGTATTCCACTAAAAACAACAAACCAGATGTAATACTTAAGCAAAAATGCAGCACTTAAGCAAATATTTCCACAATGTTAAGTTACTCTGGGTCCTGGGTATCTCCTCCCTCACTTTCCACACCTCAAAAACTCAAGTTACTCCCCTCCAGAAGGGTTGTGAGTTTTTGCACTCAGCATATGCCGTACTTTATGTTCATAGCACGGACTATTTCATTACTTACAGTATAAGGAGTTTCAACTGCAGCTACCTCAATGAGAATATATTTATTTGGAGACAAAATGGATTCTCCTGATTCTCGCCTTTTCAAGACAATAAGATAAGATCTTCACCAGACACATGCTAGCTATGTAAACATGAGATTACTTGCCAATCTATTGTGGAGTATGAAGAAAAAAAGAAGGGAAGATCAAAGGTTAAGAAAAGGGAATATGTTAATTCCTTGTGTTTTTTCTAGTTTTATTTCCTAATGTTTAAAATCATGAATGCTTTAGGGTTTGATTTTAATATGCCTAAGTGATCCAATTTTGAGTTACTTATTAACTGGTTGTTATGGAATTTCACTTTCTCAAATTACAAGATTAATGTACATATTTTTTAAAAATATTAAAATAACTAGGAGTTATAAGAATGTTACACATACAATTTTAAATTAGAAAACTGAACTGATTTGTACTATTTGTTACTGTCTTTAAAGTCTGCTGGAAATGCATATGCATTTTATTAAATTTTTAATAAATGACAAACTGTACTACAAGCAGTAAAATAATGATTTCCTTCAATATTAAGGATTTTTAAAAATTGTGTTGAATACCACAGTTTCTCTTTCACTGAAATTATTAATCTTGAAAGGTCAGCTATAAATATCTTTTCTTAATATCTTCATGACTGGATAAAACTGAACGTCTGCCTAATGAGCACAGTGCTTGTCGGCTTTGATTTTCTTTCTGTGGCTATAGGTGATCGGCAACTCAAAATGTATTTCCTAGAGCTACTCAGGAAGAGGAGCCCAACCTTTCTGAGGTGGTTGCTAGTATAGGAAGCAAAGATGAAGGACAGTGATCTTCTGGACCTACAGAGATGCTCAGAGGATCAGGAGGTGGAATAAGCCTCTGATACATACATAAATAAATTACATTTAAGCAGTACATTGTTGTTTATTAAGCACCTTACACACGTATCCTTCTCTTTATAGATGATCAGCAATCTCAGACAGTCCAGTAATATGATCATGGCCACTCAGCTACTGGAGGGCCTGGAGAAGGAATTTTCTCACTCCAAACCCCAGGCTTGTACAAACAGATCATCATCATATAAGTTCTCAGGGTTTGGAGTCAGACAAAACTACTGTGCTTGAGTTCAAATTCTGCCACTCTCCAGTCTTGGGCAATCCACTTAAGACCTCTGTGGCTCAGCTTCCTCATCTGTAAAACAGGTATCATAGGACCCAGGTTGCAAAAGTTGTGAGCATGAAGTAACGCACATAAGGTTCTTAGCACATATGCTGCCCTGGGGCCATCCTAATTCTAGTTGTTGCAGTTGCGACTGCTGTTACTGTCATTCTCCAGATGCAGCTCCCGGAGCTGTTCTTGCAGAAGGCAGCATAGTGTGGTGGTTAGGAATGTCGAGCATGCAAGCTAAGCTTATCTAGGTTCAAATCCCAGTACTACCAAGTACAATCATGTGACTCTAGACAAGTTACTTAACCCTCTATTATCTCAGTTTCCTCCCCTGTAAAATGAAGGCAGTGACAAGGAAACCTCTCCTTTGGCCATCAGGAGGACTAAGTGAGTCACACATGAAATACTTAAAATAGTGGCTAGTGTGTAGACAGCACTTAATAAATATTGATTGTAATTATTGTCATTATGATTTTATTACTTCTCTGCCCTCGAGTTCCTGACAATAAATCTATATTGAAACAGCTGAACATCGATTATGTGTAGATTCTGGCAATACATAGAGAGCGATGCTTCCTGCCTTGGGTAGGGTCAGTTACAGCCTATTTTATTAGCTAGGACATAAATCTATAGCTAATAATACAGTGTGTCATATTCTAACTGCCAATGGAGGGTAAAGACAACAGGTGAGACTAGAGTTCAGAGGAAGGACTCATTTGAAAATGTTAGTCTTCCCTCTTTGAGAGCAAATTTGTTATTTTATGGCTGAAAAAAAAAAAGGTGAAAAAAAAAAAAAGGAAGTGAGACGTGGTTCCAGGACTCTGGAATTTCATAGACCTGTAAAATGTGATTAAAAATCGAGGGAATGAAATAGGGCTTTCTGAGACATTTCTATTCTGTCAAATGGAAACATTAACAAAATTACCTACCCTCTACTCACACCATAATTTTTAAAAAGAAAGGATATTTTAATGCCAATAAAAGATGGCAAGACATAATTATAGAATAAAAAAAGAATCCTTATCAAAAAGGGAACCAATGATTGTAAAAGAGAGAGAAAATATGTGTGAGTGTGTGTGCGTGCACGCACGTGCTGTGCAGATGTATACGTATATTCACATGCATATATAACACTGTCCCTTTGTTTCTAGTTTATCTTCAGACTAGTGAAAACCTCATCAAAGCCTTGAGCGGGACAAATTCACAGACCAGCATTTGGCAATTGCTGGAGTAAAGTGCACTGCAGAGTATAACAGGTGTAGACCAGACTTGCACTGGCAGAGCAAAGTAAGAATTGGAATTAGTAAGATCGTTTTAATAAAAACATTTGTTTGGCTTCAATTACTGAAATAACTGCTTTCTCGGCCAGCCTTCCCCGAATTCTGCTTTTGTTTCTGGCTTCTATTTGCTGGCAAAGGAAACTTTTTTAGACTTAGCATGCTAACAACACCAGCCCAGGGGAACATGAGCCACAGTGGGTTAAACTAAAAATTATAAACTGAGCCAGTAAATTGAGATGAATTGTTAGTGTTCCTAGAAAGAACAGCTCAGTTTTCCAGATTTCCTGAGGAAGGAGCTGCACAAAGTGGTTTATTTGATTTTGCAGATGGAAGCAGGTAGCACAAATCTAGCAGGAAACAGAACCCTCAAGAGAATATTCAAGGAATGTTCAAAAGGAAGCATTTTAGAAAATTTTTTAAATAACTATTTCAAGCAAAGTTGGCGATATAATGTGAAGGAAATAGCACAGGCTTTTAATCGCTGCACTACCACTTACTAGTGGCATCTTGGGCAAATTTCTGTACCTCTCTGAGCCTCAGTTTTCTTATCTACAAAACAGGGGTTAGTGATAATATAAACTTTGCAGGGTTAAAAATTAAATTATAACTAATTATAATATATAGTGTCTGGTTATTATTAGGTATTCCAGAAGGGTAGCTATTATAATTATGTTAGAAGGTTCACTCAAATGAGGACCACAAAAGTTATTTATCCATCCAGCAAACACGTATTGGGCACTTGAAGGGTCAAGCAAGTCGTAGAATCCAAGGTCCTCAAAATGCAGTGGCAGAGACACCGGGAGCAGAAAGATGGTGCAATATATTTTGACTGATTCTACAGTTTAAAAAAAAATGGCACCATAGTGTGACCATGAACAGAGCAATCAAATGCCTAGAGTAGGACCCCAGGTAGAACAAAGTGCAAGGTTATATTTGCCAGAGAAGGAATGGTATTTCAGGCTGGGGGAACAGCATATGTGAAGGTGTAGAAATATGAAACATCTTGTAGTGTTTAGGGAACCACAAATAATCACTATCTGGAAATTGTCAAACATTTAATTTGTCCCAAGGCTGATCTGCCTATGGCTACTGCTGAGAGCCCAATTTGCCAGAAGCAGGGACCAACACTGAGCCCTCGATATGGCACCATTCCTCGGGGTAATCTGCCGGCTACTTGGTGGCAGGTTGATTATATTGGACCTCTTCCATCATGGAAAGGGCAGCGGTTTGTCCTCACCAGAATAAACACTTACTCCAGATATGGGTTTCCCTATTCTGCATGCAATGCTTCTGCCAAGACTACCATCCATGGACTCATGGAATACCTTATCCACCATCGTAGTATTCCACATAGCATTGCCTCTGACCAAGGCACTCACTTTACAGCTAAAGAAGTGTGGCAGTGGGCTCATGCTCATTGAATTCACTGGTTTTACCATGTTCCCCATCATCCTGAAGTAGCTGAATTGATAGAACGGTGGAATGACCTTTTAAATTATTACAATGCCAACTAGGTGACAATACTTTGCAGGACTGGGGCAAGGTTCTCCAGAAGGCTGTGTATGCCCTGAATCAGCATCCAATATATGGTACTGTTTCTCCCATAGCCAGTATTCAGGGATCTTGGAATCAAGGGGTGGAAGTGGAAGTGGCACCACTCACCAACACCCCTAGTGATCTACTAGCAAAATTCTTGCTTCCTGTTCCCATAACATTACATTCTGCTGGCCTAGACATCCTAGTTCCAGAGAGAGGAATGCTGCCACCAAGAGACACAACAATGATTCCACTAAACTGGAAGTTAAGATTGCCACCTGGCCACTTTGGGCTCCTCTTATCTCTAAATCGACAGGCTAAGAAGGGAGTTACAGTGTGGGCTAGGGTGATTGACCCAAATTATCAAGACAAAATCAGTCTACTATTCCACAATGGAGGTAAGGAAGAGTATGCATGGAATACAGGAGATCCATTAGGACGTCTCTTGGTATTACCATGCCCTGTGATTAAGGTCAATGAGAAACTATAACAACCCAATCCAGGCAGGGCTAAAAATGGCCCAAACCCTTCAGGAATGAAGGTTTGGGTCACTCCACCAGGAAAAAAAAAACATAACTCACTGAGGTGCTTGCAGACGGCAAAGGAATGTGGAATGGGTAGTAGAAATGTAGTCATCAATACCAGCTACAACCAAGTGACCAGCTGCAGAAACGAGGACTGTAATTGTCATGAATATTTCCTCCTTATTTTGTTAAGAATATGTTTGTGCATGTATACACTTGTACTAAGACAATGTCTTCATTTTATTTCCTTTCTTTTTCTTTTATCACATGACTTAAGATTTATTGACTTCATATCAGCATTTTAAGTGTTGTTAACTTTATGTAACAACATTTAGGTTAAGGATTAGTGCACTTCCAGTTGTCTGAGGGATAGCTGTATTACATTAGGCATAATTATGACCTTATTATTGTCTTTATTTGGAAATTATGTATGATTTCAGGAGATGTGTATGGGCTCAAGTTGACAAGGGGTGGACTTGTGATGGTTAGTACTGAATGTTAACTTGATTGGATTCAAGGATGCAAAGTATTGTTTTTGGGTGTGCCTGTGAGGGTGTTGCCAAAGATTAACATTTGAGTCAGTGGACTGGGAGAGGCAGACCCACCCTCAATCTGAGTGAGCACCATCTAATCAGCTGCCAGCATGGCTAGAACAAAGCAGGCAGAAGAAGGTGGAAGGAGCCAACTTCCTGAGTCTTCTGGCCTTTATCTTTCCCCTGTGCTGGATGCCTCCTGCCCTCAAACATCAGACTCCAAGTCCTTCAGCTTTTGGACTCTTGGATTTACACCAGTGGAATGCCAGGGGCTCTTGGGCCTTTGCCCACAGACTAAAGCCTGCACTGTTGGCTTCCCTACTTTTGAGGTATTGGGACTCCAACGGCTTCCTTGCTCCTCAGCTTGTAGATGGCCTATTGTGGGACTTCATCTTGTGATCACATGAGTCAATACTCCAAATAAACTCCCCTTTATGTATACATCCATCCTATTAGTTCTCATCTCACCATGTTGTTGAGATGAGCCTTAGAGGATCAAGATGGAATCATGACTTTAGAGCTACAACAGACTATAAAAGCACATTCATTTTTCTAGAGTGAGAAATTTAGGTCCTTGAAAATTGGAATTGTGACTTACTCACCTATGTAATTATACCAGTTAGGACTGAAAACCCAACCCAGACAGGCTTGAGCAGAAAAAGGCTTTTCACTGAACTTAAAAAGTCCAAAGGTAAGGCTAACTTTGAGGTGTGGCTGGCGGTAGGTGCTCAAATGTTACCAGCAGGTCGTTTCTTTTTTTCTTCTTATCTGGCACTGCCTTCTGCTCTCCTGGCTTTCGTCCAAGACTCCATGTGATGGTAAGCAGCTTTAGCTCGCCAATTCCCAAAACTAAGCCCAGAAAAAACAAAAGGATATATTTCCTATACCTCTTCCCGAAAGCCTAGCCTCCCTTTGGATGAGTCCTTGTTAGTCACTTGCCTATTCTGAACTCATCACTGGGACCTGGCAATGCGGATAAGATTGTCTTGGACCTGCAGGACAAGATACACTCCTGAAATTATGAAAGGAATCTCATCCAGTCCACACAGACAGAAGATGGGGAAGGCATGGTTCCCCAAATGAAACTAGGGGGTTACTGATGAAAGAAGAGGGAAGAGATGCTAGTGAGACAATCACCTAATTAGTCCTATGTCTGCTGCTTAATTACTTCTGCCTCAGGCAAGTCAACTCTTTGAGTTGCTATTTCCTGCATTTGGGTAGTCATCTTATACACTGCATTTGGGTAATCATCTCTCACACTTTCATTACATGACCAGGCAGAACTGAAGATCAGAAAAGAATCAAAGCTGGCCAGGGACGGTGGCTTACACCTGTAATCCCAACACTTCGGGAGGCCGAGGCAGGTGGATCATTTGAGGTCAGGAGTTTGAGAACAGCCTGGCCAACATGGTGAAACCCTGTCTCTACTAAAAATACAAAAATTAGCCAGGTGTGGTGGCACACACCTGTAATGCCAGCTACACAGGAGGCTGAGGCGGGAGAAGTGCTTGAACCCAGGAGACGGAGGTTGCAGCAAGCCGAGATCATGCCACTGCACTCCAGCCTGGGCAACAGAGCAAGACTCTGTTTCAAAAAAAAAAAAAAAAAAAGAAAAAGAATCAAAGCTCTCTTCTATGTGGTTAAAAAAGTACATAAAATAAAACATAAAATTTAAATGTACATATACACAGCCACACACAGCCCTGTGGTATAAGTGTGGGAATTTTGCAAAAATACTTGGGACTGTAAGCAAACAAAATTACTCACCTAGTCTTCGTAGTCATGAGTCAGCCTTCACACACCAAAATAAAAATATTATTTTGTTTAGGTGTAACCTACAGACAAAATGCATAAGACTTTAAACAGGAAAGGCCTACAAGTATAGCACTTTTTCACAAGGAAAAGTTCTTACTATTAAATGTTATCTATTTCAGAAGGAATTTAACTGCTTATTGGAGACAGGAAACACTCCAAAAAAAAAAAACTTTAGAGAGACAGGGAGTAGTCTTCCAGGCAACACCCAGCCTTGAGCGTGTATCTTTTCCTGCTCCAAACCAGAGTGGACTATAACACACCTTCCCACCTCAGCAAAGCACAAAGTGTTCACAAGCAATCACGGGGAAAAGGCATTATTTGGAGCATCTTCTCACTTTATCATTTCCTGCATGGCTTATATTTGTGCAATAGCAAGTGGGAACAGAAATAAGCGAATGCAATAAATAGATAGTAGTTGAATTCTAACTGGTGGTTAAAAGTTGACCTCTAACCAACTGAACTTGCTCTACAATGAGAAAAAAAAAAAATTCTGACACCAATAAGCAACTAGTCCAGTGAAGGATATGATTCAACATGAAAGTAAAAAGAACAATTTAAAAAGGAAACCTCAAATAATCCCTATCTGGCTCAGGTCACAGAACCTCTACCAGCTCCTTTCAAAGGTAAACTGCTTGAAGACAAGAACCACACCTTAGTTATCCTTACATTCACAATAATTGACACAGTGCAGCTTCTATCACATAATGTGTTCAACAAATATATTTTTAATATATTTAACTTAAATGAGCAGAGTTGAAATAAAATAGCAGTCACTATATGATGTTCCCCACCCTGTGTCCCAGTGCACATGTACCCTAGAACTTAAAGTATAATAAAAAATAAATAAATAAATTTTAAAAATAAATAAATAAAATAGCAGGCACTATATTAGCTTCTCTGATAAAGTCATGGTCTACCAACTAGCACTCTGAAGATAGTTTAAAACCAGACCCAGACCCTTATCCTGGTTCTATTAATTGATCTATCTATCTATCTATCTATCTATCATTTATCTTTGTAGTATTTGCAGTGTTCTGGGTATATAAATATGAGTTTAGTAAAATAGAGTTAACTCCTTGTTGTCCATTCTGTATTTCTCAACCAATCTTTTCTGTTTCAAATTACTGAGCTAGAGTCCTTTAAAGTTATTGTTAAGAGATATACTAAATCCATATTTTTAATTAAGGCCCTATTACTTACTTTGAGCAGAAATGATAAGCAATCCTCCTAACCAAATTATATATGAATTGGGACTCCTGCTATTTGCGTAAGCAACATCTTACAAGACATGCCAAATAGTTACAGTGCATTAGGATGAATTCTAAAGCCAGCCACCCAAGCCAAACATTTCAGAAAGCACTGTTTCTTTTTAACTCTGTGCGTGTATTATCCCCCTAAGAACGTGAGCTGTAAACCCTGAGATACTCAGTGTTCCAGATTCCATTTGCCTGTTTCAAATTCCACAGAGACACTGACCACCTCTGATTTAGAGGGTCTCAGCATGTGGAAGTAAACCATATGTGACATTCATGTGGCTTTAATATTATTAAATATTAAACTATTTTAATAACTATTATTAATATACTGTTAATAGTGAAAGCATGTGAAAGTAAACCACAAGCAACATTCATGTGGCTTTTTGACCTAGAGGCTAACAGCCAAAATCCAGGATCAGTTTGATAGTTTTTCAGCCATTGCATCAGCCTCTGGCATCTGAATAAAACAGTATAGGCTGCATCACAAGACACAAGTCTGTTGTCAAGCTGTTTCTGCTATTCCAGAACCTTAGTACCCAGATTGATAAATATAATGGGCAGTATAGAGTCACTGAGGCAGGTGACAACTCATCCAACAGCAAAACACAACCACCATCTCTAGGGGAGCAGCTCAACCACCTCAACACTCATGTCACTTCCAACCATGCATCACCGAGCCTCTGGTTCTAAACTTGCCATCGCCACCAGCTTGATCTGGCAGGACCTGGAGTGCCAGGACCAGACTTTCCTTCAGAAAAATCTTTGGAGAGACAAGGAATAGTCTTCCAAGCAACATCCAGCCTTGAGCATATTAAGATGAATTCTAAAGCCAGATTACTAAAGGAAAATCCATTTAATATTCTGTCCACTAAATTTCCTCCTCTGTTAAATGAAGAGATTGGAGTGATGATCTCTAAAGTCTTTTTAGCTCAAACCTGACCTCATATCTTATAAATGATGGCTTGATGTGAAAGCTGAAAGGTGATTCGTTTAAAACAGGTAAACTTTTTGACAGGGATGAAGCTATAAATTTTCATAATAACTAACATCCACTGGGTGCTTACTATGTATCAGACATTTTTCTAAACACTTCACACATCTTCACTTATTTAATTTTCAGAGCCCATATGAGGTAGATACTACTGTTATCCCCATTTCACACGTGAGGAAACTGAGACAGAAATGTTAAGTAATTTGACCAAGTTCATGCAGCTGATGGGCTGGGAATGAAACCCCAGAAGTCTGACTCCAGAGCTTAGACTCCCAAATACTATACTGCCTTTTAAGCTTACACTCTTGTTGTTACTATTCCCTCAGCCTGGAAAACTCTATCTCCTCCATTTGACATTTCCAGAAATATTTATTGAATATTCCAGAAACGTACCTGAAGGTGGAATTACAATAGAGAGGAGAAAGACAAAGTCCCTTCTCTCACAAGCTGACCTCTAGCAATGAATGCAAATGACAGAGCATATGCACACTAAATCACTAGATACAACACAGATTTGTGATTGTTATTATTATGACACCATACCATGGGACCATCAATTATTTGTTAGTATTATTATTACTAGTATTAATATACTATACCATAAGAGTAAATAAAGGAGATAGACATGGGTCATCATGAAAAGCTAAGGGACTTCTCAAGTGACAGACGGAGGATGAATATTTAGCCAGACAGGGATAGCTCTGGTGAATGCCCCAGGGTAAGACAGAGCATGGTAGAGTCAAGGAACTGAAGGAAATTGAGTGAGGCTCAGCCAGAGAAAGCAAGGGAAGAAAGTGATAAGAGAAGTTAGCAGAAGCCATTTATAATAACTATACTCAGAAGTTTAAACAAGGGCAGAATCACATTAAAACTAATGAAGCTTCAGTTTCAAGGCCCCACTTCCATGGAATCCTTCCAAGGCCCTGAGAGGGGCCCTAGCAAGGTGTTCGCATAGTCTCATATTTTTAAAATTTTAGAAAAGGAAAACACTTTCAATATAAGTGGTAAAGACAGCTGTCCATTCCACTCTGAATTCCCCTCCTTCAAACCTCCTCTAGTGTCAGCTGGTGGTGGAGTGGCTAGGGCATGTTTTGGGATCTAGCTAAGGGAAGAGTTGGCTATATATTTAGTTTGGGTTTGGTGTTCACCAAAATTTCCAAGTATGTGAATTTATTGCAAGACATCTCAACGTAAGAAAGACCTTTTTACCTTTTTTCTTTTTTTGATGAGAATGACGTTTGACAAATTTCAAATGCACAATTTTTATTGCCACTTAGAAAAATATTTACATAAAACAAGTGAGGAATTACTCCTCATTTGGGTACATAGGAAGGCTACCATTTCTTATCACTTTTAAATTATTTTTTAAATAACTGATAAATTTCAGATTAAAATAAGTATGAAATAAAAGCAATAAAGATAGGGAATGAATTCAACAACTTATTCTGATATTGGAAAGCAAATTGTGACAAGAAGCTTTCAGATCATACCAAACGAAATGATTAAGAAGAAGAAATAAATTTTGAATAGAGGTAATGAATAGGCTCTTAGATATTTCATCTAATTAATAAAGAAGAGTGAATAATGTGAACGCATTGAGAAAAGGCTTACATTTCTTGCTGATTTGACATGAAATTCTCGTGTCAACAAAGATGACAGTTAACTTTTAATATTCCACTGCAAAGGAGTTATCAGTGACAAATTACTTACTGCATGTCATTAATTCTGCCAACACTGAAGATTCATCACTGCACAAAAAATTCTGAAATGCCCTGAAATCTTACAACTCATATTTGGAAGAAGCTTAGTAGAGCCCAAATTTGTCAACAGTCTTAAATAACTACACAGCATATAAATAATGAGTTGTGAAGTTGAAACTTTTCTTTAAAAAGTCAATCATGTTAAAAAATCATATTTTGATTACCACATAAAAGAAAAGATTGAATTATCAACCTATATCCCACATTCTATAGAAAAATGTTATAAATCATTGTCATATGAAAACATAATAAAAAAGTATGCAGTTTAAAAATGAAGAAAAAAGGTATCCTAGTGGTGTGGCAGATAGATAAATAATAAAAATAAAATATTATTTTTCTTGATTTCGAGATACTTGTGGTATTTGTCAGAATTTTTAATTGTTAATTATTGTGTTTTCTTTTCTCATTCTTAATTAAATACTTTTGTTCCTGATTTTTGAAGTGATAATTTTGTGTTATTTTTCTTAAAGAAGACCCCCCAAATTGTATAAATACTGAAATATGCTGCTGTGTTTGGACATTATTCTAAGACATTGTCTTCCTCTTCTCCCTAGTCTATTCATCTTTTGATGCTTAGCCCTCTACACCATAGTTCCTTATGGTGATGTGTGTATTCACAAAGGAAAGTAGGAAGTAAATGTTTTAAACAACTACTCTTTGCTGGACCTCATGTTAGGAGCTCTATGACATTAACATATTTAATTATATGTATTTCTTACAGTCAGGGCAATTGTTTTCCGTGATATTTCCCATAAATCAAAAATAAATGCTGGTTGTAATCATTCTTGCTCTCTGTGAATGCTATGATGCTAATTATATATCCTAACAAGTCCTGCTTAAGTGTGTTACTTAAAAATAGTATTTAACCCTCAGGTGACCCATTTTAAACTTGGCCATACTTCCCCAAAATGCGGTTTCAGGTTTAAAATGCAGCTTCACAGGTTCTTTGTCCATAAACACAGTCCTTCCAAATGTTACAACTGCATGAGCAAATTGTTCACTTACACTCGAGATAACCACACGCCTGTAATTGCATTTGAACTCTTGGGACTTTGGTACCCTTGGTTTTCTGTACCTCACTCTGCCTGAATATATTCCCTTGCAGCTCATCATAGTCAGTTCTTAACATCCCCACTGAGAATGACACTCTAATCCTCGGGGATTATGAAAACACTGCCCCTGGTCTTCAGTGTTACATCGTTAATCCATCAGGATTTACAAAAGTACAATTTGAAAAATGAGGAAATAATTCCATTGCCCATAATTTAAGATGGTAAAATCAGATTAATTAAGGCTGCCAACATAAGATATAATTAACACAGCCATTGTGTGGAGGGTATTGCAGCACATATGGTATGATATGTAAAACCAAACAATGTTTTTTACAATGTGTGAATATAGATATTATAAAGTTAAAGATCACATGGAAACCTCATCCGTGGTGCCTCCTTAAGCTGCATTTTTAGCATGACCCTGACTGTATCAAGTGTCAATTTCATAGAAGATGAAGAAATTGTCTATTGAAAGAGAAAGTTATAACCAGTGTTTTTTACTTTATATGTCAGGTTCTTAATCGTTTCCTAAATAACAAGGAACACTCTTAGTCAGTTGGCATTTTCCAGTGTTTTAATTGCCTGCTGTGATATAATTATTGTGACATTTTGGGATGTTTTTAACATCCTGAATTAAATATTCTGACATCCCACAGAGCACTTTATGAAAACAGTCAAACTGTATTCAAGTCATTAGCAGTCTACAGCTGTCCTTTAATATTAAAATTATTTTCCAACACAAAACACAGATGAAAATTAAAAGTATTTAACAACTTTGAGCTTGGGTTAGATTTGAGTTCTATATTACCATAATTTGTCAGGTAAGAGAGATCAGGGTGACTCTGAGATTCTTGATTAAATATTATCTGAAGCACCAAGTGAATTAGGGTCACCTCATGATAAAAGATAATGAACGAAATGTACTTATTTCAAAAGTACAATTTGCCCCAGATTACACAGCCACAAATTCTATGTTAGGAATAATCACCAAAACACCATAGCTCCTTCTTGATTATCCTGGAAAGCTGACTTGCTCTATTTTATTTACTTATTTATTTATGTATCTGATTGTTTTTGTGTTTCATATGATATGCTCAAATAAAATCTGATATAATTTAGATAATTGATGTATTTTAAATAACAAACCCTGTAATGTGACTTCTTGTGGCAAGATCCAGATGAATTCACCAAGGAAAGGCCTGGCTGGATGGACCAGTGATTAGTATATGGATAACTCACCATCTTCATCTGGATGTCTTATAAGCATCTCAAATTTAGTAAGTCTGAAACTAAACCTCCTTGCTTCCCTTACCGTCTGCTCCCAAAGTCTCCTCCATCTCAGGAAACAGCAACTCCATGCCTCTAGTTGCTCAAGCTCACCAACCTGGTATTATCACTGATTCCTTTCTTGTTCTCCCACATAAAAATCTAAACCATCAGAAAATCCCGTTGGCTCAACCTTCAAAACATATCCAAAATTCAACACTTCCTACCACCTCCTCCTCTGCCTCTTAGTTCAAGCCACTGCTATATTTTTTACCAGTGAATTAACCATTAATTGTGTCAAAATATACATAAATTTTACCATCTTAACCATTCTTAAGTGTATAATTAAGTACATTCACAGAGTGCTACAACCATCACCACTATCAATTTCCAGAACTTTTTCATTATCTGATATGGTTTGGCTGTGTCGCCACCCAAATCTCATCTTGAACTGTAGTTCCCATAATCCCCCCATGTCATTTGAGAGATCTGGTGGGAGGTAATTGAATCATGGGGGCAGTAACTCCCATGCTGCTGTTCTCATGACAGTGAGTGAGTTCTCATGAGATCTGATGGTTTTATAAGGAGCTTTTCCCCCTTTTGCTTGGCACTTCTCCTTGCTGGCACCATGTAAAGAGGAATGTGTTTGCTTCCCCTTCCGCCATGATTGTAAGTTTCCTGAGGCCTCCCCAGTCATGCTGAACTGTGAGTCAATTAAACCTCTTTCCTTTATAAATTACCCAGTCTTGGGTAGGTCTTTATTAGCAGCATGAGAACGGACTAATACATCATCCTAAACAAAAACTCTGTACCCATTTAAAGTAACTCCCCATCCCTGACCCCTTCCCACAGCCCAACCCTCCAACTTCTGGTAACCTCTACTCTACTTTCTCTTTATGAATCTGACTATTCTAGGTGCCTCATATCAGTTGAATCATACAATATTTTGTCTGTTTGTGATCAGCTTATTTCACTTAGAATAATGTTTTAAAGGTCCATCCATGTTGTAGCATGTGCCAGAATTTCCTTCCATTTTAAGGCTCAAGAATATTCTACTATAAGCCTATACCACATTTTCTTTATCCATTCATCTGTTGGCAGATGCCTGGGTTGTTTCCACCTTTTGGCTATTGTGAATAATGCTGCTATGACCACTGTTGTACAAGTATAAAGGAACTGAGTCCCTACTTTCAATTCTTTCGGGTATATAATACCTAGAAGTAGAATTGATGGATCCTGTGATAATTCACTGTCATGTTTTGATTGAACAATGACACTATTACTATAACTGGGCTTCTTGTTTCACCCCTGCAAATCCACAGTCCATTATTCCCACAGCCGTCAGGGCAATTATTTTAGAACTTAAATCATATCATGTCATGTTCCTGCTCTAAGCCCTCCAGGAGTGTCTGACGACAGAATAAAATCCAAAGCCCTTCCCATGACCCCCAAGACTCTTTGTGATCTCACCCCTGCATGCCTGCCTGATGGAGCCTTCTGACACTCTCAATTCTTGCTCCCTCTCCAGTACTGCAGACCTCCCACCTGTTCCTCAAACCTCACATGCTCTCTTCTGCCTCAGGACTGACCATTTCCTCAACCTGGATGGCCAGAAAACCGCATGGGTCCATCCCTCATTTCTTACAGGTGTCTGCTCAAATGCAAGCTTACCAGAGTTCACTTCTCTGTCGTCTCCCTGTCTAATGTGGCCCACAAATGCATGCACATCACACGACCAATTATTCTGCCTTCTTAACCTGCTATGTTTTTTTCCATCGATGCTACTTCACCTTACACATTATATATTTATTTGTTTATTTATAACTGTCTTTGCTCACTAGAATGTAAAAATTCCTGAGGCCAGAAACATCAAATTGGTCACTGCTGTGTCCCAAGAGCTTGGATGGATGCTTGGCCCTGACAGTAACTATTGCTGGAGGGTCGGTGCTCACTGCCCTTCCCTCTGCTGTGATAAAAGGTTCTAGCTTACATGTGAAGGGGCCTGAATATCAGGGATCCTGACCATTTGCAGTCAATAATGACCTCACCGGAAGCTCTGATTTTCCTAATCAGCTCAACTTCTCTATCTTTGAAGGAGGACAGAGAACAGGGAATGAGGCCATTTTTTTCAAAAACTTATTTTTCCTAATTACAAAAGCAATATGTTACATTTCTTCTAGAAAATGTAAGGAATCAAGATAAGAACAAATATGAAATTAAAAATCGTCAATTATACTCTAAGCAAAGGGTCATGATCCTTAGTGTTCTCATGCATAACTTTCCAGCCATTATCTCATTCATATTCATTCTAATAATTGAATAAGGTAAATATTTTTATATCTTGCTTTCTACCCTAAATGCTGTATATCACAAATAGCTTCACCACTAAATGTTCTTCTATGGAATGATTCCCATGGCTGGGTAATACCCATTAGATAGAAGTACCAAAATTTAAGCCTGTATATTGTTATATACATATATATTTAAGTAGTTTCTAATTTTTCTGTATTAGGTGATACCCTTGAAGTTAAAACTTCTAGCCTACTATAAGAATTTCCTTATGATCAATTCCTAAACGTGGGATTCGGGAGTCAGTGGCTACGCAGTTTTATTTTATTTCATTTTTTCTCTTTGGATTCTTTTTTTTTTTATACTTTAAGTTCTAGGGTACATGTGCACACCTTGCAGGATTGTTACATATGTATACATGTGCCATGTTGGTGTGCTGCACCCATTAACTCGTCATTTACATTAGGTATATCTCCTAATGCTATCCCTCCCCCGCCCCCCGACCCCACAACAGGCCCCGGTGTGTGATGTTCCCCTTTCGTGTCTAAGTGTTCTCATTGTTCAATTCCCACCTATGAGTGAGAACATGCGGTGTTTGGTTTTTTGTCCTCGCAATAGTTTGCTGAGAATGATGGTTTCCAGCTTCATCCATGTCCCTACAAAGGACATGAACTCATCTTTTTTATGGCTGCATAGTATTCCATGGTGTATATGGACCACATTTTCTTAATCCAGTCTATCATTGATGGAAATTTGGGTTGGTTCCAAGTCTTTGCTATTGTGAATAGTGCCGCAATGAACATACGTGTGCATGTGTCTTTACAGCAGCATGATTTAGAATCCTTTGGGTATATACCCAGTAATGGGATGGCTGGGTCAAATGGTATTTCTAGTTCTAGATCCTTGAGGAATCGCCACACTGTCTTCCACAATGGTTGAACTAGTTTGCCTTCCCACTAACAGTGTAAAAGTGTTCCTGTTCCTCCACATCCTCTCCAGCACCTGTTGTTTCCTGACTTTTTAATGATCGCCATTCTAACTGGTGTGAGATGGTATCTCATTGTGGTTTTGATTTGCATTCCTCTGATGGCCAGTGATGATGAACATTTTTTCATGTGCTTTTGGCTGCATAAATGTCTTCTTTTAAGAAGTACCTGTTCATATCCTTTGCCCACTTTTTGATGGGGTTGTTTGTTTTTTTCTTGTAAATTTGTTTGAGTTCTTTGTAGATTCTGGATAATAGCCCTTTGTCAGATGAGTAGATTGCAAAAACTTTCTCCCATTCTGTAGGTTGCCTGTTCACTCTGATGGTAGTTTCTTTTGCTGTGCAGAAGCTCTTTAGTTTAATTAGATCCCATTTGTCAATTTTGGCTTTTGTTGCCATTGCTTTTGGTGTTTTAGACATGAAGTCCTTGCCCATGCCTATGTCCTGAATGGTATTGCCTAGGTTTTCTTCTAGGGTTTTTATGGTTTTAGGTCTAACATGTAAGTCTTTCATCCATCTTGAATTAATTTTTGTATAAGGTGTAAGGAAGGGATCCAATTTCAGCTTTCTACATGTGGCTAGCCAGTTTTCCCAGCACCATTTATTAAATAGGGAATTGTTTCCCCATTTCTTGTTTTTGTCAGGTTTGTCAAAGATCAGATGGTTGTAGATGTGTGGTATTATTTCTGAGAGCTCTGTTCTGTTCCATTTGTCTATATCTCTGTTTTGGTACCAGTACCATGCTGTTTTGGTTACTATAGCCTTGTAGTATAGTTTGAAGTCAGGTAGCATGATGCCTCCAGCTTTGTTCTTTTGGCCTAGGATTGACTTGGTAATGCGGGCTCTTTTTTGGTTCCATATGAACTTTAAAGTAGTTTTTTCCAATTTTGTGAAGAAAGTCATTGGTAGCTTGATGGGGATGGCATTGAATCTATAAATTACCTTGGGGAGTATAGCCATTTTCACAATATTGATTCTTCCTACCCATGAGCATGGAATGTTCTTCCATTTGTTTATGTCCTCTTTTATTTCATTGAGCAGTGGTTTGCAGTTCTCCTTGAAGAGGTCCTTCACGTCCCTTGTAAGTTGGATTCCTAGGTATTTTATTCTCTTTGAAGCAATTGTGAATGGGAGTTCACTCATGATTTGGCTCTCTGTTTGTCTGTTATTGGTGTACAAGAATGCTTGTGATTTTTGCATATTGATTTTGTATCCTGAGACTTTGCTGAAGTTACTTATCAGCTTAAGGAGACTTTGGGCTGAGACGATGGGGTTTTCTAGATATACAATCATGTCATCCGCCAACAGGGACAATTTGACTTCCTCTTTTCCTAATTGAATACCCTTTATTTCTTTCTCCTGCCTCATTGCCCTGGCAATAACTTCCAACACTATGTTGAATAGGAGTGGTGAGAGAGGACATCCCTGTCTTGTGCCAGTTTTCAAAGGGAATGCTTCCAGTTTTTACCCATTCAGTATGATATTGGCTGTGGGTTTGTCATAAATAGCTCTTACTATTTTGAGATATTTCCCATCAATACCTAATTTATTGAGAGTTTTTAGCATGAAGGGTTGTAGAATTTTGTCAAAGGCCTTTTCTGCATCTATTGAGATAATCATGTGGTTTTTGTCTTTGATTCTCTTTATATGCTGGATTACGTTTATTGATTTGCGTATGTTGAACCAGCCTTGCATCCCCGGGATGAAGCCCACTTGATCATGGTGGATAAGCTTTTTGATGTGCTGCTGGATTCAGTTTGCCAGTATTTTATTGAGGATTTTTGCATCAATATTCATCAGGGATATTGGTCTAAAATTCTCTTTTTTTGTTGTGTTTCTGCCAGGCTTTGGTATCAGGATGATGCTGTCCTCATAAAATGAGTTAGGGAGGATTCCCTCTTTTTCTGTTGATTGGAATAGTTTCAGAAGGAATGGTACCATCTCCTCCTTGTACCTCTGGTAGAATTCAGCTGTGAATCCATCTGGTCCTGGACTTTTTTTGGTTGGTAAGCTATTAATTATTGCCTCAATTTTAGAGCCTGTTATTGGTCTATTCAGAGATTCAACTTCTTCCTGGTTTAGTCTTGGGAGGGTGTATGTGTCCAGGAATTTATCCATTTCTTCTAGATTTTCTAGTTTATTTGCATAGAGGTGTTTATAGTATTCTCTGATGTAGTTCGTAATTCTGTGGGATGGGTGGTGATATCCCCTTTATCATTTTTTATTGTGTCCATTTGATTCTTCTCTCTTTTCTTCTTCATTAGTCTTGCTAGTGGTCAATCAATTTTGTTGATCTTTTCAAAGAACCAGCTCCTGGATTCATTGATGTTTTTGAAGGGTTTTTTGTGTCTCTATTTCCTTCAGTTCTGCTCTGATCTTAGTTATTTCTTGCCTTCTGCTAGCTTTTGAATGTGTTTGCTCTTGCTTCTCTAGTTCTTTTAATTGTGATGTTAGGGTGTCAATTTTGGATCTTTCCTGCTTTCTCTTGTGGGCATTTAGTGCTATAAATTTCCCTCTACACACTGCTTTAACTGTGTCCCAGAGATTCTGGTATGTTGTGTCTTTGTTCTCATTGGTTTCAAAGAACATCTTTATTTCTGCCTTCATTTCGTTATGTACCCAGTAGTCATCCCAGAGCAGGTTGTTCAGTTTCCATGTAGCTGAGCAGTTTTGAGTGAGTTTCTTAATCCTGAGTTCTAGTTTGATTGCACTGTGGTCTGAGAGACAGTTTGTTAAGCGTTGAAAATCAAAATAGTAAAAACATATTTATGAATTTTTAATGTATACACATTTTTAAGATATTGATTTTTTTAACCATCTCGAAATTAATAAGCTAAACAACACTCTTCTATACTTGAACATTTGTGATGTTTTATATAGAATACTGTGGTTTGATTTCCTTTTGTGTTTTGTTGTTTTCTGTTGAGGGCATCTTTATTTCTTTATTTAAATGCTTGTTAAGCGATTCAGGTTTGACTTAATTTTTTGTGGTATTTTCTGGAATACTGATAGGCAAATAGGGAATAAAGAAAACAGACATACAGAAGCAGACAAACTTAAAAATAAGATGTATAACTTCTATTATTAAACAAAGATTATAAATCACTCTTGAAATCAATGATTCAGTAAAGTTTTTAACAGCTAATAAAAAATTTTCTGTTATTTTACATTTGCTGAGGAGTGCTTTACTTCCAACTATGTGGTCAGTTTTGGAATAAGTGTGATGCAGTGCTGAGAAGAATGTATATTCTGTTGATTTGGGGTGGTGAGTTCTGTAGATGTCTATGAGGTCTGCTTGGTGCAGAGCTGAGTTCAATTCCTGGACATCCTTTTTAACTTTCTGTCTCATTGATCTGTCTAATGTTGACAGTGGGGTGTTAAAGTCTCCCATTATTATTGTGTGGGAGTCTAAGTCTCTTTGTATGTCTCTAAGGACTTGCTTTATGAATCTGGGTGCTCCTGTATTGGGTGCATATATATTTAGGATAGTTAGCTCTTCTTGTTGAATTGATCCCTTTACCATTATGTAATGGCCTTCTTTGTCTCTTTTGATCTTTGCTGGTTTAAAGTCTGTTTTTATCAGAGACTAGGATTGCAACCCCTGCCTTTTTTTGTTTTCCATTTGCTTGGTAGATCTTCCTCCGTCCCTTTATTTTGAGCCTATGTGTGTCTTAGCATGTGAGATGGGTCTCCTGAATACAGCACACTGATGGGTTTTGACTCTTTATCCAATTCACCAGTCTGTGTATTTTAATTGGAGCATGTAGCCCATTTACATTTAAGGTTAATATCGTTATGTGTGACTTCGATCATGTCATTATGATGTTAGCTGGTTATTTTGCTCGTTAGTTGATGCAGTTTCTTCCTAGCCTTGATGGTCTTTACAATTTGGCATGTTTTGCAGTGCCTGGTACTGGTTGTTCCTTTCCATGTTTAGTGCTTCCTTCAGGAGCTCTTGTAGGACAGGCCTGGTGGTGACAAAATCTCTCAGCCTTTACTTGTCTGTAAAGTATTTTATTTCTCCTTCACTTATGAAGCTTAGTTTGGCTGGATATGAAATTCTGGGTTGAAAATTCTTTTCTTTAAGAATGTTGAATATTGGCCCCCACTCTCTTCTGGCTTGTAGAGTTTCTGCCAACAGATCCGCTGTTAGTCTGACGGGCTTCCCTTTGTGGGTAACCCGACCTTTCTCTCTGGCTGCCCTTAACATTTTTTCCTTCATTTCAACTTTGGTGAATCTGAAAATTATGTGTCTTGGAGTTGCTCTTCTCGAAGAGTATCTCTGTGGCATTCTCTGTATTTCCTGAATCTGAATGTTGGCCTGCCTTGCTAGATTGGGGAAGTTCTCCTGGATAATATCCTGTAGAGTGTTTTCCAACTTGGTTCCATTCTCCCTGTCACTTTCAGGTACACCAATCAGACGTAGATTTGGTCTTTTCACATAGTCCCATATTTCTTGGAGGCTTTGTTCATTTCTTTTTACTCATTTTTCTCTAAACTTCTCTTCTCACTTCATTTCATTCATTTTATCTTCAATCACTGATACCCTTTCTTCCAGTTGATTGAATCAGCTACTGAAGGTTGTGCATTCATCACATAGTTCTTGTGCCATGGTTTTCAGCTCCATCAGGTCATTTAAGGACTTCTCTGCATTGGTTATTCTAGTTAGCCATTCATCTAATCTTTTTTCAAGGTTTTTAGCTTCTTTGCAATGGGTTCGAACTTCGTCCTTCAGCTCAGAGAAGTTTGATTGTCTGAAGTCTTCTTCTCTCAATTCGTCAAAATCATTCTCCATCCAGCTTTGTTCCATTGCTGGTGAGGAGCTGCGTTCCTTTAGAGGGGGAGAGGCGCTCTGATTTTTAGAATTTTCAGCTTTTCTGCTCTGTTTTTTCCCCATCTTTGTGGTTTTATCTACCTTTGGTCTTTGATGATGGTGACATACAGATGCGGTTTTGGTGTGGATGTCCTTTCTGTTTGTTAGTTTTTCTTCTAACAGTGAGGACCCTTAGTTGCAGGTCTGTTGGAGTTTGCTGGAGGTCCACTCCAGACCCTGTTTGCCTGGGTATCAGCAGCGGAGGCTGCAGAACAGCGAATATTGCTGAACAGCAAATGTTCCTGCCTGATCGTTCCTCTAGAAGCTTCATCTCACAGGGGTACCTGGACGTGTGAGGTGTCAGTTTGCCCCTACTGGGGGGTGCCTCCCAGTTAGGCTACTCGGGGGTCAGGGACCCACTTGAGGAGGCAGTCTGTCCGTTCTCAGATCTCAAACTCCGTGCTGGGAGAACCACTACTCTCTTCAAAGCTGTCAGACAGGGACATTTAAGTCTGCAGAGGTTTCTGCTGCCTTTTGTTCAGCTATGCCCTGCCCCCAGAGGTGGAGTCTACAGAGGCAGGCAGGCATCCTTGAGCTGCAGTGGGCTCCACCCAGTTCGAGCTTCCCAGCTGCTTTGTTTACCTACCCGAGCCTCAGCAATGGCAGGTGCCCCTTCTCCAGGCTCGCTGCTGCCTTGCAGTTTGAACTCAGACTGCTGTGCTAGCAATGAGTGAGGCTCCATGGGCGTGGAACCCTCTGAGCCAGGCGCAGGATATCATCTCCTGGTGTGCCTTTGCTAAGACCATTGGAAAAGCACAGTATTAGAGTGGGAGTGACCCAATTTTCCAGGTGCCGTCTGTCACAGCTTCACTTGGCTAGGAAAGGGAATTCCCTCACCCCTTGAGCTTCCCTGGTGAGGCAATGCCTCGCCCTGCTTTGGCTCATGCTTGGTGCACTGCAACCACTGTCCTGCACCCACCGTCTGACAAGCCCCAGTGAGATGAACCCAGTATCTCAGTTGGAAATGCAGAAATCACCCGTCTTCTGCGTTGCTCACACTGAGAGCTGTAGACTGGAGCTGTTCCTGTTCGGCGATCTTGGAATTGCCTCCTATGCAGAGTTTTAAAGATTTCCCTAGGTACTGTCAATTTCCACTCTCCTGGGCAGGACAGGAAAGGACGTATTTTAGAGGTCACTGAGAATTGCTGTTGTCATCCACAGCCACTCAGTGGGATAAGAAGGACTGCCATCAGGAGGCAGCTTATGTGGGGTGGATGGGGAGGAGCATGGGTAAAGGAGGTTAGGCGGGGAGGGAAAGGGCACTCATCAAACCTGGGTGCCAGTGGGGAGGGGGATACTAAAATCAAAACTTACCTTCACAGTTTTTGCCCTGAACTGACCAAACAAGTAAATAGTAGTATTGTAGGGGTAGCATAGATTTATTTTAAGACTTTACTACATGAATTTGCCCTTTTAAATAATTAATATTAATTTTGATATAAGCAATGCATTGATTACAACTTGGTTTTTCAAAAAACCTTGGTTTCTCAATTTATGACATAGTAGTTCAAAGGTTTGCTACTGAGTTCAGTTTATTTCAATATGTGGTTTTAATGGATTTATAGCTGTTTGTTTACAGCTAGAAAATATAGCTCACAAAAGCACAGTAAACCCAATAGAAAACAAATGGGACAAAGTGTGGTAGCACTACTAATAACAATAGATTAATATTTCAGATTGTTGTAATTGTTTCAGGTGTTTTGGCCCCTTTTGGTCAGATCAAACCATTATTCTGACTGACAGAGAGTCTGTACTAGAAGGAGAGGAGGTGTTTTCTTGTTCTTTGTAGTAAAATTACTAAAATTCTCTTTAATATGAAGTTTATTTATAGGAATATTTTTAAGAAACTTGTCCATTTTTTGAAGATTTGTTTCATTAAAGCCTGGTAATATAACCTGTGAAATTTCTTGCAAAGGCATAAACTGGAACATCCTGTATTTCACTGGAGGTGAATGAGCTCTCGAGGTCAGGATCACTATCCACCTTCTACCTGGCAAAACCCTTACATTTTCCCAACACCATACACATTGTTCATGAAAAAGCTTCATGGACCAAAGGAGAGCACCACTCTCAATCCATATATCAAAAGTTGGCAAAGCCAACTGTCTTCTTATTATTAGATTAAATTAATATCTACAAGTTCTAATATTTACTTGTGCGCTCCACTTTGAAAATCACTGTTCTAGGGAGAAAGCCTGTTACGCCTTCAAAAAATAAAATTTCAGATAACCCAGAAACAGAAACTCAAACACCATATGTTCTCACTCATAAGTGGGAGCTAAATAATTTGTATACATGGGGCCAGGCACCGTGGTTCATGCCTGTAATCCCAGCACTTTGGGAGGCTGAGGCGGGCAGATCACGAGGTAAGGGGATAAAGACCATCCTGGCTAACACAGTGAAACCCCGTCTCTACTAAGACTGCAAAAAAAAAAAAAAAAATTAGACAATGGTGGCACACGCCTGTAGTCCCAGCTACTCAGAAGGCTGAGGCAGGAGAATCGCTTGAACCCGGTAGGCAGAGATTGCAGTGAGCCAAGATTGCACCACTGCATTCCAGCCTGGGTGACAGAGCAAGACTCTATCTCAAAATAATAATAATAATAAAATAATTTGTACACATGAACATAGAGAATGGAATAATAGACAATGGAGATTCAGAAGGGTGAGAGGGTCGGAGGTGGGTGAGGGATATGAAATTACTTATGGGTACAATGTACACTATTCAAGTGATGGCTACCCTAAAAGCCCAGACTTGACTACTATGTGATATACCCACATAACAAAACTTCTCTTGGACCCCATAAATCTGTTTTTTAAATTTAAAAATAAAATCCAATCCCAATACAATACAATGTGATTTACAGTTTGCAAAGCACTTTCGTATCTAAGAACAGTCGTTCACACACACTACCTTCACTCCTCACCATTCATTCAGTTCTCAGTTCCTCCCAAACACTCTTTTACCTTTCTAATTAAACCCTCCTTTTTTTAATTTCAGGAGGATTTTTTTTAAGTTCTAGGTACATATGCAAGATGTGCAGGTTTGTTACATAGGTAAACATGTGCCATCATGTTTTGCTGCACCTATCAAACCCTTACCTATGTATTAAGCCCAGCATGTATTAGCTGTTTTTCCTGATGCTCTCCATTCCTTCACCCCTGCCCCCACCAGGCCCCAGTGTGTGTTGTTTCCCTCCCTGTGTCTATGTGTTCTCATTGTTCAGCTCCCACTTGTAAGTGAAAACATGTGGTGTTTGGTTTTCTGTTCCTGCATTAGTTTGCTGAAGATAATGGCTTCCAGCTCCATCCATGTCCCTGCAAAGAACATGATCTCATTCCTTTTTATGGCTGCATAGTATTCCATGGTGTATATTTATCACATTTTCTTTATCCAGTCCATTATGGATGGGCAGCTGGGTTGATTCCATGTCTTTGCTTTTGCAAATAGTGCTGCAATGAACATATGTATGCATGTATCTTTATAATAGAATGATTTATATTCCTTTGGGTATATACCCAGTAATGGGATTGCTGGGCCAAATGGTATTTCTGGTTCTAAGTCTTTGAGGAATCACCACACTGTCTTCCACAATGATTGCACTAATTTACATTCCCACCAACAGTGTAAAAGCATTCCTTTTTCTCTGCAGCCTCACCAACACCTGTTGTTCCTTGACCTTTTAATAATTGCCATTCTGATTGGCATGAGATGGTATCTCATTGTGGTTTTAATTTGCATTTCTGTAATGATCAGTGATGTTGAGCTTTTTTTCATATGTTTCTTGGTCGCATGTATGTCTTCTTTTAAGAAGTGTCTGTTCATGTCCTTTGCCCACTTTTTAACGGGGTTGTTTTTTTTTCTTGTAAACTTGTTTAAGTTCCTTGTAAATTCTGGATATTAGACCTTTGTCATATAGATAGATTGAAAAAATTTTCTCCCATCCTGTAGATTGTCCGTTTGCTCTGATTATAGTTTCTTTTGCTGTGCAGAAGCTCTTTAGCTTAATTAGATCCCATTTGTCATTTTTGCTTTTGTTGCAATTGCTTTTGACATTTTCATCATGAAATCTTTGCTTGTGCCTATGTCCTGAATGGTATTGCCTAGATTTTCTTCTAGGGTTTTTATAGTTTTGGGGTTTTACATTTAAGTCTTTAATCCATCTTGAGTTAATTTTTGTATAAGGTGTGAGGAAGGGGTCCAATTTCAGTTTTCTACATATGGCTAGCCAGTTCTCCTAACACCATTTATTAAATAGGGAATCCTTTCTCCATTGCTTGTTTTTGTCAAGTTTGTCGAAGATCAGATGGTTCTGGTTACTGTAGCCTTATAGTACACTTTGAGGTCAGATAGCATGATGCCTACAGCTTTTTTCTTTTTGCTTAGCATTGTCTTGGCTATTCAGACTCTTTTTTGGTTCCACATGAATTTTAAAATAGTTTTTTTCCTAAGTCTGTGAAGAATAAATGGTAATTTAATGGGATATAGCATTGAATCTATAAATTATTTTCAGCAGCATAGCCATTTTCATGATATTGATTCTTCCTATCCATGAGCATGGAATGTCTTTCCATTTGTTTGTGTCCCCTCTGATTTCCTTGAGCAGTGGTTTGTAGTTCTCCTTGAAGAGGTCCTTCACTTCCCTTCTTAGCTGTATTCCTAGTTATTTTATTCTCTTTGTAGCAATTGTGAATGGGAGTTCATTCATGGTTTGGCTTGCCTTTTGTTGATGTATAGGAAAGCTTGTGATTTTTGCACATTGATTTTGTATCCTGAGATTTTGCTGAAGTTGTTTGTCAGCTTAAGAAGCTTTTGGGCTGAGACGATGGGGTTTTCTAGATACAGGATTATGTCATCTGCAAACAATGACAATTTAACGTCTTCTCTTCCTATTTGAATACCCTTTACTTCTTTCTCTTGCCTAATTGCTCTGGCCAGAACTTCCAATGCTATGTTGAATAGGAGTGGTGAGAGAAGGCATACTTGTCTTGTGCCGGTTTTCAAGGGGAATGCTTCCAGCTTTTGCCCATTCAGTATGATATTGGCTGTGGATTTGTCGTAAATTGTCCTTATTATTTTATTATTTTGAGCTATGTTCCTTCAATATCTAGTTTATTGAAAGTGTTTAACATGAAGGGATGTCGAATTTTATCAAAGGTCTTTTCTGTATCTATTGAGATAATCATGTGGTTTTTGTCTTTAGTTCTGTTTATGTGATAAATTTCATTTATTGATTTGTATATGTTGAACCAGCCTTGCATCCTTAAGATGAAGCCGACTTGATCGTGGTGGATAAGTGAAAGGCTTCTTTTGATGGAAAAAGAAGAGATACTTCTTAGTCTTTGTCTCAATCCTTCTTCAACTGTCCACATGATTACCATGCCTTTTTTCTTTTTTTTTTCCTTTACCGTGTACTGAGATATAATTTATTTGCCATAAAATTCATCCTTTTTAAGTATAAAATTCAACTCTTTTTAGAAAATTTACAAAGCCATTTAATCATCAACACAGTCAATAATAAAACATTTCCATCCTTTCAAAAATATTCCTTGGGCCTATCCATGCCTATTTTCTTCAGAACTACCTTTGTTTGGTACTGTGACTACACACTCTTAATTTCTGTCTTATCTTTTTTACTATTCTTTTCTAGCCTCCTTGGCCAATACTATTCTAGTTAGCCTTTAAATACTGATATTCCTTTAAGTGTGGTCCTAGGTCTGCTTTTCTTACTCTGTGCCCTTTCCCTAAGCCACTTCATTCATTCTATGATGTTAATAACCATCCTTTCTATGTCAAAATCTATTTTCTATCCAGGCCTATTTTCTAAGCTCTAGATCTTTATATATTCACTGTGTACTTGTTGTCTTCACTTGTATGTTTCACAGACACCCCAAACTTAAACATACCTGAAGATGAAGTTAGCATTCTCTGTCTACCCCAAAGTATTTTCTGTCTAACCTGGAGTGTCCCATTTCTGAATAAAGACAGCACTAATATATTCCATTTGTTAGCTCATCCCAGAAAACGTGGGCAGCTTTCTTAACTGCCCCCCCACCCCTGACCTTGCCTACCATATCCAATGCATCTCTTCTCTGCATCCATGAAGACGTCACAAGCCCCAAGCCACCAGCATTTCTTACCTGGACAATTACAGCAGCCTCCTAGCTGGTTTTGCTGTACCCATTCTGACCTCCTTCTAAGTTTTTCTCCACACTGCTATCAGTCAGATGAAAAGGTACTGTAATTCAAATCTACTTAATGTGTTTCAGCAGTTTCTATAACCTTTAGAATAGATCGAAAGTTCTTCTACAGCCTACAAAGCTCTGCACGATCAAATCCTGAACAGCCGCCCGAGCTCATCTGCATCCCTCTCACTCTTGTTCACTGAAATCTCACTATAGCCTTAAGGCACCAAACTCCATCTCATCTCAGCTTATTTCCTTTGCCTAAATGCTCCTCCCTGATTCTCCCCTTTTCTTCCTCTTACTTATCCTCAAGTCTTAGCTTATAGGTCCCCTTCCCAAGGGCATCTTCCTTCCCCACCTCCACATTCTTGTTCAGTTTCTCTGTAAGACTCACTTATAGTGAAAAAGAAAACAGAACCAGATCACAGTTAAGGTGGTAAAAACTGGACTATTGCAATAGGAGAAAAGAGGCCTCTGTATAGGACTGGACTCAATTCCAAATACAGCATGGGTAAGTGTGAATTTATAGCCAAGGAGTAGTGTGGGGGTCAGTGATTAGGAAATTACTGACAGGCAACATCAGCTGTAAGGGGGATTCTGGCTAAACAGACTTAATGGGATTCTTGCTGAAGACAGGTCAGTGTGGTCAGACATCACCTGGGGAATGGTAGAGGATGAAAAATGCAATTAGTTATCAAGGGTAATCAGATATGGAGGATGGAGGTAACTGACTTAGCAGAGTTCTTGCTAAAACTGGATTTTACAAAGAAGTACTTGGATGTCCCTAGGAGAAGCCGAGGAGAAAGCTCAGGAGTTTGGTCAAGCAAAGAATCTTTGTCAATATTACTCTGTTTTTCACCTTGTAGCACTGATCACAATCGTAATTATGATCTGTATTATTTAATGTCTATTTCCCTCCCTAGACTTTAATCCCCATGACAATGGGGACAATGCCAGATTTGTTTCATGGCCATACCCTTAGGAGCTGGCTCAGCACCTAACACATAAGAAGCACTCAATAAATACTCGTCCGAAGACTGCATGGTTTCATTTAGTACTTGTAGCAATCCTGGAAAGTAACCAAGATCATTTGCACTGCATAGATAAAGAATCTAGGATTTAGAGAGGGTAGATAACTTGCCCAAGATCAGTCACAGAGGATTTTGGAAGCATCAATAGACCAATACATTGAGCAATTTAGAATGCCTGTTTAATCAGAGCTGAGTAATGACTAATGTTGTTCATTGTCATTAATATTCTTTAGCTTTTAAACAGCCAAGGAACATAAGAAGTCTGCCTAAGAAAACAGTGACAACTGTGCATCTAAATTCTAACTCTCAAAAACTGCTTAGGAGGTAGAAATTAACATACATTAAATCACTCGATCCCAGGAAAGCCTAACCCATAACCAGTCTATCTATTATTTGTACACAGCATAGAAAGATGACTGATAAAAAGAATCCATAGCTTCTCCTACACCTGCACTCAATCGCTACATACTGAATAAACTGCCGTGAATCAAGAACTCACTGGAGGCTAGATAGGTAGTACTGGGTGGTGTGGTAGATAGTACCATATCTAACAAACACATTAGAAATGTTTGTTGACTGAATAGAGAAATGAGCCAAAACTCGAATCCTCAACTTCCTGATTCAAATTTTACATGTAACTTCTTGAGCCTCATTGTAGATAGGGATTTACCAACTTGCCTCCATTAGAACTAAAGGAAAGCCAAATTCAGCTTTGCAGAAGCAAGAATTAAAGGAGAAAGGTGACTCTGAAGTGGTACTGACTTTAGATAGGAACATGGAATCTATCTATTTGTATGTTCTTAAAAGAAACCAAATTTGCCTGGCTGGAAAAGTATTGCAGCTTATTTTTGTACCCCAAAGGCAAAATCACAATGGATACAATAATGCTAACTTAAATGACATCCCTGAAATGACTTCTAGATAGAATATTCCTCTCTCTCTCCTTTCTCTATATGCTATCTGGTCAAAGCCAGGGATGGAAAGTGCCTATATGTTAATGTACTGAATATATTAATAATAAACATTTGTTTTGAACTCCATTTTAAATTAGTAACGAGGTGTTTATATTGAGAGCTCACTGGAAGCCTGTGTTTGTGAATAATATTAGTTAATCATTGAACCACCCTATGAACTTACCAGGTACTATATAGAATAAAACATGTGACTATAGTTTGCCCTTTATGTCTCCATGTTAGTTAGCTAATAGCATAGGTCTGAGCGCATGTTCTTATAAATGGTAGAATAAAATATACAAAATAACAATAAGACAAGCCAAAAATCTCAACAGATGGAGACAGGAAAGGTTAACGTTGACTATTCCTTCTTTAAAGTCACTGTGATGGGGTGAGGGTAGAGAAATGTCAAACAGAAAGGCTGTAAAACAAATAATTCACCACTGTAGCCTGCTTATGTCAAAATCTCAAAGGTGACCAGAAAGGCCTTTCAAGTCTAAATAAAGATGGGAAAATACCAATAATTATGCCTTCTACTTATCACCTTTCAGGAGCTGGAGACATTTTACAAACTTTAACTCATTAATCCTCACAACATGACTGTGAGTCAAGTGGATGACAACTGGTCTACCCTGTTTTGCAGAAAAATGATGAGACCCAGGGAGTGTGATGAGTGGCAGAGTTGCAGCACCATGCCTGTAGGGCAGCCAGGGAAGAAATCCAAGCACTTGCTAGCAAAAACCTAGACATGAAATCCACAGAAACTCAAGTCCCCAAAAGAAATTTGCTATTATAACACATTCTAAAATTCCAAGATAGATAAGAAAGCCAGCCATTCTCTTCTAATGAGCTGCCAGGAGTATAATTCTCTGGTCTGTTCCTTCTAGGTGTTAATGAGAATTTTTAATTTTTTTTAGAGAATCTTGATGCTGTCAGTAATAAACATGGAGCCAAAGCTTTAAGATCATATGTCGTTAAATACTAACAATGAGGTCCACATGTATATGTATATATAGGTAGCCTGTGCTATTGTTCAAAATATTGGTTGTCACTGCCTGAAGGAGATCGAAGTCAGGCATGGCGTTGTGACTTGTACTGCCTCTCTGCGAGGTGATCAAATATCCCTATGCTGTTGACATCAGGTTTGACCATTTAACTGTCTTTGGCCAATGAAATATGAGCAAAAGTCATATTTGTCACTTTTGAGAAGAAACTGTAAGCATTAACACATTGTTAGCCAACTGTATTTTCCCTCTGCCATGAGACCTGCAAGTTTCAGATAAGAAACTGCTCCATCAATTCTCTGAAGGTCACACAGCTAGAAATGGACAGAGCTGGGATCTGAACCCAGGCATCTGGGCTCCAGCACCTGTGCTCTTAGCCATTATTCTATACTTTTACCACTGTAATAGCGTGGCCTGAAGAGTCACCATGAATTGTTAAATAGAAACCTTATAATCAGCAATTTCTTTAGTCATTGGAGATAATCTAGTGTAAGCTTAGAAAAGCAATAATTAAATGTTTTTATTCGCTGTACGTATGTTTGTTCAAGCTCTTTATGCAATAGGTACAATTTTTTTTTTTTTTTTGAGACAGAGTCTCACTCTGTCACCCAGGCTGGAGTGGAGTGGCACAATCTCAGCTCACTGCAAGCTCTGCCTCCCGGGTTCATGCCATTCTCCTGCCTCAGCCTCCCAAGTAGCTGGGACTACAGGTACCCGCCACCACACCCAGCTAATTTTTTTGTATTTTTTTAGTAGAGACAGGGTTTTCTCATGTTAGCCAGGATGGTCTCGATCTCCTGATCTCGTGATCCACCCGCCTCAGCCTCCCAAAGTGCTGGGATTACAGGCATGAGCCACCACTCCCGCCCTGCAATAGGTACATTTTTAATGTTAGTTGGAAACCTATTTAGACTTTAAGAAGTGGCCAGCTCTCTGTCTAATAGGCTAACACTTGACCTCAAGGATTTTAATTTCAATTCTTCACTCTCAGCTATAATCTGGCTTCTCACCAGTGCTTTGCTTCTACCAACTGACAAATCCCTAGTTTCATCGTCCTCTTTGTATGGCTTTTTAACAATAGTCACTTGTTACTATGAACTGAATGTTCGTATCTCCCCCAAATTCAAATGTTAAAGCTCTCATACCCAATGTGATGGTATTTGGAGGTGGGGTCTTTGGTGGGTAATTAGGTTTAGATGAGGTCAGGAGGACGGGTGCCCATGATGGGATTAATGTTCTTATAAGAAAAGGAAGAGATTAGAGCTAGAACTCTCTCTCTGTCAAGTGAGGACACAAGGAAAAGGCAGCTGTCTGCAAGCCAGGAAGTGGGCGACCTCACCAGACACTGAATCTGCTAGCACCTTGATCTTGGACTTCCCAGCCTCCAGGACTGTGAGAAATAAATGTCTGTTGTTTAAGCCAGATAGTCTATGGCATTTTGTTAGAGCAGCCCAAGCTGACTACAACACGCTTTCCAATGATTATTGTTTTTTGTTCCTCAGTTTTTCTACACTGGAAACAGAGATCCAAATTACAATTTTTGACTACAAGTTTCAACACCAATATGCTACTTCTCTGCCTTCCCCATCTCAATAATCAGCATCTCCATTAAGCCAGTTGCTCAGAACCCAAATATAAAGTCATTCTTGATTCCTTTCTTTCATGCACATCCTTCATTTAATTCATCAGCATATACTGTCACTCTGACTCTAAAATGTGTCCTACATTTCACTATTTGTTAATACTCTATCACCACTCTCAACCCCTGAGCCAGCATCAACACTCCCAGGACTATACCAATAGATTCCTAGCTGGTCTCCCTGCTTCCACTCTTGACTTTCTGCAAACTGTTCTCCTCAGAGCAGCCAGGGTGATCCTCCTAAAAGGTAAATGAGATTGTGCCACTCTCCTTCCCTTATCCAAGAGCTTCCTATCCATTGGTATGCTGGTCAATATTTAACAACCAGCTTGAAATCACTGGACACAAGCTTGGGAAGAGGAGCTAACAATCAGGTCTCATTAATGGTGTAAACCAGTTCCAGGACATCACTGCTTTCATTACACTTAGAAAAAAATCCAACGTCCTTACTATTAATTCATGCCCTGCATGGTTTCCGCTTATGGCCCCTCAGACCTCACTACTCTTCTTGTTCACTGCCCTCAAGCAGTGAATTAAAGGGAAGGCTAGAGAACCAAAATTAGGGAAGAACAGGAATGAGAGTAGGTTTGGGCATCTTGAGGCAAGAACAGAGTAGTAATAATAGTACCAGTATATGCAGTTGCAGTTATAATGCATACTCTACTTAATATATACCAGGTACCTTCTAAGCCCTTTAGATATTCACTAAACATCTATTAAATAGTATTAACTTATTTAATACTCACAACTGCCCTGCGAATTCAGTACTATTAATGATTTCACTTTAGAGATAAAAAAAAAACTGAGGCATAAAGAAGGTAAGTAACTTGCCCTAGCTATGGTCACTTAAACCATAAGTAACTTGCTTTAACTGTGATATAACCAGGAGTTAAACCCAGGCTGTCTGGCTCTAAGTCACTGCTCTTAGACACTCAAGTGTACTACATAGCTCTTCTGATGGATAATCAATTCAGGGCCCCACTGGCTTCAATCATTTTCCAATTTTTGTGTTATTTCACCAGGATTCAAATTTCCAGGAGAGGCACCACAATTGGAACAGCTTGGGTCTCATGCCCAGCCCTTGGCCAAGGGAGACCATGTCACTTTCTGGCAGTAGTCCCAATACTGCACAGAAAAGAGCAAAAGGAATGACCTTAAAGTAAATCATGGTGGCATCACCCAAAGCAAAGGGAATGGATCCTGTCCAGCTAAATACCAAGTCTCTACCACACCGTTTAACTTTATAATTAAGCTTTCTAAGGTTTTCAAGAGCCCTCTCATTCCACGATGTGTCTGTGATTTTCATAAACTCTCTAAGGGTCAGGCAAGAACCAGCACAGAACACTAATATACTTTACAGGGAAAAAGAAAAAGAATGGGAAAAACAATTAATAACCATTTCCCGACCTTTTAACGTTTATCAGAACACTGTGCTAACAGCTTTACATGTGATTTCATTTCATTCTCTCAATGCTGTGAAATATTTCACATATGAGGACTTTGAAGTTACAAAGATCTAATAATTTGCTCAAGGTCACACAGCCAGTAGAGCTGAGATTTAAACTCCAATTTTTCAGATTAGAATTTTAATTTTCTTAATTTCTAAGATATTAAGATATGCTTGACCGTATAAAATTTGAAACAGTTATTTTGGTAATGAAAAAACAATTCTAAGCATATACAATATGCATAATATGCAAATAATTTTTTAATAAAAACCTGAGAAGATTAAATTAAATCATAGATGTGAAATCGCTAAAGTTAAAAGTACTAATCAGATGGAATATATTATGCTATAATTGGTGCAAGGATATTAAAATGACACGTTGATTATAAAATGTATTGACCCAGTAAAGTAGCAAAAAAGAATTGCTTTTTATAATAAAAGCATCATAACCTCAAACTTTCTTTATAATCTTACATTTTAGGTGTTGACATCTCTGATCTCCAGCCCAGGGAAGCAGAATGGGGTAAACAATTAAGAAGGAAAAAAGGTTGAATGTTGATGCCTTCCAGTCTCCCGCAAATCAAGTGGGCTCTTAGTTCAGTGTAACCTTCCATTTTTCTTGCAAGGAAAAAGATCAGTTCACTTACAGAGAAGTTTTTGCAGGCAATAACAATTTCCTGTTAATTCAAACCATTTTTTAATGAAGGGAAGGTTAATACAAGGAAATTTATTTCCTTCCCACAATACAGGGAGGGAGCGCCATAGAGAAAGACGCAAATAAATAAGTCTATAATTAGTCTTACCGATCAATACACATTTGTTTATCTGTTTGTGAATATTAGCTGGAAAGGGGGTGCTATGTCTGCATACACATTATCTATACAACATACAGAATAGAAATACACAGGCTAGGACTTTTAGCCACAGATAGAAACCGCAGATATGCCAGGTTAAGTCATTAACTAATTACATGACTCTGGGCAAGTCGCTTGACTTCCCTTTGCCCTTTGGTCCACCCACTAGTTGGGCACTACACAGAAACTCCCTGAATACCAGATGTTACATCAAAGTCACTATTTCCTGGAGGCCAGCCTTGCTGACTTCTTTGAAAAGCACTAAATTTAGAAGTAGCGTGCAAATAACATTGTTCAAATTAAACTCGCTTATTAGTGGTCCGGATGATAATGAAAGGCAAACAGATGGTCCCTTAATGAATGTTATTGGAAGGAAGGCATCTTTAAGTGTAGGATTTGTATGAAAAGTTTGCTTTTTCTTACAAGTCATTTTGACGATTATATTAGAATGTTGGCATCTCTTTTCAGAATATAACTTTGTGGAGACTCACATAGGCATACTGAGCAAGATCAAAGCTTTGGAGAGCCAACGAAAGGTTTCTCCAAGTCTAATAAGCAAAATTATGCAGTTAAAATGGAGATCAAAAACCTTAACTGAAAGCATATAGTTATCCAAAGATCCAGACTGTATATCTTAAGGAATCAAGAGATATCACGTATACCTTGCTTTTTAGAAACCTGATTTGTGAAACAAAATCTACACCAGTGCCAAAATAGGAAATGGTTGTTTCCTTTACAATAGATTTATAATAGGACACCTTATGACCCATAGTACCCTAACATATTTAAAACAATGTTTGATTTATTTTTTTTCAAGAAACGTGTCATCCTTGCTCAGCAAAAATGTGATTAGTAGCTACATCTCATTCCCTTCTACACAAAAGACAAAATTATAAACTATATTCTAAAACATGCAAGATTGCTTTCTATATATCTCCTGGAGACTCAACCAGCATCAACTCATGTTACTGATGTTAACTAATGTTAGTAACACAATTAATCAAATGTCTCTAATATTCTAGGTGTCAGGCAATCTTTACAAAAGTTATTTGTCAGCTCAGAGTGGTGGCTCATGCCTGTAATCCCAGCACTTTGAGAGCCCGAGGTGGGTGAATTGCTTGAGCTCAGGAGTTTGAGACCAGTCTGGGCAACATGGAGAAACCCCATCTCTACAAAAAATATGAAAAAAAAATTAGCTGGGCATGGTGGTGTGCACCTGTAGTCCCAACTACCTGGGAGGCTGAGGTGGGAAGATTACTTGAGCCTGGAATATCAAGGCTACAGTGAGCTGTGTTCGTGCCACTGCACTCCAGCCTGGAAGACAAAGGGATATACTGTCTCAAAAAAAAATTATGTGTCAAGAAAATTACACACATATACCAGTTTTCCTGGAGTACAACCAGGGTTGATGGTTAACAACTCTACAAGGTTCTTATATCATTCAAGGTCGATCCAGAACACACAACCACAATAGTTATGTGAAATGAATATAAATTAACTGTGTTAACTGAGTAACTGATTGGATAAAAAATAAACTCTAAAGTAGTGATAGGCTCCCAAGTGATTACAACTTGCCCTTTAGTTGAGGAAATCTTATTTGTACCATTTGCCAAATTCTATGATGTAAATCCTTCCACCATGGTTGAGGAAAAAGACTCAGGGCCCCAATACAATGTCGTGTCTGGGGACATTGGAACCAGTGTACAATGCAGGCTCAGAACACCAGCCAGAGCTCCAAATAGGGGTCTGCCGCCAATGGTTTAGCTACTTGCAAAATTCCTGAAAATTCTTCAGGCAACACCTGACACCCCTAGGGCTGACAGGAAGAGGCTGGAATTATTAAAACATAGGAGCTTGGAAGAGTGGCCCTGTGCAGAAGTGAGAGTTCTCAGGAGGGGGTGCAGCTCAACTGGTACTGTTGAGAAGAGTTGAGAAAAGGCCCCATAGGCCTGAGACACAGACCTCTGAAAAATGAGGCATGGGCAGTGCCAGTGACTCTGAAGTGGAGCACAATATTTGAAAGTGTCAGAGAAACTGCAAACTGGATTCAATTCTTAAAAGCACTGCCAGTGCCAGGAGGGAAAAGCACTGCTAGAGTGCAGCTCACGTGAACAGGAAGCTGATCAGAAGCCAACAAGAACCAGACAGGAAGCGGCGCTCACCCTCTTCCTCCTCCACGCTCAGTCTCCCTCTAGTGCCCCCTAATGGAAGAGCAACGAGGAACTGCTGACAAAGCAGAAATACGTTTTGCAAAGTCTTAGCCCCAACACTGCGGAGACAAATCTAGAAAAGAGGATTTGGAGCTCAAAGACAATACTTTAATAACTGGCACAGTTATAATCAGAAGAATGATCCTTTATACTATATAACACTTGAAATTTTAAAAATTCATTTGCAATAATAACCACCATTTACCACTATTTACAGTGTGCCAGGAACCATGCTAAATGTTGAACATAACCACGCCAAATGTTACACATAATATGTCTCATGCAGTTCAATCCCATGGCTGCACAAGCTGAAAGGGAGCCTGGGAAATGTTTTGGGTTTTTTGTTTGTTTGTTTGTTTGTTTGTTTGTTTTTAAGCTGGTCCTATTGCCAACCAATAAAAGAAGAGTTCAATTTTAAAACAAGAAAAAAGAAGAAGAGAGTATGGATATTGGTTTGGTGATTAACACATGTCAATCACAAGAGACAGGACAGGCAGGATCAATAGCCTATCACCCCTTCACTTTCTGTTGTCTCTGTGACCCAGATTTCCCAAGGTAGCCTCAGTTAAAAGTATTCTACCCCTTTGTCCCCAAACGCCCTCATACTTGTTAGTTCATGTGTGCTGACTTTGGTTTGGAAAATACGTGTTAATATAAACTGCTTACTTGTTTTGTGGTGTGTTCTTTAAAAACTCCAGTTCCTCTTAACTCTTGATTCAGGTACAACTGACTCTAAACCTAAGGCTCCAGGAGGACCCCTTGCAGTTTTTCTTTTTCACCATTTTGCCAAACTTTTATCCTTTTCAGTAATTCAGTTTAACATTTTGGGGGATTTGCAATCACTCTTGGGCTCTACTGAATAGGATATGTCAAGAGGGCATATTAAACCTCATCTGTAATAATCTTCTCCTTCAATAGACTATCTACTCCCTTTTCATTCAAAGCAATTGTGAATTTCAAAAGTGAGGGTTAGGAGATCCTAAGAGTTTTGTCTGTGAGCTGTTTACTCTTTCCCTCACGATTACCTTATATTATCTTAACCATAAGAAATACAATCTTACCAATGAGTCAATTTGAAGAAGACTGGAAAGTGTTCCACATAAACATACTACCCAGCATCTCCTCTCCTCTCCCTCTCTCTCTTCCTGTCCTTTTCCCTCCAAGAAATAATGGCCATGAGAAAGAGTGATCAAGCTCCAGTAGACAAAGCCTTACCAGAAAGATATCTGAGGTAAGAAGCAGGTGATGTCTCATAATTACCATGCAATATCTTACCTTTCATTTTAGCAGATTGTCATAAGGTGTTGATTGTGTCTGTGTGTGTGTGTGCACCTAATTCTACACACTTATACAACCATAGCAAGCTCTTATGCTTTTTTCTTTTCTTCTCAGTTTTTAAAAATAAGATTTTTTAATTTTATAAATATACAACATAATTTTATTCAGCCTTAAAAAGAGAGAAAATTCTGATACATGTTACAACATAGAAGAACTTTGCAAACATTATGCTAAGTAAAATATGCCAACCACAAAAAAGACAAATACTGTGTGACTCCACTGACACAAGGTAACTGGAGTAGTCCAATTCACAGAAACATATAGAAGAATGATGGTTACTAGGAGCTGAAAGAAGGGAAGCTTGGGGAGTTATTATTGGGTATAGAGTTTCACCTTTTCTTTTATATTTATATAGTTTCAATTTTTATTTTAAATTCAGAGGATACAGATACAGGCTTGTTACCTGTATACATTGTGTGATAATGAGGTTTGAGATATGGGTCCTATTACCCAGTTACTAAGCATAGTACCCAATAGTTTTTTAAGCTTTGCCCTGCTCCCTACCTTTCCCTTCTAGAATATCCCAGTGTCTATTGTTGCCATCTTTATGTCCATTGTTTAGCTCCCATTTATAAGTGAGAACATGTGGTATTTTGTTTCTATTCCTGTGTTAATTCACTTAGGATAATGGCCTCCAGCTGCAACCATGTTTCTGCAAAAGACATGATTTCGTTCTCTTTGTGGCTGTGTAGTATTCTGGGGTGCAGATGTACCATATTTTGTCTATATCATCCACCATCAATAGGCATCCAAGTTGATTCCATGTCTTTGCTATTCTGAATAGTGCTGCAATGAACACACGAGTACATGTATTTTTGGTAGAACAATTTGTTTTCTTGTGGATATACACCCAACAATGGGATTGCTTCATCAAATGGTAGTTCTGTTTTCTCTGCATTGAGAAATCTCCCAACTGCTTTCCACAGTGGCCATACTGATTTACATTCCCACCGACAGTGTGTAAGTGTTGCATTTTCTCTGCAGCCTTGCTAGCATCTGTTGTGTTTTGACTTTTTAATAATAGGCATGCTGATAGGTGTGAGATGGTATCTCATTGTGGTTTTGGTTTACGTTTCTCTGGTGATTAGTGATGTTGAGCATTTTTTCCTATGTTTGTTGGCTGCTTGTATGTCTTCTTCTGAGAAGTGTCTGTTCATGTCTTTTGCCCATCTTATAATGGGGTTATTTGTGTTTTGCTTGTGAGATTGTTTAAGTTCCTTATAGATTCCAGATATTAGACCTTTGTCAGATGCATAGTTTGCAAATGTTTTCTCTCATTCTATAGATTGTCTGTTTACTCTGTTGATCATTTCTTTTGCTGTGCAGAAGCTCTTTAGTTTAATTAGGTTTTGCTTGTCAATTAAAATAGATTTTTAAAAATCTCACCACAGTTAAAATGGCTTTTATCCAAAAGACAGGCAATAACAACTGCTGGTGAGAATGTGGAGAAAAGGAAACCCTAATACACTGTTTGTGGGAATGTAATTTAGTACAACCACCATGGAGATCAGTTTGGAGATTCCTCAAAAAACTAAAAATAGAGCTACCGTATGATCTAGCAATCCCACTGCTAGGAAATTAGGATATCAAAGAGATATCTGCACTCCCATGTTTATTGCAGCACTATTCACAATAGCCAAAATTTGGAAACATCAACAAACGGATTTTTTTAAAATGTGGTACATATACATAATGGAGTACTATTTG